>NC_000008.11:68427265-69052265 GCF_000001405.40 Homo sapiens
CTAAAAACAGAGAAACTAACCAAAGGTCCTTTAAAGGTTATTAATGAATGGTTAAACACACTATGGTACACCTATATCATGAATAATACTCAGCAATAAAAAGGAATAAACCATTTATATGCATAACAACGTGGACAAACCTCAAGGAAATTATTCTTAATATTAAAAGCAAATATCAAAAAGATATATACTTCAATATATAAGATATGACATAACTATATGTTATCTAGCTATAGAGATGGAGAATAGAGTAGCAGTTGCTAGGGGTTAGATATAGAGGGAAGAATGGGTGGATGTGACTATAGAGTGATAGCATGAGAGTCTTTGGATGATAGTACAATTAATCATCTTGACTGTGGCAGTGGTTACAGGTAGTCACACTACAATAAAATTGCATGGAACTATACACACACACACACGAATGCATATAAACTGGGAAATCTGAATAAGCTCTACAGATTGTACCAATGTCAGTTTCTTAATTTTCATATCATATTATAATTTTTCAAGATATCAACATTGAAAGAAGCTGGCTGAAATGTATATGGAACCCCTTTGCACATTTCTTTGCAATTTCTTGTGATTGTATAGTTATTTCAAAATTAAAATGTTTTAAAAATTTCTAAGTTTTTTTATTATATGCAAACAAAATAAGAAAGATTATTTCATCCTTATTATATATAATATATAATATATAAAATGTATTCATATAATTATGTTCTATTATTAAAAATGAGATTTTAAAAAATAAAAATCATAATATTCCCTAGAAAAAGTCAGATGTTCTTTAAAGAAATATAGCTGATTTCTCAAAAAAAGGAAACAAAAGAAAATGGAGAGAATGTAATCTCAATATATAATTAGATACAATGAAAATATCTTCAAGCTTAAAAAGCAAATAAAGATATTTCTGTGCAAACTGAAATACAGAGAATTTGTCACCACTAAAATAAAAGGTTTCCTTATGCTGCTGAAAATGATCCCAGATGGATGGTTGGAGATCAAGGAAAAAATAAGAGCAGTAAAAATGGCAAATACGTGGGTACATCTAAATGCATGCTAATGGTATAAGATAAAAATTAAAAATATTTTGCAGAGTTTAAAATATATAGAGAGAGTTACAAGACACAACAATAAAAATACAAGCCATGCGTGATAACTGGAATCAAAGTATTCTAAAATCCTTATAAAATCTGAGATGGTGGTAAAGTAGTAATAAACACTTCATGTAGGTAAATGAAGTGTTAGTCTATAATCTCTGGATAACCATTAAAAGAATATTAAAGAGTCTGTCTGACTTTAAGACTAATGAGAGAAAACAGAAAAAATTTCAGTCAAAAAAGATAAGAGAAAAATGAACATAATCTTGGCAGAATAAATAAGAAAATGATAGAAACAAGATTAGGATGAATTTTTTCCTCAAGGTACCAGAATTCATTGTATAGCTGTGGTCATGAAGATGTTGTAATGATGGCATAAGACTGACAAATAGATTAATGAAACAGGCTATAAAGTCTAAAAATAGGCCTGTGAATATATGGCCACTTGATTCATGACAAAGGCAGTCCTTGTAGCTAAAAGTTAATGCTTTTAAACGAATGAGTGTGGGATGATTGGAAATTCATATGAAGAAAAATTAAATAACACCTACCTCACCCCATAATAAATGTTGACTTTAGATGCTTTGCAGACCTACCTGTGCAAGGCAAAAACAGTGAAACTTTAGAAAATAACGTAGGATAATATTTGCATGAACATGAGATAGAGGATTTTAAAAAATAGGACCCAAAAGCACAAAGCATAAAATGAAGAATTAAGTTTGACTTCATTAAAATAAAGAACTTTTGTTTATCAAAAGAAACTATTAAGTGAATGAAAAGGCAATCCCCCCATACAGATCTTATATCCAAAATACACAAAGAACTTCAACAGACCATTATGAAAAAGAAAGGCATTAAGTAGAAAAATGGCAAATAAATTTAGACAGGTGCTTTCAAAAAAGAGGGTATCTGAAGGACCATTGAATATATGAAAAGTTGCTAAATTCCATTGGTAATCATGGACATGCAAATTAAAATCATAGGGATTCTTTTATACCACCAGAATAGTTTAAAAATTAAAGTGACAACATGTTGGTGAAGATGTAGAGAAATGGGAATGCGGGTGGGAGACAATTGTTTACAATCACGTTTATAAAACTATCTGAAATTATTTAATAAAGTTGAAGACAAACATGTTATTACTCATGAATCCCTCTGCTAGGGATAAGTCCAACAGAAACTTGTGCACATGTGCACACAAGACTGATCATAGCAGCCCTATTCACAATTACCAAGAAATGGAAATACTCAAATACCTTTAATAGTAGAGTGGATGAATAAATTGCGGTGTATTCATACAGTGAAAACTAAACAGCAATGAAAATGAATCAGACTAGAGCTATATGCAGTATATGCACATATCATGGGCAAATATGGAGTAATGAGTAAATCTCACAAACACAGGAATGAGCAAAACAAATAAGATTTAGGTAATAGATATTGTATGTGCCTGTTTATTTTAACATTGACAACAGGCAAAAGTGAACTGTGGTGCTTAGTGGTATGGTATCATAGAAAAATAGTTGGTCTTTGTCCCTAGTTCCTGACACGTAGAACCTAAAACCCTTGGAATTTTCTCATGATAAGGGTGAGAGGAGCTTCTTTTGTTCGAATGAGGTGACTTGTCAGGCCTCTAGATAGCCTCAGGTGGAGGGCTGCTTGCCAGACAGACCAAACCTTGATTAGAAGCTCAGAACTTTCAGTCCCAACCCAAAAGCTCCTAAGATGGGAGAGAGGCTGGAGATTGAGCCAATCACCAATGGCCAATGATTTAATCAATCATGACTGTGTAATGAAACCTCCATTAAAAAATAAAAAAATTAAAAAAAACCTAAATGATGGGATTCAGAGAGCTTCTTAGTTGGGGAACACATTTCACATGCTGTGAGGATGGTGCACCCCGACCCCACAGGGACAGAAGCTCCTGTACTTGGGATCCTTCCAGACTTCACCCTATGTATCTCTTTATCTGGATGTTCACTTGTATCCTTTATAATAAACCTGTAATAGAAAGTAAAGTGTTTTCTGGAGTACTGTGAGCTATTCTAGCAAATTGTCAAACCTGAGGAGATCATAGGGACTGCTTACTTATAGCCAATTGGTCAGAAATATGGGTGGCCTAGGACTTTTCAGTGGCATCTGAATCTTGTGAGACTGAGTCTTTAATTTGCAGGATTTGATGCCAACACATACACAGTATCAGAATTGAACTGTTGGACATATGATTGGTATCCAGAAAACCAGATAATTAGTTTTTGATGCTGGATGCAAAGCAAAAAACGTGACCACCGTAACTGGAGAGTGATGAATTTTAGACTAAAATGGTCCTTGTGAATGAGGAAGGGCATGCTATTTCCAGCTTAGCAGCTCTAAAGATTTGATCATGCAATTGCCTGTAGCTGAATATTCTCTTGGGGGATGACTTGCAAGACAATGTGACAAGTCGTTTCCTTATCTTGAGAAATATAACATTGAGAGAGACCAAACAGGCAACCCCTCTTCTCTAAACATTTTTTTTCCTTATAGGAAACAAAATAGGAAGACACATTGCTATGAAATCTAGTTCATATACCCCACATGATATGTTTTATGCAGTTTTTCTACTCCTTACCACAAACTGATAAGGGAGATATTGTCCTACCAACTTTAGGGATGATAAAATGGAGGCTCAGAGAACTAAATGAGTAGCTTAAACTCATATGGACAGTAAGGGATAGAGCCAGGCTATAAATCCAGGTCAAACACCAAAATCTGTACCTTCCTATTAAACCACATTGTCACCCCAAATTCTCTTTTAAGGTGCATGGAATCAAACTTAGGTCTGTGTATGTACTAGTGTTCAGCTCTGATGGTACAGTGTATCCATCACCAGTTTCTCATTATTCTGTCATTCTGAGCACCTCATTTTAGGTACACATTTTTTATAAATGATAAAAGGCTAAAATAAAGTAATTTTTATTGAACTGAAAGACATTTTCTTTTTTATGGGAACTTCTATATACATCTGCTACTTGCATCACAAATTTATTTAATGTATTTGAGTTTTTTGAACTGCTTTGCTCTTTCCACTGTCACCTATATTGTACTCCTACAGAGGTATTTTCAAGTAAGACTGTGTGAAGTCCTACCTAACACTAAATCAGTTGCTTCCATAGACTATTAGTTGAGGAGTGTAATCCTTAACTGAAAGTATTTCCGTAGGATATGCTAATTTCTCACTGGAAACCTTGGTGTTTGCCTGGAAATTTAACTACAAGCTTGTGCTTTTATATGAAGACTGTTTAAAACTGCATACTAAATGTTCAATTATTAACCTGAGAAGACATCTCTGTATTAGTAGGCATCAGACAAAATATTGCATCATTTGTCATAATTGGATAGTTCTGCTGGTTAGATTTATTACTTGCCTGTATTATTGAAAGTAGAGAGAATTCAGTGTCTATGATTCAGCTTTACAATTTAGAATGTTTAGTTTTTAGTTGTGGTATTTTCATCATTCCTAATCTTCATTATTCAAGCAATTTATTCTTTTATTTTTCCTACCTTTATCTCTGGATTTTATTCCATAGTATACAACAAGGCTAATTATGCTTTTAAAATTTATGACAAATGGATATGATAAACGTAATTTTACATTAAATCATGTTTAAGAAAGCCAAGAGTCTTTCAAATCAGGAATGCAAAAGATCTTACTCCTGAGGCCTATAGAGCTGTGGATGTGTGGCTATGACTGTGTGCATTGGTGGGTTGTTGGTGAGGGTCAGATGTGATCTGGAATAAGCAAGGAGTTCAGAAACAACTTTTAACAAGCACCGTTGTAAAAGTGCATATATGTTGTCTGGATTATGCATCTTGTATGCAATTCTTAAATGTATAGTGAATTATTAAATCTATGTAAAATACCTGATACTTGTGCCTATCAGACTCAATAAATGACTGATATTTTATTTTATTTATTTTTTGAAACAGAGTATCTCTCTGTTGCCCCGGGCTGGAGTGCAGAGGCAGGATCTTGGCTCACTGCAACCTTTGCTTCCTGGGTTCAAGTGATCTTCCTGCCTCAGCTTCCCACATAGCTGGGGTTACAGATGCACACCACCATGGCCAGCTAATTTTGTATTTTTAGTAGACAGGGTTTCACCATGTTGGTCAGGCTGGTGTTGAACTCCTGAACTCAAGTGATCTGCCTATCTTGGCCTCCAGTAGTGCTCAATAAAAGACTGATATTTTAAATCATTACTATTCACATTGCTTTCCTGCCTTCCATTGAAATCACAGTTTTGACTGGGAATAAGATAAGTAGATTTAGGGCAGGTGTGGATCTGAGGTGGAGGAAGGTTGAACCACTAGGGGACAGTCTGAGATCTCTGAATGTCAGGGAAGACTCTGACAGAAAGAGATCAGAGAGATGTCTGTCCTGTTCTCACTGTGCATGGAAACCTAGATACTGCATTAGAACCTGTTTCTTACCAAAGCCAAAACTTGTAACAGAGCTTAGGGGTGTAATGAGGCAGGAAAAACATGCTTACCATTCTACTGCCATTCAAAAAAAATAGAATGAGAGAAAAGGCATGCATGGGCTATGAGTGCGGGTGGAAACCAAGTAGAATTTCATTCACTGGGAATGGTGACATCAATTTTAAATGGGGGCAATTTGAGAATAAAATACATTTTTGGAGGCAACCAAACATCAAGTGGATAATTTCTCATGTATTCATTGTCAATTCCACGCTCATTACCTGCTTATTTATGAAATACTGTTGGGTAGTGGTGGTGGGGGTGAATGTTTGGAAGGCCGTGATCTCAAATGCAAATTTTTAATAGAGACCTGATAAAAACAGAAAATTGAAACAGATGCAGATTTAGAGTAAATAAATTCAGTCATCAGATTTTAATGCTAGTTGTGAACTAAATAACATTCTACAGCTGATAACATGCCATATGCTATTAATATTTGAGATAATTTATGGGTGCTGAATAAAAAACATATCTGATTGGTACCACCTCCATCATTAATAGAGTACAATGCCCTGCATATGTATTGATTTAACAAAAAAGGCCATGTAGTAAAAACTTCCTGGGAATTTGGAAATGGTTTTAACTTTGTTTCCTAATAACTTTCCCCTGAGGTTAAAAAGGATACAAGCATTACTTTCCTGTTAGGGAAATGAAGCAAAAAGTAAGTTAGTCCCAAGTCACAAATTTTTAGGCAGAGTGCCATGCTGGGTGTGTGCTGTGGTACCCAGAGCCAGGGTTTTTAACCTGAAGTCATTGAAACCTTAGAGGCTCAGTACACGAATGGGTAAACACCAGGAATATTGTGTACAAATCGAAGTTTCTGTGCGCCCAAGTGCTCTTTTGTTTTATAATCAAGGGATCTTACATGTTCTATCAAATGAAATGGATCTTTTACTAATAATTTCTACTGTTGCTTAATGACTCATTCCAGTTTTAATAATAAGTGAGTCTATGATGAGTTACCAACTTACTTATGGCTTTGCTTTTATCTAATGAAAATTAACATTAAAATGCATTTTGAGACGATCATTGTTACTAGTTAGTATTCATTTTCCAGCTCAATCATGCTAATTTTCTAAATAGCACTACAAGGTTATCTGTTACTGGTTATTAGACTCTTAAATTCCAGTAGCCCTTACATGTTGCATAATATACATTTTCACTCAATAATTACATAATGATTTATGTTCTCTAAGTTCTTTTCAAAATTTGTAAAAAGGAATTTTGTCTTTGTATGCATTTCTTTCCTTTTTCTTCTTTTACTTTAAGTTCTGGGGTACATGTACAGAACGTGCAGGTTTGTTACATAGGTATTCATGTGCCGTGGTGATTTGCTGTACCTATCAACCCATCATGTAGGTTTTAAGTCCCGCATAGCATACATTAGGTATTTGTCCTAATGCTCTCCCTCCCCTTACCCCCAGTGTGTGATGTGAGGTCCCAGTGTGTGGTGTTCCCCTCCCTGTGTCCATGTGTTCTCATTGTTCAACTCCCACTTATGAGTGAGAACATGTGGTATTTGGTTTTCTGTTCCTGTGTTAGTTTGCTGACAATTATGACTTCCAGCTTCGTACATGTCACTGCAAAGGACATGAACTCATACTATTTTATGGCTGCATAGTATTCCATGGTATGTGCCATATTTTCTTTATCTAGTCTATCACTGATGGGCATTTGCATTGGTTCCGAGTCTTTGCTATCGTAAATAGTGCTGTAATTGTATGCATTTATAATTTTAAAATAAAAGTATTTGTTCCAGCAACAAAATTATAATTAACAATAAAGGAAACAGGTATTAGTGCAGGGAGTTGTCTCACTATGTAGTATACTCATGAAGTTAAAGATTCTAGTTGATAAAAAACAATATTAAGAGAACATTGAGGCTGGGCGCAGTGGCTCATGCCTGTAATCCCAGCACTCTGGGAGGCCGAGGTAGGCGGATCACAAGGTCAGGAGTTCAAGACCAGCCTGACCAACATGGTGAAACCCCATCTCTACTAAAAATACAAAAAATAATTAGCTGGGCATGGTGGCATGTGCCTGTAATCCCAGCTACTCAGGAGGCTGAGGCAGGAGAATCACTTGAACCCAGGAAGCAGAGGTTTGCAGTGAGCTGAGATAGCTCCATTGCACTCCAGCCTGGGTGACAGAGCGAGACTCCATCTCAAAAAAAAAAAAAAGAGAATATTGATTCATTTTATTATCAGAAAATATAAGCCCAATAAAATATGTATTATTCATATATAATATTACAAGTGTATATTGATAAATATTGTAATCATAGTAATAATAAACATAAATATATAATAAAAATATATAAATATATGATATATAAATGTAGAAAAACAATAGTAAAAATAAAAATATTGGCTAAGACTTTTTGGGAGTATATCACTAAGAGTTAAGTCAGGAAAATGGAAACCACTCTATGTAGCTGTGCTAAATAGGGTTTATTAAAAATGGGTTTATGATAGAGAGTTAGAAGGTTGGGCCACAGAGGACATGGAAATGCTGCTGAAGTTTGAGGGGGTATCACCAAAAGTCAGAGGGGCTGACCCTGAATATACCAGCCTGCAGCAGGGAAGCATGTGGTTCTCAGATGCTTGCCTGGAAGCTGCGGCAATTCTTCGGTGTCTTTGTGGAACCCTCATAGCTATCTCAGTCAGCAGTGGAGGTTTCCACAAGCTTGCTAGGAAGCTGCTGTGAATCTCTCATCTGTTCTCACATCTGCCTGCATTCAACTCCGAAGATTAGTATTTTTGTGCTTCACTCTGCTTTCTGAATCTCCTACACATTTCTTTCACTGGGAAACTCTAACTCAGATCATATGGAGATTCTGAGAATTCATTCCCAGCCTTAGAAAGGGTGTTAGTCCATCACAGAAGGCTACATATAGCTCAAGCACTTAATGAGTGCTTTGTAGTCGTTATCTTATTTAATCTCCATGGCAACCGTATGATGTAGCTACTATTGTTTTTCACATCTAATAGATGGAATATGAATGTTAAAGTAGGAGATGAAGGATTCAAATAGTGGCTATTAGGCTGGGCATGGTGGCTCACGCCTATAATCACAGCACTTTGGTAGGCCAAGGCAGGTGGATAACTTGAGGTCAGAAGTTTGAGACCAGCCTGGCCAACATGGAAAACCCTATCTCTACCAAAAAATACAAAAATTAGTCGTGTGTGGTGGTGCACACCTGTAGTCCCAGGTACTCAGGAGGCTGAGGTGGAAGAATTGCTTGAACCCAGGAGGCAGAAGTTGCAGTGAGCTGAGACTGTGCCACTGCACTCTATCCTCACCCTGGGTGACAGAGTGAGACTCCCTATCAAAAAAAAGAAAAGAAAAGAAAAATAGTGGCTATCAGATTTCAAAGACTGAGTGTCTAATCACTAGTTTCCTGTATCTTCAACTGCATGTTGTTTATATTAATTTTATTGATATAAGTATGAACTAAATCTCCTGTTGGTGACAGCTGCTAATATATTTTGTTTGCGACTTGTATGTCCCAGTTTAACTAGCCTGTGAGTGCACAGAGTATCGTATTAAAATTAACACCTACATTTTATCAATCCCTGAGTACTTAGTCTAAAATGTCCACAAACATTTTGTTTCAGGGCAGGAGTGCTCTTATCACTTTGTTGTTCTATTAATTTATATACACCCACAGCCTGAAAAATTCCTTTTCTCCCAGGGAATCTCATGTCACAACCCTTGCACTGATGGTAAGAATTGAAGGTGAGGCTCTTCTGTCTCCCTGGAAGTGCCGTTTCCTACTGGTGTTCAGCTTATGTACCTGAAACTGACTTGATGTTCTAGAATACTTTTTTCCTATGGTGAATGATTCCTGTAAAACTTTCTGCAATTGATTTCTACTCCAAATTAACATACTAGCTGTGCAACTTGATTCTCACCTTTCCAAATCTATCAGTCCCTCAGGTCTACCTCTGCGGCTCTAATTTCTAGTGGTGGAAAGAAATCAATCTTTTTATTGCCATGATTGGCAAATCTAAGGATTTAAATTTTCATGTCTGGGAAAGGGGTTTCTGTCAAGTTCAAGTCCTCAGAATCATTCAAGTCCAGCAGATACATGGATTAAGTGAGAAGCAGGGTAATTACTCTTGCAAATACAATCATTTAAAACTAGACTCTTGTCCAACCAAGACACCCAACATGCCCTATTGCAAACATCGACTATGATCATTTCGCTCACGATTGAACTTGTCCTGTGTCTTTAATCTCATATATTCATTAATACAATACAAATTTATCCAAAATAGTTAATAGACTGATACTATTTTTAAAACTTAATAGTAATTACTTGGTTTATTATGACTAAATAATCCATCTTCTAAAGAAAAATGTAGGAATACTTCAGTTTATTAAAAAAGAAATCTAGAAACTTTCCATCTACTCTGAAAGGTAAATTCAAAAACAAAACAAAACCATGAGATTTTCAGAGGTGTCAGGATAGAAATGGCTGTGGCTTTAAAGTTCCATTACCTGACTTAATTTTGCTTTACCTGAGTGTCCAGACATTCTGTGACAATAGCAATCCAGTTGTACCTTCTATTTATTTTTCTTTTTATTTTCTGGAACCCTTTATAATGTAAAATTAGTTCAAATAAAGCATAATACATAATAGAGGTAAAATCCAAAATGTTTTAGATTGCATTCCACAGATGTATACTTATGATTTAACTGAACTCTACATTACTTTACAATTACCTTCACAACAGTAGCAGATGGCCTTTTTTAATTTATTATTATAATTGAAATATTAAATAGCACAAATGAATAATACCTGTGACAACTGATTGTTTGCTTACTTGTTTTTCAGAATATAAAAAGTATTACACTTGTCTAATAAATATCTTGCATCATAATGTATTTATGGTAAAAATCCTTTGATCTTTTTACTTCTAACTCTGTGTTCCATCAACGCATTTTTTAAATATGCAGAAATATTTAATCCATGACTCTATGATCAACTTGGGATCTTGTTATCTGCAAAATCCATTTATCCTCTGCCCAGGTAAAGCCATGTTTTCCTACACTTAAAAATGTAAATAAATATCCCTTAGATAATCTGGACAGCAGTTTCTTATATAGCATGTCTGAGCACTATATTTTGCTGGGCTATAAAAGGTTTAATTGTTGTTTATTGGTACAATAAGGGATTCTAGTTACTAATATCTACCTGTAGTCAATAAAGCAAACATTGATTGGTTGATCGAATCATTGATTCATTCAATAGGTATTGATTCAGCACCAGCTATGAGCTAGGCAGAGTTCTAGGCCCTACAGAGAAAACTGATATCAAACTAAGAAAGTCTTTTTCCAAGTGCTACAGTAGGGGTGGGGGAGGAGAGAGATAACAAACTGGTGAGCAAATGTTAAACAAAATGATTCTAGAGAGTGCTAAATACTGTGAGGAAGATAAAATGATAAAATAATAAAGACTTCTGAAGATTGGTTAGGGTAACCTCTTGTAGAAGTATCATTGGAGACCGAAGGATGACACACCAGCCATCTGACCATGAGAGAACATCATTCAAGGCAAAGGAAACAGACCACCACCAACAAAAAAAGATGCACTGGGGAATTTCCAGTAACACTTTTGTTAGCTCTCTTAATATCTGATTTTTTGAGCACTAGAACACTGCCTCTCACAGAATCCTAGCTTAAAACAGCAATGAACAGACTAGAATTCTAGGCTAAAACCAACAAGATGAAATGTGACTGATATGAATATAAATGGTGCACATAAGTTCACAAACCCAATTACACAGCACAAAATGATATCCACGTGGCTTGACAGCTGTTCATATTAGAAAAATCTAGGGATTCTAATGGACTACATATTGGAGATTGCTCTTTGCTGTTCCTGACTGGAAAAAAAAATATGTAGATATTACCCTTGGGCAGATTTCAGCCCAACTTAAAGTATCATTAGAGCTGTCCAAAATGGAACAGCCTGCTTTGCACATAGAGAACTCACATTGCTCAACTCAAAAAAGAGCAGAAGGAAGGAAGAAGGAAGGACACGTAACAGGGATTTTTACAAAAACAGAATTCGGTATTTCTTGGAGACTACTTTAAGACAGTTTTTGGTTTCTGTAAGTCTGTGACTTATTACTTGTTCCTTTAATTCCAATAAAATTTTCTTCATTTTTGTTATTTTTAAAACATTAAGAAGAAAAAAATGATATTGATATAAGGTAGATGGTGAAGTTTAGCAAAAGTTTAGTTTATAATGATATCTCTCAAAATAGCAAACTGAAGTTTAAAATTCTTAAGCTATAATTTTAAAGGAATTTAGATTAAACTTTTAATATGTTGTTGGCTAAGTATAATACAAAATAAAAACTAAATAAATCTTGGTTTTGCCACATATTAGCTGTGTAATATAGACAATTTACTTCTCTGTTATTGTTTCCTCAGAATGAGGGCAGTAACTTGTAGCCGTCTGAAAAGATTGTTATAAGCATGGAGTTAGTTGCTGTATATAAAGCAGTTAGACCAGTACCTGACAATATTACATGCTAAGTAAGTGCTTGCTATTACTGTTGCTGTTATTATTAATTATAATTGTGTGCTCTATTCTGCCTTCAGGAATTAATGACCAAGTTAATAACTGAGACACCTGACCAGCCAATCCCATTTCTCATTGACCATCTTCAGTCTAAACAAGGGAACCGTGGACAACTTCAAAGAACTTTGTCTGGATCTGCAGCTCTATGGGCAGAAAGTGAAAAATCAGGTAAATGAAGAATGTCTATGCAGTTAATTTGGGATTCATTTAATGTCAAAATTTCAAAACTCTTTTTGATACTAATAAGATAAATCTAGATAGATAGTTACCAAAGGTTTCATGTGTTCATCTCTGACCTTACCTAGATGCTAAAATTTGTCATAAATTATTAAATTTGAATATATCGTAATGTATTATGTCTCAAAATACAAGAATCAGCATTTTGCATTTTAATACAGATAAGATTCAGATTTGCATCAAAAGATTTTATCCTGTATAAATTCAGAGTAGTTATCCTAAACTTATTTTTTAATGAATAATTTGAATTAAATGCTTATAGCTTATCTATATAGAAAGACAATAGTAGAGTTCTACAGGATTACTTTTCTTGTTGCCCAAACTGATGATTGTTCTTTATTTCTCCATGCCCCAATTTTATCCTGTGTAGTAAACCTTAGGAAGATTCACTGACTCTTTACATCAGGGAACTAGTTTTTCGAGTGTATCATAGCCTCCTCTCCCCAGTAAACACTAGTGAAAGAATTGAGTAGACTTGAACTCAATCTTTGCTCATAAAATGTGTTTACACATTGGTCTGTTAGTTTGACATTTACTTTCAAATCCAAATCCCCTCATGCCCATTGCTTGGGTAACTAACTTCTTGTCTGATTCCCGTAGAAATCCAACTGTACTCCAAATGACTTTCCTTGGATGGCATTATCACTTCTCTCCACCTCTTCATGCTTTATGGGATCCCATGAAAGGATTTTGGTCTTCTTTGGCTGTATCTCATATGAATGCCTTCTTGATACCAGGTCCCAAAGCTACACTAAAGTGTGTAGAGAGTAGGGTGTCCTCTGAAGAATGTAGACATCTATGATGTCATTTATCCACACAAAAGTTATTTGCGTCATATAGGAAGTTAGAATATGAACTTTTGGCACAAAAAGAAGAAACTCTTACTTGTCTTACTTTTTCTTGGCCTTAACTTTCTTGGGTTTAGATTCTAAGTAGAATGGGTAGGTAGGCAGGGGCTTTGGTTTGTAGGTACTAAGATGGTACCCACCACATAAACGCAGATCAGTTGAGCATCTGTGAATTTACTGTAGCTCATGTGAGTCCATATTTTATAAATCAGTATCTGGAGAGAAAGGAACATATTAAACTCTGCATTTTTTTTTTTTTGAGATGGAGTCTTGCTCTGTCACCCAGGCTGGAGTGCAGTGGCCTGATCTCTGCTCACTGCAAGCTCCGCTTCCTGGGTTCACGCCATTCTCCTGCTTCAGCCTCCCGAGTAGCTGGAACTACAGGCACCCGCCACCATACCCAGCTAGTTTTTTGTATTTTTAGTAGAGACGGGGTTTCACTGTGTTAGCCAGGATGGTCTCGATCTCCTGACCTCGTGATCCGCCCTCCTTGGCCTCCCAAAGTGCTGGGATTACAGGCATGAGCCACCATGCCCTGCCAACTCTTCATTTTAAATCGCACACATTAAGTACCTCAGTGTTTATGTGTCAGAAGTCTGTGCACGGTTTAGCTGAGTCTTCTGCCCAGTCTCACAAGGCTACAAATCAAGGTGTTGGCTGGGTTACATTCTCATCTGGAGGCTGGACTAGGAAAGAATCTGCTTCCAAGCTCATTTGGGTTGTTGGCAGAACTAATTTTCTGCAGCTATATGGCTGAGGTCCCTATTTTCTGACTGACTTTCAGCCAGGAGCTACTCTCATCTCCTAGGTGCAACCCAGAGTTCCTGCCACATGTCTCTCACATA
Source organism: Homo sapiens (assembly GCF_000001405.40). Lineage (NCBI taxonomy): Eukaryota > Metazoa > Chordata > Mammalia > Primates > Hominidae > Homo > Homo sapiens. The sequence goes on from NC_000008.11 coordinate 68,441,409, forward strand.
GCAGCAGTTTACTAATTCTTCCTCCTGTTCTTTTTCCTCTTCTTATTCTCCTCCTCCTCCTCCATCTTCTTCATCTTCCTTCTTCCTTCTTTCTTCTTCTTTAAAATGGAGTTGGGGTCTAGCTCTATTGTCCAGGCTTCAGTGCAGTGGCATGATCATAGTTCACTATAACCGTGAACTCCTGAGCTCAAGTGATCCTCCTGCTTCAGCCTCCCAAAGTGCTGGGATTACAGTTGTGAATCACCACGCCCTGCTGGCAACTCACTTCTTTAAAGTCAACAAGGGCATTTCTCTCATTCCAATCTACTAAGATGGATCTTATATACTAGAATGTAATCATAACACTGACACCTCATCACCTTTGCTATATTCTACTGTTTCAAAGCAAGTTAAAAGTCCTGTCTGCATTTGAGGAGTAGGGATAATGTGGGAGGAAACACCATGGGAAAGAGATCATGTTTAAGAACTACCATGTTATTCTATCAGTTCTCTTAGTACCTATTGATGATTTTAATTTCTTGTGGCACACTTTAGTAGATAATTACAGCAGGCTATTGGATGTGAGTCTAAAGCTTTGGGGATGGGTCAAAGCAGGAGTCCCAGATGTTACCTTCAATATCATACAGATAATAATAAGAGTGAAAGAATAAAGGAAGATGTGGGTAAAATTTATAGTTAGAGTGTAGGATGGACTGGGAGAAGGCAAGTGTGAGATGACTTCAGGTGCCCTAAATTTTGTCTATTTATTATGTGGTGAGGATATTTGCCAAGACAAGTGGTTGGGGGGTCAGATAGGGAAGATTGAAGTAAGGGCACCAATTATGGAAAGTCACCAAGAGAAAGGAAAAAAGAGTTGGCAAAGGAAAATTTAAGAAAAGATTGTCACGCAGTTCTGGGGCCTAACAGAAGTCAAGGACATGAATTAATTATTATTAATTAATCATGGAAACTATGAATAAGATTGTTAATTTACTCTAGCAGTTCCCAGAAGTTCTGGGAAGGAAGAGAGAAAACAGTTTGAGGGACTTTGAGAATTGTGGTTGTGTTACTACCTCAAGGGTGGGAGAACAGTTTTGCCAAAGGAGTTGAGGGTATTTGTGAGCAAACTGCAGGTGATCAAGCTGTCTGAGAAGCAGAGAGCAAGTGGATGGAGAGGTTCAGACAGAGAAAGCCAATCAAAACTTTCAGGAGATCAATATAGTGAAAATATGAGCAATATAGAAGGATACAAGCTGTGCTGAGAGATTGTGATATTTGAGATCAAGATGTTTGATGTGGAATGATTCCATATTATGAGAAAATCCTGTGGGCAGCTTTAGTTTGCAGGTAGCAGCAATATCAGGGAAACGAAGCTCTTCAGAGTTGAGCAGGGCAAGGAAGTATGAAGCTTAATGCATGGTTTGTCTAAGAATAAAGAGGTCACTATAGTTTCTTTCAAGTTGTTGAAAGGACAAGAGACAGGAAAAGACTATGCCACTGTCTGAAGTAAGGCTGTGAGATTAATCAGAGGCAAAAAGATGGTGATAATGAGTGATAATGAAGAGAAATGAGCAGTATAGCTAAGTGACATTTCCCATAAGAGAACAGACACTTTTACTTTACTGTTGAGGCTTCTATCATAGAAGCAACACTGAACCAGGAGATCCAGCCCTGCTTCCACAGCCTGTGGTTGGTGGAACATGGGACATGGGGCAAGAGCATCCACCATCCCAGGAAGCTGCAGAGGAGGGAACGCTATTGTGGGAAGAATGGGGGCTGTGCTAAGACATGAAACGGGATATTTGAGGATGGAAGAGTGTTTATGTGGAAGGAAATGGCCCAGAGGAAGAGGAAAAATTTTAGAGGGAACGTATGGCAGGAAGGAAGAGAAAAGCATAGATGAATTTTTGGATACTAATGAAACTGAAGGGGTTATAATTGAATGATGGTAAATAATGCCAATTTAAACCCTGACTGTAATTTTGAATTCTTGATTTTGGTGAATCTTTTCTTTGTTTTTGTTTTTGAGATGGAGTCTCGCTCTGTCACCAGGCTGGAGTGCAGTGGCATGATCTCGGCTCACTGCAACCTCTGCCTCCTGGGTTCAAGCAATTCTCCTGCCTCAGCCACCCAAGTAGCTGGGACTACAGGCACACGCCAGCCACCATGCCGAGCTAACTTTTTTTTTTTTTGTATTTTTAGTAGAGATGGGGTTTCACCATGTTGGTCAGGATGGTCTCGATCTCTTGACCTCGTGATCTGCCCACCTCGGCCTCCCAAAGTGCTGGGATTACAGGCATGAGCCTCCACACCCAGCCTGGTGCATCTTTTAATTAGCCAGAAAACGTCTCAATATTCAAAGTACATGGGTATCATACTTTTCAGAAATATCTGAAGATATCCTCTTGTTGCCTTTAAATATATTTAGCAACATGGGACACAACATTTTCTCCTTAAAAGTCTATCATTTAATATTGTGGAGGAGAATCTTGAAAACAGCCTTATTTTTATTCCTTTGTGGGAATAAAAGACAAATTATTTTTCTTGAATACTTATGAATTTTTTTTTACTTCTGATATTCCAAATTTTACTGGAATGTCAACTATGATTTTTCGGGAAAATCTATTATGTGTAAGTTGAGTCTTATTTACTGTTCTCTGTTTTTCTCATTTCATTTGGCATTGTGTTTGCTTTTCTTTGTTGACTCTCTTTTAGAGAGGTGTATCAAGCAAAGTGTTTTCTCTGTGTCACTGATACAATTTTCTACACTATCAGTTTTCTCTTTCTGGCTTTGAATGCAAATTTAAATATTGGTATTGCATTTTAGTTTCCTGTTGCTACTTCTTTATCTCATCTTCTTTTTATTATTTCTGTACACAGTTATATTTTTATTCATAGGTTGGTTAGCCTATCTCCTCTCTAATTTCTTTTTGCTTCATTGAGTCCACTTTCTTTTATTTTTGTTGAGAAGACAAAATAGTCACAGTCACATTCCAACATTTAATAGCTTTCCATTATAAATATTTTTTAAAACTATGATTACCTCTCCATTGTGAATACTGTATTCTTGTTTTTTATTAAATGATTCTTAAAATAATATTTTCTCTTTTTATTCAAACTTCAATGAGGAATGTTCTATCTAGTTCTAGATTTATCAACAAATAGTGTAGGTGGACTCTTCTTTGTTCTCTCTCCATATAGCTTGGAACTATTTGGATTCTTTTCAAAATTTTAGAGAGGTGAAATCATGTTTACTATTAAAATTTTCAATATTAGTTGAATCCTTTAAGTTTCTGCAAAATTGATGCATGACTTACTATCTCTTATCTCTTTTCAATGAACTGGATAAAAATATCATTGCTAAATTATTTGAATTAATATGGATTTTTTCTTGCTAGAAGCAGAGAATAAAGAAAGTCACAACATTCATTTCATTCCTCTCTGGCTCCTTTTAATATTCCTTTATATAAAGAGATGCTATATTTTATGACCAAGGTTTTTTTCTCCCATTACCTATGTTGCATTAGAAGAATTTATAGTCCAAGAATGGATATAGAAAGACAAATTCTGAAAGACTGTAAAACAACATAAGGAGATGACTCCAAGGTTGAGGTGGACACCTAGAAATCTTCCATTCTCTTTTTGAATGGCCTATATCCTGTCTTAACCTTATCTATGGAAATACTTCCTGGGTTCTAGCAGACCGTGGACAAATATTTATGTTCCTAATGCTTTAGAATTTTCATGCCTTTTTGGTATTTAATGGGATTTTGGAGGTGGACAAATTGGGTAACAGCTAGTTAAGTACAACCTTAACATGAAAGTTTGAGGAATCCATTAATGTGTAATGGTGTATGTTAGTTATTTATAAGTGAGTAGCCAGAGAAAAGACTTATGAGGCATCCATAAAGCTAGGGTGGTTTTTAAATTTGTAAATTAAGACAAGAAGGCATAAAGAAACCCTACAGAATGCCACATAGATTAGAGGAATGGAAGATGAAGAAGGAATAAATGAGTTGAAGAAAGAGTTATCAGGTGATATGGGGATGAGGAAAAAGATTGTTCTGTATAAAAACATGAAATTCTTGTAAAAGAAGTCAAGAGGGATGAACTCTTGAAACACCCTTTAATTGTGGAATGGGCAAGACAGTGACCACCTTCTAAGGGGAATTTCAAAGTAACAATGTTGGTTGATTTAAATTTATCTTTCTTGCAAGAGAAGATAAATTGATTTGGGTGAATATCAATGATTTTACTTGTCATGATAGATAAGGTGGCATCAAGTGAGTGAAATTTACTGAAATGTTTATTTTTATTTACAACAGAATACCATGCTTTATTCCATGACATTCATAGAATGTTATTTTAATTGATCGGAACCCCCGCCTGAAAAACATTTCAAATTAATTTCCTGTTTTTTCTTTTTGACAGAGTCTCTATCACTCAGGCTGGAGTGCAGTGGCACAGTCTCGGCTCACTGCAACTTCTGCCTTCCGGGTTCAAGTAATTCTCCTGTCTCAGCCTCCTGAGTAGCTGTAATTACAGACGCCCGCCATCATGCCCGGCTAATTTTTGTGTTTTTAGTGGAGACGACGGGTTTCACCATACTGGTCAGGTTGGTCTCGAACTCCTGACCTCAGGTGATCCACCTTGGCCTCCCAAAGTGCTGGGATTACAGGCATGAACCACTGCGCCCAGCCAATTTCATAGTTTTATATGATATAATCTTAATCATATGCATATATAAACTGATTCATATCAGATTTAAAAGTCTAATTTACAGATGAAATTAAACAAGTAATACCTTTGCGTGGGTACATTATTTTTGATATGAGGTGACCTATATGTTTTGTCAAGTATATTTAATGACTTCGTGGACTTGGTTTTTGCTCAATCTTGAAATCACTTTGTTGCCATTTTATATATATTTTGTTTTAACAGAATCCAAAGGAACAAGAAGGGATTTCAGAAGCTATGATAAACCTTGGCAATTAAATGCAAAGAAGCCTAAAAAATCAAAAAGTGACCTTGCTGTGTCTAATATTTCTCCACCATCACCGGACTCCAAATCATGTAAGGAAGTCTCTTATTCAAATGCTATTCAAAGCATGTAAGTTTATGTTGTTAAGAAAATGAAGAAAAGGTATTAATTGAAGCCCAACTTTTCATCTGATATTTCTGGCCTTTAATCTTAGTGAATTTCACTTTTACTCCGCATTTACATTGATCTTCATTCATACGTATGTATTTGCTTGCTTATATTCTCAAACATGTGTAATTCACTTGGACCCTTTTGAGTATAATATTCCTTGAAGAATATAAACTGCATGGAGCGGGTCTCTTGTTTCTCATAGCCAATTGTAGCATTACATCATATTGAAAGCAGTAGCTACCTATATTTAATGAAGTATGTAAAAGCAAATTAAATCTCTTAGAATAGAAGCAAAGAAGATTTCTATTCAAAACATTTCATAAAATTTCTTAAAAAATATTTCATCTGGGATTTTCCTGAAGTCCTACTCATTAATTTGTGATGGAAGTCCCTATATTCTCTTCACTACTACTGTAATATCTTTGTTTTTATGTTACTACAAAGGAATGACTGAGGTTGGGTATTTTATAAAGAAAAAAGGTTTATTTGGCTTACGGTTCTGCAGACTGTACAAGAAGCATGACACTAGCATCTGCTTCTTGTGAGAGCCGCAGGAAGCTTCCACTCATGGCAGAAGGTGAAGGGGTGCACGCATCATATGGCGAGAGGAAGGAGAAAGAGATAGCAGAGGGAGGTGCCAGGCTCTTTTTAACAGTCAGATCTTGTAAGAACCAACAGAGTGAGAAGTCACTCCTTACCATGAGGACAGCACCAAGCCACTCATGAGGGATTGACCCCCATAACCCAAATACCTTCCACCAGGCCCCACCTCCGATATTGGTGATCAAATTTACCATGTGATTTGGAGAGGACAAATATCCAAGCTATACCACCTAAGTATCCCTTCTCTCTCAATGGCCTACTGCTTTGGTAGCTACTGGGATTCTCCAGTGCTCTGCTATCCCCACATATGTATAAACATGTCAAAAATCTCAGGAGCCTCTAGCAAATCACAGCTATTCTTGGAAGAAAAGAGAACTTGCAAGCTGTTCTTCTTATACATCAATTCCTTGTGCTTGTTACAGGGTGAGATGTTTGATTTTAGTTTCAACAGAGAAAGGAGTAGGCAGAAAATATTTATCTTTGTTTGAAAATGTTTGAAAAACCACTATGTGCTAACTGGAATCTGCATCTGGGTCATTTGTGAAAGCAACTAAATTTAACTTTGTGAGCAGCTTCATTTACATAGTGGTACTCATAAAAAGTATTGCATTAACCACACCAAGTTCTTGTGAGAATTATATGAAGTGTTAACAACTTAAAATGTTCTTCAGAAATTGTGATTGTAACCAAATTGTCCTGCTTCATCAGTTTGGTATATAGAATTAGGTCCCAACATTTTAAAAAATATACAAGTTTAAAATTTGCATGTCTTTTTTACAACAGTATAGCCAGTAATATCCAGCACAGTGCCTGTTTCAATTAATAAATGCTAAATGATAAAAATGAATAAAGGAAGAAATAAAAAATGAATAAAGTCTCAGTATCCCTTTTCATCATGGATCCCTACCTCTCTCTCTTTTTATTCTTGCTTTCTTCCAATGATAAGTTCAAAACCTTAGGAGATTAGTAAATTACAGAATCAGTTCTGAATTTGACCACTTCATCATTACAGGGAGAATGCCTAAAGGTCCACTCATTGTGCAGGTCCTGTGTTCTTTGTAGGATGCTATGTAGCCACAGGGTGCTGCTGGTGGTCTGGAGTCTGAATATATTCCTTTTTACTCAGGTAACCTACTCCCAACCTCTAGTTTCACTAGACTGTTACCAAGCTTTTTAAAGCAAAAATAATAATAAAATAGCATACTTTTTTTTAAAAAATAGCATATGTAGAATTAATATATATGACAATAAGAATACAACAGATTTAGGGTTATTCTTTGGAAATACTTGTTAAAACAAATTATTTCTGAAGTAGTAAAATATCTCTGTACGTAGATTGTGATGAGTTAAAGATGCATTTTTCATCTCTAAAGCATCACTAAGAACTAGCACAAAATGCTCAAATTAAAAATTAGTAGACACATTAGAATAGGATGTGAAAAAAGTATTCATCCTCACAAAACAAAGGCAGGAGAAAAGTAACAGGGAAACAAAGAACAGATTGGAAAAATAGAAATTGGACACCAATATTGTAAGTTGAAGTACAGACGTGCCCACAATTATAGTAAATATAAATGTACTAAACATTCCAATTAAAGCAAATATTGTCAGACTGAATAAAGAGTATAGATTTTTTAAAATATAAGAAACATACTTAAAACATGCAGATACAAACAGTTTGAAACTCCAACAAAAAGAAGCCTATATGGCTAAAGTAATATCAAACCAAATAAAAATTTAAGATAAAGGATATTACCAGAGATAAAGAGACCATATCATAATCATAAAAGGTTATTTAATTAAGAAGACATCATAATACTAAAGCGTTATGCACCCAATAACAGAAGTTTCTCAATACATGACACAAAAATTTATAGAACTAAAGGAAGATATAAACAGAATAAATTGACTGAAAAAATTTAGTAAGAATATAGACAATTTGAACAAGACTATCAACTGCATTGACTTAATTAATATTTATAAACACTATGCTCAACAAAGTTAGTCACATGGAAAAACAAACAAACAAACAAACACAACTTTGATCCTTACCTTAAATCATACCTGAAGAGAGGCAAAAACTTTTTAGAGATGTTCCAGTTACTATGGTTTATAACAAATCACGCCAAGACTTTTTTTTACATAAAATTAACATAAGATTAACCATCCTAAAATGTACAATTCAGTGGCATTCAGTACATTCACAATATTATGCTACCTAGCCCCTATCTAGTTTGAAAACATTTTCATCATCCCAAAAGGAAATCATGTACCCAGTAAGTAGTGACTCAACGTTCCCACCTCCTACCAGCCCCTGGCAACCTGCTTTTTGTCTCTATGAATGTATCTATTCTGGATACTGGCATAACTTGGAGATATTGTGGGTTCAGTTCCAGGCCACTGCAATAAAGTGAATATCACAATATCAGTCGCACAATTTTTTTTGTTTCCCAGCACATAAAAAAGTTATATTTATATTCTACTCTACTGTAGTCTAGTGTGAAACAACATTATGTATAAGAAAACAATGTACATATTTTAAATAAAATACTTTATTGCCAAAGATTCGAACAATCATCTGAGCTTTCAATGAGTCATAATCATTTTGCTGGTGAAGACCCTTGCCTTGACATTGATGGCTGTGGACAGATCAGGGTGTTGGCTACTGAAGGTTGAGGTATCTTTAGCAATTTCCTAAAATGAGACAACAATGAAGTTTGCCAATGGACTCATGGAGCCAATAGACTCTTCTTTTCATGAAAAAGTTATTCATAATATGTGATGCTATTTGGTAGCATTGTACACAGAGTAGAACTTCTTTCAGAATTGGAGTCAATCCTCTTAAACCCTGTCACTGCTTTATCAACTAAGTTGATGCAATATTTTAAGTTGATGCAGTATTTTAAGTCACTGCTTTATCAACTAAGCTGATGTAACATTTTAACAATATTCACAACATCTTCACCTAGAGTAGATTCTATTTGAAGAAACCACTTTTTTTCCACTCATCCATAAGAAGCATCTCCTCATCCATTCAATGTCTATCATGAGATTGTGGCAATTCAGTCACATCTTCAGATGCCACTTCTATTTCTAGTTCTCTTGCTATTTCCACCATATATTCAGTTACTTCCTTCACTGAAGTCTTGGACACTTCAAAGTCATCCATGAGGGTTGACATTAACTTCTTCCAAACTCCTGTTAATATAAATATTTTGATCTCCTCCCATGAATCACAAATGTTCTTAATGGCATCTAGAATGGTAAATCTTTTTAATGAAGTTTTTCAAGTTATTTGCCCCCAGATCCGTCAGAGGAATCAATATCTATGGCAGATATACCTGTATAAAATATATTTCTTAGGTAATAAGACTTGAAAGTCCAGATAACTTCTTGATTCATGGACTGCAGAATAGATATTGTGTTAACAGACACGAAAATATTAATCTCCTTGTACATTGCCATCAGCACTCTGGAGTGACTGGGTGCATTTTCAATGAGCAGTAACATTTTGAAAGGAAGCTTTTCTTCTTAGCAGTAGGTCTCAAGATCGGGCTTAAAATGATCAGTAAACCATGCTGGAAACGGATGTGCTGTCATCCAGGCTTTGTTGTTTTATCTGTAGAGCACAGACAGAGTAGATATAGCATAATTCTTAAGGTCCCCAGGATTTTTGGAATGGTGAATAAGCATTGACTTCAACTTAAAGTCACCAGCTGCATTAGCCCCTGATAAGAGAGTCAGCCTATCCTTTGAAACTTGAAGCCAGGCATTGACTTCTCTCTAGCTATGAAAGTCCTAAATGGCATCTTGTTCCAACATGAGACTGTTTTGTCTACATTGACAATCTGTTTTTTAGTGTAGCCACCTTCATCAACTATCTTAGCTAGATCTTCTCGATTGGTGTGGCTTTTCCATCAGCACTTGCTACTTCATCTTACACGTTTGTGTTATGGAGATGGCTTATTTCCTTAAACCACATGAACCAACATCTGCTAGCTTTCAAATTTTCTTCTGCAGATTCCTCAGCTTTCGTGGAATTGAGGAGAGTTAGGACCTTGCTTTGGATTAGACCTTGGCTTAATGGAATGTTGTGGCTGATTTGATCTTCTATCCAGACCACTCAGACTTTCTCCATATCAGCAATAAGCTTCTTTCACTTTCTTATCATTCGTGTGTTTACTGGAATAGCACTTATAATTTTCTTCAAGAACTTTTCATTTGCATTCGCTACTTGGCTAAATGTTCGGCACCAGAGGCCTAGCTTTCAGCCTACCATGTCTTTCAACATGCTTTCCTCACTAAGCTTAATCATTTCTATCTTTTGCAGAGACCTGCAACTCTTCCTTTCACTTGAACACTTAGAGGCCATTGTACGGTTTTAGATTGGCCTAATTTCAAAATTGTTGTGTTTCAGGGAATAGGGAAGCCCAAGGTGAAGGAGAGAGGTGAGGGAATGGCTAGTCAGTGGAGTAGAGAGAACACACACATTTATTGATTAAGTTCACCATCTTACATGGGTGTGGTTTGTGGCACCTGAAAACAATTACAATAGTAATATCAAAGATCACTGATCACTGGTCACCATCACAGATATAATAATAATGGAAAAAATTTAAAATATTGTGAGATTTACCAAAATATTACACAGAGGCACAAAACGAGCACATGCTGTTGGAAAAATTAAGCTGATAGACTTGTTCAATGCAGGGTCCCCACGAATGTTTACTTTGTAAAAAAAACAACAAAAAAATTATCTGCAAAGCATTATAAAGTGAAATACAGTAAAGCAAGGTATTCCTGTATATCATACGAGTGAAATCACAATGTATGACCTTTTGTCTCTGACTTATTTACTTAGCATGTTTTTGTGGTTTATCTACATTGTGGTGGTATGCACACTACTTCAGTCCTTTTCGTGGCTGAATAATATTCCATTGTGTGGTTAAACCACATTTTGTTTATCCATTCATCTGCTGATGGGTATTTTGTTTGCTTCTATCTTTTAGCTATCTTGAATCATATTGCTATGAGTGTTCATATACAAGCATTTTTATTACCTTTTTCATTATTTGGATAATAATTGATATTATATAATATAAATAATATAATAATTTATATTACTGTGTACTTGATTTGCTGGGTTATATGATAATTCTATGTGTAACTTCGAGGAGCTGCCAACTTTTTTTCAAAGAAGCTGCACCATTTCACATGCTTACTAGCAATATACAAGGGTTTCAATTCTTCATGTATTTACCAAATCTTGTTATTTTCCTTTCTTTCCTTTCCTTTTTTAAAAAAATTTACAGCCATCCAGTTGGATGTTAAGTGGTATCTCATTGTTGTCTTGATTTGCATTTCCCTAAAGGTTAATAGTTTTGAGCATCTTTTCAAGTGTTTCTTGGCCATTTGAATATCTTCTCTGGAAAAATGACTATTCATACACTTAGCTCATTTTTAAGGGGGTTGTTACTCTTTATTCTTGAGTTATGAGAGTTTTTTGTATTCTGGCTACTAGATCCTTATCAGAGATATGATTTATGAATATTTTTTCCACTTGGGGGGATTATGTTTTTACTTCATTAACAGTGTCATTTTATGTACATCAGTTTTTAATTTTGATGAAGCTCAATTGATCTATTTTCCTTTTTTTTTTGGCTTGTGTTTTTGGTGTCATATCTAAGAAACTCTTGCCAAATCCAAGGTCATAATGACTTATCTCTATAATTTCTTCTAAGAGTTATAGTTTATGCTCTTACATGTGGGTAGTTGTTCCATTTTGAGTTAATTTTTGCATATAGCAGATGATGGGTGTCCAACTCCATTTTTTGCCATGTGGATAATCAGTTGTCTCAGTACCAATTTTTTGAAAATACTATTCTTTCCTCATTGAATAATCTTGTCACCCCATTGAAAATCGATTAACCATGAATACGAGGGTTTATTTTTAGACTCTCAATTCCATTCCATTAAGCTATATGTTTATCCTTTTGTGAGTACCACACACACTGTTTTGATAACTGTAGTTTTGTGATAAGTTTTGAAATTGGGAAGTATGAGTCCTCTGACTTTATTTTTCTCTTTTTCTCTCTCAGGATTGTTTAGGCTACTCTGAGTGCCCTGAAGTTCTATATGAATTTTAGAGTCAGTTGTTTAAAATATTTCTGCATAAAGGCCATTTGGATTTTCTTAGGAAATGCGTTGAATCTGTGGATCACTTTGGAGAGTACTGGGAACATAACAAGGTTTCCAATTCATGAGCATGTAATGTCTTCATTTATTTAGATCCCCTTTAATTTTGTTAAACAATGTTTTGTAGTTTTTGGTGTACAAGACTGGCATGTCCTTGGTTAAATTTATTCCAGAGGATCTTATTCCTTCAGATGCTATCGTAAATGGAATTGTTTCTTATTTTCATTTTTAGATTGTCATTGCCAGGGTGTAGAAATAAAACTGATTTTTGTATTTTGATTTTATTTCCCAAAATTTTGCTGAACTAGTTTATTAGTTCTAACACTTTATTGTGAATTCTTTAGGACTCTCAAAAGATCAGATTATGCCATCTGAATATAGAGATAGTTTAACTTCTTCCTTTCCAATTTGGTTGCCTTTTATTTTTCTTTTCTTGCCTAATTGCCCCAGCTAGAAATTCCAATACAAGGTTGAACAGAAGTGATGAAAGCAGGAAGGTATCCTTTTCTCATTATTCATCTTAAGGGAAATACTTTTGGTCTTGTATCATGGGGTGTGGTGTTAGCTGTGAGTTTTTCCAAAATGCCTTTTATCATGTTGAGAAAGTTCTCTTCTATTCCTAGTTTGTTGGATATTTTTATGATGGAAGTGTGTCGCATTTTTTTCCAGTGCTTTTTCTCGATCAATTGAGATAATCATGCAGTTTTTCTTATCATTCCGTTAATATGATGTGTTACATTTTATAATTTTCTTAAGTAACCCTTGAATTCCTAGGATAAATACTTGGTCGTGATGTATAATCCTTTTAATATGCTGCTGGATTTAGTTTGTTAGTCTTTTATTGAGGATTTTACATCTACATTCATAAAAGATATTGGTCTGTAATCTTCTTTTCTGGTAATGTCTTTATCTGTGGTACTGGGCCAATGCTGGCCTCTTAGAATAAATCAGAATGTGTTCCCTGTTCTTCAGATTTTTTTGGAAGAATAGATAAAACTTGGTGTTAATTCTTCTTTAAATGCTGGGTTGAATTTACCAGGGAAGCCGCTTTATCCTGGCCTTGTCCTTGTTGGGAGATTTCTTTATTACCGAGTCAAAATCTTTACTTGTTATAAGTCTATTCTGATATTCTATTTCCTCTTGAGTCAGTATTGGTAGTTTGCATGTTTCTAGAAATTTTCTAAGTCATCCAGTTTGTTGGCATACAATTGTTTATAGTATTCTCTTACAATACTTTTTAATTTTCTTAAAGTTTGTAGTAATGTCTCACTTTTGTTTCTAATTTTAATAATTTGAGTTTTCTTTTTCAATCAATCTAGCTAAAGTTTTCTTAACTTTTTCATCTTTCTAAAGAACCAACTTTTGGTTTTGCTGATTTTCTCTATTGTTTTTCTATATTCTGTTTCATTGATCTCTGCTTTAACCTTTACTATTTTCATCCTTTTGGTAGCTTGGGTTTATTACGCTCTTCTTTTTCTACTTCCTTAAGGTGTAAAGTTAGATTATTGATTTGACATCTTTCTTCTTTATTAATGGGGACATTTACTGCTATAAATTTCTATCTGAGCACTGCTTCCACTGCATACCTTAAGGTTCGGTATGTTGTTTTCATATTTTTTTTTGTCACAAAGTATTTTCTAATTTATCTTGTGATTTCTTCTTTGTCTCATTCATTATAAATGAGAATATTGTTTAATTTTCCCATATTTGTGAATTTCCCATTTTTCTTTTTCCTTTGACTTCTAGTTTTATTCTTTTGTTGTCAGAGAAGATACTTGGTATGATTTCAATCCTTTAAAATTTTTGAGATTATTTTGTTGCCTAACATAAGATCTCTCCTAGAGAATGTTCCATGCACACTTGAGAAGAATGTGTATTCTTGTTAAGTGGAATGTTCTGTGTACATCTGTTAGGTCTTACTGGTTTACAGTGTTGTTCAAGTCCTTCATGTCTTTATTGGTCTTCCTTCTATTTGCTCCGTTATCGAAAGTGGGGATTTTAAAGTCCACTATTCTTATTATAGTGCCCTCTAACTCCTTAAATTATGTCAATATTTCCTTCCTATATTTTAAGGCTCTGCAGCTAGGTGTTTATATGTTTATAATTATTATATCTTCTTGATAGATTATCCTTTTTATCACTATATAATGCCCTTCTTTGCCTCCTATAATGATTTTTGTCCTAAAATCTATTTTGTTTGATATTAGGGCAGCCACCCAGCTCTCTTTTCATTAATATTTGCATGGAATATCTTTTGATCATTATTCCTTTATTATTCTTTCTCTTCTGTTCTTTTAGTATTACCATTATATGTCAGCACATTATACATGTAGATCAAGTAAAAAAACTATTGACTCAATCAATAACTGAATGCTATTCGATACAAATTTACATCTATTTCTTATTGTAAATATAATGAGGTTAAAACTCTTTAGGAATAGAAGGATATTTTCTTAACTAAAATATTGCCTGGAATAAATATTTATAGAATAAAACCAAAAAAATTTCTGAGTATTGTTCATATGTTTTAAAGAAAAAAGGAAAAAGACATAAATATTTTAATAGTAATTAACTTCTGTGGGTAGAAAAAAACAGTTATCAATTCATTAAAAAAAAATTTCTGTCTAGCCGGGCGTGGTGGCTCACGCCTGTAATTCCAGCACTTTGGGAGGTGGAGGCAGGTGGATCACGAGGTCAGGAGATTGAGACCATCCTGGCTAACACAGTGAAACACAGCCTCTACTAAAAATCCAAAAAAAAAAAAAAAAATTAGCAGGGCGTGGTGGTGGGTGCCTGTAGTCCCACCTACTCGGGAGGCTGAGGCAGGAGAATCACTTGAACCCAGGAGGCAGAACTTGCAGTGAGCTGAGACCGCACCACTGCACTCCAGCCTGGGTGACAGAGCGACACTCTGTCTGAAAAAAAAAAAAATTTTCTGTCTAAAATTTACTTAAAATAGCTACTATATATTAATCAGAAGAACTTTCTGAAGAAAAAAGCAACTTCTTAGCCCATTCAAAAGATTGTGAGCTTGGTAGAATGTAATATCTTCAGTGCAGAGTGTTTTGTTACCTTAATCCCCATTTATATAGAACAGTGACAAACACATAATTTATGCTATGTGAATGAGTGCATAAAAGGTTGAATGAATAAATGAATAAATGAGGATAATGTAAAGATGGATTTTTACTAAAATGTATTCTAGCCCTTATGTAATATTAATTTAGAAATTGTGCATTTTCAAATGCACTCATACAAACCAAAAAATAGCACTTATACAATTCAAACTGGCATAGGGACAAAGATCTGCAAGGTAACATTATATTATCAATCTTCAATAGTTATGTGTCATAGATAAGATAAGTAGGTTTTGATGAAGGTTTTGCCTTGTAATGTTTTGGCATTTTCAAATAACCAAAAAATAGCACTTATACAATGCAAGCTGGCATAGGGACAAAGATCTGCAAGGTAGCGTTATAGTATCAGTCTTCAATAGTTATGTGTCATAGATAAGATAAGCATGATTTGATGAAGGTTTTGCCTTGTAATATTAACTATTTCCACTGGTTACCTATTGTATGGAATGGTTGCAGATCATGAGCAGAATTTTGGCAGAAATGACAAGAAAGACATTGTCTATCAATATTCTGTGCATGATAGTGAATGCTGATCCTTTATAACCATTTCAAATTTATAATCCAGATGAGAAAATTGAGGTAAATATGTTGGTTTAGGTTAAAACCAAAAATTGATATCAACTCTCAGTTGTTTTGTTTATGCTCCTGCATTTAAGGGAGGCTTTCTCAGGGTATTTTTTTAAATGATGCATTTAGCACAGAATATATAAAGATAAATAGCTGCATATTTATAGACTGTCATTGAGAGTATATATGTACATATATGTATAGAAAGTATAAACTACATAAATATAAAAAAATGAAGACAGAAGTACAATAGCTGAAAAATCATGATATGGAAATACAGAAGGCAGAAGACATGAAGTAATTATCTCATTATAATCAGTTTTCAGTATATTATAACTGTAGTACTGGGGATATTTCCTGGCATATTTAAAACGAAAGTAGAGTACTTGGGGAGAACTTTCAGATAAGAACATTAGCATTTATTAAATTTTAGAAAACAGGGTTGAAAGTTATTTTGGTTCAAAGGAAATATATAGGCAGTATCTCAAATGTTATGTGGAGGAAACAGTAAATTTATTTTAAACTCATAAAAACGATTGGTGGAGGTCATATTGAATTAGAATTTGATGACTATAATAAAGAATTGCTCAAAAATTAGCACTCCTTAATATACAATAGGCTGCTTTGTAACATAGTGTCCTCAGCGAAGACTGAGGAAAAGCTATTTGCAAGGTGCTGTGGGTACCTTGCACCTGCACTAGAGTGAGCTCTGCGTCAGTGACCCCAAAGACTCTTCCTAATCTCAGATTCTGTCATCTTCTTCTATAGGTTTTATTAGGTAGTTGACACTGTTCTTCTATTTTTCATTTTCCCTGTGGATATTTTTTAAAACATTTTTAAATGTTAACCCTTTACTTTTTAGTGTAGTATGACTTAAATAATGTTTTCAATCTATCAGAAAATTTTAGAGATGTTCTCATCCAAAGACGGCATACCAGACAAATGACTTCCCAAATTTATTTCCATTACTTATAAAAACAGCTTTTGAAATCACCCAGCATGGGTGATTAGATCCTGATTATACCATGGCTTTGATTGTCCTCGTTTGATTCCCATGATAAGTTAGGCAAGATTTATTACATGTATCAAATTGTCACAAGCTACAAAAACATCAAAAGAAATTGGTCTCAGTTCCTCTCAAAAGTCGCCAAGGAAATGTTCTTGGGTATGGTATTAATTAGTTCTCTATTGTGCAGCATATAATTTTCCCAAAACTCAGTGGCTGAAAACAGCAACAATTTGTGGTTTCTCATGATTCTGTATGTAGACTGGCCAGTTCTCCTGCTGGCCTCACCTGACGTGCCCATGTGGTGCATTCAGTGGGTAGGTCTGCAGATGCTGGGCTCAGCTGGGATGATGGGAACCTAGGCTGTGTCTGGTAGATATCCAGGGATATTGACTAGAATTTAAAAAAAACCAAAAAACCTGAGTTCTTATTTTGTAAATTAAAAAGAAAATATGAAGAGAGACCTTGATAACATATAGTGATTAGCAGAAAATCAGATAATGTAGTGATACAGATTGCAGATTAAAGAAATTATTCAAAGAGGGTTAACAAAAGTGCCAAAGTTTTGAAGAATCTGATACAAATATTGTTTTTTCCACTCCCTCATCTGAACTTCTCTCTCTTAAACCTAGGTTCCTCCATAGGCTTCCCCTGGGGAATGGTCTGTGAGGTAGCGGTCATGGGCCTCGAAGTGTTTTCTGGATTGATCACGGTTACTGTGTCTACTCTCTGCTGCTAGCACACTGGCATGTTAGTAATTTTAGCTGATATCCCTGTCCCAGGTTCCCTTAAACCAAGAAGCTCAGATGAGGCAGCTGCGTTCATTTTTTTATTTTTAATTTCTAGATTTATTTAAATCACAGAAGTAATATTTATTTATTTTGACAATGTAAAATATACAGACCTGTAGAAAGAGAAATAGTCTCCTTCACTTGTCTCCCATCAAATTCTACTCCCCTAGAAATAGTTTGTGTCTTTGTATATTCTTTCCTTTGTACACATTAGCAGATATGATATGGATGGGTTGGTTTGCTGTATAAAAGTGACCTTAAACTGTACCTATTCTTAAGCAATGTGTTTTTATTATTTTTAAATGCATTGTCTGGCTATCATTAAAAAGAAAAATAATAGATGTTAGCAAGGATGCAGAGAAAAGGGAACTCAGGGAACTCTTTCATTTTCTTTTTTTCTTTTTTTTCTGAGATGGAGTCTCACTCTGTCACCCAGGCTGGAGTGCAGTGGCATGGTCTCAGTTCACTGCAACCTCCGTCTCCCAGGTTCAAGTGATTCTCCTGCCTCAGCCTCCCGAGTAGCTGGGACTACAGGTGCGTGCCACCACGTCCAGCTAATTTTTGTATTTTTTTTAGTAGAGATGGGGTTTCTCCATGTTGGCCAGGCTGGTCTCGAGCTCCTGACCTCGTGATCCACCCTCCTTGGCCTCCCAAAGTGTTGGGATTACAGGCGTGAGCCACCGTGCCCGGCTGAAAAGGGAACTCTTATACACTGTTAGTAGGAAGGTAAACTAGTACAGCAACTATGGAGAACAGTACGGAGATTTCTCAAAAAACTTAAAATAGAACCACTATTGAATCCAGCAATCCCACTACTGGGTATCTACCCAAAGAAAAACAAACAATATATCCAAAAGATACCTGCA
The DNA here is from genome assembly GCF_000001405.40 of Homo sapiens. Lineage (NCBI taxonomy): Eukaryota > Metazoa > Chordata > Mammalia > Primates > Hominidae > Homo > Homo sapiens. The sequence goes on from NC_000008.11 coordinate 68,459,705, forward strand.
TTCACATGTCTATTGCAGCACTATTCACAATAGAAAAGATGTGGAATCAACCTAAGTGTCCATCAGCAGATAAATGGATAATAAAAACTTGGTGCAGGGTGAGAGCCAAGATGGCCAAATAGGAACAGCTCCGGTCTACAGCTCCCAGTGTGAGTGACGCAGAAGACAGGTGATTTCTGCATTTCCATCAGAGGTACCGGGTTCACCTCACTAGGGAGTATCAGACAGTGGGCGCAGGACAGTGGGTGCAGTGCACTATGCGCGAGCCGAAGCAGGACAAGGCATTGCCTCACTCGGGAAACACAAGGGGTCAGGGAGTTCCCTTTCCTAGTCAAAGAAAGGGGTGACAGACGGCACCTGGAAAATCGGGTCACTCCCACCCTAATACTGTGCTTTTCCGACAAGCTTAAAAAACGGAGTACCAGGAGATTATATCCTGCACCTGGCTCGGAGGGTCCTACACCCACGGAGTCTCGCTGATTGCTAGCACAGCAGTCTGAGATCAAACTGCAAGGCAGCAGCGAGGCTGGGGGAGGGGCGCCCGCCATTGCCCAGGCTTGCTTAGGTAAACAAAACAGCCAGGAAGCTCGAACTGCTTGGAGCCCACCACAGCTCAAGGAGGCCTGCCTGCCTCTGTAGGCTCCACCTCTGGGGGCAGGGCACAGACAAACAAAAAGACAGCAGTAACCTCTGCAGACTTAAATATCCCTGTCTGACAGCTTTGAAGAGAGCAGTGGTTCTCCCAGCACGCAGCTGGAGATCAGAGAATGGGCAGACTGCCTCCTCAAGTGGGTCCCTGACCCCTGACCCCTGAGCAGCCTAACTGGGAGGCACCCCCCAGTAGCGGCAGACTGACACCTCACATGGCCAGGTACCCCTCTGAGACAAAACTTCCAGAGGAACGATCAGACAGCAGCATTTGCAGTTCATGAAAATCCGCTGTTCTACAGCCACGACTGCTGATACCCAGGCAAACAGGGTCTGGAGTGGACCTCTAGCAAACTCCAAAAGACCTGCAGCTGAGGGTCCTGTCTGTTAGAAGGAAAACTAACAAACAGAAAGGACATCCACACCAAAAACCCATCTGTACATCACCATCATCAAAGACCAAAAGTAGATAAAACCACAAAGATGGGGAAAAAACAGAGCAGAAAAACTGGAAACTCTAAAAAGCAGAGTGCCTCTCCTCCTCCAAAGGAACGCAGTTCCTCACCAGCAACGGAACAAAGCTGGACAGAGAATGACATGACGAGTTGTGAGAAGAAGGCTTCAGATGATCAAACTACTCCGAGCTACAGGAAGAAATTCAAACCAAAGGCAAAGAACTTAAAAACTTTGAAAAAATTTAGACGAATGTATAACTAGAATAACCAATACAGAGAAGTGCTTAAAGGAGCTGATGGAGCTGAAAGCCAAGGCTGGAGAACTACGTGAAGAATGCAGAAGCCTCAGGAGCCAATGCGATCAACTGGAAGAAAGCGTATCAGTGATGGAAGACGAAATGAATGAAATGAAGTGAGAAGGGAAATTTAGAGAAAAACGAATAAAAAGAAATGAACAAAGCCTCCAGGAAATATGGGACTATGTGAAAAGACCAAATCTACATCTGATTGGTGTACCTGAAAGTGACAGGGAGAATGGAACCAGGTTGGAAAACACTCTGCAGGATATTATCCAGGAGAACTTCCCCAATCTAGCAAGGCAGGCCAACATTCAGATTCAGGAAATACTGAGAACGCCACAAAGATATTCCTCGAGAAGAGCAACTCCAAGACATATAATTGTCAGATTCACCAAAGTTGAAATGAAGGAAAAAATGTTAAGGGCAGCCAGAGAGAAAGGTCGGGTTACCCTCAAAGGGGAGCCCATCAGACTAAGAGCGGATCTCTCGGCAGAAACTCTACAAGCCAGAAGAGAGTGGGGGCCAATATTCAACATTGTTAAAGAAAAGAATTTTCAACCCAGAATTTCCTATCCAGCCAAACTAAGCTTCGTAAGTGAAGGAGAAATAAAATCCTTTACAGACAAGCAAATGCTGAAAGATTTTGTCACCACCAGGCCTGCCCTACAAGAGCTCCTGAAGGAAGCACTAAACATGGAAAGGAACAACCAGTACCAGCCACTGCAAAATCATGCCAAATTGTAAAGACCATCAAGGCTAGGAAGAAACTGCATCAACTAACGAGCAAAATAACAGCTAACATCATAATGACAGGATCAAATTCACACATAACAATATTACCTTTAAATGTAAGTGGACTAAATGCTCCAATTAAAAGACACAGACTAGCAAATTGGATAAAGAGTCAAGACCCATCAGTGTGCTGTATTCAGGAAACCCATCTCACGTGCAGAGACACACATAGGCTCAAAATAAAAGGATGGAGGAAGATCTACCAAGCAAATGGAAAACAAAAAAAGGCAGGGGTTGCAATCCTGGTCTCTGATAAAACAGACTTTAAACCAACAAAGATCAAAAGAGACAAAGAAGGCCATTACATAATGGTAAAGGGATCAATTCAACAAGAAGAGCTAACTATCCTAAATATATATGCACCCAATACAGGAACACCCAGATTCATAAAGCAAGTCCTGAATGACCTACAAAGGGACTTAGACTCCCACACAATAATAATGGGAGAATCTAATACCCCACTGTCAACATTAGACACATCAATGAGACAGAAAGTTAACAAGGATACCCAGGAATTGAACTCAGCTCTGCACCAAGCGGACCTAATAGACATCTACAGAACTCTCCACCCCAAATCAACAGAATATACATTTTTTTCAGCACCACACCACACCTATTCCAAAATTGACCACATAGTTGGAAGTAAAGCTCTCCTCAGCAAATGTAAAAGAACAGAAATTATAACACACTGTCTCTCAGACCACAGTGCAATCAAACTAGAACTCAGGATTAAGAAACTCACTCAAAACCACTCAACTACATGGAAACTGAACAACCTGCTCCTGAATGACTACTGGGTACATAACAAAATGAAGGCAGAAATAAAGCTGTTCTTTGAAACCAACAAGAACAAAGACACAACATACCAGAATCTCTGGGACACATTCAAAGCAGTGTGTAGAGGGAAATGTATAACACTAAATGCCCACAAAAGAAAGCAGGAAAGATCCAAAATTGACACCCTAACATCACAATTAAAAGAACTAGAAAAGCAAGAGCAAACACATTCAAAAGCTAACAGAAGACAAGAAATAACTAAAATCAGAGCAGAACTGAAGGAAATAGAGACACAGAAAACCCTTCAAAAAATTAATGAATCCAGGAGCTGGTTTTTTGAAGGATCAACAAAATTGATAGACCGCTAGCAAGACTAATAAAGAAAAAAAGAGAGAAGAATCAAATAGACACAATAAAAAATGATAAAGGGGATATCACCACTGATCCCACAGAAATGCAAACTACCATGAGAGAATGCTACAAACACCTCTGCGCAAATAAACTAGAAAATCTAGAAGAAATGGATAAATTCCTTGACACATACACCCTCCCAAGACTAAACCAGGAAGAAGTTGAATCTCTGAATAGACCAATAACAGGCTCTGAAATTGTGGCAATAATCAATAGCTTACCAACCAAAAAGAGTCCAGGACCAGATGGATTCACAGCCGAATTCTACCAGAGGTACAAGGAGGAACTGGTACCATTCCTTCTGAAACTATTCCAATCAACAGAAAAAGAGGGAATCCTCCCTAACTCATTTTATGAGGCCAGCATCATCCTGATACCAAAGCCGGGCAGAGACAAAACCAAAAAAGAGAATTTTAGACCAATATCCTTGATGAACATTGATGCAAAAATCCTCAATAAAATACTGGCAAACTGAATCCAGCAGCATATCAAAAAGCTTATCCACCATGATCAACTGGGCTTCATCCCTGGGATGCAAGGCTGGTTCAATATACACAAATCAATAAATGTAATCCAGCATATAAACAGAATCAAAGACAAAAACCACATGATTATCTCAATAGATGCAGAAAAGGCCTTTGAAAAAATTCAACAACGCTTCATGCTAAAAGCTCTCAACAAATTAGGTATTGATGGGACGTATCTCAAAATAATAAGAGCTATTTATGACAAACCCACAGCTGATATCATACTGAATGGGCAAAAACTGGAAGCATTCCCTTTGAAAACTGGCACAAGACAGGGATGCCCTCTTTCACTACTCCTATTCAACATAGTGTTGGAAGTTCTGGCCAGGGCAATTAGGCAGGAGAAGGAAATAAAGGGTATTCAATTAGGAAAAGAGGAAGTCAAATTGTCCCCATTTGCAGATGACATGATTGTATATCTAGAAAACCCCATTGTCTCAGCCCAAAATCTCCTTAAGCTGATAAGCAACTTCAGCAAAGTCTCAGGATACAAAATCAATGTACAAAAATCACAAGCATTCTTATACACCAATAACAGACAAACCGAGAGCCAAATCATGAGTGAACTCCCATTCAAAGAGAATATTTGCTTCAAAGAGAATAAAATACCTAGGAATCCAACTTACAAGGGATGTGAAGGACCTCTTCAAGGAGAACTACAAACCACTGCTCAATGAAATAAAAGAGGATACAAACAAATGGAAGAATATTCCATGCTCATGGGTAGGAAGAATCAAGATCGTGAAAATGGCCATACTGCCCAAGGTAATTTATAGATTCAATGCCATCCCCATCAAGCTACCAATGACTTTCTTCACAGAATTGGAAAAAACTACTTTAAAGTTCATATGGAACCAAAAAAGAGCCCGCATCGCCAAGTCAATCCTAAGCCAAAAGAACAAAGCTGGAGGCATCACGCTACCTGACTTCAAACTATACTACAAGCCTACAGTAACCAAAACAGCATGGTACTGGTACCAAAACAGAGATATTGATCAATGGAACAGAACAGAGCCCTCAGAAATAACACTGCATATCTACAACTATCTGATCTTTGACAAACCTGAGAAAAACAAGCAATGGGGAAAGGATTCCCTATTTAATAAATGGTGCTGGGAAAACTGGCTAGCCATATGGAGAAAGCTGAAACTGGATCCCTTCCTTACACCTTATACAAAAATCAATTCAAGATGGATTAAAGACTTAAATGTTAGACCTAAAACCATAAAAACCCTAGAAGAAAACCTAGGCAATACCATTCAGGACATAGGCATGTGCAAGGACTTCATGTCTAAAACACCAAAAGCAATGGCAACAAAAGCCAAAATTGACAAATGGGATCTAATTAAACTAAAGAGCTTCTGCACAGCAAAAGAAACTACCATCAGAGTGAACAGGCAACCTACAAAATGGGAGAAAATTTTCGCAACCTGCTCATCTGACAAAGGGCTAATATCCAGAATCTACAATGAACTCAAACAAATTTACAAGAAAAAAACAAACAACTCCATCAAAAAGTGGGCAAAGGACATGAACCGACACGTCACAAAAGAAGACAATTATGCAGCCAAAAAACACATGAAAAAATGCTCACCATCACTGGCCATCAGAGAAATGCAAATCAAAACTACAATGAGATACCATCTCACACCAGTTAGAATGGCAATCATTAAAAAGTCAGGAAACAACAGGTGCTGGAGAGGATGTGGAGAAATAGGAACACTTTTACACTGTTGGTGGGACTCTAAACTAGTTCAACCATTGTGGAAGTCAGTGTGGCGATTCCTCAGGGATCTAGAACTAGAAATACCATTTGACCCAGCCATCCCATTACTGGGTATATACCCAAAGGACTATAAATCATACTGCTATAAAGACACATGCACACGTATGTTTATTGCAGCACTATTCACAATAGCAAAGTCTTGGAACCAACCCAAATGTCCAACAATGATAGACTGGTTTAAGAAAATGTGGCACATACACACCATGGAATACTATGCAGCCATAAAAAATGATGAGTTCATGTCCTTTGTAGGGACACGGATGAAATTGGAAATCATCATTCTCAGTAAACTATCGCAAGGACAAAAAACCAAACACCGCATGTTCTCACTCATAGGTGGGAATTGAACAATGAGAACACATGGACACAGGAAGGGGAACATCACACTCTGGGGCCTGTTGTGGGGTGGGGGCAGGGGGGAGGGATAGCATTAGGAGATATACCTAATGCTAAATGACGAGTTAATGGGTGCAGCACACCAACATGGCACATGTATACATATGTAACTGACCTGCACATTGTGCACATGTACCCTAAAACTTAAAGTATAATAAAATAAAATAAAATAAAATAAAATAAGAAATTCTAATAAAAAAAGAAAATTTGGTGCGTATACACAATGAAATACTATTTGGTCATTTAAAAAAAAAAACAATGAAATCATGTCATTCTCAGCAACACGGTGAAACTGGAGGTTATTATCTTAAGTGAAATAAGCCAGGCACAAAAAGACTAATATTGCATGCCCTCAGTTATATGTGGGAGCCAATAAAACTAATCACATGGAGGTAAGGGATTGAAAGATAGATAACAGTGACTGGGAAGGGTGATTGGGGCATGGGGGAAAATGAGAGAAGTGGGCTAAAGGGTAGCATAAGCATACGGTAAGATAGAAGGAATAAACTCAATGTTTGATAGAAGAGTAGGGTGACTATAGTTAACACGAGTGTACTGTACTCAGTAGATGCACACCCTAAGTGTTGATTAAATATGTTCTCTATGTTGATATTATTATGATTAATTAATTAACATTGTTCACAAGCCATACAGTGACTTGATCACTACGTGTTATATACATGTAACAAAATTTCATGTATACCTTATATATTTGTAGAAATAAAAATAAAAATAAAATGCACCATGGAAGTATCTTTATGGTAATATACTTAGATTTAACTTGCCCTTTTAAATAATTGTATACAATGTGAATGGGAGATAATTTATTCAGCCATTCCTTTGTTGAAGGACATTTAGATTACTAACAGGGTTTTGCGGCCATGAAATATTTGCTAAAATAAACAAAGTCTTACACTTTCTGTGAAAATAAACAACGTTGTACATATATATATATATATATATATATATAGATGCTTTCATTTCTTTATGATGACTTTACCAGACATAAGATTGCTAGGTCACAGGGTCGGTGCATTTTTCATCATAATAGATATTGCCAGATTACTTTTTAAAAAGGTGACAGAATGACATATTTCATTAGTTGGAGACTATTTCCTATGTCCTTACCATATAAATATTTTTAAAATTTATTTTATTTTTATCAAAACATAATGGTACATGGTTTAAAAAAGTTTAAGTAGTACTATGAGATTTCTACCCAACTCGGCTCCTAACCTGCAATCACTTTCACCTCTTTTAGATGTTGCTTCTGGTTCCTAAATCTACACAATCAAACATAAGGTTCTCTTCCTTTTTAAATTTGAGGCATTATCTCTTGACATCCTTCATACCTTGTGCTCCAAACTCTAACCCCCATCTCATCCTGGCCCTATAGTAATGCAGTTATTTCAAATGTTGATTAAATATGTACTCTACATTGGTATTATTATGACTAATTAATTAATATTGTTCATGGTTGAGCCATAAGATGTCCAACTATTCTAGAATTGACAGTTCTCTTGCTTTTCTGTTTGCTTTGTTTACTATGTACCCATCACTAATGCTTTGCCAAACCCTGCCCAAAGAATTAAACCTTCTCAATATGATCAGAGACAAGTAAACTTAACTTCTATTTTATAGTTATCCTTTATTTTAAAAATTTTTAGAGACTTCTCTTCTGTAGCCCTCTGTCCTCTTGCTCCCTGCTTGACTCATTGGTTTCTAGACTTTTTCTCAACTGCCTTTTGAGACTGTCTTTCACTATCTTCCCGAGAATTCCCTGTTCCTTTTCCATATTGGGAGAATGGGAGGTCACCTGTTTCCTGAAATCCAAGTCTTGCCATTTTTTGATTTACTTGTTCATTTTGGTAGAGCAACTCCAGTAGGAGCTTTCTGAAAAACAATGCTTTTGCAAGATAAATTTTTCAGTCCTTCAAAGTATCCTAATTTGTTCCCTAGTTGGGTATACAGTTCTAAGAAGTACTCTATAGTTGGAATTTAGAAGGAATTGCTTCTTGTCTTCTTAGGCCAAGTGTTGCCTTTGAGAAGTCTGGTGTCAATTTGATTTGCTATTTTTGCCCCTGAAAAGTTTTACAATGTTTTCTTTATTGCCACTATTAAACCATTTTTTAAAAAAAATATGCCTCGACCTGTGCCCGACATTTAATGGGCCCTTTAAATCTGAAAAGCAATTAAGTTCTTATATTATTATTACTTTGACATTGTTCTCCTGGATTGAAGCTTTAATATTTAAATAGTGTGACATGTTGATTTTCTTGGCATTCCTCTGTTCAGAGACTTAGGTTTCAGTTTTCTTTGCCTTGCAAAATCCAGTTACCACTCATCCATCCATTTTGCATCTTCTCTCAAAATATATTGCTATTTCTTGCCTAATAATGTCTTCTACACTTGTTCAACTAATTCTTTGAGGAAAAAAATCCCTTCACTGTAATGTAATTTTAATGGGAATTTGAGGAGGACATGAAGATAAATACGTATATTTAGCCTTCTATGAATGTCCTAAAAATATTTACTTAATAATTACCAGTTGCTGTTGAGGGAGTTAGTGCTTTTTTTAGGCTGATGACATAATACAAAATACACTTTGCCTGTGTGTTTCTCCCTGTGTTATAGAAATGATTAGTTTTAAGTTAATACCTGAATTTTCTTTTTTCTATAAACTCCACCACACTTCCCTTTACTTTTTCAGTTAAAATATTTTCTTTAAGCCTGGCTTCATATCTTCCCCTCTTTTTTCTCACAAGCAAACCATCTTCAAGATAAACACTTTTTATTCTATACATTGATCTTGGTACAGTCTTTCACGTGATGATGAATAGTCAGTTTGTGTCATTATGTAGCATGCTTATGAAATTACCATTTTTTTTAAACATAGTGCCAAGGTCAGTAGAGCATCCAAAGTGGAACTGGAGGACTAAACCACAAAGCCGTGATTTTGATGAATTGAATCACATCCTTCAGGAGAGCAAGAAGCTGGGGAAAGCCCTTGAGAATCTCTCTCGAAGTAAGTTCATTTACTTGATTATAATTGAAACTCCTAACCAATATTAAAGCCGAAGCATTCATTACTTGTGCCAATAACCCATTTCTAACATCCTCATTCTAATTCTGCAAGAGGCTGAGTAGTTCTAAGGGCATGAGATTGGAAAGGAACTTGATTTTGCATATTATACAGATTCTTGGGTAGACTGATCACATGGAGTAGAAAGAGCTGTAGAACCCCTCATAGCTGTTTGGCTCCAACACTTGTACATGGTTTCTGTTATCCAGTTTAAATATGTGCCTAATAGTAGCTTCTTCATTCTTTTCTTTGGAAACATACTGTTTTGCATCTTTCTAATTAATAAACATACCCATTGCCTCTGTGAGTTTTTGATGTCTCTAAACTTCTTAAGGATGGTAACTGGACCAAATTCTTCTTAGAATCTTTTCAGAGCCTAGCACAATGCCTAGTGATTATTTTTTTTAATGAAAGCAACATCTCTGTAATCTGAGGGCCTAGGTTATGGTTTTTCTCTGCCATCTATGACATAATTCATAATAAATCAGATAAATCATTTACCCTCCATGTGCCTTGGTCCGCTCATCTCCAAAGCAGAAAGACATGATTATGCCGCCTTCCTCTGCTAGGTGTGAAGGTTTAAAAATGATACATTTCAAGTAAAACCTTTTAAATAACTGCTATTGTTGTAAGAGTAGGCAATAAAATGATTATTTTGGTTTAATAAATTCATTTATATATGCAGCCATACGTATACACTATATGGTTTTAGTAGTGAGTTAAAAGTATTCCTACATTTTTTTGGTTCCCTTAAGTTTTTCTCAATTTTAAAAATTGGGCTCCTTTAGAAGCACATTAATGCCATGGCCTCACCAAAATTTTCTTTTATTGCCATGGAATACTACAGAATTTTCAGTGGAAAGTAGTTAGAACACTAGCAAATTCTAGTGGATTATATTTTAGGATCTCTATTTTTATTTTAGATTGCAGAATCTTACTAATTTCATTATTTTTATCAAAGGCAAACATTGTCTTGGTATATTTTGAAAGAAGTTTATATATATATATATGCTTATATATGTAATTATAATTATACATATTTACATTTGGTATTTTGTGTGTGTGTGTGTGTGTGTGTGTATGTGTGTACAGCTTTAGTTTTTTCACAGCTCTTCATTAGACCCTTCTATATTTTTGTGCAGTGAACCCCTTTCAGAAGTTAAGCTACCTTATCACAGGATCTTATGCTTTGCCATTAGTAAAAACCCTCTGAATGGGATTCAAGGAAGCTCCACGTTTGGTTAAATTTCCTTTTGTAGAAAATAAGAGTAAAGTGAGTTTTTGGCTTATGATTATATTATGTTTATGAAAAGAGCCTGATTCTCTTCATATGGCAAAGGCACATATTCGTATTTATGAATCTTACCATTTGGGGCAGAGCTTCAGGGCTCTTTATAGTCTCTCAATTTACCTAATAACATGAACTAAAAGAAGGATGATTGAAGAATGTGTCTGATCATTGTAAAGATTTTCAAATACATGGTCAATCAACTTTTGTCCTTTAAAATGTGACACCTGCCTTTCACTTGTTATACTGTTTTTAATTTGTAAAATAGTATTTGCTGTGTTCCCCCAAATTTTTAATATAGGGATTTGACTGCATTTCAATTATGTAGTTGCCCACTTTTGTAGCAGAAGTGTCAGAGTTCAAGCTGTGGACCAAGAAAACCTGGCTGTGGCCTTCCAGGTTGTCTTACCCTGTTTGGGCTGCTATAGCAAAATACTGTAGCCTGAGTGACTTATTAACAACAGAAATTTGTTTCTTATAATTCTGGAGGGTGGATGGTCTAAAATCCAGGTGCTGACACCTTTGGTATCTGATGAGGACCTGTTTCTTGGTTCCACAGATTGTATATCCTAGCTGTGTCCTCACATGGTGGAAGGGGCAAGGGAGCTCTCAGAGGCCTCTTTTATAAGGGCAGTAATCCCAATCATGAGAAAGGAGCCCACATGTCCTAATTACCTCCCAGGCTCCACCTCCTAACACCATCACATTGCGGATTAGAGTTTAGCTTATGAGTTTTGGGAGGACACCAACATTCAGATCATAACACAGGTGGAGCCTCACAACTGAGTCCAATGATCAGAAGCTAATGGGGGCCATGTTTAATACTTGCAGGCCAGCCTAGTAAAACAATAAAGACAGACCTTGGTCATCAGAGTAGAAGAGATACAGGTATAGGACATTACTCTTGGGATAAAATAAGGGCCAGAAAAGCTATATGTGACTCCATAGTGAGGCCAGAATGAAGTGTCATAGTCAACTCCTATAGATATAGTAGAAGGTTGTTTTTGGCTTCACTTAATGGTTTTAAGGGACTCTACTGTTTTAGGGTATTCTGGTGGGATTTATGTGAGTTAAGAGGATGGTTGGTTACATAGGGAAGAATTGCTCTTTGACTATTTTTCTGAGCAAAATTATACTTTCTTGGAATGACTTGAGTTTCTATGATTTTCTGAATCTGAGCTTTATTATTGAATTGTCTTAGGCACAACATGTTTACTACCAAGTTATCAACATGCCTGCCCTGGTCAGTACACATGAATACAAATGCAGCTTTACTGTTTGCTGATGATTGTTTATCAGTCTAGTTGCCCAGAGTTTAGCTATGTAATGGCATTCCTACTTCCTCCAACTGGAACCAGGATGTAATTCATTTTTATTTGACTCTTATAATAGTTTCAGCTTGTTAACTCTTTTTCTATGATAGTAACTTTATTACCCATTGTTTTAATTACTAGGAAGACATAGGGGATGGGATTTTCCTCCAGGTACCTTCATAAGGAATATTCCATGTTTTGACACTGTGGACCTTTCTTTCCAGTGGCATAATCATTGATGCAAAAGGCTGAAAGTTTTTAGTGATCTAATTTTAATGTAGTCACTGATGAGAATTCACTTTATCTTGGTTGTACGGTCTAAAAAAATCCTACATGTTTTAGAAGTATTATTTTTTTAGTTGAGATTGACAGCAAATAATCATTTATATCTCTCAAAATGATAGTTATTTCAGCTTATCTACTGCCAGCTTTTAGAGACTTAAATGAACACACACACACACACACACACACACACACACACACACAACTCAAATAATACCAGGAAAGACTAGATAGTCTCTTCAGTTTGCAAACATGATTTCTGTTTCAGTAACAACTGTACCATGCTCTTTTTCTGGCTTTTTTTCAAACCTTTCAATGTAACATTTTATCTTAAAGTCAATCATAAACTGTGGCAATCTGCATGATATTGCTCTCTTGGAAAGGCAGACGTGTTAGAATGATTCCAACAGTGGCTTGTATTGCCACATAGTCATGACGAAGTAGGCATAGTGGGTTTTTGGTGCCTTGAGCCCTCACTTTGTAGCATTTCTATACTTTCCTCAAACATTACTTTTTTCTTCCCAGGAGCCTGGGCTCTTACCCATTCCTTCAAGTGTTTGCCCCCATCTCAATAGTCATTTACTGCTTCTTCTTTGAGGCCATGATGGAGTAGCTGTCTGATTCTTTACCTTCCTTTAAAGGGCACACCTGATTAGGTCAGAGCCATATAGAGTAATCCCCATTCTGATTTACTCAAAGTCTCCTGGTTAGTATTCTATTTGAGGGTGTGAAAACCCTTCATGCTCAGGAGGCCCACTCACACTCAAAGAGGAAAAGATGCAACAAAAGTGAATCCTGAAGGCCATCTTAGAATTCTGCCTGCCATAGATATTATTATTGCTAGTACTACTTATTCACTTATAGCATGCTTCAGCTAAGCATTTTCCAGTAGAAAAGTAATGTTTGCCAGGTATACGTTTTGTATTTTCAAACAGGCACATTTAAAAAAGGCAAAAGGAAACGTGAAAACAATTGGAATAAAATGTTGTATTTAACCCAATATATCCAATTATTATGTTTCATTGTATTCCATATAAAAAATTTTCGAGATATTTTATATTCTTTTTCTCTCATTCTAAGTCTTCAAACTCTAGTGTAAATTTTAATTCACAGCACCTCTCGTTTTGGAACTAGCCACATTTCAACTGGTCAGTAGCCACAGGACAAGTGGCTACCATACTGGACATCACTGCTCTAACTAATGTTAACAAAAAAACCCCCACAAAATCTCTTCCCTTGAGATTAACTCCAGACATCATTGGTTTTCCTTCTTCCTCCTTCATACAATGTTTGAAAGAGTAGTTGTGAAGCGGCATCGTTGTCTGGGGTAAATACCCGAGGTTCATTGTCTTACACCAAGGGCACTGAGGGCACAGACACAACAAGAAGTGGGTTTAGGAGTGGAGATTTAACAGGCAAAAGAAAGAAAAAGGAGAACAGTTCTCTCTCTTGTAAGAGAGAGGGGTGCCCAAATGGGACTTCTGGCCCACTGCCGAGTGCATCAGATTTTATAGACAGGCTTGAGGAGGTGGTATCTGACTTACATAGGGCCCAAAGACTGGTTGGACCAGGTGTGATGTTTACATAACATACCAGGAAGCTGGCTGCCCCACCCTAATCTTATTATGCAGATAGGCTTTCCACTTGGCAGGTGCCATGTTGTCTGCTCCCTACCGCACACGTGGTTTGAAAGGAAAAGGGAAGACAGAGCCACCATTTTGAACATCCCTAGTCCCAGATAGCCTTTTCCTATTGCCACAACTGCCAGCATTCAGCCATGCAAGCTTCCAGGTTGCTTGTCTATGTCTGCAACTCGATTTTACAGTCTGCTCTTTGCTAGAAAAGAAAATGATTTGGGGGCTGCTTTTCATTAAAAGGAAAACCTTACTGAGGGCTTCCTTACCCTCACTACCTGCCTAAATAATTTCTTTTTAACTCATATGTCAGTTAGTGCTCACTGTCTCTACTTGCTCATCTTCTTTCTACTCCTCAAACTAATTATAAAATCGCACCTATACTTCTGAAACTTATCTCACACTGGTCACCAGGTGATTTCCAAATTGCCAAATGGAATGAGCAGTTTTCCAGTCTTCATGTTACAAAATTTCTCTGGTAGTTGTAACCCTGTTGATTACGCTGTCATTCTTCTGACTCCCTGCTCACCTCCTTTCTGGGTGCTGGCCCTCCATCCTCTTTGGATGCCCTTTGCATCACTTCCTGTAGGCCTCATTCAGGAGTTTATCTTTCTTCCTTGCCACTCTTAATGCTGTTCCTATGGTTCGTGATTGATCCTTTGCCTTTGTTCTTTCAAGTGCTCTCTCCATTCAACCTCATTCACCCTCCTCATTTATCACCCCTACGCAGCTAACTCAAATGAGTGTATTTCCATCCACACCTTTTATGTGTTTTTACAACATGCCCAAAGCGTATCTCCACTTGGCTATCCCAATGCCATGTTAAACTCAATGTATCTAAGTGGACCACACCTCCCTCTTCAAATGTGACCTTTCGGCTGCATGCTGTGTGTTAGGTGGTGGTACCATAACTTACCTATCCTTCCAAACTGGAACCCTTCTAGATTCCTCTTTCTTCCTTATTGTTCATAACTGATTAGTTATCAAATCTTGCTAATTTTTCCTCTAAGATATGTTTTGAGTCTAGTTTATATCTTCACTCCTATCAATATCTTCTAGTTCACTCTCTCAACATCTCTGACCAGATTATTGGTTTATCCATTTAAGATATTTCATTCCTGCCCTGTGTTAGAAAAAAAAAGAGGACAGCCTCTGCCCTTATTGAGCTTATGGCTGTCTGGACTGTCATAAATTTATGTTTAGGAGAGTTTCATGGCCAAAATCTCTGTGGCTTGATACAACGTCAATATATTCTCACTCAGCGAATAGTTTCATGTGATGTTCTGGGAATGCAGACGCTTTCCATCCTGTCATTCTACCATCTTCAACACTGACTTTTAAGGTCACTGCGGAAGCAGAAAGAGCCTGTAAAAGATCATGGGGCAGGTTTCTAATGCAAATCATGGAAGTGACATACATTATCTTTCTATATTCTACAGCTAACTACAAGGGAGCTGGAAAAAGTAGGCTAGCTTGGTGCCCAGGAGAAGCAAGGAACACACACTATTGATTCGCTTCTCCATTCTGCCAATCAGCCTTCACTATAAGTGTAGTGGCTCTAAAGTGAAAGCCTGACATTCACTTGTTTCGGGTATTCAGTGCCTCCATAGAACTTCAGAGAAAGTGCTCCAGGATCTGGCCGTTTATTGGGTCTCCAGTACCATTGCTTATGACTTTCTTTATGCACCGCACTCCCTCGAGGTTCCCCCTTTCCATGCTTTTGCTTATGTTGTC
This sequence comes from Homo sapiens, assembly GCF_000001405.40. Classification (NCBI taxonomy): domain Eukaryota; kingdom Metazoa; phylum Chordata; class Mammalia; order Primates; family Hominidae; genus Homo; species Homo sapiens. The sequence continues at coordinate 68,475,129 of NC_000008.11, forward strand.
CTCATGCCCTGAAGTCTCACCATCAGCTCCTTCCACTGCTTCCCTCTTCAGCAAGCCATATTTACTTTTCTCTTCAGCTTCAGCTCAAATACCATTTCCTCCAAGATTATTTCTCTGTTGCTGTCCTCTTCTGGGGTAGATTTGCATCCCCTCTCTTTGTGCTTCTATACTTTTCTCTGAACACACTTATATGCTATGATCTGTTTTTATTTATCTCCTCTGGACCTTGAGTTTCCTGAGGGCAGAGCCACTTTGCTCTTGCACTCCCTAGGACTTGGCACAAAGATTAGCACATAACTTGGTTATGGTTTGCTTGAAGAGGGCTACCTCTGGTTCCATTTCATCCTGATCCCTCTTTTCTGAGACCTCCCCCTAGTCAGGCTTTCTTCACTTAAACAAGCCTTCTGCTTTTTAAAATGTGAGCCTTTGGGATAAGATGACATGGGTTTGGCTGTTAGTAGATTTGACTTGTTTGCTGGGATCTTTGGCTTTGACTGTGATGCTTAAAAATAAATAGATAGCTAAGTAAGCACGTAAACAAATAAATAAACATCCTAAAAGCTAAAGACCAGCAGTTTTTTATTTCATGCAATTGGCCAACAAAACCTTCTACTTCGTGAGGCACTATTCCCAGGGTGGCAGGGTTTCCAGTGTTCTCTGGGTCTAATGCTTTTGCTGCTTCTGACAGCTCCCTGTGATGTGAGGTAGTGGTGGGATGAGTATCTTTAGGCCATCCAGACATTGGTCCATGGATTTCAGTTCATATGAAAACACTGGCTGGAGCCTTTCCAAGGAAAAGAGAGCCCAGCTGCTGGGGGAACAGAGGACAGATATTTATGCTCTGTGACTGCTAATAGCAACCTGCACTCAGCCAAGAGAAAAAAATAGCAAAGGACTTTTTTAGTGAGTCAGTCAGGAATGTACCCAAGAAGTCTTTTCTGACAAACAGACTAAGGAGTGATAGAATAACTATGCATGAGAGAAAATAGAGATGGATAATGTGGCAATTACTTGTTCATTCATTCCCACATTCATTGAATGTATGCAGGAATGCAAAGATGACTAACACGTGGAACTAGACTTCAAGCTTACATTTTAGTAGTGGAGACAGGTTTGGAAATCATAGTTTCAAAGTCTTGTACAAAGTACTTTAAAAGAGCTGAGGAGTCATAGAAGAATCTCCAAAGGGGTTTAGGGACAACTTGATAGAAAAGTTATCCAAATCAAATTTGGAAGTATCCAAAGGTCAAGGTACAGTAGGAGGAGAGTCAAGATGTGTCGTGGAGACAGATATTCCTGGAAGAGAGAAGCATGTGTGTAAGGATGTATTTCAAAGAAAGAGGAAGTTTTATCATTGAAAAGGCCAAAAGGATGACTAAATAGTAAAAAGGATAGTTTTATTGCTGATACCAGTTTGCAAACCAGTAAGAGATAGTCTGGTATGAACTAAAAGTGCTCTTTTTGAAGAGGGAAAGGGCGAGTTGGGTTTTATGCCCTACAGGGTCTGTATTACAAAGATGTCATACATATTCAGTAGATTTGGGGGAAAACCATACATATTTATGTGGGCAGTTGAGTACATGCACAATGGGCAAAGATATATGTAACATATATCCTATGTTCACTTTGGGGTGTGGTTTTAGCATTAAAATGAAGTGGAATATCACTATGTCAAAAGGTGAATCATAGGATATAAAGACAGTTTATTCACAATCTCTATAAGTTGGCTGAAACTGGCTTAAAGTCTGCAGTTGCTTATCACAAAAGAATGTTTGTAAGGCTGGTCCTGTTACTTTAGTGGTCTGGGTTGTAATTCAGAGTTAGGGAGGGAGTATGATAATTTTCCTGATAGCCCTTATTCCTAGAGAGTTTAGCAAGTGTATGGATTTTCTTGTAGCCATAGGAATTTAGGAAGTTGCCATGTCAGCTGGGCCTTGAAATCTCAACTCCTAGGTAACCTTTGTTTCCTTAACCTTAAGGTCCATCCTAGTTGATAAAGGGGTGTCTATTTTGATCTCTCAGATCACATGTCATATTATTGGTGCATGAAGGGTGAAGCAAATAATAAAGGGAATGAAGCTAGAAGTCTGGGTTACAGAGAAGTCAGGAATCAGGGGTAGGGACTTCTATGCTACAGGAATCTTGTCAGTAGATTATGATCCTAAGCAAGTTTGCATTTTTATTTTACCAATCACTCTTGGAGGCAACATGGGGACAGAGTTGACATGGCCCATGCCTGGAGGCAAGGACAGAAATGAATAGAGCCTGAAACAAAGCAGAGACTCCTCATGGAGAACCTCTGCGAGGGCAGTGCAAAAGGGAAATGTAGGGTTGGAGCCTCCACACACAGTTCCCACTGGAGCACTGCCTAGTGGCATTATGAGAAGAAGGCCACCATCATTCAGATCCCAGAATGGTAGATCTACTGACAGCTTGAACTGTGCTCCTGGAAAAGCCACAGACACTCAATGCCAGCCATGAAGGAGGGATACCTGAGGCTGTGGGAGCCAACCCTGCATTTCCCCTTTGCACTGCCCTAGCATAGGCTCTCCATGAGGGCTCCACCCGTGTAGCAGACTTCTGCCTGGACATTCAGGCATTTCCATACATCCTCTGAAATCTAGGTGGAGTTTCCCAAACTTCAATTCTTGACTTATGTGCACCCACAGGCCCAACACCACATGGAAGCCACCAAGACTTGGGGCTTGCACCCTCTGAAGCAACAGCCTTTGGTCCCTTATAGCCACCACTGGAGCTGAAACGGCTGGGACGCAGGATGCCATGTCCTGAGGCTGCACAGAGCAGCAGGGACCATGAGCCTGGCCCAGGAAACCATTTTTCCTCCTAGGTCTCTGGACCTTTGATGGGAGGGGCTGCCATGAATACCTCTGACATGCCCTGGAGACATTTTCCCCATTGTCTTGGTGAATAGCATTCAGCTCCTTGTTACTTATGCAAATGTCTGCAGCTGGTTTGAATTTCTTCCCAGAAAATGGGTTTTTCTTTTCTACCACATAGTCAGCCTGCAAAATTTTCAAGTTTTTATGCTCTGCTTCCCTTTTAAACATAAGTTTCAATTTCAGATAATCTCTCTCAAGTTCAAAGATCCACAGATCTGCCCTAGAGATGCCATCAGTCTCTTTACTAAAGCATAGCAAGAGTGACCTTTGCTCCAGTTCCCAGTTGCTCAAGTTTCTCATCTCCATCTGAGACCACGTCAGCCTGGGCTTCATTGTCCATATCACTATCATCATTTTAGTCAAAGCTATTCAACAAGTCTCTAGGAATTTCCAAACTTTCCCACATCTTCCTATCTTCTTCTGAGCCCTCCAAACTGTTCCAACCTCTGCCTGTTACCCAGTTTCAAAGTCATTTCCACATTTTCAAGTATCTTTATAGCAGTGCCCCAAACTCCCAGTATCAATTTGCTGTTAGTCTGTTTTCACACTGCTATAAAGAAATGCCTGAGACTGGGTAATTTATAAAGGAAAGTGGTTTAATTGATTCACAGTCCTACATGGCTGAAGAGGCCTCAGGAAACTTACAATTATGGCAGAAGGAGAAGCAGGCACCTTCTTCACAAGATGGCAGGAGAGAGAATGAAAGTGAAGGGGGATGAGCCTCTTATAAAACCATCAGATCTTGTGAGAACTCACTATCATGAGAACAGCATGTGGAACACTGCCCCCATGATCCAATCACCTCCCTTTGCCAACGTATAAGGATTACAGGTTTCTCCCTCAACAAGTGGAAATTACAATTTGAGATGAGATTTGGTTGGGGACACAGAGCCAAACCATATCATATGCATACAATATTATTTGAAAGAACACTGAATAAGTTATTGTCATTAGTTGTCTGTGACTGGGGGCTTATTTTATTTTTCCCTATTTTTTAATGCTAAACATGTCTTCATTTGATAAAATGAAATATAAAGGGTGTATATTTGCAATAGAAGAGAAAAGATGCAATTTGACTTGATAATCAGGATGTGTATAGTTACTTTATAAAGAATAATTTTAAGAATAATTAAAGAATAATTTTTAGAGACTACTGGAAGCAGAAGCTGGTATGCAGTGGACGGAAGAAGGAATGGACAGCAGTGAAGAGAGATGAGGAGTAGAGAAAGGAGGAGTACGTCCTGCAAAAAGTTATGATGGAAGAGAAGATGTGAAAAGGGGCAGCAATTAGTGGGGAAATTTGGAATTTTTTCATCATTTTGGTCTGATTTCCTTTAGTTTCTTCTGTGCATGTATCAGAGAGACACAGAGAAACAGTGAGAGAGAGAGAGAGAGAGAGAGAGAGAGAAAGCAACAGAGAGAGAGAATATGTGTCTGTGTGTACAATTAATGGTTTTTAGGGTATTAGTGGAAACCAAGATAAAGAACTTGCAGATTCAGGAGAGGGAGAGAAGATAATAGTTGGAGTAAATACCAGAGATGGAGGTTGGGGATGGAGCCAAAAAAACAAATGGATATAAGTGCACTTTGTCCTCTGAGACTGAAGAGAACAGCATCCATGGCTTTTTGAGGGGGATGAAGGGTCAGGAAGTCCAGGAAGTTCAAATCTTATAGTTTTCAAGTTTTCAGGATATTAAACTTTGAGGTCCTATACAGTAAGAAGGAGGAAGAGATGGGTAGAGGGGCCTGATGAAAACCAACACCATTTGAAACTATTCTTGGAGAAATGAATGCGCTGGTTAATCAAGGATGAAAATTGGTATGTGCTTCTAGAGCAGGGCTCAGCAAACTCTCGCCCATGGGCCAAATCTAACCTGTGGCTTGTTTTTGTGGCTCATGTTCTAAGCATGATTTTTACATTTTAAAAGAGTTATTTATAAAGCAAGAACAAGAATGTGTGAGTATGATATGATCTATATCTAGAATATTTACTATTTAGCCCGTAACAGAAAATGTTTTCAACTTTTGTTCTAGGATAACCAATTAATATGGTTTGGCTATATCCTCACCAAAATCTCAACTTGAATTGTATCTCCCAGAATTCCCACATGTTGTGGGAGGGACCCAGGGGGAGGTAATGGAATCACAGGGGCCAGCTTTTCCTGTGCTATTCTCATGCTAGTGAATAAGTCTCACAAGATCTGATGGGTTTATCAGGGGGTTCTGCTTTTGGTTCTTCCTCATTTTCTCTTGCCTCTGCCATATAAGAAATGTCTTTCACCTCCTGCCATGGTTCTGAGGCCTCTCCAGCCATGTGGAGATGTAAGTCCAATTAAACCTCTTTTTGTTCCCAGTTTTGGGTATGTCTTTATCAGCAGTGTGAAAACTAATACAGTAAATTGTTACTGAGAGTGGGGTGTTGCCAAAAAGATACCTCAAAATGTTGAAGCAACTTTGGAACTGGGTAACACGTAGAGGTTGGAACAATTTGGAGGCCTCAGAAGAAGACAGGAAAATGTGTGAAAGTTTGAAACTTCCTAGAAACTTGTTGAATGGCTTTGACAAAAATACCGATAGTGATATGAACAATAAGGTCCAGACCGAGGTGATCTCAGATGGAGATGAGGAACTTGTTGGGAACTGGAGCAGAGGTGACTCTTGTTATATTTTAGCAAAGAGACTGGCAGCATTTTATCCCTGCCCTAGAGATTTGTGGAACTTTGAACTTGAGAAAGATGATTTAGTGTATCTGGCAGAAGAAATTTCTAAGCAGCAAAGCATTCAAGAGGTGACTTGGGTACTGTTAAAGGCATTCTGTTTTTTATAAGGGGAGTAGAGCATAAAAGTTTGGAAAATTTGCAGCCTGACTTTGCAATAGAAAAGAAAAACCCATTTTCTGGGGAGACATTCAAGCTGGCTGTAGAAATTTGCATAAGTAGCCAGGAACCTAATGTTAATCCCCAAGACCATGGGCAAAATGTCTCCAGGCTATGTCAGAGACTTTCATGACAGCCCCTCCCATCACAGGCCTAGAGGCCCAGGAGGAAAATGTAATTTCATGGGCCAGGTCCAGGGTTCCCATATTGTGTGCACGGGGTGCCCTGTGTCCCAGCCATAGCTGAAAGGGGCCAATGTACAATGTGGGCTGTGGCTTCAGAGGGTATAAGCCCCAAGCCTTGGCAGCTTTCATGTGGTGTTGAGCCTGCACGTGCACAGAAGTCAAGAACTGAGGTTTGGGAACCTCTGCCTAGATTTTAGAGGATGCATGGAAATGCCTGGATGCCCAGGCAAAGATTGCTTCCATGGCGGGGCCCTCATGGATAACTCTACTAGGGCAGTGTGGAAGGGAAATGTGGGGTCAGAGCCCCCACACTGAGTCCCTACTGGGGCACCACCTAGTGGAGCTGTGAGAAGAGGACCACCATCCTCCAGACCCCAGAATGGTAGATCCACCAACAGCTTGCACTGTGTGCCTGGAAAAGCCACAGACACTCAAAGCCAGCCCATGGCAGCAGCCAGGAGAGAGGCATACCCTACAAAGCCACAGGGGCGGGGCTGCCTAAGACTGTGTGCACCCACCTCTTACATCAGCGTGAACTGGATATGAGACCTGGAGTTAAAGGAGATCATTTTGGAGCTTTAAAATTTGACTACCCTGCTGGATTTTGGACTTGCATGGACCCTGTAAGCCCTTTGTTTTGGCCAATTTCTCCCTTTTGGAATGGCTGTATTTAACCAATACCTATACCCCAATACCTGTACCCCCATTGTGTCTAGGAAGTAACTAGCTTGCTTTTGATTTTACAGGCTCATATGTAGAAGGGACTTGCCTTGTCTCAGATAAGACTCTGGACTGTGGACTTTTGGGTTAATGCTGAAATGAGTTAAGATTTTGGGGGACTGTTGGGAAGGCATGATTTGTTTTGAAATGTGAGGACATGAGATTTGGAGGGGCCAGGGAAGGATTGATATGGATTGGCTGTGTCCTCACCCACATCTCAACTTGAATTGTATCTTCCAGAATTCCCACGTGTTGTGGGAGGAACCCAGGGGGAGGTAATTGAATCATGGGGACCAGATTATCCTGTGCTATTCTCATGCTAGTGAATAAGTCTCATGAGATCTAATAGGTTTATCAGGAGTTTCTGTTTTTGCTTCTTTCTCATTTCCTCTTGCCTCTGCCTTCTAAGAATTGCCTTTTGTCTCCCACCATGATTCTGGGGCCTCCCCACGTGTGTGGAACTGTAAGTCCAATTAAACCTCTTTTTGTTCCCAGTTTCAGGTATGTCTTTATCAGCCATGTGAAAACAAACTAATACACCAGTTGAGGATTGAATTCCTCAACTTCTAGCAGGAATGCTCTTTGCTCTAAAAGCAATTAGCAGTCTATATAAAGGGTGTTTTTTAAAATTTATTTTAAAATATAAGTAGAGACAAGGTCTCACTATGTTGCCCAGGCTGGTCTCGAACTCCTGAGTTCAAGTGATCCTCCCACCTCGGCTTCCCAAAGTGTTAAGATTACAGGTATGAGCCACTGTGCCCAGTCTAAAGGGTGTTTTAGTTGACTAATTGTCAGAGGTTGTTGATCACCCATTTATTGATAAAAGTTTTACTTACACAGGTATTTTCTTTAACATTACTCTTTATACTCAGTGGCATGCCAGTAAGCTAACTCTGAAAATAAGCCCTGATTTTCAGCATTTGTCAATTTCCATGATGTAAATATTCCCACTATGGCTAATTTCAAGCTACCTATGTGACATCACTGAATGAGGTGTTGGGAAGGAATGTGGGGAGTTGGTTTTCAGAAGCCAGTATGGGCCAGCTCTAGCATAAAACTAATATTTCCAAGTTATATGCTCTATTTTTGTATTGAATTTTATTTCACAGTTGAAAAAAGGCTTAAAACAAGAAAGAATTGGGGAGTCTAATTTTCTACATTATAATACAATTGGCATTTTTTTCCAGTAGGGAAGTAGATTTTGGAGAAATAGTACTATTTTATACTATATGAATCGAACCTACTTTTGTGAAATGAATTACACTAAGGTATAGAGAATTTTGAAAAGTTGCTACTTCCGTTTCCTATAACTACAACCTAATTCTAACTCTGTGGCTGAGCAGATGCCTGGAAAGATGGAAGTCTTGAAGAAACCTATTGCTCTTATTTCGCTTATAGGAGGCAACTCAAATATGAGAATATGAGAACTGTGTTTTGAAATAAGTTTCTGATACTAATGTGTTTTGTGCTGTGCTGGTTTATGCAAATGTACCCCCAAAAGTCTGAGGAAGCTGAAAGGCTGAAGAAAGAGGCTGCAAGTTGAATTTAGAAAGAAACATTTAATAGGGACTAATGATCAGAAGCCGTGTGTGCCTGGGGAGGTTGCAAGACAAGGTGACTCCCTGCACCGTTATCTTCCAGACCCAGGGCTTATATATCATAGGGAAAGGGCATACGTGATTTAGAAGGGATATGTAGGACAACTGAAGTACGATAGCATCAAGGTTGTTTTGACCTAATGGCAGGATTTATGGTAAGTACCTGCTCTTAAACAAGGAATAATAGATAAATGGGAAATCTTAGAGGCATTCCCAGAACTGGGTTGATCAGAAGTCAACATGGCAGATTAGCATCAAAGATGGAGTTGCTTTAGCCTGCGCACAGTGAGACCTCTTTGGAGTTGAGAATAAATGGAAAGGCCTATAAATTAAATGACACAGATGGAGGCCATCTAGATAGGTTTGCTCCACAGTGAATCAGAAAGTTTTACCTGATTCATGTCTACCTCTGACATGCCTGTGGGAGCCACTGCTTCTTTATCCAGAAGAGAAGCTCAGTTTCTGAAAGAACTAATTTTTCCCTTCACTTCCAGGCAGCTCACTCCTACAGCTAGACATTATTGCTACCCTAAGCAATGGTTACTTTGTGTATTAGGCCATTCTTGCATTGCTGTGAAGAAATACCTGAGTCTGAGTAATTTATAAGAAAGGGGGTTTAATTGGCTTATGGTTTTGCAGGCTGTACAGGAAGCATAAAACCAGCATCTGCCTTTGGGGAGGCCTCTGGAGGCTTACAATCATGGCACAAGGCCAAGCAGGAACTAGCAGTCAAATGGCGAAAGCAAAAGCAAGAGCAAGGTTGGGGAAGGTGCTACACATTTTCTATACATTTTCAAAGGACCACATCATTTGAGAACTCACTCACTATCATGAGAGCGGCAACAAAGACATGGTACTGGACCATTCATGAGAAATCCACCCCCATGATCCAGTCACCTCCCACCAGCCCTCACCTCTAACATTGGGGATTACAATTCAACATGAGATTTGGGCAGGACACAAATCCAAACTATATCACCCTGATAGGATATTTCCTTTAAGCTCTAGTTTGACTTTTACAAGGACCATGTGTTCCAGTGCTCATTAAGAGTCCTACCCTCAAGTCCTGGGCTTTTCTTTCTTCCAACATATCTTCGCAACCCACTTCATTTTCTCTTGCATATTTTCTGTTTTCTGAAGATCCCCAGTCTTCATTAACTTAAAAAAGAGTCTCAATTTAAAATATGATACCTTTTAAAAGTTAATAAAATGCCTAAAAGTTGTTAATCTCTTCTCAGGGAATAGCTGTGGATATTCTGCTAGACACTGGGAGAGATATCCTGGCCACTCAGTATAAATGGTTCCCATTAGAGCTTCATGCCTCTGTGAAGCGTTTCATTAAAATTCTTTCATCTGCTTTTAATCTGTATAAGCTTTGATTAAAAATGAAATAAGAAGTTAAAAAAAATGCCCTAGGCAATTTGACATTGATAATAGAAAGCTGAAAGAATTACAGATAATAGAGTGGAGATTTATTTGGATAATTTCTCAGGCAAAGTCATCAAAATATGTAAATTTTAAGAAAATATGATAATAAGTATTTGAACAAAATATGGTCAGACCAAAGAGTTGGCATAATTAAAGGCATAATTCTTTCTCCAAACCAAGTTTTCCATTTAGCTAGTTTGAGTTGTATTCTGGGGTCCATTACTTCTTAGTACTGAAATACATCTTCAAAGCAATGTTTCTCTTCATCTCCATTTTCAACTGCTAAAATTTTCCAGCCCTGAAAAACAGCTCATATGTTTGCTAAAATTGAGAGGAGGTAGCCCATGAGTAATGTGCCAGTTCTGTGTGACACACATTTTGACTATTCACAGGGCTTTTTTACTTACTTGCCAGTTCTTGCTTCTTTCTGGAACAGTGATATATTGCCACTATCTTTATGAATAATGGATTCATAAATATGAGGCCTAAAAGAAACTTAAAGATCAACTGGTAGCTTTCTAAAAGTTAAATGAGAAAACTCGTTTTGTAAGCCCGAGAGCATGATGCAGGAAGTTAAAAAAAAAATTAAGAGATCGGGCCAGGTGCAGTGACTCACCGCTATAATCCCAGCACTTTGGGAGGCCCAGGCAGGCGGATCACGAGGTCAGGAGTTTGAGACCAGCCTGGTCAACATGGTGAAACCCCGTCTCTACTAAAAATACAAAAATTAGCTGGGCATGGTGGCGGGTGCCTGTAATCCCAGCTACTCATGAGGCTGAGGCAGGAGAATCGTTTGAACCCAGGAGGTGGGGGTTGCAGTGAGCCGAGATCCAGCCATTGTACTCCAGCCTAGGAGACAAGGCAAGACTCTGTCTCAAAAAAAAATAAAAAATAAATAAATAAATAAATAAATAAATAAAAATAAATCAAGAGGTTAAGAGAGTTTAAAAAATCCCAAATAATTGAATTATGGATTATTTAATTTCAGATATCTAAGCTTTATGACTTTGGGTGAGAAACAGAATTCTGTTTCATATTATCTATGCTCTCTTAAAATAGACTAAGCTCTTTAAAATTTTATATTTAAGATATTCAGTCTTAATCTTGAATTCATATTGGAAAGGAACTTTTTTTGTAGAATTATATTACATGTAAATATAAGCATTTAAAAGACATGTTTGGATTTTTATAAATTGTAATAATGTATTTTAAATCTATAGAATGTGACATAAGCCATTTAGTATCCCATAAATGTCCTATCTTTTCTTAACATCTGAGTTATTCTAAATGACCATTTGTAATTCTCTATATTTTTTAAGCCCAAAAATTCCACAAATGTATGATTTATGTTAGGTCTTCACAAATGTTTATAATTGCACTCTGAGATCTCTTAGTCTCACATCTTCCCCTTGACTGTGGTGCTGTCATATCTGAGTTCTCCATCACGGTTCACTCAGCAGTGATACAGCCCAGCTCCAATGCCAGCCCTCCTTAAAGCTTTTTCTCCTTTAACTGTTTGAAGGCACTACCTTCATAATACAGCAAGTCCTTGAATAATTGTTAAGCTTTGGTCACCCCAAATCCCTGAAATGGTAGTTAGACTCTCTTTTGATGTGACACATAAAAATTCTTAGTTACCAATGACTTCTACCAAAAAAAGAATTTTATAAAATATTGAAGAATAAGCCCCAAATGTACCTGTGTTTCTAGTGTCATCTACAAGGGGATCTACAATGGTGTCATTTACTGAGATGAAGTTGTGCGTACTTTTTCAGCTTTGTGTATAATTGATTCATTAGGTTAGTGGTGTGGGAGATGATATAAGAACTAATGAAATATCATTTATACCCTCCACATCTATACCCGAGGCAGGCAGGGGATCTGAACCCTGTAACTCACTCTTTCTACTGAGGTTCATTGTCCTGAGGCTGCTTTCAGGTTCTTTCTTCCAACCCAGCTCATTCTTTCTTGTTCTTTGTAGTCTGCTGAACTTCAGCTTCAATTCCTATTCTTATTTTCTCCAAGTTCTCCTGGGCTTCAAACTTTAGACCTTTCCTTATCTCTTGGCTCGTTCCCTACAGGGGTTTGACACCAACCCCCCTTTGCTCTGTGCCCTGAATGTGAGAGCTGGCCACACCTGCTCCAGCGCCCTGCCACAGTGCTGAAGTTTAGCCCCATTGTTCAAAAGAATAAAACGCAGAGTGAGTTGAGGAGGATGATGTCTTTAGTCTGACAAGTTGATAATGGAATGCCCACAAGAATTCAACAATTAGCTCAGGAAGAAAGTCTGTGCTGGCAGTAAAGATGTGCCATATAGAGAAATAAAAATATCAAAGGTATGGGGTAGATTATCAAGAGAAGTATATCAAATGAGAAGAAAAGACAGCTCAACAAAGAGCCCTTGCCATTTCAGGAAAGGACCCCTATCCCTGCAAAAAAGGGAATTCCTGTGAAGGAGACAAAGGAGAACAGAAAAGAGAGGACAGCATTTCAGTAAAGTGGAATTGATAGTGTATCATCACAGAGAAATAAGTTAAGGACTAAACTTTTTACATTGCTGACTTAGAATAATTTTGGAGAAAGGATAAAGATAGAAATTATACTGATGTGCAGTGAGAAATATGTGGATGGTGGGGGAAGGAACTTGTGATGAAGAATCATTTACGCATTGGCTCGAGGAGCTGTCAATCTGAGGGACTGTGGGAAAATTCCTTAAACTTTCTCATCTATTTCCTCATCCACAAACTAAAGACATTAGAATAAGTCATCTTGGACCACCATTCTGCCTTAATATCTAATTATTCTGGGAATCTAAATTCTTAACAAGGAGCAAAATAGTAACAGGCTAAATTATACTTTATTGTCATCATAACATAAAAATGATATCTCTACAATTACATTCGCAAGTTTGTTCTGCCTTTAACCACCTGCAAGGAATATGGCGCTGCTTTGTTTTTGTTGCATCATTTGCATTGCTTCAGCAGTTCATGGCTGTCATAATTGACTTAAATTCCTAATTTGTTTTCATTGGTAAAAGGATGTGCCACATTATTTTGAAGCACTAATAAAAAGAAAACAAATAGAATAGGAAATGCACTACTTTTACAAATAGAAAGTTTGTTTTGAACATTAGGTTACTAAAGATTGCTTCTAAAACTTTTTTTTATAAATCTCTTTTAAATCCCAGGTATTGCAATTTCAGATGAACTCGATAAGGTAAGTTGAACTATACATCTGGTGAAAAGAAAATGTAGAACTTACCTTTTATTCCACTGTCTCAACATAAATAAATTTTCTGAAACATAAAATGTTCAAGTATAATTTATTTGGGCTAACATTTTAAAACTTTGAAAGTTAAATGCATATTGTTTTATGAAAGCTATTCCATTAAATATATATATCACCTACTCTTTTGAGTCAAGGCCTTTAGAATTTGGTTAGAGAAAATGGAATCACTGTAATCACTGAATCACTATATTGCAAAATAACTTCATAACACTATATTATGTAAATTATTTTATTCCACTTGTATCTAAATGATAATGATATGGAAAACATTGTATTTTTTGATAGCTCCTCTTTGGAAACCTTACCAATAAAGCTTTTTGTTTGTTTATTTTAATTTTCCGAGATGCCAAGAGACTATGATGGTACTTTGAAGTGGGGTAGTAGTTATGATGGTGGTGAGAAGTGGTGTGGTTAGAAATATATTTCTATAGTTGTGTCACTGGAACTTGCTAATGGATTGGATGTGGGGAATTGCAGAACAAATCAGTCAATGATGGATTGCTAGGTTTGGGAGATGAGCAACTAGGTCAATTGTGGTACTGCTTACTAAAATTAGAAAAACTAGGAAAAAATCAAATTTGTCAGGTTTGGATAACATTAAGAGTTCTCATTTAGATTGTTTATTTTGAATTGCCTATTAAACATGTTTATATGAGTTGTTGCTTATGAGAGAGATTTGATTTATAACTAAACATATTCTCATTTTTCTAGTCTCAAAAGCCCTTTACATTGTTAAAAATTGGAGAGGACCCCAAAGAGTCTTGATTTATAAAGATTATATCTATCAATATTAGATTCTTGTGTTGATAATATATTGATATTAGATATCTAAACGTTAAAAATTTAAACTGATAACGAATTTACGTTTTTTTTTAAAATAGCAGTGATTAAACCATTACCTTAACACAAATAACAGTTTTAGGAAAAATACTTTTATTTTCTAAAACAAGATGTTAGTAAGAAATTTGCATTGTTTACATTTTGAAAATCTCTTTAATGTATGGCTTAATTGAAAACTGCTACATTTTCATATCTGCTTCTGCATTCAATCTGTTGTGATATGTTGTTTTGGCTGAAAAATCTCTAACATCAGATGTGTAGCTGGAAAGAGAGAAGCACATAGAAATAGCCATCATCAATATTTGGTGAATACTGCTCTAGATATCTTTTGAGACAGAAAATATATTGAAATTTGGCTTGGGGGCTAGATAGATACATAAAAAATGATAGAAAGTATTGTACAGGTTGCATACACCTCATCCAAAATACTTGGGGCAAGAAATGTTTTGAATTTCAGGTGTTTTTTTGGATTTTGGAACACTCATATATACACAAAGAGATATCATGGGGCTGGGACCAAAGTCTAAAACAAAATTCATTTGTGTTTCATATACATTTTATACACATCACCTGGAGATAATTTTATGCAATATTCTTAGTAATTTTGTGCATGAAACAAAGTCTTGACTGGATTTTGACTGCGACTCATCACACGAGGTCAAGTATAAAATGTTCTATTTGTGACATCGTGTCGATGCTCAAAAAGTTTCAGATTTTGGAGCATTTCAGATTTTCAAATTAGGGATGCTCAACCTCTACAAAAAATGGTATCATATAAATCCTGACATTTTAAAACAATAAGCTACTCTGTAATAATTGTATTATTTTTACAAAAACCACAAAGCTAGTATCCTATTCCAAATATAATACAACACCTTTTGGATTTTGTACCAGAAGAATGTATTTCTGACTCACTAAAAAAATATAATTTATGAATATATTCTTAAATATCTATTTCCTTTAATAAACAAACCATCATAATATTTTAGAATTAGTTTCATTGTCATCTGTACCGACTCCAGGCAGAACTCCATGTTGACCATACTCAATGGCAAGTGCATAAGTGGTAGGCATGGCTTTCCGGCCTTGTTCTGCTTTTCTAGTCCCCCCTCTGTGTGCCTGTCATTGTCTCACCCCAGCTGGTCTCCTTCTTATGCCATGAGTTTCCTTACAGTTTGCAGAAATGTAATAATTCCTCCTCTTGCAGTTATGGTCTATGTTCATTTTAAGTACTAAGATATAACCATCACCATTTCTAGGTTCATTTGCTCTTTCTAATACATTCTGCAAAACCCTGGCTGCCTGAGCCATAAATTAGCTCGTATGCGGTTGTTACTGTGCTTGGCTCTTGTCCTTCTCTTTTTTTCTGAGCTCTGACTTGCAGCGGCTTTGGTGTCCACACCTTTGTTGATGAGCTAAAGAATTTTAACTGTTCTTGGAACTGAAACAGATATAACCCTCACAGGATAAATTATGGATGCCCTGACACCCAGTTAAGTGTCAGCCTCAGGACATGGCCTTCTCCCTCACACCCTCTCTCTTCCCGGCAGTAGCTCAGGGGAATATCCATTTAACTAAATTGTATGACACTGCTGATTTTCATTTACTTACCTAATATTCCTGTTTTTTGAAGACTTTGTGGAAACTGCTGAATTTTATTGCACATTTATTATTTTTCATTTTTATTGAGGAAGATGCCAAAAGTTGTCATAAATAACTTTTCACTTAAAAAAAATTTCAGTGAAAAAAAAAATCGACCCCACTTTTGCATCTGATTTTTGGAGTGCTAGATAACAGAAAGGAGTCACAGGCTTCCAGAGCCATTGCCACCATTCTTTGCCTGTCTGGCAGTCACCCTTGGAGGAGCAGGAGAGCCTGTCCCATAGCACCCTCTGGTGACCATGAAGCTCACAGTCCTGAATTTTCCTGAATAAGAAAAAGTGAATCTCAGGGAGGCAGCCACTGAAAAACAGCCAATCGGAATGGTTTGCAGTTAGTATTCACCTGGTACCTATGTCTTTAATGTAACAGTAAATATAGCTTCTTCCTTTTACTTTTCCCTTAACAATTTTGGGGATTCACTAAATATATGTTTTTCCCAACCTTTATAAAATATGGAATTTTTTAACCATCATTTTCTAATTCAGTTATAATTTCATTGAAATCATTTCTTCATGGCCTTTTACATTACTTTGTGAACTCTGAGAAAGGTAATAAGAATCATTAATTCTATTTAAAATAAAGAAATAAAATGAAACAGAGGTTATTATTTTTTAAGCTTTTTTTTTTTTAAGTTGTGGGAATTCCATCAATTCCTTTGTCACTAACGTTTTTCTTTCTCTTCGATGACTACTGTATTGGCTTTCGATTGCTGCTGTGACACTTTAAAGCAACACAAATTTATTATCTTACAGCTCTGTAGTTTCAAAGTTGAACATGAGTTTCCCTGAGCTAAACAAAGTCAAGGTGTAATCAGGGCTGCCTTCCTTCCATTCCAGGGGAAATCTGTTTGCTCACCTTTTCAAGCTTCTAGGGCTGCCTGTATTCCTTTAGTGCATGGCCCCCTTGTTATCCCTTTAAAACCAGCAACATCTCTTCTGTCTCTAACTTCAGCCAGGAACAACTCTCCCTATTTATGGAATTATGTTAGGTTGAGGCCACCTGGCTAATGCAGATAATCTCTTCATCTCAAGATCTTTAATCTTAATCATGCAAAGTCCTTTTGCATATTCATGCAAATGTAATTATGAAACTAATTACATATAGAAATGTAAATATTAATTCATTTGTAATGGAACATATTCACAGGTTTCGGGTATTAGGACATGAACATCTCTGGGAAGTCGTGATTCTGCCCACACTGCCACTATCCAAGTTCAAATGGTAGTACCTTTTATATCTGTATGTGGTTCTTCAAGCTCCCATGATTCCAATTCATCCTTCAAAATGCCACATAGTAGACATGATTGGTGCCTGCCCAGTTTCCCTCCAGTAGGGTGGTGTGACCTATCCTTCAGCTGCTATGAGTGTTGGGTGTTTACACGCTTCTTTCCTCATCTTCTCCTGGCTCCCTCATTCTTTTATAGGTTTCACTTGAGAGAACTCCTCAATAAATCACTTTCTCAGCATCTCATTCTAGGGAACCCTACCTAAGACATGCCACAAGAAGATTCTTCCTAAAGCAAAATCTTATTGAAATTTTTTTCTTGACTCTCTAGTATCTACCAAATTAAGCCCAAATTTCTTTTTTAGCCATTTTTCTTTTATTTATTTTATTTTTAATGGAGATGGGGTCTCGCTTTGTCACCCAGGCTGGTGTGCAGTGCTGCGATCATAGCTCACTGCAATCTCGATCTCCTGGGCTCAAATGACCCTCCCACCTCAGCCTCTTGAGTAGCTGGGACTACAAACGTGTGCCACCATGCCTGGCTAATTTTTTAATTTTTTTAGAGACAGGGTCTTACTATGTTGCTCAAGCTTGTCTCAAACTCCCGGCCTTAAGCAATCCTTCCTTCTCAGCCTCCCAAGGGATTTTGTGCATGAGCCACCATGCCAGGCTCAAGTCCAGATTTCTAAGACTAGAATTAACAGTCTCCATGTTGTGGCTGACATCTATCTCTTATGCTTGATTTCCTTCTTTTTTCCATCCAAACTGTATTGCACTCCACAAGAAATAGGGTAAAGTAGCCAGAAGACAGTACTTCTAGGTCATAGTTTTATTTATTTTCACATTTTTGTTCATGTCATTCCCTTTTCTTTCTCTGGCTGTGATCCCTCCTTTAAGTTCCAGCCTCCCTAGTCAGCCCTGCAGAAAGTGTGCTCACCCACCGAGATCCTTTAGCGAGCACAGTGACTGCATCACAAATGACAGAGTTTTTGTTCACTGCTTCAAGAAGTAGCCCAGTATTCTGAAAAAATCCACAGAAAGGCTTTGGATTGAATGTCGGCACCTGCCATTTACTAACTACATAGCCTTCAGGAGGTTACTTCCAGATGCTGAAATTTAGTTACCTTCTCTGTAAAATGTAGATGGTTTTAGTGACTATTAAAACTAACGTTAATTTCCCATGGAAAGTAATTTAAACTAAAATATCCACAATATAAAATATTTCCAAGAAGTATATGGGAAAGTATTTCAAAGGGAAGAGAATGGAGGATCACTATAACCTCCTGCTGAAAAAGATGCTGTATAATGTAGGCATTGATACCCTCAAAATATCATTACACTTCCGTGCATCAAAGGACACAACACTCACAAATTACACATCTGATAAGAAGTTAGTGTCCAGAATATATGAATAACTCCTATAACTCAACAACAAAAACTAATTACTCAATTAAAAATGGGCAAAGGATTGAGTAGACATTTCTCCAAAGATGATGTACAGATGACCAACAAGCATCTGAAAAGATGCTCCATATCACTAATCACCAGAGGGAAAAAAACACGATGAGATACCCTCTGAGACCCATTAGGATGGCCACTATCAGAAAACAAACAAACAAAATGAAAAAATAGCAAGTGTTTGTGAGGATATGGAGAAAGTGGGACTTTGTGCACTGTTTGTGGGAATGTAAAATGGTGCAGCTACTATGGAAAATAGTATAGCAGTTCCTTAAAAAGTTAAAAATAAAATACCATCTGTTATGGTTTGAATGTTTGTATCTTTCCAAAATTCATATTGACATGTAATCCCCAATGTAAGAGCATTAAGAAGCAGGGTCTTTAGGAGGCGATTAGGCCATGAGGGATCCACCCTCATAAATGAGATTAGTGCCTTTATGAAAGGGCTTGAGGAAACCTGTTTGGTTTTTCTGCTTCCTCTCCACCATGTGAGCATGTAGCAAGATGGCACCAACTCAGAGACAAAGGGCGTGCTCTTACCTTCAGATTCAGACACTGAATCTGCTAGCACCTTGATCTGGACTTCCCAGTTTCCAAAATTGTAACAAATAAATTTATGTTATTTATACATGACCTAGTTCAAGTTATTTTGTTATAGCAGCAGGAATGAACTAAGATACCATATTATGAAGCCATCCCACTTCTAAGTATATATCCAAAAGAACTAAGAGCAAGATTTATAGGAAATAATTGGACACCCATGTTCATAGCAGCATTATTCACAATGACCAAGAGGTGAAAGCAACCCAATGTTCACTGACAGATGAATGGATAAACAAAATGCAGTATATACATATATACATACAATGGAATAGTGTTCAGCCTTCAAAAAGAAGGTAATAGTGTTCCATACTACAACATGGATGAACCTTGAGGAACTTATGCTAAGTGAAATAAGCCAGTCATAAAAAGACAAATACTGCATGATTCTACTTATATGAAGTATTTAGAGTAATCCGATTTACAGAAACAGTGTAACAGTGGTTGTCATGAGCTGAGGGGAAGGGGAAATGGGAAGTTATTGTTTAATGAGTGTAGAGTTTCATTTTGCAAGGTGAAAGATGTCTGCCCAACATTGGTTCGCACAGAGATTGGCTGCACAACAACATAAATAAACTTAACATAGTTGAACTGTACACTAAAAATGGTTAAGATGGTGAATTTTATGTTATGATTTTTCTGTAACTAAAAAATATAGTCTTTTAGTCTGGGTGCAGTCGCTCACGCCTGTAATCCCAGCACTTTGGTAGGCCGAGGAGGTGGATCACTTGAGGTCAGGAGTTCGAGACCAGCTTGGCCAACATGGTGAAACCCTGTATCTACTAAAAATACAAAAAATGAGTCGGGCATGGTGGCGGGCACTTGTAATATCAGCTACTTGGGAGGCTGAGGCAGGAGAACCACTTGAACACGGGAGGCGGAGGTTGCAGTGAGCTGAGATCACGCTACTACACTCCAGCCTGGGTGACAGAGTGAGACTCCATCTCAAAATATATATATATTATATATATCTCAAAAAATATATATCTCTCTCAAAAAATATATATATATCTCAAAAAATATATATATATTTGTGTGCGTGTATATGTATATATTCTTTATAACATCAGTACATTCACAGGAGCTCTTAGAATAGTGTCTACTGACCTAGGCAGATGTCATAAAGCAAAAGTAAACTTCAGTTAGAACAATTCCCCCGGAGGTCTCAATAGCGAAGTACAGGACAGTCCTCCCTGATGTTCTAGCTTTAGTGTGGGGTATATTTTAGAGTACTTAGAGCAATAGGCAGTCTGTATATCTTTTAGATAACTCATCAGAAATACTGCTATCTTTAGCTCTTATTACATGTTGAGTGGTAGTGAGTCTGTTTCTAGTCCTTGAAACTTTAAATAGACATGTAACAATAATATATATATATATATAATAACAATGTACTATTTAGTGCATACTAAATTCTAGACCTTGGACTAAGCATTTTATATAGATTATGCCATTTTATCTTAATAAACATAGTTAACATTTATTGAGAACTTACTATATGCCAGATAGCATTCTACATTATTTGCTTGCATTATCTCATTTAGTATTTACTAATATCTTGGGAAATAGGGAGTATTATCCACATTTGACAGGTGAGGAAATTAAGATCCAGAGGTTAATAAACTTAGCAGAAGTCACATAAAAAGAAAATAGAAGTGGAGCACAAATCAAAGCCAGTTAGCTCCAGAGCCTATGGCTCTTAACAATTATATCATATTTATGAGACAGGTGCTATTATTCACCAGTTTAACAGATGGAATAACAGAAGCACTTGGAGTTTTATAAACTCCTCTTTGTCACATAGTAAGTGGAGGAGCTAGAACTGAAACCCAGGCAGTTTAACAGACCAGAGTCTACACTCTCAATCTGTGCAATTGGTTATGTCATTACATTTCCTATCTTTGTGCCTAGTGCAGAGTAATTATTCAATTAATAATTGCTATGTTTATTACTAGAAACTTTTTGTCCACAATGGGTACTATTGTATAGCCCATGCTAAGCTTTTGGTAAATAATTACTGGGTAAATAACTAGCCAGAAATTACTAAAAGTTTATTTTTCTGTTTATGTTGTTCTGTCTTTTGTGGCCTTTTGCTGGTTTTCCTACCACAAGACATTTTCTTTGTTATTCTATTACATTAAGAGCTCTGGTTGTTTTTATAAAGTAGTTAAGAGAGTTAAGACAGAATAATGTCTTAAAAAGAAGACTTTTTCCTCTTAAGAAATAGACTTCAGATAGTATAATGTTCATGCTCACAAAAATTGCTTTACCACGCAAGATAAATATATATGAGACCATGTAATAGACTCAATAGACAGTTCATGAAGACTGTATTTATCAAGCACGTAGTGTGACAGGCAGTGTGCTAAGTGCTTTGAGGACACATTCTCACTTATACTCATAACAACCCCATGAGAAAGCTCTCATGATCTCCATTTTACACATAAGAAAATGAAAGCCCAGAGATTTTGCTGAGTTGAGCAAATTTAAGAGAGAGGTAATATAATGCACAATTCAAATTTGAGCATAAATTTACCTTCAAAACTCATTTACTTAATTGCTATGTAATCTTGCCTTTCTAAAAAGTTAGGAAG
This sequence comes from Homo sapiens, assembly GCF_000001405.40. Taxonomy (NCBI): domain Eukaryota; kingdom Metazoa; phylum Chordata; class Mammalia; order Primates; family Hominidae; genus Homo; species Homo sapiens. The sequence continues at coordinate 68,496,503 of NC_000008.11, forward strand.
CTCAAGGAGGGCCTATTTTAAGTTGCTTCACACTGGCTATATGTGTACCATTGACATCAGCTGTAGACAGTGTGCCACGGGCTGTCAGGCCGCTTGACGCTTGCCTCACTAAGTACACCCATGGAAGGGGCAAAATCTTAACTCCTTCCAAGTAAGAATGTCTTTTCACCAGATAGCTTTGTTTTGCTATTCACTTTCTATTTCTGTTTATTTCTCCCCAGGCAGACAAATCTGAGTTTTATTGCTTTTTTTGGTCAGTAATTGGAGAATGTTCTGGGGATTTCCTATAACAAGCAGAGCATACTGAAATTGCTGTGATCCTGTTGTCTTGCTTCTGTGTTCCAGAATCTCTTGCCTACTCACATGTGACCTACATGTGCATTATATGATATTTTGGGCAGTAGGAAAATATCTGTAGAGCTGCTTTATATGCTATGTTGGTCGTATGTTTGATGTTTATCAGGTAAAATTTCTAATACTAAGAAAGATAGCCATGTAAACTTCACTCTAAGTTCTCTCAGCATGGTTGTGGTCCATGTTTGTCTTAAAAATGTGGCCCATGTTTGTCTCTCAAAAATAAAACTTGGAAAGTGACAACCCAAGAAAAATATTTGCAGTTTATATCACAGACAGAACTTAATATTTCTAATTGTAGGGAGCTTCTAAAAACAGAGAATAAAAGACCTAAATTCCATATAAGCCATATAAATTCCAAATGAGCCATATAAGGAGGTTGTTTATAGAAAAAAATCCTCTTAACTACATAAAAAGATGCTCAGCTTTGCTCAAAATGAGATAAATGCAAATTAAACATTACTGCTTACCTGGCAGATTAACAAAAATCCCCATTTGTCAGATACTCTGTTGGTGAGGCACTGGAAACACAGACAATTTCACACATTGCTAGTGGGAATGCAAAATGCTACAAACACTATGCAGGGAAATTTTACAATATCTAGTACATTATATGTGCAATTATTCTTTGATGAAATGATCCTATTTCTATGAATCTATTCCAAAGACACACTAGCAAAAATACAAAAAGACCTATATGTGTGGCTGTACCTTGTCATACTATTTTAATAACAAAAGAGTAGAAAAACCAAAATGTCCATTAAAATAAAAATACTGGATAATTACAGTATAACCATACAAGACAGTACTATACAGCTATACAAATGAAAGGATATCTCTATGGATTAAGGAATGACCCCTGGGATAATATATTGCTAAATGAAAAAAGGAAGGGAGAGAAATGTGTTCTTAGTATGCTACCATTCATCTAAGTAAGTGCAATGAAAATATAGATACATATTTGCTTCTATTTTTGGGGGGAGATGGGGGGAATGGAGTTTCGCTCTTGTTGCCCAGGCTGGAGTGGAATGGTGCGATGTTGGATCACCGCAACCTCCGCCTCCCGGGTTCAAGCGATTTTCCTGCCTCAGCCTCCCGTGTAACTGGGATTACAGACATGCACCACCATGCCCAGCTAATTTTGTATTTTTAGTAGAGATGGGGTTTCTCCATGTTGGTCAGGCTGCTCTCGACCTCCCGACCGCAGGTGATCCACCTGCCTCAGCCTCCCAAAGTGCTGGGATTACAGGCATGAGCCACGGTGCCCAGCTCACATTTGCTTCTGTGAAAACTAAAACAACAATAGCAAAACCTGCCCTATTGTAAAATACACACACCCACATGCATATGCACACACATCAAATTGTTTTTAAAAGTTGCCTATGGCAGAAGAGATGGTATGGGGGTAGAAATAAAGAAAGGTAAAGAGAGGAGAAGATAGGGATAGAAGCTTGCCCTCTTAGAATTTTGAATATTTGACTTTGGAACAACTTAAATATTAAATCTTAAAACAGTAATTTATTATTATCCAAAACAAAATGAAACAAGTGAGCACAACTGCATTTCAATTTTTTGGCATAAACATGCTGAGATGAATTACTCTAAGCCATTATCGATAGTGATTTGATTGTCTCTAGTGGGAGGTACTCTAAGGACAGGGAGAACAGCACCACAGTCTGAAAGTGTTTTTAGTAATCGTGTTGTTAATGATAGTGCTGATATAATTATAATGAGACTGTTGTGTGTGCTTTGCGTGATATACAGAAGAAGTAATTATGTTGGTATCTTTAAGAACTAGAATTTTTGGCATGGGGAAAAGAAATATATATAATGTAAGGTCCATAAATTTAAGTAAAAATATTATAATCCTGATTTCAAATCAGAAATATCATTAAGAACCCAGTATTTTTTCTTTTAAAAAATAAAATGCACATTCTAGTGGCTGTCAGCACAACTAGAGCCCAGAGATTGTTTTCTAAATAGCATTTGCTTTTAAAAGGAATCAAGTCTCCCTGGAGAAATGGCTGAATCTGGGACTGTACTAAGAAAGCACAAGTTGAGTCTGGAATATCTTTTTTTAAAAATCACTTCAGGGGGTACATGTGCAGGTTTGTTATGTGAGTGTATTGCGTGAAACTGAGGTTTGGGGTATGAAAGATCCCATCAACCAGGTAGTGAACATAGTATCCAATGAGTAGTTTTTCAGCCCTTGCCCCTCTCTTTCTCTCCCCACTCTAATAGTCCCCAGTATCTGTTGTTCCCATCTTTATGGCCATGTGTGACTAATGCTTAGCTCCCACTTGTAAGTGAGAACATGTGGTATTTGGTTATCTGTTCCTGCATTGATTCGCTTAGGATAATGGCCTCCAGCTGCATCCATGTTGTTGCAAAGGACAAGATTTTGTTCTTTTATATGGCTGCATAGTTGGAATATTTTTTAGTGCCAGAAATCAAAGATACATTCAAATAATGATGGGACTTGTCAAAAGGACACAGGGGCCAGATTATCCTGGCTTCTCCTGGCAAAATCTGGGAAAATTCAAGCATAAAAATAAATAATAATGGAAATGTGTTATAGCCCATTAAATACAATAATAATCCGTATGTCCATACTGATATACATACAGCCGTACATCCATGCATTAGGTGAAGGAGGATGCATAGTACACTACCAACAAGTAAATTTAGAAGGAATGATGGAATTAGAAAGCCACAAATTGGCAACCGTCATAGTAGTTGATGCAGTCAGGTGTCAGCAAAGGATGTTAAAATTCGTAGGTAAAATTTTGGTGAATTCCAGGATATTCCCCAGAAGATACTTGTTAATTAACAAAAGGAGCAACTTTTCACTGGAGAAACCTGGAAGATACCACCTGAACCAGGTGATCAAGGTTAATACCTTCAGTGAGAGGAAAAATCAACATCATGTGTCTTTTGATGTGAAAAGAATATTGATATAGGATGTTTGTCTCCTCCAAATCTCATGTTGAAATGTAATCCCCAGTGTTGGAGGTGGGGCCTGGTGGGAGGTGATTGGATTGGGGGCGGATCCCTCATGAATGGTTTAGCACCGTTCCCTTGATGATGTTAGTTCTTGTTCAGTTAGTTCATGTGAGATCTGGTTGTTTAAAAGTATGTGCGACCATCCTCCTCACTCTCTTTCTCCCACTCTGGCCATGTGAAATGGTGGCTCTGCATAGCCTTCAGCCATGACTCCTGAAGACTTCACCAGAAGCAGATGCCAGCACCATGGTTCCTATGCAGCCTGCAGAACCATGAGCCAATTAAACCTCTTCTTAAAATAAATTACCTAGACTCAGGTATACCTTTATAGTAACAAAAATGGCCTAACAGAAATATATCACTTCTGTGTTATTCTTTCCAAAGTGCATACTTGAATATAATCATAAGGAAACATTGGAAAACACCAGTTGAGGGACCTTCTAAAAAATAACTGGCCCATACTTTTCAAAAACATGAAGGTCATAGATCAAAGAAAGCCTGAAAACTTTCAGGTTAAAGGAGATTTTTTAAAATGACAGTTGAATGCCACGTGGGATCCAGGATATTCTTTTACCATGAACAACAGTATTCTGATAATTGGGGAAATTTAAACAAGGTTGGTGCATTAGTATTGTATTATTATACTTTGACCATATAAGAAAATGTCCTATATGCTAAAGTGTTTAGGGACAAAGGAGCATCATATCTGCAACTTACTTTCCAGTGGTTCTGAGGAAATTTTATATGTAAAGAAGAGAACCCTCACCCACACACATCCACACTCACACCCACCCAGCCCTCAACACACACACACAGATGAGAGAGAAAAAAATGGTAGGGCAAAGTGTCAACCAAAATAGTAATTCAAAATACGAACCAACAGTGTTGACATTATTACATTAACCATTAACATTCGGGCAAATCAGGGGAAGGGTATACAGAATTTTTTTTTCTTTTTGCAACTTTTCTGGAAGTCTGAATTATATTAAAAAATTTTTAAAATAGATACTTCTCGATCTGAGCTGTCTGCACAAACCACTGCAGACAGGGAGGCAGAAGAAGCTTGGGAATAAGAGACATTTGCCATGGCTGAACACTTCAAAGAAATAATTAGATGTCCCATCTGTCCAAATGATCTTGAAGAACCTGTGCAACTGAAATGTGGATATGCCTTCTGCCTCCAATGCATCAATTCACTGCAGAAGGAGCCCATGGGGAAGGTTTACTGTGCCCCTTCTGCTCTGTGGTCTCTCCTAAGAGTAATATCAAGCCCAAGTTCAAGCTGAGGGCGCTGGTTTCCATGATCAAGGAACTAGAGCTCAAGCTGAAATCTATTCTAACAATGAACCCAAGGATGAGGAAGTTTCAAGTGGATATGACCTTGGATGTGGACACAGCCAACAACCATCTCACCATTTCTGAAGACCTAAGTAGTGTCCATTTGGGAATTTCAGCCAGAATAGGAAGGAGCAAGCTGAGAGGTTCAACTCTGCACTGTGTGTCCTGGGCGCCCCGGCTTCACTTCCAGCCACTGTTACTGGGAGGTGGATGTGGGCACCAGCAAAGTATGGGATGTGGGCATTTGTAAGGAATCTGTGAATCAACAGGGGACATTGTACTTTCTTCAGAACAAGGCTTCTGGACTGTAGGTTCCAGAAAAGGAAAGGTCTTTGCTGCCAGCACTATGCCTTTGCCTGTTCTCTAGAGGTGAGTCCCCAGTTGCACAGAGTGGGAATTTTCCTGGATATAGGTATGGGTTTCATTTTTTAAATAATGTTAGTGATAGGTGCCATATCTACACACACAACAAAATTTCTTTTAGCCACTGTGTCCATTTTTTGCTCATAAACATGAAACTCAAGATGGAGCTTTGTGAGTATCTGTCCCGTGATCAATCCAGACAATGCCAGTCCCCCAATTTATTCTGGGGAAAGTAAATAAACATTTGAATATAATCATCAATAGGAAGTTTCTGTATGCCCATAGCCAGAGCTAAGAATTTTCTGCTAGATACACATAGGTACAAAGGGTAGAAGGGAAAGATCAGTCAATTTTGTTGTCATGTTGCTTTCTTCAATAAGTAAATATTTTGACATTTCAAAAAAAAAGATATTTCTTAGTTTATCCACTTATTACCAACCCAATAGAATTAGTACTCCGTGTGTGTGTGTGTTCAGATTCTCGTCTTTAAGGATGTTTTTTGTTTGTTTGATTGTTTATTCGTTTTTTGACAGTCTCGCTCTGTCCCCAGGCTGGAGTGCAGTGGCGTGATCTCAGCTCACTGTAACCTCCGCCTCCCAGGTTCAAGCGATTCTCCTGCTTCAGCCTCCTGAATAGCTGGGATTACAGGCGCACGCCACCATGCCCGGCTAATTTTTGTATTTTTAGTAGAGATGGGGTTTCACCATTTCACATTGAGAGGAATCAGGTTCCCTTAGAATAATGGTTGATTCCAGGTCTGGAGCAAGGAATATACAAAAAGTGCCTGAAATAGCTCTATCTTGTACCAGAAGGCAAAAACACTACCAAAGATCACTAAGATTTTGTCAAAAAAGCTCGGAGCTAGCATAAGTAATCTTCCACTGGGAAGAGTTGAGGATTTAAAGATGAGTAAGATATAATAACCCCAATATAGTGAGTTATAGCAAATATTTTAAAATCCACATGTTCATAAAAAAAGCCATCGTTAGTCATTTTTGGGGGAGGTTAGGGGACCAAGTTCTTATTTTTAAAAATTAGTAAAAGTGGAGGGAAAAAAATCAAACATTTGATCTGCTTTTCCTATACAAATTACACTTAAAGGTAGCCAAATATTTGAGGACAGGAAATTTCTCTTTACGGAAGTATTCCAGTATATAAATGAATGTAGAATTATGAAATTAGACAATTACCATTTGGCAATGGTAGTACATTAATGGATCTAGCAATAATTATCAATGCTGCCAACATCACTGAAGAATCAGTGGGACATTATGTGCCTCCAGATGAAACGATAACCATTCTCTCTCAAGTAGTATTGGCAAAAACAAAAACAACAGAAAACTTTAATCCAGATCTAACTACCAGTTTATGGAAATTACAAGGAGCAGAGGAACGTTTCAAACCACATCACAAGAATGTGAAGGGGAAAATACAGACTGTGGAAAACTTACAAGATGAAAAGCTCAAAAGGCCCAGGTTTTCTGAACAACAAAAAGCATAAGAGAAAAATGGAAGCAGAGGAATAGAAGCTATAGATTAAGAGAAATGTAATAATTAAGAGAAATGTAAAAGACTGTCCATCAGTTGCAGTGTATGGAGTCTTGCTTAGCCTGACTTGTCCAGAGATAATTTTCCTAGATAAACAGGGATATTGGAAAACTAATTAAATATTTGTTTATATTAGAGTATTATTGTTATCTATGTTAATACTATTACATTTGTTTACCAAAAAAAAGTACATACCAGAATATTTACAAATGATATGATGAATGAGATTTGCTTTGACATAATCTGGGCAAGGAAGGGGGAATGTAGAAGCGATGTGCCAGGTGGGGTGGGGGTCACAGATAAAAATGAAGTGAGTTTACCCTTGAATTAATGATTGATGAAAATGTGTGTGGGTACAAAGGCATTCATTTATCTTTCCACTTTTGTATTTGTATGAACATTTTCATAATAAAGAGTAAAAAGTTTTAGATCATAGGTAGGATGCAGAAGATAGGAAAGAAGGGGAGAAGAGAGAATATTGGGCACCTGTTGGGAAACATATGAGGTGCTTTTTGGATGTGCTATTAAATTTAGTTCTCAAAACGGTCCAATGGAGTAGTTATTCTCTTTTCTTTTTCTTTTTTTTTTTTTTTCCAAATAAGAAAACTGAGGCCAAAGTGACTCAGTGATTTGCTCAAGATCTCAAAACTAGTACTTCATAGACATGGAATAAACGTTCACCTCTTGGGTTCTGATCCTTCATTTGTGTCATTCCAAGTCCATACTATAGTGTTAGACCCAGTTAGATCTGGATTTAGTTAATTAGTCTACTGTAAAAGGGAAAATGAATTTCATGTATTATTTTAACAGCTTTATTGAAATATAATTCACATATCATAAAATACATCCTTTTAAAGTATATGGTTTAGTAGTTTTTAGGATATTCACAGAGTTGTGCAATCATCACCACAACCTAAATTTAGAACAATTTCATCATCCCCAAAAGAAACTCTATCCATTGCAGTTACTCTCACTCCCCAGTCCCTCCAACTCCTCAGCCCTAGACGACCACTAATCTATTTTCTGTTTCTATAAATTTTTCTATTCTGGAAATTTCATATAAATGTAATCATATAGTATGTGACCTTTTGTGACTGTTTTCTTTTACTTAGAATAATGTTTTCAAGGTTTGTCTATGTTGTTGTGTCTCAGTACTTCATTTCTTTTTATTGATGAATAATATTCCATTGTAGGGGTATGCCACATTTTCTTATTCATCAGTTGACGGATCTTTGAGTTGTTTCTACTTTTCAGCCATTATAAATAATGTTTCTATGAATATCTGTGTACAGGTTTTTGTATGGACATGTCGTTTCATTTCTTTGAGGTATATACAGAGGATAGGGAATGCTAGGTCATATGGTAACTCTGTGTTTAAACTTTTGAGGAACTGCCAAATTGATTTTCTTTTTTTTCTTTTTTCTTTCTTTTGAGACAGTCTTGCTCTGTCACCCAGGCTGGAGTGCAATGGCACGATCTTGGCTCACTGCAACCTCCATCTTCTGGGTTCCAGCGATTCTCCTGCCTCAGCCTCCCGAATAGCTGGCATTACATGCATGTGTCACCATGCCTAATTTTTTTTTTTTTTTTTGAGACAGTCTTGCTCTGTCGCCGAGGCTGGAGTGGAGTGGTGTGATCTCAGCTCACTGCAACCTCCACCTTCTGCATTCAAGCGATTCTCGTGCCTCAGCCTCCCAAGTAGCTGAGATTACAGGTGCCTGCCACCATGCCCAGCTAATTTTTGTATTTTAGTAGAGATGGTGTTTCACCATGCTGGCCAGGCTGGTCTCAAACTCCTGACCTCAGGTGATCCACCTGCCTCAGCCTCCCAAAGTGCTGGGATTACAGGCGTGAGCCACCATGCCTGGCCTAAGTTTTGTATTTTTAGTAGAGACGGGGTTTCACCATGTTGGTCAGGCTAGTCTCGAACTCTTGACCTTAGGTGATCTGCCTGCCTTGGCCTCCCAAAGTGCATGGTGAGCCACCATGCCTAGCCCCAAATTGATTTTCACAGGGGTTGTGCCACTTTACATTCCCACCAGCAAGTATGGAGGGTTCCAATTTCTTCACATCTTGGCCATCATTTGTTATGGTTTGTCTTTGAAATTATAGCCATCTTCATGAGAGTGAAGTAGTATTTCATTGTACTTTTTATTTACATTTTTAAATGACTAATTATGTCGATAATGTATTATTGAATATTAGATCATTATTACTTGAATTTTGTATCATTCTTTCATTCACTCAAAGAATGCCAGTAGCTGGTGGGTTTGGTGGTAAGAAGTTGAACAAATTCTCTTTTGATTGCTTTCATTTTCTCACTGAAAGAATGAGCAACATGGGCCGGGCGCGGTGGCTCACACCTGTAATCCCAGCACTTTGGGAGGCCGAGGCGGGTGGATCATGAGGTCAGGAGATCGAGACCATCCTGGCTAACAAGGTGAAACCCCGTCTCTACCAAAAATACAAAAAATTAGCCGGGCGCGGTGGCGGGCGCCTGTAGTCCCAGCTACTCGGGAGGCTGAGGCAGGAGAATGGCGTGAACCCGGGAAGCGGAGCTTGCCGTGAGCCGAGATTGCGCCACTGCAGTCCGCAGTCCGGCCTGGGCGACAGAGCGAGACTCCGTCTCCAAAAAAAAAAAAAAAAAAAGAATGAGCAACATGACTGGCTGAGAATCAGGCAAGGGAGAGGTATTGAAGTTAACTGAGGAATAAAAATATATCTGAACCAAAACTGAAAAACTGAACTAGTTGGAATTCAATTAATCTAGCAAATATATATTTTTTTACTTTCAAAAGTTGTTATGACTGTATCATGCATCAAAATATATAAAGAATAATATAATGAACACCTAGGTAACTACCATGTAGCTAAAAATAACTCATCAGTGAAACCAACCTCTATTGCATGGTAGCCAACTCCATCTCTATTCTGAATTTTAACTTTAACCCCTTGGAGTGTTTTTGTTTTTTTTGTTTTTGGTTTTGTTATGTTACTACACACACATACACACACACACACATGCACATGCACACACACACACTCAGATACAAAATTAGAAGATGACTTTCTCAGCAATATGGCATTTACATCATGTACATTTTATTATTAGATAATGCAAAATTTCTCTCTAAAGAGATTGTATCAGTGTATACTCCCACCAACAGTTCATAATTTTTTTAACTCCTGATCCTGGCCAACATTATCTGTTATCCAACATTTTAATGAAAATTGCTTCTCATAGATTTAATTAGTAATTTTATAATTATTTTATGAGATGAGGTCTCACTATATTACCCAAGTTGGACTTGAATTCCTGAGTTTAAGCAATCATGCTGCCCCAGCCTCCTGAGTAGCTGGGACTACAGTCACATGCCACTGCATCTGGCTATGCAGTTTCTTAATTTTTAACAACAAAGTTAAATGCCTGATTTTTTTTTGCCCATTTTTATTGCTCATTTCTTTTCTTTGAGTTTGTGTGAGTTTGTTATAGATCCTGGATGCCAACCTTTGTTAGTATACATGTCTCAATTATTTCCTAATTTGGAGGATTGTCATCACTTTTTAAATAGTGCCTTCTATTAATATAAATGTTTAACATTAACTTGTGGTATTGACGCTTTGTTTTAGAAATCCTTTCCTACTTGGAGTCATAAAAATACTGTTTTTTCTTTTCTTCTAGAAGTTTGTTTTTCACATTTTGGTCTTTAATCTACCACATCTCTTTTTTAATATGGTGAGAAGTTGGAATATATTTTTCCTCACATGGATGATAAGTTTTCTAGAGCCGTTTTTGAAGTTTGTCATTTGTCCATTGATACGCATGCTTTTTCTGCCACTTACATTGTTTCTGAGCCCTCTGTTTTCTTCCATTGGCCTAATTGCTTATTTCTGTTATTCTACTGAGTTTGGAGTTACATTGTGTTTTAGACTGTTATGGGAGAATTGACATCTTCACCTTTCTGAGTCATCCTACCTATGAATATGCCATAATTCCATTTAATTAAATTTTACAAGATTTGACAATAAAGTCATGCAAATTTTTATTGAATTGATTCCTTGGCATCTTGTATTTTTGGCTATTATTATAAATTTGCTATCTGTTTTAAAAGTTACATTTATTGGCAAATAGGAATAAAAATGATTTTTGTAATTTTATCTTAAATCCAGTAAACTTTCTGAACCCATTGATTTATTACTTGTCTCTGAATTCTCTTAATTTCTCTATATTAAAAAAGACAGTTTTTTGTTTGTTTGTTTCCATTAGATGATGAGACTGACATGAGATAATCAGATTAAACACTACCATTAGAAAAGGGGAGGTTCATACAAACCACTGGCTCATAGAAATTCTGAAATCTTGCTGGGCAAATGTCATCAGATCTTTTTACCCAGGAGTGTGGGGGTATTTCTTAATTGCACCTAGAGAGTGGGAACTGGATTCCCTGAGAGTCTCCATTTATTGTTCTCCGCAGCTCTTGGCTTTACCCTCTGGAAGTTTCTTTCCTTTTTGTTAACCTCTTTGGCCACTTCTAAGAGGGCATTGGAAAATATGCCTTTGAGCAACTTCCTCAGCTTACTTACTTACTGTAGAAAACTGGGGGCCCAGAGGGCTTTTTATATCTGAAACAGTTTCAGCCCCTTTAACTCCAGGCTGATGCTTTTGTCAATCAAATTGTCCCAAATAATTTATGGATTTCCTTTATATAGTTTGATTCCTCTCTTCTTCTTATGTGAAAAACTATATCCGTAATTATTTTTAAGACAAGCCTATTTTTCTAGATTTAATTACTGGTAGTTTAGGTGTTGTGAAACACCTTGAATAGGCACCATTTCAATTTTTTTCAGAGGTCTTAATAAAGGGTCTTATAGTTACATCCTTGATCTCTTCTTTACCCTAAGGCCTTATCTTTCTGGCAAGGCCGTGAATTTAATATTTTCACAAAGATATATATTAATCTTAAACTATTTGTCTGGAAAGACCAGAGATAAGAAACTCATCCAGACTCTTAATGTTTTTTTCTGAGTTTTGCTTGCAAATTGGCCAGTTATTTTCTAAGCTCATCTATTTATTGAAGACACTCATCATATGTAGCTAAAATCAAGTGGATAATATTTGCAATACTTCTCCTTCTTGCCCAATTCTGAAAATTTATTAGGTTCTCTTTCTATCTTCCAAGTTATCATAGATGACCATTTTACCAAACACTTTAATGGCACATAACACTGGTCTCCATTTTTCCAAACTTTCATAATAATTTTCTTACATTTTTATAGCCTCCCTTGCAACTATATCCCAAAATCAATGGCATATATTTTGGGCTTTTATTAGTCAACACTCTACTTCTAGGATAAATTTCTACCTCATTTAGCCATAGCTACGTACTAATTTACTCCAAAACTCAGTGGCTGAATACAATAAATATTTCTCCTACTTTCCTGGGGTTTGGCTGATTTAGGCTGGTTCTTGGCTGGATGAGCTCAACAGGTCTCATTTGGGCCCTCTCATGTGTCCAGAGGTTGGCTGGCTGTCAGTTGATATAACCTGGGCTTGTCCAGAGTGACTTCAGTCTGTTCCAAATGTTTTGCATCTGCCTTTTGAGACTGGCGGACAAGCATAGGTGTGTCTTTCTCAAGGGGATGACAGAAATGCAAGAGAGCAAGTCAAAAAATGCAAGGCATCTGGAAGCCATGGCGACAAAAATTCAGACTTGCAGACAATTTGAATGGTGAATAAGACAGGGTTTTATTGGGTGAAAAAGGAAGAAAAGGGGGAAACAGGGACTCTCGCTAGGCCAGAGTCCCTGCTAGAGTGCTTCCTGCCTCTCAGTTCGAATTGCAGTTTCCACACAGGAAGAGGAGGGGCCAGGTTCCTCCCTGCTGCAAATGTTGTGAACTTCTGGGTCTCCACCCCAGTGCTCAGGTCAGTTGGAGTTTTTCTGGGGACCCCTCTCCCACCTGGCTTTCTCATTCCCCCCTCTAAAGAAGTACATCTAACTGCTGTTAAAATAAGGATAAGGATAAAGACCAATCTTAACTGCTTCCTGCTGACAGGGGGCACTGTGTTGGGGGAAAATGGCAGTGAGAGCTCCCTCAGAGGCCAATCTAAGGGTTCCAGCAGAAGGGGCCATTGTCAAAGGCTCTGGCTGCATGACTGCCTGGAGTTTGATTGCCTGAAGGCAAGAGCAGACAAACTGGGTTATTAGAAAGCATGTATCAAAGCAAAACAAGGGGAGCTAAGGACAGCTCAAAAATCCCAAGGCCTTTTAGCAGTGTGCACAGGGAGAGGGAAGCCAAAAGCCCTTCTGGCAAAAAAAAGCTTTATCCTTTTGCTGGCATGTTGGGCTTCTGGGTTCCCTTCCCCTGAGCTCAATCCTAAGCCAACCAATTTAAGACTTGGGAAATTAACTTCTCCCAGTTTGGAGGATGCACTGAGGTGTGTGTTCTCATAGTACAGAGACACAATTACCTGTTTGTGAAGAGAGAACCACGGAGGAGAAATAAAAAAGAAGGCATTTTTTAAAGGAGTCCCAGGGATTTGGGATGCATTTGAAAGGGGTACAGACTGAAGATGAATGGCTAACCCATCTAGAAAGAGGGGAGCAGGCATCCCTGGTTCCCTTCTCTTCCTAGCAGATACCTGGGGTAAGTGAGGGAGAGAAGGAAGAGCATCCTCTTTCCCTCTTTCATCCTTGCATGCCTGAATCCTGGAGACCATGGCAGATGCTGTCATGGGTGTCAAAGTGACTTGCACCCATGAAGCAGGGGGCCAAAGGGGTGGAATCATCTGCTTTTATCCACATACATCCTATCTCCCCTGCTGTCGGTAGGCTCAAATTTCCTAGGACTCATTTATGCCATGGATACTAACGTGGCCTTTATCCATGGAACAGGAAGCTTGGGCTTGGCTTAATTGGCAGGAATCAGCCATGCTTACCTGTGCTGTGCCTTTTAACATCTGTCGTTGTCTGCCTCTGGATCCTGTAAATCCAGTTTTTTTCTTAGGGCTTTGACCCAAAGCTTGGAATTGAGTCTGGGACAAAATGTGCCTTGGGGAGTTGCATGCACTCCCTATCGTAAGCCAAATACCAAGGTGAAATTGCAGAACTGAGTCCTCCTCCTGCAAGGGAGAGGAAAGGATGTCTTATGATATACCCAGAAAACTGGTAACTATAGTTATGCTTGTAGGATTTGGGTGGATGGTGCTTGGCTTTGGTTAGCTCCCTTGGTCTTACTTTCCCAAAAGGAAACCTCTGAGGGATAGGCATCCTATTTATCCCATCACCTGGCAGGATTTGCAGGATAATTGCTCAGAACTAGAATATTAACCCAGGTTTTTACATTAGCTATTCCTCTTGTTCTTTTGGAGCTGCCACCAGAGATTGCTGGTTGGTTCACAGGAACAAGCAGGGTTAGTCTAAAATGTAGGCAAAAACTGAAAAACAACTAGTGAGTTTAGAATTTAATGACAAACGTATGATAAGTTTTGAAACATGATTTCTGTCTTTCCTGTACTCATTTATGTTGAGAAAAAAAATCATAATAGGACCGAGTTGTTTGCAAAATAGACTTTAATCTTATACTTGGCCTGATTATTTGCATAAAGTACAGCAAGAATAATTATTTCTACATTGGCCTTTTGGATTGGCTTTGAGGGAACTCTGTTCCCCCCAAGGAATCTCAGATAAGGCCTTAAAAACCCATCCAAGCCATGGGTTGGGTATTCTCCAATACCTGTGAGTTGTGTGATCCTCTTCTCTTAAGGTCTGAAGATAAACTTGGATCTCCTCGGCCTGTTAGAAAGTGACATTCTTCACTGACCATATGTCAGGAACCCTGTACAGGGACTGCATAGATGAGGGTATGAGGCCAGTCTCCCCAGTGGGCTTATATTGGCTCTGCAAGTTGAGATTGACTCCTTAAAGGGAAGCATACTCTTCCAGTCAAAGCCTTGGTAAAATAACCACTTTCTCCAATTGTGTCCTGTTGCAAAAGAAAAATGGATTCTTATGGCACTGATGCAAACAACTATATTGCTGTTATAAATAAATTTTTTGGTGCTGCCAAAGAAATAGCACTCAAACATAAATTTAATTTTCTCAGCAAGGCAATTTTTACTTCTATAGAATGGTGCGCCTCGTGGATGGAGCAATGGTGAGAGCACACCTGAACAAGGGAGGGGAAGGGGTTTTTATTCCTGATGCAAGTAGCCCCTACTGCTGTGTCATTCCCCTATTGACTAGGGTTGGGCTGCACAGTCTAAGCTAATTTCCACTGGCTATTTTAAAGAGAGCAGGGGTACTAGTTGGAGTGGGGGCAGTGAGTAGTTTGGCGGGAAGGACAGTTACAGAACAGGTGACTCAGGATGAGTCAGGATGGAGCAGGTGACCAGCGGTGACTCAGGTCAAAGCAGATGACCAGGGGAACATATGTGAATTACTAATTAGAACTGGCAGGAAAGTTTTTTTACTGAAACTAGAGGCAAGGGGCGAAGAGAACCAGGAAGTTAAATTTTAAAATGGAGAACAGAAAATAAGAGGGCTGAACATACTGACATGCTGATTCTTTGAAGAGAAACTTGGGGTTCACTAAATTTAACAATGCCATAAGTTAAGAATACTCATGGATAGTTTCCAAATTCTAGAAGAACCAGGCAGAGAGAAACAAACATGCTCCAAATTTTGTTTGTAAGAGTATAACTTACTCAATTATTAAAGGCTGTAAATAGTTCAAAATAAGCTTCCTTGACTCTGAAAAACAAAATATGGATCAGCAATATTCCAAGCAAAAGTCAAAAAGGTTGCTTCAGCTTTCTGATTTTAGTCCATTTAGTTAACTCTGGTTTTGCTTGATATTTGGGAACACTTCAGCTCTTTATGAAGTGTTTTTTTTCTTTATTCAAATGTCACAATCTTCAAAGTTATCAGAAGCCTGTATTTGGGAGCACCTGTTAAATTTCTATGGCTTATTCTCAACCATCTTTTGAAAAGGATTAAAACAAGACAATAATTGTCTGTGAATAGCAAAATGTCCAGGATAGTTACAGTTAGAAACACAACTGACAAAGAAGTTTGGTTATCTTTGTGGTTTACCATAACTTAACATAACAACGTTAATTATGATTGATAGCATATACTTAGACAATAGAATTTTAGAAATCCCATACAATTTTGGAACATACATTAGCGTTATTCACAAAAATATAACCTAAAGAAGAATTGAACATCATTTTGGCAATCCCGTGTACCTAAACATGTTAAATAATCCTGTTTACCTTTCTTTCTGGATGTTTCAGGGGCCCTTTGAACCATTCAAAAAGCCAGGTGTCAGGGAAAACAATTTTGAAAATGAAGTTTGATTTGGGGAAGGCTGTCAAATATGTTCGAGATTTAAAACACCTGATATTATGAAATAGAATTCCACATTATCATAAATTATTTATTTTGCCAAAATGATGAATCAGAAATTTTAAATAAGTAAAAACCTTTTATAACCTTTTATAACTAAATATAACATATTTAGTCAATATGTTCACACAGAGAACCTCTTCTGCAAGATTAATTTTCAGAATTCTTCCACCACTTGTTTGAACTTTTAGCTTTTCCTATCTAATTTAAAGCAGTCCTTTAACCCTAGGCAAAAATTTACATTTCCATACCTCCTTATAACCTTTTACCAAAAAAAAAAAAAACCACCAACAACAAATTTTACTGTTCTTACACACCTTGCATGTAAATCTATTTCCAGTAGTCTCAATTACATGTTATAATTGTAACTCCTAGCAATTTCTCACTTCAAGGTAAAACTTGGTAAGTTGCTTTAACTGTGTGCTAAGTGCAGCCAAGGTTTGACTCCAGCATAATTAAGGGCGTGATTAGTTCCATATGTCCCCAGGCCTTACCAATTGTGAAGCCGGCACATCAAATAGTTTCAAAACCAAAAAAGCAGTTTGTAACCTCAAAACACTTAGCAAACCTTTCATCTGACCTGCATATTTTAGTTCACCTACGTTACATTTTAATGATCCCTGCATTTTACCAATAACCTTTAAGGCTGTTTTTATTTCTGAAAGATTAAAGTCACATGAACTGAAAGGTACCACAGCTTTTAGCTTCCCTTGAAAAAATACTTGATCCAAGCACTTGTCTTTCTTTAGGCCAAATTAATTAGGAGCTCTTATTACAGACATCATACACAGCACAGACACAGACAGGAAGAAGAAAACCTAGTTGCTGGGTGGGATCCTTGAAAAGACAGGGCTAGGGGTACCTGCAGATGTCAAACCAGAAAGGAACTTATTCTCTAAGGTAGGGTTGCTAAACAAAGCCTTGCCACCGGAGTTACAAGCCATGCCCTCAGGATGTAAAACAAGACAGAGGCTTGATTTCACAATCAAAACTTTGCAGAGAATATAAACAGTGATACTTGTGGGGCCTGGCCTAGTAAAAACGTCTTCTAAAAGGAATAAAAAATAAAAGTTAACTGCTGACGGGGTAGAGAAGAAGAAAAAAACAGCTTAAATATGCCTGGTGAAGAACCTTTTATTCTTATGCAAGTGGTTCCTCCACCAGGAGAAATGCTTAATTACTGTCCAATGAAGCTGAACCCCTTGTCCAGGGAAGGGGAACGCAGTGGCAGCACATGGCTGGGAACCAGCCAGTTGGCTGTGTGGGACCTTTGGGCCATGTGATCCCAGCCCTAGCAGGGAGCAGGGAGTGGCAGGGAGCTGCTGCTTGCCGGTCTGTCCCAGAAAAGGAAGGAAAAGGCCATGAAAAAGCCCGGGAGTGATGAGGGGTGGGGGTATGGTTTCCGCTATCCTCAGAAGTCTGAGGATGAAAAGGCTTAGAAGCAACAGGAAGAGATTTTGAATCCCCATTTTACTCACCATTTCTCAAGCCCCATGTTGGGCATCAAAAATGTTGCAGGACTTTTCCTTAGTTCAGTTAAAGATGAGGTTCTTTGTCCCACAGCCACGAAAATTCAGGCTCGCAGACAATTTGAATGGTGAGTAAGACATGGTTTTATTGGGTGAAAAAGGAGTAAAAGGTGGAAACAGGGACTCTCGCTAGGCCAGAGTCCCTGCTAGAGTGCTTCCCACCTCACAGTTCAGATCCCAGCTTCCACACAGGATGAGGAGGGGACAGGCTCCTCCCTGCTGCAAATGTTGTGAACCTCTGTGTCTCCACCTCAGTGCTCAGGCTGGTTGAGGTTTCTCTAAGGATACCCTCCCACCTGGCTGTCTCAGATGCAGGAAGGTGAAGAATCAGGGCCATTAAGTCTATCATTCTACCACCCACTAATGGTATTATCATGCAAGGCAACCAGGGATCTGTCAACGTGTACAGGGCAGCTGCTTGCATCAGCTCCCTCTCATTTTTAGTCTGGACTTGGATTTCCCTTCTGATGGTTTCTCTTCTTTTCCCACAGGTTATTTTCTCCTAAGCTTTGCATTCAAATGATGTCTTGTTCCATTTCAGCTAGAAGTATTAAATATTTTGAAGAGTGAGTGTTTTCAGAATATCCAGCCCATAATATGAGGAGAAATAGCAGTGCAAAAATTATTAAAATTATTTATTAAGATAGCGTATAATTTGCTTTTCTAGCCTATAGGACATGGCTACCTGGCTTTTGTGACTGGGCTTTTGTAGTCCATAAAATTTTTTCTATAATTGGTCTTATTTTCATTCAACAGTGTAACAGTTACCCAAATAGTTGGAGTTGGGGTATTTGTGGATCAGGCAGAAACACAATAAGAGAAATATAAGAAAATAGAAGTTCATCAAGGAGGGGAGTGCAATTTTATAGTAGGAGATAATTTTAAGGAAGAGATTATGGGAATCAGCAAACAAAATGAACAGGGGGGAATGGAACAGATATGAGTCAGAATGAGAAAGCTGGCATTGAAACAATTGAATAGTGTATACGTGTTCAATATACTAAGTGCACATGATAAAAAGTAGTTTATTTTAATTAGCTAGATTATTGTAATCATTTCATGCTATATATGTACATTTAAAAAATCACTTTGTACACCTTAAATATATACAATTTTTGTCAGTCATACGATTTTCAAAAAGTAGTTTAATTATTTGGGAAGCCTTTCTAAACAATGTAGGAATAGAACCTGAGTTCTGAGATCTGACCTCACTTATTTAGTTTTTTTTTTTGTCTTTTTCCTGTAATGCCTACAGCCCTCCCTTTTTTCCTTCTTTCTCCAGCTGCTCTATGTAAATTACATGCTATGAGATATAGAAGATAATTTCTCTTTTTTTTCTTTTTTTTTTTATAGAAGTTAATTTCTCATCTTCACCACTTAAGTGTGGGTAGATACAAATCAGCAAGATTGGCCTGTGTTTCATAAACTTTCCAACGTTAACCATCTTAAAGCAGTGTAAACCCAAATGATCTTATGTCCTTGCACTCCATTTATAATTGATATTGTGAAAAGTATATGCAAACAAAGTTGAAACTTAGTAACAAAACTCGAGAGCCACAATCATCTCATTAATATGTTCTGAGTAAAATAAAAGCAATTTTCTCCTTTTACATTATTCATATTACAGTTTTAATGTATTGACTAGTAAGATGCAGATGGTTCCAGGTTTTTCACTGAATGTAATATAAAGTTTTTGGGAAGAATGTATTCTGTTAAGTAAATATCATTAAAGATTAAAAATTCTTTGAATACTCTTTTCAACAGCTGATGTGATGTACTGGCCTTCAGCCAGTACACACAAATTGTACTATGTATGAATCAGTTCACACTAATTATTACAAAGAATAAGAGCTAGTGGGAAAAGAGCTAACAGTCCGCTTACATTACCATCTTTAATCCCTAACTTGAATTCAGTGTGTATATTGATGTGTATAGATCAATGTGCATAGATGTTTATTATCTATTCCAAACATCTAATGTGTTTGTGTAACAGAATTGTGTTCCAAAAACTTCCTTTTTTGAAATAGCAGGATCAAAATAATTTATCCAAACCTTAAGAGTTCATAAGAAATATTTCATTTAAAAAAATGACCATCTTGTAGACATTCTTCTTATATGGCTTAAAAAGCACATTAATCAGTGTTGTCTGGGAATCATTTACATGATTTTGGTTAGACGTAGAGATACTTCGTAATTCACTGCATATGCACTGTTTTTCATTCTTGAGGATTTTAAAAATTCGTTCAACACATCTTTTCGTGTTTATTTTCATGAAATCAGAATTATGCTATTTATTATGAGGGGAGCAAAGGAGTTTAAGATATGATCTCAGCCTTCCATAAACATCCAGTTTTATTAACAAGAGGAAATAGAGTCACATAACTTGGAGTATAATCAAGTGCTGTGCTGAGAACCAGTGGTCATAGTAGTTGAACTCTTGGAATAACCACTGAAAGCAGACTTCTTGGAGAGAGAGCCTAGGACAAGGTAACTACTTCCTGGATAGGTGAGCTTCTTGCTGATAAGCCATACTGCAGAAATTGGTAAGCTTTGAGAGAATTTTTGACTGGGAATGCTATTTATTTATTTATTTATTTATTTATTTTTTATTTATTTGAGATGGAGTCTCTTTGTCACCCAGGCTGGAGTGCAGTGGCATGATCTTGGCTCATTGCAACCTCCTCCTCCCAGATTCAAGTGATTCTCCTGCATCTGCCTCCCGAGTAGCTGAGATTATAGGCGTGTGCCACCACGCCCAGCTAATTTTTTTTATTTTTAGTAGAGATGGGGTTTCACAATGTTGGTCAGGCTGGTCTCGAACTCCTGACCTTGTCATCTGCCCACTTTGGCCTTCCAAAGTGCTGGGATTACAGGTGTGAGCCACCACACCCTGCCTGCTTTTCTTATTAAAGTTACGCTGACTTGCTTAAGAACGTCAAAACCTAGGGACCTCTATACTTGAAAGGGCAAAGGAACATGCATTTTTACATTACTAAAGAATAATTAGGATTTTAAAAGTTTATCTCTGAAATTTTAAATGTTTTTTTACCCATGTATTTAAAATATTTTCAAAATAATTTTTAATTCGTTTACATTTTTAAATTACTTTTGCCATGGATTGCTGTGTTATGTTATATGAAGTGTTTAGAACTGCTGTCTTCACTAAAACCCTTTCATAAAGATCTATGGAAGGATGTTTACTTAGCTTAATCAAATATAAATAATATAACCAAAACTCTGCTACTTTGATCTACTATGTGTAAAAAGGCTATATTCAAAATTTTTCAGAAATATATACATTTTTAAAAGGAGAAAGTGCTCTTTGCTTCCATTTTTTCATCAACACTAGAATGGGAGGAATATAAAGAGCTTTGTGAATTTAGAAAAATATAGTAGAGCCCCATTTTTCACCTGTAAAATATTCACTTCCTAACTCCTCTGACTCTGTTTGCAGCT
Organism: Homo sapiens; assembly: GCF_000001405.40. NCBI lineage: Eukaryota > Metazoa > Chordata > Mammalia > Primates > Hominidae > Homo > Homo sapiens. The sequence goes on from NC_000008.11 coordinate 68,517,501, forward strand.
CTTAGTATTGCTTTGCTTGTCAGCTATTTCTCACTAAATTTCTACACCAGGTGGAGTTAAACATCCTGAATATCACACTGTTTATTCTCTCTCTGTGCTCTACTTTTCAATAGCAATACATCTACCATTGCATTTGATTTCCTAGTAAGCAACCAGGGAGTTAGTTCTGATTCTCTACTGCTCTCCACTTTCTGATTATACCCAACTCTAAAACCTTTTTCACTCTTTGGCTTACAGTGCCTAAACTCATCTATTTCTGTTGTTCCAGTGGTCAATTTCTTTGTTCATTTCTTTGTTTCAAGTACCATCTACTTTGAGCCTATAGCTAGACAAATCTCCAAGCCCAATTCTGCCCCATATGTAAATGAGATTAATAACATTGAATTAATTATTCAACCTTTTAAATATAACATCTATAAAATGAAACTTTATAGGATGAAAATCTGCACTGTCAATTCCCTGTTCTGTTTCTCTGCCCTTATTGACTACCATGTATCTATTCTTACTCAATTTGTCCATTCCACAGTGATACATCAAATATATAGAAATGACTTGAATACAGTTCACACTCTTAAATAATTGTATCTGGCTTATACACAGAATTTTATGGTTTATCTGTATCCCAAACCTCAGCATCACCCAATATACCCATGAAACAACCCTACATGTGCACCTCCTGAATCCAAATTTTAAAAAAGGAAGAAGGCACAATTTATACTGAAGTTTGGTCATGTCCCTTGGTGAGACTACCACTGCTGAATCCAGTCCATGTTGAGCTTCAGCTTCCTCTTCTCTGAACTAGTATATTTAATTACAAAACACACATGTGGGGCCATTTATATATATATAAATTTGTATATAATCTTATTTTGTACTTTACATGTTTGTATCTCTTCCCTCAAAATAAACAGAATAGCAATGAAAAACCTTTAGAATATGGATCATAGACTTAATACATTTAATGTGCTTCCTCTGACCCTCCCTTTAGGGCCCTAAATAACAGACAGCCTCTAGTATATCAAGCCAGAAAAAGACGCCAACTCTCCAAACTCATAGTCCAAGGTAGATTTTGTGAACATTCTGTTGTTGGCTTTTGATTTAGCCTTAAAATTTGTGGCCGGGTGCGGTGGTTCATGAATGTAATCCCAGCACTTTGGGAGGCCAAGGTGCGTGGATCACAAGGTCAAGAGATTGAGACCATCCTGGCCAACATGGTGAAAGCCCATCTCTACTAAAACTACAAAAATTAGCTGGGCATGGTGGTGTACACCTGTACCCAGCTATTTGGGAGGCTGAGGCAGGGGAATTGCTTGAACCCAGGAGGTGGAGGTTGCAGTGAGCCAAGATCGTGCCACTACACTCCAGCCTGGCGACAGAGCAAGACTCAAAAAAAAAAAAAAAAAGGCAAGTATGCAAAAAAAAGTGGTAGATACAGGGGAATATGTTACATAAATTGTGATTGAAAGAACAGTGGCAATCAAGGGTCTAGTTTTATTCTTTTCTCATACATTGTACGATGATAAAATGTGCTTCAAAATGAAAAATTTATTGTAAAACTACGATCAAGCGTATTAAAGTAAGAATTAAAAGACACAGATCTAAGGCTTAGCTTTCCCATTTAATAGAAGTGACTGTTCGAAGTATCAGATTCTTTAGCTTCCTTTGGTCTTTATGTATGAGACCTTGACATTTAAAGTAATAGTGCTCATTGTCAACTTAATTGTAAACATAAACACAAACTTGGGCACTTACATCATGCAACTCTACTTTCTGGTCAGTCAGGAGATGCAGAACACACCTGTATTACTTTTGGAAAGTTATGAAAATTAAAATACAAATTTCGTATACATATGTGTGTATATATAATCATTTTTTCTCAGAGACCTCATAGCTCACTAAGAATACATCCACACACATTTAAGACACAGTGACACACAGCAATTCTATTTTAAAAGCCTGCAAAGCAGAGCCAGTTGAATTGTTTTTGTTATTCTCCAATAAAAGAAGTATAGGAATTGAGATAATTTAGTGAATTTTATAGCAATCTGATATTTGTTGAATGAAAACATTTCATTCAATATAACCCTTGGCTTATATTTTATATGACTTTGTTTTGTAAAGATTGTTGTTTATGATTATTGATTTTCATGGTCTTTTATGAAAATATTAGTCCTGAGGGTTTGAAAATTAAAGCAAAACAAATTTTTTAAAAAATGGTCTTTCACCTGGGGGTGGGGGGGAAGAATTTTATGGTTTAACTATGTTATTTACTAATTCATTTGATACAATAGGCTTTATAATTCTTATCATCCCCATTTTATAGTTGGAGAAAATGAAATTCAAGGAATAAGTAACATTGTAAAGTCTCACAGATGGAAAAGTATTCTGAAGTTGTAAATGTTTATAGATTTTTAAATTCAAAAACATGTCTTCACAGTCATCTGCTTTAAAAAGTAAATACAGATTTAAAATTGAACAGTATCGTTAACTTTAGTTTCTGTTCTTCAAATAATATTAAATTGTGGCAGATGCATATGCCCTTCTGATTGTTTGAAAACATTCATTTGATTGCATTATTTTACAGCTGAAATCCATTGTAGTGCTTTAATTTTCTGATGTGAGGGATATAAGTATAGAAAGAGTTCAGATTACTTGCTAAGTTTTACAAACACTGGTCCTAAAATGTACCTGCTGTATTTTCATGTAGGCTGGATCAATATTAAGATATCTAATTCCTTTCTGTCACTTGCTATTACTTGAAGAAATGCTCATCAAATATGTTCTAAATCATATTTCATGTGTTGCTTTTGGTATTATATTTGTATGTTGATTATATATTACATTGTATGTACTGTAAGATTATATTGTATTATATTCTGTACTGAAATGTAGAATATGTTGTGAAGTCTGAAGACTCAGAACACCATCTGAATTTTTATTGTTTTTTTTAAATTTTATTTTTATTTTTAAGACGCAGTCTTGCTCTGTTGCCCAGGCTGGAGTGCAGTGGCACGATCTCGGCTCACTGCAAGCTCCACCTCCCGGGTTCACACCATTCTCCTGCCTCAGCCTCCCGAGTAGCTGGGACTACAGGTGCCCGCCATCACGCCCGGCTAATTTTTTTTTTTTTTTTTTTGTATTTTTAGTAGAGACGGGGTTTCACCGTGTTAGCCAGGATGGTCTTGATCTCCTGACCTCGTTATCTGCACACCTCGGCCTCCCAAAGTGCTGGGCTTACAGGCGTGAGCCACCGCGCCCAGCCCACCTTCTGAATTTTTAAAGAATTGTTCAAGACTATTGTAATAGTAAAATTTATCACTAAACATATTTAAGCAAGGCTTATATTTTTCAGCTGAAGAGGCATTAAAAATATATTTTTCTCATTACATATTTACTGTAGCAAATAGAAATGATGTTGCAATGCAAAAAGAAGAAACTAAAATTACCTGTAGTTCCTTCATTCAGATAAAGGCACTATTAAATTTTGATTTTATTTTACCATTGTTTTCCTCAGCATATCAAGCAGTTCTTTGCCTGTAGCAAGTCTTAATAAATATTAGAGAGTGAAGAAATGAATGAATTAGTGAACAAGAAACGGATATACACTGATATGAATTTTTTAAACAAAATCTAGATTATAAGTATTGCTTTTTAACTTGCCCTTTTTTCACATAACAAAAAATCCCTAGCAATACATGTATTCAGTATTCTACTACAATAGTATTTTAATAGCTGTATCATATCCGAGTCCATGAAAACAGATTACTAACATTTGTTGAATTAGCATAACATATCTGCCATTGATAGTGCTGTGTTTCGAATTTCTACTGGATCCTGAAATGTCTAAAATGCTTTGCAGTTGGAGGCAATACACCCTTCGAGCCCTATCTCTTCTTGTCCCTATCCCCTGACCCCAACCCAGTTTCTACCTGGGCAATTATTTACTATTTCCCAGCAGTGACACCAAGCTCTCTGCCTATGTGGGCCGCCCTGTTTACAACACACTCTTCCTTCTGCCTTGAATGCTCATCCCACACCTCTTTCCTGAGAGCACACTTGCAGCCTTCCAAATTCAAAGCAAAGATTTCACTCCTGGGTCCTTTATCACAGTGACCTTAGGAATTAGCATAAATCACTAGAACAAGCTATCTAGTAGAGTTGGAGGAAACTGAAGTTTTGTATCAATTCAGAAAGACAAAAAGCATTTGACAGTCAAATATCTAGGCAACTTTATTTCCCTGTTGTCCTGTTAATAAGAAAAAGCCATCTAAGACAGCATATTCTTTTCTTCTCTTCAGGAAACAGTGACATTTAATTCTTCTCTTCTGAGGCCCCGTGTGATTGGAGAATGGATTGGTAGAGAAGAAAATGATGCTGATCCCCTAGCTGCTGAAATGCTACAGCCTCCAATTCCAAGAAGCAAAAATGACCAATGGGAAAGTGAAGATAGTGGCTCTAGTCCTGCAGGAAGGTGAGATGAGCTGTCTGCTGAGATTCTATATTACTAGTCATTAAAAGGTAAAGGGAAAATAAACCCAAGTTCATGGTTTTTATGAAATCCGTTTTAGTAATTTTTTATAGAAAATTATGTTAGTCTATACATAGGATAAAAACATCAATTGCTGTCTCTTAAAATGAGAGTTTCAGACCTGCTTTGGAGTTTTGGTGTTGATTTGTTTTCTTCAAATCTAGATCACCATATCTTTGCTACTAAAACCAAATAGAGAATTAATTTCAAGATATGCTGCCAGTCAAGACCTACTATAATATTGGACAGAGAGTGGCTGGCTGTTAAGAATTGGAGAGGAGGGACTTCTGATGTACCAGAAAGATATTGTTAATCATCAGGGATAATAAAATTATTAAATGTATAATAGACCATAGGAGGCAAAGTTAATATTGACCATAAAGAAAGAGAAGCCTTAGTTAGAACCATTTAAGTTTAGAGTTGATAACTATGATTGAATATATTTATTAACATATATATTCTTTGTTTAATTTTTGAAACTGCTATTATTTGTAAATGTGAAAGTCCATACTTTGATTTTACTTAGACCCCTAATGCTCAAAATGGTGGCAGGAGATTTACTTTACGTGCCCATGTGCTGGTAATAGTGAATTAATGTTGAAATGTCCAGATCTTATTTATTGGAAAAACTATATTCAGAGTAATTTTTTTTTGTAATACCAGTTGCAACGAGTAAAACTCAAAACAAAAATGAAAATTTCTGCAAAGTATCTGGGGTGAAAAATATCACGGGAGGCATGGCTTAGACAAGATTGCAAAAACAAATATTCATGAATGGAAATGTGACAGGAGTTTAAGCTTTCTGTGAGTGTTACCAGCTGCCCGTCACAGAAGAGTTTTTCCTGTGCATAGCATAGCCACAGTAACTTGGCATTTTCTATGTTAAATTTAGCAGCAACCAATAACTGTTCTTTCTCAAGGAGAAAATTGTATTTTCTACAATGTAATAGCTTTCAGGGGTTCTTTGCGGTGACTTATCACTTGGCTGGAGGGAAGGAAATTCAGAATACTCATTAATGTGCTTCAGGCCTACAGAAAATTGATTCTATTTCCATGAGAAATAACTTTTAAATTATTTAAATAGTTGAAGTGTCCTGTGTGAGGAGAGGAAAACCATTTATAAAGATCCATTTACCTTCTTTGTGAAATGCCAGATCAATTTCATCTGTCAATGAGGGTAATTTTTTTAATACCAGGCTTATAAAACCTACTAGACTTTTATCTTTATTCATTGGTAGATCTTTAGTTCTTAAATGTAAAATAGAGAAATGTCAACTTTCATTGTACTTTCATTTAGTCATAATAATAATCAGAACTATTTATCTCAAGTGTCAGTCTATTTTCTTCCTAGCTTCAGTGAGCTCTTATTCCCACCTGAATACTCAATAAGGGAGAACCTCTTCTCTAATCCTAGCGGACTCCCTTATCTAGAAAACTCAGTCCATGAACCTGTCTCTTAAATGTTTGTCTTAATTTTTTTCAGCTTTATTTTGCTCTGTCTTTAAATTATAAATTGAGGTATTACACTGTGACAAGAAAGAGCTGGTGAAATTCTGCCCAGGTGCCCCCATTAGAGTAGAAAGAATACATGCATATCTGAATTAAATTTCAGGAACAGCAGTAAACCATGGGCTAGAAACTATATTTTCTCCATCTTCTAATACAAAATAGGATTTTTGAATTGATACCAGCAACTCACACCGCATTAGATTTGATTTGGATCAAGCAGAAAGGGTTGGAGAAAATTTTTTAATGGCTCCAGAGTCCGTAACTATAGTATTAGCTTTTACCCTTAAATAGAAATGAACCTGTACTATACTTTAATGACCAACTGACAAAATCGTATCCTAGACTCCTGAAAGAGAAAACTTAATTTTCAAGCATGACTCCATCCATTTTTCACCTCACCCTCTCCACTGGGGCTGGCACATTTTTGTTGTCGTTTGACATCTGTTACATGAGTGACAAAGGCACAGGCTGACGCTAGGCATCTGCTAAATAAAGCTTATTGATGAGAAGAACCATTTATAGTCTTATCTTTATTTCTTGCAGCCTTTCCTATCTCAATTTTTCTCTATTGTGCATTAAGTCTTACTCAAATGGCTACTACAACACTCCATCTTTGTTACATAGCCAGCTTTCCTTTTCATGCAGAATAATAGATACATGATAGGCTAGAGTTTCACCATTAGATTAGAGGGAATTAAATAAATGGCATAATAAACCTTGAGAGTCTTATGCGTAGAAGCTTACCCCCTTTTTTAATGATGTACTGTATGTGAACTTCTTTCCCTAGGTCCCCCAAATATGACATTGTATGAAGAGGTTAATAAGTATGTTACAAATAGTTTGATACAAATGACACCTGAAGCATTAAGTGCTGGTTAGAAAAGAAACTGTGAGGGTGATAAATGGAAACTAGCAGACTAAGACAAGAGATACTAACATGGAGTCCTGCCACATCTTTCTTAGATTCTCAAAGCAGTTCAGAATTAAGAGTGCTTAAGAAAGAAATTAAAGCATTTGAGTAAGAAAAGTGAGAGGAATTCACCGAACAGAGAGGTGAATGTGTTGGGAAATGATTGAAGTCTTTCTGTGAGTGTCAGATCCTACCAATTGGTATCAATTGCTATGACTTGCCTAGCTATTTAGTGGGAAAACATATACATTCATTGCACATTTAGAGTTATTAAAAATAATCCCATGTTTATAATATAAATGTAAACAAAAATTGAATTTAATAAGCCTATATACTCTTATTTTAAGCCATTTTAATTAAACTTTGCAATAGCTGAGTAATGGATTTTCTAAAATTACTTATTAAATTGTAATGTGAATTTGTAAATATGCTCATTAAGCCTTGAAGCCTAATGAAGTTCCTCTAAAGCTGAATCACCTTATTAAAACAAAAATAATATCCATAAATACTGTAGATCTGGTGAATTGGCTTTCTTTCTTAAGTGAACACTGTTAGATTGAAAATAGGTCACAAAATAAAGAGAAAATTTTATAATTTAGAAATGTGTATGAAATATTAAAATAAGAGCTAAATTCACTTCCCATTAGGAAGTTTTCTTTCCATTAAAGCTCATAATTGCTTCTAACATACCTGTGAATAAAACCTGGAAATGGTCCCCTTCCTCTTAGAATTTTTTCTATTGGCAGAAAGAGACAAGCAGTAAACAAGTGAATATACAAATATATGCCATAAATTCAAGTAGTGATAGGTATGATGGAATATAAATCAAATTTAGTAATTTAGAAATAATCTAACATGGAAATTTTAAGCATAAATAATTGTAATTGATTAATATGTAATCTGCCCAAGAAATCAAAGAACAGAAGGCTTGAAATATCTAAAACACACAAAAATTATACCTCATAACTTATAAATTTCTTAATTTCTTTTTTAGTACAAGTTCAATCCAAAACAAATTTCTTTTTGGTTTCCCTCTGAGGCATTTTATTTGTAAGTATGTATTACATCCCTAGAAAAAGAATCCCAGGATTTTCCCTCCTGTGTGTCTTCGTCTTACTTCTTTGTGGTCCATGATGCCAGCTGAGGTTGTCAGTACAATGAAACCGAACTGGTCAGATGGGAGCAGATTATGCTGCCATTTTTCTAGATCTTTGAGTTGCACATGAAACCTGGGGCTGATCACTCCATATTTGTTTAGCCTGCCTGTGAGGTTCACAACAATCTTCCCAGCTCTGTGATCATCAATGATTTTAGATTCACCAGTGTAGCCATGCTTCATCACAGTGAGAAACAGGATGATAACTCTGGAGCATGGCTTGATAAGAACCTGGTGTTTGTCTCTCTTTTTAGCATTGTGGATGTTCCTGAGAATATCAACCAAGACATTCATGTGCACCATTGTGGCAGCATGGAAAGATGGCAGCTGAAAGAGACAAATTTCTTTCTTTCTTTTTTTTTTTTTTTTTTTTGAGACAGAGTCTCACTCTGTCACACAGACTGGAGTGCAGTGGTGTTATCTTGGCTCACTGCAGACTCTCCCTCCCAGTTCAAGTGAGCCTCCCACCTTAGCCTCCTGAGAAGCTGGGACTACAGGTGTGCCCCACCATGCCCAGCTAATTTCTTTTAAATTTTTTGTAGAGATGGGGTTTCACTATGTTGCCCAGGCAGGTCTTGTATTCCTGGATTCAAGCAATCCACCCATCTTGGCCCCAAAGTGCTGGGATTACAGGTATGAGCCACCATGCCTGTTTAAGATAAATTTCTTTTTAAAGCCAAAAGAGCATGCATTTAATTTCAGATCATTGATGAAGTCATCTGGACAGGTTGAAAGTTTTCTTTTTATTTATTTAGTATTCATTTGCTTATGTTAATACCAGGTAATGTGCTAGATACTGGATAAGACTGACATGACAAAAAATCCTAGACTCAAAGGAATTGCTTAAAAGTGGAGGAGAATGATTTTTAAAAATTTTGTTACTGCTCAGTTCACAGTACTAGGTATATGACAAGCACTTAAGTGTCTGCTAAACTGATTCTAAAACATCATATTTATATATTCTTAAAAATAGCTCTTACGCATAAAAATCTATATGCAACAATTGAGTGTGAAACTTTTCATGACCTCTTCAACTTCCAAGGCCTTAGTGCAAAGGGCACCCTTTAATTAATGACTGGAGTCAAAAAAAAAAAAAAGGACACAGGTTCAGCCTACAAGACTGTGAGGGTGAACTCAACAAGCTTAGGAGATAGTCCAAGAAATCATCCAATTTTTCACCAAAAAGAACGCATGGAATCAGATCAAACTAAATGTTTACCAACCTATGCTCAGAAAGAAAGCGTGAAACTAAACGGAGCAAGCTCAGGCCCACGAGTGAGACAGGAGTCAGGAGGAGGAGGGCCAGTGGTCAGAATGAAGGCTCAGGAGGCTCCACCTGCTCAGGCAGGCCCACAGGGGAGGTTCTGTGGGGTGACCTCTTTAAACTGTTCCTTTCCATTTGATCCTGGTTTAGAAATCACTCTTCTAAACCAAAGCAAAATGGATTCCTTGAGTATATGAACACCAAATTGAAATATTAACTGCTAGTCTTTCTCATCAGGCCTCTTTTTGTACACTTTCTCTTGATGTGGGATATTATGGCTCAAGAGGAGGCGTTCACATGTCCAGGATGCCCCCTTTGTGTTCTTTGAACACATAATGATATTAATTACCACTTAGAGGCTGCTCTATGTGCTTTGCATATTGTAACCCATTTCATCCTTATGAAAACACTATTATTCAGAAATGAGAGGCCCGGCGCAGTGGCTCACGCCTGTAAGCGCTCTGGGAGGCCGAGGCGGGCGGATCACAAGGTCAGGAGGTCGAAACCATCCTGGCTAACACGGTGAAACCCCGTCTCTACTAAAAATACAAAAAATTAGCCGGGCGTGGTGGTGGGCGCCTGTAGTCCCAGCTACTCGGGAGGCTGAGGCAGGAGAATGGCGTGAACCCGGGAGGTGGAGCTTGCAGTGAGCTGAGATCGTGCCACTGCACTCCAGGCTGGGTGACAGAGCAAGACTCCGTCTCAAAAAAATAAAAAATAAAAAATTAATGAGGAAACTAAGTCCCAGAGTGGCTACATCCCCATCCCAAGATTGATAGCCGTTAGGTCACTGAGCTAGGCTGCCTTGCTTCAAATTCTGTGCATTTAAATCCTTTGCTCTACAGTCTCTCTTCAGAAAGCTGTTCTAAGAATCCTGTTATTAAGCTTTAGGTTCAAATCTGGGAAAGAGGGGCCTCGGAACCCTAAGTGCTCTTAGAAAAACCCCTCTTGTTCTGATCTCACTCAACACCATCTGTATGAACACTCCTGCATCCCTGCAGCAGGCAGCTATTTTTTCTTAATGGTTGTAGGATCCACAGGCTGTGGGGCTGGAGAAGAGGGTGGTGTCATCCTTTATCGTCTGCTGCTTCCAGATCTTGCTGTCTCCTCCCTAAAACAATCCCCAGTTCTGCATCTTGTTCTGAATTTCCCAGTGTGTTAATTTCCCACATCATCTTCTAGCAATAATTTGCTAACTGCCAGCCATTCCCCTTTCTCTGAACATTCAAATGTCCGGCTCCTGTAACTCTCCCCAGTAGCTTTGCTGCATTGGTTAAGTCAGCGTCAACATCATCGGTGATCCTTCCCCAAACCTGGCCTCTCACTTTCTTTACCTACTCTTCGCCATGTATCTTGAATTCCACCCTACCTCCCCATCACTCCCTCTGTCATATCCTAGACCTTCTCATTCTCATTATCTGCAAATCCATGATGTCAATTTCAGGCATCTCACTTTCTGACTACCACCTGTCGTCTTTCTAGTTTATTGCCTCTGACACTCAGCTTTAACTGGGACCCCAAAAACACTGAGACTGCCAAAGTTTTCTTGTTTCTCACCCACCTTGTTCTTAATTTTTCTCCTTAGTCAGGTTTATCTCTGCCCCATCATGGTAATTTGTCCCTTGGATATGCCCTCAAGTCTTCTGCTCCTCTTTTCCTGTTTTACTCTCCTGGAAAAACTCTACCATGTTTACATCTAATTGTTTCCCTATTCTGTGGCTGAACCAACCTAGGCTAGAGAAGGACACATGGCCACACTGGCCAGTATCACTGAATTCACGACCACCAAACTCCAGGGGCACACTGGTGCTACCCGGCAATGCAGCTGCACCTGCCTCTGCCATTCACATATTCACTCTCCTCAATGATGACTTCACATTTTTCCTGCTCTCCCCCAATCTCCAAAACTTTTCCCCATCATCCTTATTCTTAACTAATGACTCTGTTTCCCATTTCAAAGAGAAAATAGCTGCAGTCATAAAGAAAACCTCCATAAGCTTCCTCCAGCAGACTCTCTGTGCACCTGGCTTATCTGTGCTCAGGTTTTCTGCTCTTCCCTATGGCTATGGGTGAGTCACTCATGCTCCGCCTAGGGCAAGCTCCTCCACTCAGCGCTAGGTCCTTACTCTAAATCACCCATGTAAGCTCATCACTTCTCTTCATTCCCTGCACCATTCCTTTCTCCTAGCTCATTCCCCTCAGCATGAAAGTACGATGGAACTTCTCTCTAAAAAGTGAAGCCTCCCTGGCCCCAGCAATTAATTGTTCTCTGTCTTTCATTCAATTTACAAAGAAGCTCCTCAAAGTAGTTTACTTGTGTGCACTGACCCCTCATTTTGCAATCTTTTCCAAATAGAATGTTATTCCCACCACCTATTGAAAGCAACCTTGTCAATGTCACAGGACGACCTCTTGTCCAAGTTACCCAGTGTCAGTCAAATGACCTCTGCCTTCTGAAATTCCAACCTCAAGTCTCAGCCCCCATCTTACTTGACCAAACAGCAGTGTTTGAGATTTCATCTCTCAGTTATTTATTCAAATATTTTCCTCGCAATCCGTATCTGTAATTGTGAAATTCAAAATGCTCTGACAATGAAAGTTGTTTTCATAATTCATTATAGCAAAACCTGATCTGAACCCTGCAGATTCTTTATTTATCCCACTCAGTGGGAATGCTGATACATAATGATGTAGAAATACTGAAGTATTTGATAACAGGGTGAGGCCACAGACCCTCTGGAATGTATTATATAATATAGAGTTTATGCAACAGAACACATCCAGCCTCAAGGATTCTAGAAAAACAGTTATGGACCTGGAATAAAATTCTAAGCTTACAATTGGTTAGATAACACTCTTTTTCTGTAAGTAGGCATGTTTTGATAATATGTTTGCCTTTTAGAAATAATTATATTATGTTTTATAAACTGACATTTGATTTATGCTTATTCATATAAAATAACATTTCAAGATACAGTATATATTAATTTTGCATAAAATATTTAATATCTAACCATCCTATATATATATTTAGGTACATAGTAAGCACAAGCAGTAGTCAGAATGTACATATAACATCTGCTTCAAACAGTTATACTTTGTGAATTATTATTTAACTCCTAAGGGGGAAAATCGCCTTAAAGCCGTAACTGTCTTTTTACATGAAAACATAAAATATATTTGGTAAGCATAGAATATTATAAAGTATAATATTCTATTACATTTTGTTAAATTTACAATATAAAATTTAAAGTTATGAAGGAAAATTTAATTGATTTATTAAACAGACCTAAGTAGAGCTATTTGCCAGGCACTATTCTACATTTATTAACCCTTTTTAATAGTCCAACCACTGGATTATTAAATATATTGGAAGTACTACAGTAAGCTGCATTATGGATAACAAAACTGAGGAAAAGAAAGAAGTAACTTGCCCCAAATTATTCATCTTGTAAATAAACTATGTTCAATTGTCATTCATAGCAGTATCTATATCCCTTCTAGTAGTCAAAATCAAAAGCGAATGGGGCTAAAATAATACATGAATATTGTTATTTTAAATGAATTTAATTTAGATAAAATAATTTAGGTGTTAATTCAGCTTAACATGTTAGATCTATCAGCTAAGAAATCCAAATTAAAATTTTGTTTTGATTGGTTTTGTTTACTTCTCAATGAATAAAGTTGGTCAAGGAAGACTTTAACATTGTTACATTGTTTCTCAGTTTAGAAGACACGTAATGCAATGATGCAGAGGACAGATGCCATGGCAAGAGACTGAAGCTAAATAAACTTCTTCCTTCCATTTTCAAGTGAATATTTATGTTTTATTTCCACTATTAAAGAGTAAACATGATTTTCTTTAAGTATTTGGAATGATATCGAGGGTTAGTCAAATTAAAAAATTACTTAAAAAGGGGTGCATTTTTACGACATCTTAGCAACAATCCTATTTCTGTTGGGAACCTAAGTTGGGATAGAAGATAAAATTAAAATAAATATTGCCAACATGTGTATGTTTTCATATATTTGTTCTTATTTTTTCCCTCACCTTTTTACTTTTAAAAGTTTCAAACCACAGAATATTTAAAAGTAGTAATATCAAGATCCACATACCCTCCACCTGTATTCACCAATGAACATTTTACCATCTTTATCTATGACCTATTATCTATATATCTATCATATTATCATATTCTATTTTTTGCTGAACCATCTGAAAATAAATTACAGATTTTATAAAATGTTAATTCTGTTATTCTTCAGCGTGTATTTCTTAGGAATAAAGATATTTTCTTATGTACCCATAATATAATCATCATATCAAACCAATCCCACCATAAAGTTATCTAATGTAGAGTCCACTTTCAAATGTCTTCAATTTTTCCAGTAAAGTCCTTTATGGATTTTTGTATACTTGTTTATTTATTTTTTATCTAGCATCTAATAAAAGATCATGTGTGGAATCTAGTTGTCAAATCTTTTTAGTCTTCTATAATCTACAACAGTCCTCTGCCTTTTGTTTCTTTTTTATGACATTTACATTCTTGAAGACTATGGGCCAGTTATCTTCAAAAATTTCTCCCAATCTGCGTTTGTCTGATTGTTCTCTGATTAAATTCAGATTAGATATTTTTGGAAAAAAATTCTACATAGTTGATGGGATGTACTTTCTTATTATATCATATTAGGAAGTACATAATGTCAATTTGTCCAGTATTATTGGTGATGCTAAGTTTGATCACTTGGTTAAGGTGATGTCCACCAGATTTTTCCAGTGTAAAGGTATCAGTTGCCCTTTCTAATTAACAAGTCGTGTCACTTCTGCTTGGACAAGATGGCATGGACTAATTACTTTCTGCTGTCCCTCATACATACCCCTATAAACCCTGAAATAAAGCAAGAGGAACCAAAAGAGAACTGTGAAAAGGGTACATAGGAAGGTGGAATGGTTAGGAACCTGAGGGCTGGAGGAACAGCTTAGCAGCAGGGCTCCTTGCAATTCCACACTTAACAGAATAAGGAGCATTTCTTCACTCCCAAAGTAGCAAGAGAAGGTGGCCCATGTAGGTTATTTCTTCCCCTGATTGAACAGTAGCTACACCAACAACACCAAGAGAAGCCAGAGACATAGGCCAGGGGAATTGACGATTCTCACTGGCAATACATGGTTAGGGGACATGCTTTCCTTCCCTGCCAGACTTGAGACTCCCTTTCTCCACTAAAGATGCTAGGAGAACTGAGTGGCGACAATGAATCTACCTCAGCGGCAAGAAAGAATCTACTTCAAAACATCAGGAAGGAACACAGAAAAACAGAAAGAACAGAAATATGGGTATATACAATGGACTATCCTCACGAGCTTTAGAAATGCTATTTAACTATTGAAACAAAAGTTATAGCACCATCTGATACTCAATAATATTTAAAAGTAGGGAAACTAAAGGGTCCAAAATGGAAGTAAGGTATCTATACTTTACTCCAAGTGGTAAATGTTGATATTAATAAAACAGTCTGCTGAATGTGGTACAATATACATATACATATTGTAACAGGAAGATCAGTCACTAATAAAACTATACAAAGAGATAGACTCAAAAGCACTATAAATAAAAGCAAGACAATTCAATGAGGGAGAGAATAGTCTTTTTAACAAATGGTGTTCAGACAACTATATACACATATGCAAAAGAAATTAAAGTTGAGTATTTTAAAACATCTTAATGTAATATTATAAAATATTTATTCCATCGAATGTGTTTTCCTTAACATGCATTTGCTTTGTAAATCAGGGACTAATAATCTGGACCTTCTAGCTCTTCTTTAAAAATCAGAAAATTCATCGAGTAGACTTTAATTTCCACATGGCAACAATAGGTAGGAGTAAATTAGCACCTTCCCTCTTAAGTGAGCCAAATTTCAGTTTCCCCATACTCACTTGGGAATTCCTTAGTGAGGTACGGATGGGTGTCCAAGAAAGATGATATTTCCATTATCCTTGGGGAAAACTTTAGTAACATGTCCACATACGTGTGTAATAAAATAACCAAATGGAAATTTATTTGTAGATTTTCTTTACTTATCACAGCTAATTAACATTTAAATATTTCTTCAGCTTAAAGATGGAGCCTAAGAACAAAGGATTAAAACAGCAGCAACAGCAACATAAGAAACTCCTGGCCGCAATGCTCTCTCAAGATTCTTTTGAGTCCATCCACAGCCCTACCCCATCTGTAACAGAAGAAGATATTGATAATGAAGATGATGCAATGGAATTGCTGGGTAATTTTAAAAATTAATAATTTCTCATTTTCTTCTTTGACATTGTAAAAAAAACGTGTGGTGATTAAGAGATTTTAAAAGTTTTGAATAGCCTTGTCTTAGGGAAAAGAAACCATTTAGTACATATTTTATTTACATTAGACTCACATAAAGTTGCATGTAAGAACTAAATTGAAATACCCTAAGCATATGAATATTTATTAGACTGTATTTTGTGCTTTGTGTATGCTGCACTTTACCTTCTGACTACGTAATGAAGCGTTATTCTGTGTGCAACTGTGATCAAAATTCAAGTCTGTCTGCTTTATTCTCTGATAATAATTGCCTTGTTTACATCTATTGTCTATAAAATATACCCAAAGTACATATTTCAGCCCTCACTCCAAAATGTCTACCTTTTATTTTGAGGATGCTTTAGAAAAATAGAATAAAGTTGAAAGGGGCAGATAGTAAATTCAGGTTTTATGTTTTCCGTAAATGACGGGAAAGTTTGCAGAGATTTCAAAGTTTCTTCAGGCCTGTTACTTTCATGAAACCTTATTAATCTTGTATATGTAGGATATCTTTTTATATTTTTTAATGTAGTATATGTATGTTTTTGCTTCATCAGAAATCTCTTCATATAAATTTTTAAACTGAACTTCTCTTTGGAACATCATTTTTCTGAAGAAAGAAAATGAAATGTTATTTCAGAGTGATCCACATATAAAACAATGAGTTTTGAAGTCAGTGGTATCAATTATTCTGCTACAAATAAAGAGTATGATTTTCAAATACTTTATAACAATATGCTGTTGTATTTTATTTAGAAAGAGAATAAATAATATAATTATTTGAAAGCCTTAAACACGTTTTACATATAGAATATGGAATCTCAGAAAAATATAGGCCATTTTCTGAAGTTTTTGTTAAAAATGAGATTCCTTGGTTTTAAGTGTTTATGGCAGTAAAATACTATCATTATAAAAAATGATATATTGCTTATCATTTTTGCATAGGCCTACAAAGGTGTTATTTGGTCAATGGTGACAGGTTTGAAAGATGTTTTCTGATGCTGTAAAAACTGCATTCATGCTAACATTAAGGAGATTGTATCATGGCGTTTTCATTACATGCTGTTGGTCCCTTCCAATTGGGTCTTTTCCTCACCTCCAAATCATTAACATGGCAGACGTGCCCTATGTGGCAGTGGTAGCTTCATTCAACAAACATTTACTGAGCACTTACTCTATGCTAAGCACTTGGCTGGGGTCTGGGAACATAAAAATAAAATCATTGTGATCTGTGTTTGAAGGAATTTTACATTGTAATGTTCAAGATACAATACGTCACTACCTGTGCTAACTGCGCTAATTGGATGAAGCACACAGTTGTGTATAGGGGTAACACCTAAAGCAGAGGTAAGGGACAGTGACCCAGGAATGTTTCCTAGAGAAGCCGATTACTCTGGCTAGTCCTGAAAAGCAAATAGATGTAAGCTCAGCAGGTGGGGTGTGGTCATTGTAGGTTTGCTCACGTAGGTATGGGCTGTTTTGCGATTGTGCTCCATAACTATACCTGTAAATGGTTCCTCTGCTTTGGACAGTAACAGGGAAGGGGCAACTGAGATCCAGGGTTTCTTTCAGGAGATGCAGTTGTCCACTCCATGCTGGTACTCCCTAGATCTCAGCTGCCCTGACTGAAGGTTCTAGTCTCCCAAGCTGAAGACCGAGGATTGAGTCTTGGAGACTATCTAATGATGAGCAATTAATAACTAGTCCTCATTAATTCTTTTTTTAGACATTTTAGCCTGTGGTCTGAGCAAGTTTAATAATAAGAGATAGTTGAAGGTTTGGACTTTCTTCATGTAATTCCACATATCTCAGCACAGGTGGCAAGCAGTGTAATAATGTTGGTCTCTAGGTCATGAGATTATCCTCTTATAGCTTGGAATGTTACAAGTCCACTGGACTTTATCTTAAAATAATGCCATATTCAATTTCTTGTTTTTGAAATGGATTCCAGCAAAATGTATGTGATTGTGTCTATTTCAGAAAAATATAAATGCTAAGTTCTTGGAAATTTATGTGAAATCTAATTTTATAGAGTTTATATAGAATCATTGTAAGATGCAATAGAGACATCTGGTATTTAAAATCTTTTTGAATCTACATTTTGTAGATGTGTGTGCTATAGCTTATGTGTTTGTAAATGTTTAACTTGTCTTTGTTATCTATACCAAGATATAACTGGCTGAAAAATATTTATTATGCATGGAAAGCACTCTGTAAACCTTGTGAAGTGATAAATAAGTGAAAGGTATAATTGTTAGTTGACATTAATATAAAAAAGGATTATTCTTCAATAAAATTGGTTGATTTGAAGGGAAAAAATCCTTTTAGTTGAACTAGTAGAAGTTAGTAATAACTATTGACTCTTGTTTTGTTTATTAAGGAAACTAGCATTGTTAATATATACTGATTAATATTTAATTATTCACAGTTGTTTAATTATATATTTGTGGATTTCTTTTCTAAATGTTTTAGGCATATGAAAATATTATAGTACAACACCTGTAATTTTTAAGTAGATCAAATATTTTCTGTAAGATTGCTTTAAATGCTCCTTATAAATTCACATTGCAAAAGTAACTTAATATGGAATTAACACTTGTCAGATAATAAAACAGCCAAACTTGTGAATTTTTAAGATATAATCATTTTAAGCACCTCTGAAATTGGTGCTGTAATTATAGAAGATACTGAGTAAAGTATCTGCCAAGTCATCTCATGCTCAAATATAAGATATTTTCAAATATTTTAGTACAAATATTTTAGTAATCGTTCTGGCAATTAATGACCACTATGAAAAAAAGGTTATAGAAAATCTTCACATATTTTTTAAAATTAATAAAATAAATGATTTTCAAAAATGGAATGACAAGTTACAATGGTAGAATGAGAGATTTATTGCTGGGCATAGTGGCTTAAGCCTGTAATACCAGCACTTTGGGAGGCTGAGGTGGGTGGATTGCTTGAGCCCAGGAATTTGAGACCAGCCTGGGAAACATGACGAAACCTCGTCTCTACAAAAAATACTTATATTAGTCAAGTGTGGTTGCATGCACCTATAGTCCCAGCTACTGGACTGAGTCTGGAAGGTCGAGTCTGCAGTGAGCTGTGGTCATGCCACTGTAGTCCAGCCTGGGTGACAGAGGGAGACCCTATCTCAAAAAAAAAAAAAAAAAAAAAAAAAGAAGAAAAAGAAAAGATCTATAAAAATCCCTGTATATTTTACTACATTAATTATCAGAGAACATTTGAGGAACTTCGTTAGTTTAAAAGATATTTCACCTTGGAAACATGTGCCCATTTTTCTTACATTAGATGCATTTTAATCTTATTCTTGTTGAAAGGCGAGTTTCAGTCACGTTTTTGATTATTCTCTTTATGATTGATATTCATTTAAAAATATCAGTATTATTTGAAAGATATAACTACTTTTCTTATACATTCTAATATGGGTATTACTATCCCATACAATTTGTAAAAGTTTATAAAAAATGTATTATGCTTTCTCAGAATTGATGATGAGGCAAGTATATAAAAATCAAATTCCAAAGATGCTAAAAAGGAAAACAATATTAATTATGTTTTATACTTTTTGGTCTTAGCCTATAATTATATAAAATCCAAAATCAAAAGTAAAATTACATTGCGACAAGGTGATTGCAAGTACATTTTATCTGTTTTAAAATGAATAATCAAGAACAAGTGTAATTATACTGGGATTCTTTGCTGAATATAGTCATTGAGTTTCTATTACCTCAATATGTTACCAAATTTTGTAAAATAAAAACAATTTACTAGAAGGAGTTAATACATTAAGGTGATCATTTGACACTTTCTTTCTTATATTCTGATCAACTTTTATAAAGTAAATATTCACTCTTTGTTCTGTTTTTTAAATTGGAGGCTTCTTAAAGAAGAATGTGCCCACATTGGCAAAATAAGAACAAGCATTTTGCCTAATGAGAAATGAATGCTGTCACTGAATGATGTAAAATTTCTTTAAAAAGGAGAGAGAGGGAGCACTAAATGTTTAAAGAAAAATCTACCTACCTATCCATGTACCTATATTTTAATAAAGTATGTAAAATAATCTAAAACACAAGGGACTATACATAGAAACTCTTTTTATCTCTTTGTTTCTTTTGATCTTTAGAATATTGCTCATTGGAAGTAATCAGGATAACAGAAAAGTTATCACCTTAAAATGAATGTTCTTCATAAAAAAGATTATTCATAAGAAATCTAAGGACTTTCTTTTTATTTTCTTTTTTTTTTTAAAGAGATCAAGTCTTGCTTTGGCTAATGCAGTTTGTATCACTTTCTTATGTCCTCCTTCCTGATATATTTTATAGGAGCACTTGAAAAATGAACTGCTTAGAGTAGAAAAAATCACATAAATTATAAAGTAATTCTAGCATAGACTTGAGAAAATGGTTTCTTTATGATTCATTTTCATCATATTATCATGTTAAAAAGCTTTATTTAGGATTCTTTCTTTGCTTTTGCTAAATGTATCTCAGTCCCTTTTATTACCTTCTAGATTTACTTGTTTTGTGTTTAGAATTGTTTTGTTTTTCATACCCTTCATTCTTCACTTTTGTTTTTTTCAGCAAAATATCAAAACATTTGCAAATCGTAGAGATTATCCTTTAAATAAATACAAATCTGCATGCCACCAAAATATATACATCATCCTATGTGATTTACTTTTATGGTGTTTAGTAAGAAATATTGCTTTATTTTCTTGTAAAAAATTTCCAGTGGTAAAAATAAATCAACATAGTAGAATAAACGTCAATAGTTTGAAAATGAAATCTAAACCCATAAACAAATTATTGACAAATGCCTTTTATCTCAATTATACACCTATTGGAAAATTTCTTTATAAGACACAGCCATTTCCAATATATTTGTGAAAAGAGTTGTTTAAAACCTATTTATCACTTTGAATAAGTTCCACGTTTTTTGACACATACCAATAACATAGAATAATATATTTTTTCTTGTTTATGTTATAGCTTTTCACTGAGTACCTTGTAAAGGCATGAGACACAGTGTGATTGGCATATGTGGTGGTGTTAGTGGTATATGGCCAAAGCACCAGCTTATACTCTAATGACCCAGGTCTAGACCTCATGCTACCTCTTGCTAATATTGTCCCCTCAGGTACACGTAATTAATTGTAAAGTGCTGGTGACTACATATGACCTTCCTACTCAACAGGGATGTTGAGAGGATAAAAAAAAAATGAGATATTTCTCTAAAGTGCTTTTTTTTTTTCTTTTTGTCATGGCTAACAGGAATATTTGACAAAAGACAATAGAATTTCTATACAAAACTTTTCTTCTAGATAAATTTATATCCTTGAACCCAGATACATTTTGTATGCTACAGACAAAGGAAAAAAAAAGCTTTCTTTAGCTTTGGGAAGTTGCCTAAAAACAGCAAAAATGTATGTTTCCCACAACACAATAAAATTAAAGGCTTGAAAAGATAAGAGGTAAAGCTATATGTTTTTGCAAGCCAAAATGTTGGCTATACCAACACAAAGCACTAAATTTTTCATTTTTAACTTGGATATTAAAGCAAGGATAGATGATTTGGTTAAGGATGTATAGAAAATTATTCTACTGTCTTTCATTTTCCTCTGTGTAAATGTATAATTCCTAGGAGGAAAAGAAAAATGTTTTCTGCCTACATATGTATCTCTAGTAGCAAAAGTTGGGCTTAGGGTAGGAATAAGGTGGAAAGACAAGGAGATATAGAGAAATTAGAAATTTGTACTATATGTTTACATGCTTATGTAAATAAAATTATAAAAGTGTTGAAAATCTGTTCTTAAAAATTTCTTGAATTATATTTATAAATATGAAAATGTTTGAAGCAGCACAATTTGATGGTTTCACATTAATTCACTGTGTAAACAAACCTAAACTAAATTGAAAAGCAGTGTTACATATTATTAAGGTATTGTTGCTTTTGAAATAAACTTGCCCACTTCAAATGCTTTATAAAATGGTGATGCTATATTTCAAGATCATTTGTTTAGCCATAGTAGTAATTTTCATCTAACTTGACTGAGTTTAAATTTTGTACTCTATTTAAAAGTCATTTGAAAGCAGTGCAAAATCATAACTTTATTGTAGTTTTATTCGTGGTTGAAAATGTGCAAAGAAGTGTAATTAATTCAGCACTTGGTTGCATTTTAACATCAAAACCAACAGATATTAAAGAAGCATTAAAACTCTTGATGAACTTATTAAAAATCAAATGTATAACTATAGGAATCCATTTAAATTTTCATATATCACAATATTCCCAACAACTTATTAAAATATCTCTAAATAGAAACCTTAAAATTATTGTAGTTGGCCAAGCACGGTGGCTCACGCCTGTAATCCCAGCACTTTGGGAGGCCGAGGCAGGTGGATCACCTGAGGTCAGGAGTTCGAGACCAGCCTGGCCAACATGGCAAAAATCCCATCTCTACTAAAAATACAAAAAATTAGCCAGGCATGGTGGCACATGCCCGTAATCCCAGCTACTCGGGACACTGAGGCAGGAGAATCACTAGAACCTGGGAGGCAGAGGTTGCAGTGAGCCGAGATTATGCCATTGCACTCCACCCTGGGCAACAGAGTGAAACTCCGTCTAAAAAAAAAAAAAATTATTGAAGTTTAATACTAAATACATGTTAACGGAAGAGTGGGCACAAAACTTGTCAATTATTTTCAACATCTGAAAAAATGGCAGCTTTTATGAGGTTTTATTCAAGTATTTTTAAAAAGAATATTATAAACACATTTTCAAAATCCCAAATGGTAAACTAGTCCTATGTGTGAATTATTTTTGAAATGAAAATCTTATGATTTTTCTTTTAAAAATGTCTTATGTTCAACAATTTCAGAGAGAAAATAATCATAACAATATTAAATATTTTTTTAAATTGCTCTGAAACTATTAAATAGAGGAGCACTAAAGAACAAAATGGAAAAAATATAAGTGTTCTAATTAAGGTAAATCAAAATCTAGTGATTTTATTTTACTTTTCAATTTTTTGGTTTATGTCTGCAAAAGACAGTTGAAGGTCTTATTTTAATAAATGATGTATTTCTTATATCTAGTATGAACTTAAAATTTCATATACAATTTTATGTATTTATTTTTTATCTCTGGCACTTAATGACAGAAAAAATTTCATATATAGTTTTAATTTCTTTAAAACTTTTTCAAGAATTGTCAAAAGAGGATTTGTTGGACTAGCGCTTTTTCACTTCTTAAGTGCTCTCATATGCTGTCATAGTTACTTTTTGATTACAGACATTTTGAGAGGACTCTGTATTTAAAGAGTTTAAAATAGAGGCCAGGTGCGGTGGCTCACTCCAGTAATCCCAGCACTTTGGGAGGCCAAGGCAGGCAGATCACAAGGTCAGAGTTTGAGACGAGCCTGGCTAGTATGGTGAAACCCTGTCTCCACCATAAACGCAAAAAAATTAGCCAGGCGTGGTGGTGCATGCCTGTAATCCCAGCTACTCGGGAAGCTGAAGCAGGAGAATTGCTTGAACCCAGGAGGCGGAGGTTGCAGTGAGCCAAGATCACGCCACTGCACTCCAGCCTGGGCGACAGAGCGAGACTGCGTCTCAAACAAAAAAAAAAGAAAGAAAGAATTTAAAATAGAGTATTATTAATATGGTAAAACAAAGTTTAAATTTATTGCAGGAAATTAATTATATGGAAGAGAAAATAGCATAATATTAGAAGTAATAATAGCGTGACCTTTGTGTTCAGATAGCCCTTGTTTGAAGCTTCGCCACCGACCCTAATTATATGATTTAGGGAAAGTAACTTTTTTCCTTCAAGTATCAGTCCATTATCAGAAAAATGGAATTAATAACAATACTCATATCTTAGGGTTTCGTGAGGATGAAGTAAAATCATGCATGGAAGGTACTCAGTATATCTGATAAAGAATTAGAGCTAGTTCCAGGCATGCTGGCTCACACCTGTAATCCTAACACTTTAGGAGGCATAGGTGGGATGATTGCTTGAGTTCAGGAGTTCAAGACCAGCCTGGGCAGCATAGAGAGACTTCATATTTATTAAAAATTTAAAAAAAATTACTTAGGTGTGGTGGTGTACGTCTGTAGTCCCAGCTACTTGGGAAGCTGAGGGGAGAGGATCACTTGAGCCCAGGAGGTTGAGGCTGTGGTGAGCTATGATGGCACCGCTGCACTCCAGCCTGGGCAATAGAGTGAGATTTTGTCTCAGAAAGAAAAAAAAAAGAAGAATTAGAGATAGAGAAAAGACTTGTTACTATAATTCATATCATTTTAATACCAACGCCTCTCCTGTCTTTAGCATGTAAGTTTCGTGCATGTTATAAAGTAAGACCATAGAAGTTTGGCCTTAGGGGTTTAAATGCTTAGTCTTATCCTAAATATCTCAGTTAGAAATGCTCCACATAGTTAGAAATTATTTCAACAAGTACCATCTTCTTGATAGTTAAGTCTTACTTCTAATTTCTTCCCTTCTTTTAAAGATCACAGACAACTTTCTGAAAAGATCATGGCATAGAACTTGAATTTTCCCTAATGTGTTAGAATGAATCTTGGCCTATTCACTTATTTAAAGACAGTACACTCATTATAAAAGAACATTATCATGTTCAAATTTTTCATGTAGTTTGACTGAACCAATTATTTTAAACAATTTGAAATATTCAAGCTTTTTATTTAAAAAGTATCAAAAGGTAAAATGATATATCTGGTTTTCTATTATATGTATATGCATTTGTTTTTGTTATTAGGTGGGTGCAAAAGAAATTGCAGTTTTGCCACTACTTTTAATGGCAATTACTTTTGCACCAACCTAATACAAGGTTACTTGTCTCCCTGATTTATAGTCATAGACACTCTGGGGTTTTCCTGTAGCATGGAAAAGATGGTATTGGGCTTGTAGAAACGTACAACTTGATTGGCCCCCATGAATTCCAACTTACAGTGGGAATGGAATGTGCAGAATTCCAAGCCTGCCTCAAAGAAATAAACATTTTCCAAAGCTTATACAGGCTATACACTACCTTTGTATTACAATGCATTCTCTTATCTTCTCACAATACAGAGAATCCACATCTAATAATATAAGAAATATATCAAGAGATGTCAGGGAAAAGGGACAAAACTTTTCCTTTCTTTTCTTTTTTTCTCCCAGGTTACATCTGATTTGCTTATCTTTTCTTTACGGACTTTTTCGCATTTATGATCTGAAACTTTCACAGTTAGCATTGGTAATATTTTGATACCATCTGAGTTCTACATCTTGGTGGCTGAGTTAAGGGCATCTTTTATAGAAAGTAGTTTAAGATAGGAAAGATATCTTTATTCATATATATAGTCTAAACACAAAAGGGCCAAGCAAGTTCTGTGCAACTCTATTTTGATAAGGAAAATTGAGAATGTGAGTGGAGTTATTTTCCAACATAAAGCTTTCAACTGAGAGATAGAAAGTCTTGAAAACATACATTTTATTTATTTATTTTTATAATCAGTCTCTGCTTATCCAAGAACATACGTTTTTTAAAAACCCACCAAAATCACAAAAGCATTTCTTTTACAATAAGGTTTAGATTATTTGCTCATGGAGCTATTTCTTTTTCTGCCAAGTAGCAAACCTGATTGTTCCTTTAGAAAATGCCATTTTGTTTAAAACATACTCTCTAATCATAAAGAGTAATACCATCATACTATACATATTTAAAAACTTATTCTTTATTTTCCAAGTTGTATTATTGCTTTCTCTAGTAAGCAGCAGTTTAAGTAATTTTTCCATAAACAAAGAAAACCAAGTGAGAAAAGCCATATATGGTCATTACTGATCTTAAAATTGTTTCAGGATCTTAATATTCTTAGTTCTTTCTGCCACTTCGATATTCAAATATGCATATTATTAATATGCTTTCATGGTTTAATACCTTCCTAATAAGCAAAAAAGTTTAGACATTTGAACAAAGAATGATGCTTTCTGAAAAAACTATTGGCATTTGTAATTCAATATAGGCTAATTTCAGGGCCTTTTAATGTGAAATCATCTGAGATTCAAATTTCCTTTTAAATAATATTAATTTTGATTATGAAAAGATATTTAATGTAGAAAGCACAGAAATACAGAAGTCAAAATGAATAAATAAATATTACCTTGGAATAATTACTGTTGATGTTTTAGTGATGTGCTTTCTAGATGCTTTTGCATATAGTGCGTGTAGAATAACATTAACATTTATGTACATTTACAATATACAATGTACTGTGCTAAATGATTTCTGTATATTACTTAACAATCACAAACATACAGTGGATCAGGCAATATTATTCTCACCACAGAAAAGGACACAGATTCTTGATAAACAAAATTTACCCAGATTACATAGTTGGTACTCAGGAGTCAGATTCCAAAACCTGCAATTAAACACTAACTATGCAACACGTAAACATTAAAATCCAAATTCATATTAATATTTTATATTTACATGAGTATATATGTAGTTTTCTTCTGATAAAGTTTTTGAATTTAATATAGGGGCTCTGTTTCCAGTCATAACAGAATAACTGGTAATAACTGGCTGTAACCCTCCACATTGAACAGTTATAAAACTGGACAAAATATCTGAACTTGACTCTTTAGACTCTGAACAAAAGGCAGCACAGGTGTTTGGTTCTTGAGAGTAGGGAAATAAACAAGGTGAGCTCTGTGTTTCACCCCGGCTTTCCTCATGGTGACACTCCCCTGGCCAACTTGTTTGAAAGTGGAACTCAGGTGTAGAATGAAGAGTGGTGATCCCACAGACCTAAGGAGCAAGAGACTGGCATTTGGGATTGCTGAGGTGACTGGTGTTTGTTGAACACCAAAAGAAGAAAGCTGAGAAGAGGGTATGGACATAGTCTACAGGGGTGCTCCTCTTGGGTTCGTAGCTCAATACTGGGATGCTCTTACAAGAGCAGGACCACTCAAGACCTGAGAGAATGCTTATTGTGTCTGAGAAGTGAATAGAGAAACAGAAACCAAACTGAGCTGGGACACATCGTAGAGCTTTTACCCAGCAAGAAAGAATAAATCTCCCTGAATTTCTTGGTCACTCAAAGGAAACCTTGGAAAAGTCAAATATTAGGGACACACACTGAATTGACAGCCATGCCTAAGAATGAGGAAAGCGTTTAAATAGACCCAACTAAACCCATGAGTACAAAGGTGAAGTTGATCTGTCCATAATTTAATTCCTGACAGAACAAAACTCAAAACTCAACATCCTTTAGAGAAGACCACATAAGCCAGCATCCTTAAAAAGAATCAACAGAAAGTAAACAATAGAAACAGACCTCAATATATGCAACTGTTGTAATTAGCTAACAAAGACTTGTAAAAAGGAATTATTGTACATATTGTATGCATTTAATGGAAAAGAACATAAGGAGTAAATAGATGGAAAATCTCA
Source organism: Homo sapiens (assembly GCF_000001405.40). Taxonomy (NCBI): domain Eukaryota; kingdom Metazoa; phylum Chordata; class Mammalia; order Primates; family Hominidae; genus Homo; species Homo sapiens. The sequence continues at coordinate 68,544,688 of NC_000008.11, forward strand.
GCAGAGAAATTGAAACTAGAAACAGAACCAAAGAAGAGTCTAGAATTGAAAAGTTTAGTATCCAAAATTTTAAAAACCATTTTGTAAGATTGATAGCTTATCAAATAATTCGGAAAAAAAATCAGCAAATTTGAAGATACGTCAACAGAAATAATTCAAATTGAAAAGCAAAGATTAAAGAAAAAATAAAACAAGCTTCATTGGTCAGTGCAACATACAAAATAATAAGAAATTTTATCAGAATTATGCAGATAATGAAAGAAAAATAATGGAAAAAAACATTTTAAGAAATAATGTCCATTTTATCCCCAAATTTGGTTACGAGCATGAATCCATAAGAAGTTCTGGATAAAACAGGATCAGAAAAATACACCTAGCCATATTGATATGGTTTGGCTGTGTCCCCAACCAAATCTCAACTTGAATTGTAGCTCCCATAATTCCCATCTGTTGTGGGAGGGACCCAGTGGGAGATAATTGAATCCTGGGGGCGGTTTTCCCCATACTGTTCCCGTGGTAGTGAATAAGTCTCATGAGAGCTGATTATTTTATAAGGGGTTTCCCCTTTCACTTGGCTCTCATTCTGTCTTGTGTGCCACCATGTAAGACATGTATTTTGCCTTCCTCCATGATTGTGAGGCCTCCCAAGCCAGGTGACACTGTGAGTCATTAAACTTCTTTTTTTCTTTTTATAAATTACCTAGTCACAGGTGTGTCTTTATTAGCAGCATGAAAACAGACTAATATACATATTATAGTCAAACTGCTAAAATTCAGTTATAGATAGAAAAACTCAATAGCATTCAGAGAAAAAAAAGATAGTACAGTGGTGGAACAATGATGAAATATCAGCTGATACTTTATCAGGAATAACTACGGCCAAAACACAATGGGATAATAGCTTTGAAGTGCTCAAAAAAATGCCTTCCAAAATTTTACATCCAGTAAAAATATTGTTCAAAATGATGGCAAAATAAAGATAGTTAAGCAAAAGCTGAGAGAACATGTTATCAGCAGACCTGCATTATAAGAACTGTTAAAGCATCCCTCAGGCTAGAAGGAAATGATACCAGAGGGAAAATCAGATCTATAGAAAAGAATGAAGATTAGCTGAAATGGTGAATATGTAAGACTATCTTACTTTTCATTAATTTTCAAAGACAATTGACTGCTTAAAGCAAAAATACAAACAATGTAGTATAGAGTTTATAATAAACACAGCATTAAAATTATGTGATAAAACAGCACAAAGAATGATAGTAAATGAAATTACAGTGCTAAAGCTTCTACATTATTATAAGAGGTGATATAATATTTTTTGTAAGTAGAACATAATAAATTGGGAATGCATTTCTTTAATTCCAAGAGCAGTCACTTAAAAATGTTAAAAAAAGTACAAAGAGTTTTCCCTAAAAAGCTAATATAAAACATCACATAGAATACTAAAATATATTTGACTAAGGAGGAACTAATGCACACAAAGCAGTTGGGGCAAATAGAAAATAGCAGAATGGTAAACTTAAACCTGAACACATTAATAATTACATTAAGTATAAATGAATTACACACACCAATTAAAAGGCAGAGGTTGTCAGACTGGATAAACGAGCAAAACTTGTAAGCTCACTATAAGATTCACACTCTGAAGGCCAGAGAGGTTCAAAGTATAAAGTTAGCAAAAGAATTATATGCAAAAAGTAGGCAAAAGAGAGTTATAGCTTAATGATAAAAAGTATATTCAATAGGAAGACAAAACAATTCTAAATGTATATGCATTTAAAACAGTTTCAAAATACATAAAGTAAAAACTGACAAAACTAAAAAAAAAGAGACAAATGGGATATCATAGATGGATATTTAAACATATTTCTCTAAATAATTCATAGAAAAGTAGAGAAAAATCAGTAGAGATATAGAAGATTGGAATAACAGTATCAACATTTACAGTAGATTGAAATTTATAGTACAATATGCCAAACAGCTACAGAATACAAATTATTTTCAAGTGCAGATGAAATGTTTATAGAAATAGTCCATATACAGGGTCAACTTTCTGTACTTTTATAACAACATGATTAAATTAGAAATCCATCATGGACATTTAAGAAAATTTCAAAATATTTGGAAATCAGACAGTTTTAATAACAAATGGGTCAAAGAAAAATAAAAAGAAAACTTAGAAAATAATTCAAACTAAATGATAAAAATACAACACATAAAATCTCTGGAGATATAGCCAAAACAGTGGTTAATGAGAAACCCAGAGCTTTAAACAAGAAAGTTTTAAAATTATTGATATAAGTTCCTATCTTAAAAAGCTAGAAAATAAATTCAAATTGTATCCAAATAAGTAGAAAAAATGAAAAATACAGATGAAATGAATCAATGAAATCAAAATATGTGAACATACAGAATATTAGCAATGCCAACACTGAATAATTCTTAGTAGTACTGGCAAAGAAAAAAGTAGAGAACCACAAATTACCAGTATTGGAAATGAAAGACGGGAACTGATTTTACTACAGATCTTACAGACACAAAGGATAACAAAAGACTATTACAAACAAATGTATGCCAGCAAATTTGCCAACTTAGATATAAGGAAAAATATTCTGACAAAACACATCACAGCAGATGTAAAACAAGAAGAAAAGTATGTCTAAATAGTCCCATGTAGGTTAAAGAAGTTAAATTTGTAAGCAAAATGCTTCCCAAAAAGAAGACTTCCAGTTCACATGATTTCATTGGTAAATTCAATCACATATTTAGAGAAGAAATAATGCCAAATGTAACAAATTCTTTCAGAAAATAGAACAGAGGGAACACTTCTCGGATTGTTTGAAAACCACCATAGCTGATACCAAAACCTGGCAAAGACATTAAAAAGAAAAAAGAAAATTACAGATGAATACCCCTTATACACATAAGTATATACACTTAAAAATATTGTTAAATCTCTATGACACAGTACAGTCTCAAATGAATTTCTAATAGGCTTAGAAAGTTGACATTCAAATTCTAAAGTTTATATGGAAATAATGACCTTGAATGGCCAAAATCATCTGAAGAAAGAACAATGTCATCAGTGGAATTATAGGATCTGATTGCAAGACTTACCCTAAGGCTATAATAATCAAGACAATGTGGTATTGACATAAGGCTAGAATAACAGATTAGTGGAATGGATTACAGTCCAGAAATAGATCCACACATATGTGGTCAATTAGTTTTTAACAAAGCCACCAAGGCAATTTGATACAGAAAGGAAAATATTTTCAACCATTGGTGCTGGAACAATTGAATAAATGTAAAGAAAGAGAATGAACTTTGACCCTCTACGCCACAACAAACATTACTTTGAGATGAATTATAGCCCAAACATAAAAGCAGAGACTATGAAACTTCCAGAGAAAATGTATAATATATTCAAAACATTGGCCTGGCAAAAATTGTTTAGAAATAACAAAAATCACTAAAGATGAAAGAAAAAATGGATAAATTAAACTTCATTAAATGACAGATTGCTTCTCAAAAAATAAAAAGAAAAATTGTAAATGCATTCCACTCACTGATTTAGATAAAATATATACAACATATTAAAATCTGACAAATGTGTATCTAAAATATATACAGAACTCCTGCAAATCAGTTTTTTAAAAAGACAACCTAATTAAAATAGGCAAGGAAATGTAATAGGCACTTCTCAAAAGAGATAAACAAATGGGAAATAAGCACTTGAAGAATGTTTAACATAATTAACCATCAGGGAAATAAAAATTAAAACAACATTGAGATGCCACTTCCTACCAGCTAGAATTGGTAAAATGAAAGATTCTCAACACTAAATGTTGCTAAGTACGTGGAGCAGCTGGAATTCTCAAACATTGCTAATGGGAATGCAAAATTTTACAATCACTTTGTATGATGTGTTTAGCAGTGTCTCATAAAGTTTAATATCTACTTGCTCTATGACATAGTCATTCCTAGATATTTTCCCAAAAGGTGATAAAATATATGTTCACAAAAATATTTGCATAAGAAAACAATTTTATTCAAAATAACCCAAACAGAACACAATACAAATGTCAATCATCAGGAGAATATGTAAACAAATTGTTGTATATTCATACAATAGAATACTGTTTAACAATAAAAATCAATTACATACTGATACGTGTAACAATATGGATGAATCCTATTGCTATTGACTAAATTTTGTCCTCCCACAATTCATGTTGATGCCCTAACCCCAATGGGATTGTATTTGGAGACAGGGCTTTTAGGAGGTAATTAAGGTTAAATAAGGTTATAAGAGTGGGGTCCTAATCTGATAGAGTTGTTAGCCTTTAAAAGAAGAGCAACAGAGAGAAATTCTCTTCATGCACACATAGAGATAAAAGGAGTGAGGACACAGATAAAAGGATGTGAGGACACAGTTAGAAGGCAGCCATCAATAACCCAAGGAGAGAGTCCTCATTAAAAACTGACCATTTTGGCACCTTGATTTTGAAACTTCCAGCCTCCAGAACTGTGAGAAAATAAGTTTCTCCATTTAAGCCACCCAATCTATGGCAATCTACAGTATTTTATTTTGTCACCTTTAGCTAACTAAGACACTCATAAATATGTTTGTTCACAAAGGAAACTAGACACAGATTATTATATCCTATATTAATTTAATCATAAGAAATTTAAGAACAGGCCAAAATAATCTATAGTGATAGAAATCAGAACAGGTGGGGAGTGAGGGATTGACTTGATATTAGCATAAGGAAACTTTCTATGGTGATGGAAATATTTTATATTGATACATACATTTACCAAAACTCATAATATTATACACTTAGTATCTGTGCATTTCACTGCACATTTTACTTCTAAAAAATAAAATAGTGATTTTTATATATAAAAATCATGTCTGCATAATGTTACATCATGAGAATATCTGAGGAGTCAAAATTAAACTTGAAATTTGGTCTTGCTTCTGAAGTGAAATGATAATGATGATATTGAGATCTCTAATTATAATAGTAGATTTATCTATATTTCCTCACAGTTCTGTCAGTTCTCATCTTGTGTATTTTGATGCTTTGTTGTTAGGCACATAAATATTAAGGATTGTGATATATTCTTGACTAATCAACTCCTTTATTGTTCTAAGCCCCTCTTTTATCCCTGATAGTTTTTGTTGCTCTGAAGTTTGCTCTGTCTGAAAATAATATAGCTACTTCATCTCTCTTGATTAGTGTTAGCATGGTATATCTTTCTCTATCCATTTAATTTAGTCTTTATACATGTTTATATTTAAAGAGAGTTTCTTGTAGACAGTACGTATTTTGGCTTTGATCACTTTGGCAAACTCTTTTAATAAGCATATTTAAACCATTAACATTTAAAGTAATTATTGATGTAACTGGATTAATATCTACCATTTTTTCTTGTTTTCTATGTATTATTCTTGTTCTTTGTTCCTACTGTTGTCTTCCACCCTGTTTCTGCCTTTATGGTTTTAACTGAGCATTTTATATAATTCAACTTTCTCTCCCTTCTTAGTATATCTGTCATACTTCTTACTTTTTTTAGTGGTTGCTATGGAGTTTGGAATATATATATTTATAGCTATTCCAAGTCCATGTTTAAATTATACTATATTGCTTCATGGGTAGTTCAAATACCTTGTAATATCAAAATACTCCTAATTCTTCCCTAATATTCCTTGTATTATTGCCATCATTTACTTCATATATACATATGCATACACACATGTGTAATTTAATACATTGTTGCTATTATTTTGAACAGCTATCTGTTAGATCAATTAAGATTAAGAAAAACAAAAGTTTTGATTTCACCTTCACTTGTTTATTTTCTAATGCTCATTTTTTCTTTATACAGATCCAAGTTTCTGACCTACATCATTTTCTATCTCTCTGAAGAACTTCTTTTAACATTTGCTGAAAGAGAGGTCTACTGGCAACAAATTTCCTCAATTTTAATTGGTCTAAGAAAGTCTTTTTTTCTCCTTCAGTTTTAAAGGAGATTTGATATTTTCATATGGTACAGGAATCTAAGTTGGTGTTTTTGTGTTTTTTTTTTCCCCCTCAGTGCTTTAACTATTTCACCCTACTCTCTTCTTGCTTGCATCATTTCTGAGGAGAAGTCAAATGTAATTCTTATGTTTCCTCCCTAATGGTAAAGTTTTTTTTTTTGTTTTGTTTGTTCTGCTTCCCCCCCTCTGGTTTCTTTCAAAGTTTCTTCATCTTCAATTTTCTTCAGTTTGCACATAGTATGCCTAGGTATAGTTCTACTGACATTTTCCTACTTAATGTTCTCTGAGCTTCTTGGATCTGTGGCTTCGTGTCTGACAGTAACTTAGGGGAAATTCTCAGTCAAAATTTCTTGAAATATTACTTCTCTTTTCTCTCTTTCCTCTCTTCCTGGTATTTTCATTATGCATATGTTACATTTTATACAATTGCCCCACAGTTCTTGAATATGCTGATGTGATTTTTTTATTTCTTTTTTTCTCTTTGCTTTTTTGTTTTGAAAGTTTTATTGACATAATCTGAAGCTCAGAGATTCTTTTTTCAGCCATGTCCAGTCTACTAATGAGCTATCAAAGGTATTCTTCATTTTTCTTACCATGTTTTTTATCTGTAACATTTCTTTTTTAATTCTTTCTTAGAATTTTGCTCTCTATGCTTTCATTGCTCATCTTTTCTTTCATGCTATCTACTTTATCCATTAGAGACTTTACTGTATTAATCATGGTTTTAAAAAATTTCAGACTGATCATTTCAACATCCACACTATATCTGAATCTGGTTACTTCTTGTTTCCTCTCTCTTCAGGCTATAGGAGGTTTTTTGTTTGTTTGTTTGGGGCTTTTTTGTGCCTTTTATTATGTCTTGTAGTTCTTTCCTGATAGGCAGACATGATGGACTGGTTAAGAGAAACTGCTGTAGATATGCCTTTAGCAATGTGTAAGATGGGGATGGGGGAAGAAGTGTTCTATAGTCTCATGATTGCATCTCTGTCTTTTAGTGAGTCTGTGCTTCTAGACTTTGAACTTCATATGTACTCTCCACTCCCCTCTGCCCCACCTTAGCTAAGTCAGAATGTCTAAAAATAAACTCATGTTTTCTTCTAAAGGTTTTAAAGTTTTAACTCTTACATTTATGCCCATGATTTCTGTTGAGTTCATTTTTATTTATGGTGTGAAATATGAATCCAATTTCATTGTTTTGCATGTGGATATTCAGGAGTCCCACATGCAAAACACCAATTTGTCAAAAGATGAATTTTTTCCATTGAATTTGCTTGGTATTCTTGTTGAAAATCAATTGACCATACATGTTTGAGTTTATTTCTGGACTCTCAATTTTATTCCAGTGACGTACATGTCTGTCTTTATGACAATACCACACTATCCTAATTACTCTAGCTATGTGATATGTTTGGAAATGAGTAAGTCCTCCAACTCTGTGCTTTTTCAAATTTATTTCCCTTGCATTTCTATCTAAATTTTAGAGTCAACTTAACTTCCTCAAAAACATCACCTCGAATTTTAATACAAATTTCATTAAATCTGTAAATCAATTTGGGAAGTATTACCTATATTAACTATTCTAATTCATTAACATGCAATATCTTTCCAATTATTTAGATCTTTAATTTTTTAAGAATATTTTTTAGTTTGTCAGAGTACAAATTTTATACTTCCTTTGTTAAATTTAGTCCTAAGTGTTTTTTCCATGCTATTGTCAATGAAGTTGTTTCTTAATTTCCTTTTTGGATTCTTCATTGACAGTGTGTAGAACATAATTCATTTTGTACACTAATTTTTTTATTTTGCAGTCTTACTTAATGTTTGTCAGTTATCATAGGTTTTTTAGTGGTTATTTAGGATTTTCTATATACAAGACCAAAATAGAAGTGAACAGAGTGGACATCCTTGTACTGTAATTTAGGGGGAAGCATTGAGTCTTTCAACATTAAGTATATGTTGGCTGTGGATTTTTTGTAGATTCTCTGTTAACTTGAGAAAGTTCTCTTTTATTTCTAGTTTGTTAAGTTGTTGTTGAATCATAAAGATGTTGGATTTTTGTCAAAATTTTGGCATCTACGAGATGATCATGTGGTTTTTATTCTTTATTAATATGGTATCTTGTATTAATATTTTATTTATATGTTACCTCAACCTTGTATTTCAGGGATAAATCCTTATTTGTTGTTTCTATAATTCCTTTTATATGTTGCTGAATTCAGTTTACTAGTGTTTTGTTGAGGACTTTTGTATCTACGTCTATAAGAGATATTGTTGTTTTGTTTTATTTTATTTTAATGCCTTTATCTGGTTTTGGAATTATGTAAAACTGGTCCCATAGCATGAGCCTGAAAACATATCCTCCACTGGGGCCAGGCATGGTGGCTCACACCTGTAATCCCAGCACTTTGGGAGGCCGAGACAGGCAGATCATGAGGTCAGGAGATCGAGACCGTCCTGGCTAACACCGTGAAATCCTGTCTCTACTAAAAATACAAACAATTAGCCGGGCATGGTGGCATGTGCCTGTAGTCCTAGCTACTTGGGAGGCTGAGGCAGGAGAATAGTGTGAACCCGGGAGGCGGAGCTTGCAATGAGCTGAGATGGAGCCACTGCACTCCAGCCTGGGCGACAGAGCGAGACTCCATCTCAAAAAAAAAAAAAAAAAAAAAAAAAACATATCCTCCACTCATTTTTTGGAAGAGTTTATGAAACACCAGTACAAATTCTTTAAATGTTTGGCAGAATTCTCCAATGAAGCCATCTGTATCTGGAGTTTTAAATTGCGATTCAATCCCTTTGCTTGTCAAAGGCCTATTCAGATTTTATATTTTTTAATTGGGTTAGTTTTGATAATTTATTTATTCCTAGGAATCTGTCCATTTCATCTGTTATTTAATTTGTCGGCGTACACTTGTTCAGAGCATTCCTTTTTTATATCCGTATGGTCAGTAGCCCCCTTTTTTATTTCTGATTTTAGTAATTTAAGCCTCCTCTCTCTCTCTTTTTCTTGGTCAGACTAGCTAAAGATTTGTAACTTTTGTCAATATTTCAAAGAACTAACTTTTGGGTTTGTTGATTTTTCTCTTCTCACATTCTTGACTGTGAAGTAATAAATATGTTTATTCTATGCCACAACAAAAGTTTTATGAAAAAAAATGAGAAGTTTGAAGTTGTGGAAAACTCTTCTGAGTTTAATAAGTTGAAATAATGAGGGGAATTCAAATTCAATGAAAATCAAAAAATGAGATAGTATAATTAATAACACATCATATTTCAAGAAACTTTTAAATGTGCTCTTTTCTCTGTGTGCCTCAAGTCAAATTGGTTAGCAAATTGAAAAAAATCCAATAAAAATATCTACAGGTTTATCATCTGAAATTTAACCTTTTAAAGGTTTTATAGTCTTGTTATATAAAGTTCACATTCATATAGCAAAAGTTTGAGATGTATGTTATACTTACAACTCTAGTTTATATTTTTCAGTAAGTTCTTCCTTGAAATTCCTACCTTTATTGACAATATAAGGTAAAGCAGCCATTTATTAATGCATAGGTGGTGGTAGCAGCTGATCTTCTGTGAGAAATTTTGCTTTGAATTAAGTTTAGTGGATGACCCTGGCTTTATTTGATTTCTAACAGTTTCTTTAATTCTTTTAGCTATTATGGAATTAACCTGTATCTAAACAGAGAATCATATTTGATTAAATTTAGTCAAAAGAAAGAAACTTGTTAAATGTGATTAAATGACTTTTTTGTATATGAGGTACAGTCACTCTTTTTTTCCTATCTCAGCTGCTATTCATGGTCCTTAATATAATTATACAATAGTTTAAAAGAATAACTTTGAGATTTTAGTTTTCTTCATAGTTTATTAAGCATTGCTACAGGTTAAGCCACCATAGTAAGTGTTTTATATGCATTATCACATTTAATTTTCATAATAACCCTATAGTGTGATTGATATCACTCCCATTTAAAGACAAGGCAAATGAGGCTCAAAGACATTTAATGACTTGGACAAAGGCAAATGTCTAGTCATTGGCAGATCTAAAATTCAAATGCAGTGTAACAAAACATGGCATGGAATTGTGTATACACACCCACATATCTTTTTTAAAAAAATTACTTTATGTGCCATTATATTTTAGTTTTGTCCCTTGTTAAACAACCTTAGATTGCTCTTGTATTTTTCAAAATTAACCTCAGAGACATGCTCTCTATTTGGTAGCTTTACTCTGTTTACATTTATTGTGGATCTGAAAATACTTGGCTTTATTTTGCCACTTTTTTATGTTTACACTTTTAATACTTTTTTATGTTTTAAAAAGTTTCTGTTTGTTTTCATACCCTATTTCCTTTCCTTTACTGATTTCTATTGTTTTGCAAGTTTTATTGAATAAGCCCAAAGGGATAGTGTGGTATAGTAAAGAGAACAAGCATTGGAGACAGAAAGCCATTGTTTCAGCCTCTCAAGTTCATTACTAATTGTACAACCTTGAGCCAATTATTTTAGCTTCTCTCTTAGTTTCCTCATCTGCAAAACTGGGATACCATTTGGAGGATTGTTGTGAGGATTAAGAGAGTAAATATATGTAGAATAGTGCTTGATGCATAGCAATAAGAAGCATTTTATGAGTGTTGGCTATTTTCCACCTCTCTTTTGTTCTTTTATCTTTTACCCTGGTGAGATTCATGCATTCTACTTACATTCTTTAACTTTTTTAACGTACATGTCTTGCAGCTTTAGGCTTCTCCTTAGCAAGACTAAGATTTTAGAAAACTCTTATACTATTAATTTTCTGCCTTTCCCTAATTTCAGTCTTCTATCTCCATCATTCCAGTTCCCTCCCTTCTCTAGAGGTAATTATTATGCTGATGTTGGTTTTGGTTTTTATTCTATTATTTCACAGTTTTACATGCTCAGGGATGTATCAATAATAATGTATATATTTTTTAAATTTACGTCTGCAATATTGTACTATGCATACAATTCAAAGTTTCTTTTTCAATTAATTTTGTGTTTTAGAAATTTATTCATGTAGGTATATGTAGGTATAGTTCATTTACTTTACCTGCTACTTAGCATTCTCTTGTATCAATATGCCAAAATGCATTTATCCATTTCTCTATTCATCAATTTCCAGATTTACACTATTACCCTAGGTACCACTATGAATATCCCTGTCCTATTTTCTTGGGCAACTTTGTTTGAGTTTCTTTTGGGTTCACACCTGAGAGTGTCTAGCACTTTTGTATTTGAAATGGCAGAAAGCATTTTGTGACAGTCAGTCAGCCACATTAGTAGCAACTTACATTGTGTAATTTAATCAAATCCACATACTAGTACATGAAATACATCCAAATTATTAGCTTTGAAAAACAAGTAGCAAACCTTATGTATGTCACCTCATTTTTGAAAAAAAAATTATGGCCAAAAAGTATATAAATTTCATTAGCTATAGATATATAAATATTTATATTTATCTCAATCTCTATCTAGTAAACCAAGCTACTATCTATAGTTAAATTTGGGGAGCAGTATTAAGGAAGGAGGGAATCTTTTTTTTTTTTTTTTTTGCTTTATATACTTCCTTATTGTTTGATTTTGTACACAGCCATTTTAAACAAGAAGAAGATACTAAAACTACTATGAATTTTAGGATGAAATTATTTATTCTAAATAATTTTTTGTGATTATTCTGTCATTTCCCTGATTAGTATCTTGATAATTTTGCTAACAGTGCAAACTCTGTAGGCTTGAAATGCAGATTGTGAGCTTGTTTTGAAGACTGTATGTAGCGCACAAGTCAGGAGGCATAGCCTGACTCAGCAAACCCCAGGATCCGGGCACAGGAGCAGGTGTGGAAGTGATAAAGAGCCGAGGGCACCTCTGAGGCCTGCTGGAGAGGACGACCCTGCGAATCAGACCATTACCCAGGGATCCTCGGCCGATGTACTCCCTGGTGTCGACCTTATGGCATTTTAAGTTTGTTAGAAAGAACTGCAAAGTTCTTGTGGATTTTAAAACATTGGTAGTAATGTAGGTTGTAGGTATGATAGATTTCATCCACAAATGGCAGTTAATGGTGATTGAATTTCCCTTTAACAGCTAACACAAATGTTGATTCTAGTAGCCATATATACTCCCTTTTTAAATTTTTCATTCTTTCACAAACCATATTTGCTTTCTCATAAAATAAGAAATAAGAATGCTTATAATAAATTTTTTTAAACCTGAATTTTCTTAACCTATTTCTGAGTCTACTTACAGACCATCATTTCTACCATACATACAACCTGAGTTATTCACATTGCCAGTGAAAATATATGTATTTTATTGAATTTTGGTATATGAAAAGAACAGCAGAAAAAATTCTTGCTGGATCTACATAGTGATTGAGTATTGCTTCAGACTACATTATTTTCCTGGAGGGTAAAATAAAGTTTGTTAGCTCCTGTGTTTTGTAATTAACTTGTTACCTATTTATATTTGGCATTTTAGTTGGCACTTAGTTCTAGGCAAATAATTTTACACTGAAAAATCCATTAACCTTCTCCGTGGGGGAATGATTTTCTTGTAAATTAAATTTTCTAATTAGCTAATCCTTTGGAAAACTGATCCTAAACTTGAGCCCCAAAAGCTTAACAAAACTGTTTGTAGTTTTAAAATAAACTCTTACAAATTGCTTCCTAAAGATACCAGATTCAAATTACTGTTTATTAGACAATAATGAGGCTACTTATCCCAGGAATTAAGTGACTCATCAAACAAAACCATTATTATATTTCATTGCTATTTCTTTGCTGTCTGCCCACCCAGATCTTGCAGGTAAGTAGCAAAACCTCCACCTTGCATGTAAGCTATCAGAATGTGCTTTGGTTTCCCTACAAATTGCCTGCCATAGAACAACCTTGTAACAAAAAATGTGCCTTTATCAAATCAGCTCCCTACACCAATGGGGAATAAACATCCTTCCCAAAGAGTAGTTGAGATGTTTTGGTATTCTGAGAATATGGTGATTTTCACTGTGGTTTCTACTTAACATTCACTCTGTAATAACAAAGATGTTTTTCTATATGCTGTTTAATTATAAGGGATATGACTGATGGAGTCTTTCCAGACCAGGTGCCCATAGCATAAACATCAGAATAATGGACAGCCACAGTTATTGGCAGTCAGAGATAAGAGGCTGAGAATTAGAACAGATGTGAGTTAGTAATGAAATAGTTTAGAACATTCTCTACCCTGATTTTTGGCCAAAAATGCCTTTATAACTGGAGAAAGAAAACGTGGAAATGTTCCACCTAAAATATGAAAAGATGCTCAAACGCCTGTGGTTCAGAAGGTACTTCATCTGGCTTTCATCTGCTGATCCTCATTTATTAGTTCTGAACTTTTTATAGATAAAAGTTATAGGATAATAGGTGAAAACTATTATATTAACCCTCAGCATTTTTATTCTGAGTCAACACAGGCCATAATAAAATGGTCTATTAGGCAGTGAAGCTAGCTTGTGTGAACACCATTTTAAGAATAGCATTGGAGAACGAACTATTCTTCACCTCATTTTAGGTTTTGAATCTAACTTTGATTACTAATCTTAAATAGAAATAATTTTAAATTTTTCCATTAAAAATGTTGGAAAGTAAATATATGTTGATTTTTTAAATTAATGAAATATACCTCTCTTACAATAAATTAAATTGTTTTTACCAAACAGAAAAGAAAATCTCTAACTATATAGTTTCTTTTTTTTCTCATAAAGTGTACCAATATGGAGGATTTAATTAATTGAGAAATGTCTATAATTGTTAGTAATATGCTAATAGGAAAAGGATGAAAGAGAGAAAGAGATAGGGCGAGTGGGAAAGAGAGAGAGAAAGAGAGAGAGAGAGATCACAAGCACAGGAAGAAATTTCTGGTCTTCTAGCAAAAAATATGTTTAGATATAAAAATGGGCTAATTATTTTTGTGATTGTAGAAGGATATCAGTGCTAGTGGAGGCTTATGATTCCATTTCTGATTAGCTGTTGAGGTCATTGATTATGCTATGCCCTGTACTAGGAAAATACAGAGCCAAATGAGGTACAGTCACTACCCAAATAGTAGAGAAAAAGACAAGAAACAAAGAAGAAAAAAACCGAATACAAATCCATGTTGTATAAACAACATTAAAAGTATGTACAAAGTAAGACATGCAGGGGAGAGAATAGGTGATTAATTCTATTACTGGGAGAATCACAGAAGGCATCACAGAAGACATGATTAACAAGATCTTGAGTTAGAAAGGTGGGTTTTCTTGTGAGATGATTTAGTGGGATGCAGGAAACCAATGAGAGTGAACATGAACATAAAACAAGGTAAGATCATATTTACATTTTAAAAAGTTATTCTGCTGGTTGTAGGAATGATGAAAGGGAGTTATCCCTAGATTTGGAGACCAGAGGTCACTGATTGCAGGAATACAGGTGGAAGATGATGACTATGCTATGGAAGTAACAGATGGAGGAGCCTAAAGTAATTTCTATGTGTCCAGCCTGAGTGAAGGCTGGTATCATCAACATAGACAAGGAATTCAGGAAAAATAATTTTCAGCTTTGGGATAAGAAACGACTTTATATTAGTATAGTTTTTAAAGTGCGAGTGTTTTTTTACATGTCCTGTAAATGATAAGACGTATGAGTAAGTCTGTAAATTGAGGGTGGAGTTTCTGAAGAAGGCAGGACAGGAATTTTAGTTTTGCAAATTAAAACTGATTAAAGAGAACTTTAAAATAAGATCAGAAGGGATACTGATGGAAACTTGAGAAATGGCACATGAGTCTATGGCAAAAAAACATTTTCTTTTGTTGTCATAAGAATACGTGTGACCTGTTTTAATACAGAAGACTCATCTACATGGAGAAATTACCTGGATTTGCTTTTGTTTATAGATGTCGAAAAACACCTCAGCCTAAAAAATTAAATCTGAACATGATGTAGGTATGAAATTAGCATGTAGCCAGGAACTTCAAAATTTGAGAAGGGAGTCGGTTAGATGAACAGTTAAAATATACTCAGTGGTACATGCTATGATGTAGCAAGAATGTGACTCCTAGGGACATGTGGGTGGGCTCCACCTGAATGTAGAAGTGTGGGCTGTGAATAGAAGATCCATGGAGTTGATGGAACACAGTCCCTGAAAGTCAAGTAGGTACAGAGAGGAACATTGGGTTTCAGATGGGGACAACAGAGAACATGGAAGCATTCCTACTAGGTGGTTCACCAGACAGAGGCGGAATACTGAGGGTGATGAAGCTGGGAAGATCTGCTGAGGTCAGAATGGGACTTTGCATTCCATATTAAATGGTTTGGAAATCAGTGGAAAACTATGGAAGAGGATAAGCAAGGGAGTCACCTGATTCTGGTGTTTTTTTTTTTTTTGAATGAAACAGTGTCGGAGTGGCAGACTGGAAGATGTATTGGAGAGCATTATGCACCTACAGAGGTGCCGAGAGACAGTTCACACACATGCAGTAGGGAAAGAAGGAGGAGTTTTCATTTCTGATCATTTTTTATTGTTCACTTAGTTTCATATCAAGAATGTACTATCTTATAGTTACACATCCTGAACATTTTACTCTAAGTATTTGCCTTCCATTGTCTTGTGCTGTTTCGTAGTTTGCTCTAAAACCAGGACTTAAATTAGTGACAACAGATTTACCTTCATTTGGTTACAGTCATGCTTCACTTAACGATGGGGACACTTTCTAAGAAATGCATCCTTACCAGATTTAGTCTTTGTGTGAACATCATAGAGTGTACTTACACGAACCTAGACGGTACAGCCTACTACAAACCTAGGTTAGATGGCAGAGCCTATTGCTCCTATAAACCTGTACAACATGTTATTCTACTGAATACTGTAGGCAATTGTAATGCAATGGTAAGTATTTGTGCATCTAAACTTATCTAAACGTAGAAAAGTACAGTAAAAAATGGTATGCAAGATAAAAAATGGTACTCCTGTACAGGACACTTAACATAGATGGAGCTTGCAGGACTGAAAGTTGCTCTGGGTGAGTCAAGTGAGTGGTGAGTAAACGTGAAGGCCTAGGACATCACTGTACACTACTGTAGACTCTGTAAACACTCTACATTTTGGCTACATTAGATTTATCTTAAAATTTTTCTTTCTTCATTAATAAATTAACCTTAGCTTACTATAACTTTTTTTTTTAACTTCATACACTTTTAATTTAATTTTTTTTTTTTTTTTGAGACAGGGTCTCACTCTGTCTCCCAGGCTGGGTGCAGTGGTGTGATCGTGTGATCACAGCTCACTGCAGCTTCCACCTCCAGGGTTCAGGTGATCCTTCCAGTGTAGTCTCCTGAGTAGCTGGGATTACAGGTGCATGCCACCACACCGGGCTAATTTTTGTATTTTTTGTGGAGGCAGGGTTTCCCCATGTTTCCCAGACTGGTCTTGAACTCCTGGGATCAAGGAATCTGCCAGCTTCAGCCTTCCAAAGTGCTAGGATTACAGGCATGAGCCACCACACCCAACCCAACTTTTAATTTTTGTTAACTCTTTGACTCTTTTTTAATAGCACTGAACTTAAAACGCAAACACATTATACAGCTATACAAAAAAAAATCTTTCCTTTGTATATCCTTATTCTATAAGCTTTTTTTCTATTTACAAAATTTTTAACTTTTTAAAAATTTTTAAAACTTTTCTGTTAAAAACTAAGGCACAAGTCCGGGCGCAGCAGCTCACGCTTGTAATCCCAGCACTTTGGGAGGCCAACATGGGGGGATCTCCTGAGGTCAGTAGTTCAAGATCAGCCTGGCCAACATGGTGGAATCCTGTCTCTACTAAAAATACAAAAAATTAGCTGGACGTGGTGGCAGACACCTGTATTCCCAGCTACTTGGGAGGCTGAGGCAGGAGAATCACTTGAACCTGGGAAGTGGAGGTTGCAGTGAGCCAAGACTGCGACACTGCATTCCAGCCTGGACGACAGGGCAAGACTTCATCTCAAAAGAAAAAGAAAAGAAACCAAAACCAAAAAAACAAACAAAAAAACAAGGGCACAAACACACACATTAGCCTGGGCCTACACAGGGTCAGCATCATCAATGTCACTTTCTTCCACCTCCACATCTTGTCCCACTGGAAGGTGGGTACATGGAGCTGCCATCTCCTATGATAACAATGCCTTCTTTTGGAATAAATCCCACCTTGGGGCTATTTTACAGTAAATTTTTTTTAACTAGTAGAAGGAGTATGCTCTAGAATTATAATAAAAAGTATAGTATGGTAGATACATAACCCAGTAATATTTATTCTTATTATCTAATATGTACTATACATGACTGTATGTGCTAAACTTTTATACAATTGGCAATACAGTAGGTTTGTTCACACCAGCATCACCACAAACACGTGAGTACTGTGTTGTGGCACAATGTCAGGACAGCTATGATGTCACTAGGCAATAGGAATTTTTCATCTTCATTATAATCTTATGAGACCACTGTTGTATATGTGGTCCCTCATTGACCAAAGCATCTGTATTTGGTAGGGTGAGATCATGATTCTAAAATGAATCTGATACTTGGGAAACTCATTATCTTGTATGACTTTTCATCTGTTTTAGCTGCTCTCTAAGTCTAAGAAGGGATTTATTTTCATTCAGCATTGAGCAAATCATTTCTGCAGTTTGACTCTACAGCTGGCATTGTGTTAGACACCATTTATCAACCTCTGAGATTATTTGGAAGTTAGAAAGAAAGTGTTCCAACAGTTCCAACAAGCACAGTTACTTAGAACAGTGTTGGAGGGGTAATGGGAGGAAAATGCAGCCTGATTTGTCCTAAAGACACATTATCATAGAGATACATTGTAAGCAATTTTGTTGTTGTTGTTGTTTGTAAAAGGACTTATTGCATGAAGGCAAAGAAGAGGAAGAGAAAAGCATTTTGGGCAAAATCCCTTGATGCATAACTATATTGCATAACTTACTGGTTCACATGTACAGGCACCTGTCTCTCATCAGATTGGGCGATCCTTAAGTGGTACGACTTGTTCTTTGCTATTTTTATACCCAGTAATTTAACATGACATGTAAAATGTTGCTGATGTTCCTAATGTCTATCAAATGTTGAAACATTAATATTTCCTGAAGAAATTAGAATTTCTATTCATACCTTAACCTTGGTAGTTGTCCATAATTCCTGGATCTGTATCCAAAGCTATATTTTGTGGCACAGCACTATAATTTTTTAAAACACACATCTAAATGGCACAGTTTACTACATAGAATGTGAATGCACCATCTCAGGCTACAGTGACTCTTTTCCTTATTCTACCACCATTAACCTCCTAATATTACTAACACTGTCACATCCTTGATACTTTCAGTAATTAACAAAGTTTCAGAGAAATTGCTTAACCTGGTTAGATAGCCAGGAAAATGCTTACAATTTTTTTTAAAACAGTAATTAAAATATTGATTTCTTATTCAAAGTAAGGATGTATGCAAAGATACATGAAGCGTGTCCTAGGGCCTTAACTCTCTGTATTTTGAAAAGCTGTCCTTTCAGATTTTACAGTTGTGATAACTCTAAATATATCTAGCTCTGTTTAGCAAAGAGAGGTTCAGACTGAGTCAGGAAAATAAAGCATTAACAGAAAGCTATGTGCATTGGAATCATCATAAGAAATGGTGAGTGGCCTTAACAAAAGCCAGTGGAAGTTTAAAATAAAAACACAACTTTTAAAGGGTTTTTAAAAGGTGTTTTCTTCTTTCTCAAATGGAATGACCCACAGATCCCAGTGCTACAAAGGGAGAAGGAGAGCTCAAATAAAAGCCAGCTAGCAGATTTTGGAGGGCTCATGTTTCAAGTTTGGGATTATCTGCTTGAAAGAGTTAAGATTAAAAAAAAAAAAGACATGAACTCCATCAACACTCAGTTTGTCCCTCATGTTGTATTATGTTGCAGTGGTACTTAGATAAATAAAGCAAAGTTTCTGTCCTCAAAATTTTCATAGATTAGTGAGGAAAGAGATATATAATCGAAAAGTGACATTTCTATTGAGTGACATAACAGAAGCATGTGCAAATTTCTAGGGAGAATAAAGAAAGGAGCAAATAACATTGAAACAAAATCAGGCAAAAGAAAAGGAATTACTGAACACAATTTAGCTTCAGAAAATCACTAGGAGCTTTTGCACAATATTCAGTATGACTGGATAAGACAAAAGCATGTCTGAAAAAGAAATATCTGTACTTTATTTAAATTTCAAAATAAAAAATGCTATGTTATATAACTATAGAGTCTGCATATCCTTAACTACATTAGTTTGCTGTCAATAGTTTCTCAGTAAGGAGATATCTTTATGCCCTAAATTTGCTAACATGATAAAAATGCCATATACCTCTTTATTTCTGAAATTTTTAACATTTACAATTGAACAAAACCTCCAGTTTTTGTAAATCTTGCAAAACGGCATTTGCAAACAACATATTTCTCCAAAAAGAGTGACCATATTATTTTAAAAGAACAAAAATGAAACAAAATATAGTTGATCATTGTAACTTCAGCTTATTGAAACAGATAAGATGGGAGAGAAACTCTGAGAGGAATTTTCTAGTCAGGCCAACTTGGATACTTAGTCATATCATTGGCAAATAATTTTGAGTTGTTCATATTTATTTCTCTATTCAAGCCTGAAATGGGTGGCCTTATATAATGAAGAACTGGATATTGCACCCTTTTTGCATAAACTTCTTTGCTCCTGGTCCTATGTGGGTAGGACACAGAAGGCTCACCCTGGACTAGGTTGCTGCTTTTTGGAAGATTTCTACCCAAGCACAGCACAGATCCGGGGTGGCAGCAACTTTCAACCACCTCACTTGTCCTTCCTCCTGGTTTGTGATCTGCAGGCACCAGGGCAAAGGCAGAGAGCAAAAGAGAGCCAATGTCAGGTGACGGGAAAGATAACAGAGAGGTTTGTCAATTTCCCAGATGTCAATTTCGTGGATGCTATAAAATATAAGCCAGATATTTGGATTTAATGGAATCTATAGGGTTGGATTGTTCTTCTGAAGTGAGAGAGAGAGTTAAATTTTAGTAGGAACATCAAAAGACAAAAGTGCCAAGGAACAAATGAGGGTATCCTCCCTCTGCCCACTACTGGAGGAGGAAGCCGACTCTGCTGTGCATATACTCTTGGAGCTGGGTTGAGAATAGGGTGCCTGCCATTTCCAGGCATCAGAATTATTCCCATAAAAATATCTGAAGTGTCTTCTTTCTTCCATTTGGCCCCATAGGAGCAGGTAGAAACAATTGCAGTGAACTGCTCTTTTTTTCCTCCTTAAGTTCTTTTTGAGTTTTCAGACACCTTTTTCTCTGCTTTATATCATGTCTAACCCCTTTCTACTTCGTTCTTTTTTGCCCAGATTGGCATCATTGCTCCTGTCTTTTTGGGTTTGTCTCTAGCACTGTAGTCGTGATGTTTTCAGAATTGGATCGTTGTTCTCCTGAAGGATGGGCTTTTGTCAGTGTAGGCCTTTCTTAGATCACACTTGGTTAACTTATTCTCACTACATGTTAGGAAGCAAATCAATCCCTCCCGAAGATAAAGCTGCTTGTCCAATGGTTACAGGTTAGGGTAAAGCTAAAATGAGTCAGTGCTCTTATTCCCCAGCTGTCTCTGAGGATATGCAAAGCAGGCCTTTTTTCACCCCTGTTTCCAAGGAAGAGAGGGAAGGAAAAAGCAAAGAGCAGTGCTGGAAGAGAAGAGAGAAAGGGAATGAGCATTTAAAAGACAACGTAGGAATGCAGTGTGCCCTTTAGAAGCTAAAATAATGGTGACAGCAGAATGAGTCCATCTTTTGTGTCGCGATGCTGAGAGTTTTCTAACCTCAGTGAAAAGTAGTGATGGAGTGTGCAAAATTCATCATAACGTTGCTTAAGGTATTACATTATATGATCTGGCAGTGTGTCTAGATTTATCCTTTTATTTCACCTCTAAATAGAATGTTTGAAATGAGATTTAGAGAGTTTGCCTAATTCTAGTCTAGTCTAATTCTAGACTTCCTAGAAATTTTTCTAAATGGAACATAGCTATGTAGCTACAGGGTTTATTTTAATAGAGATGTAGATGTATCCAAAATGGGTAATCATTTAAGAAACAGGAATCGCTTGAAGGAAGATACAAATTATACAAAAATAGGTAAGAATGAAGTTGGCTAAACAAGAGTTTTACTCAAGATGCTGTTATTAAACATCACAGCATTGTTTTTGTAAAGCCTGGCTTTTGATTATATTTTTATTTCCTATGTTAAGCATTTCAGATATTTACAATTATACATCCATGGTTAATTAGTTGTAAAGTTGTGTTTTTAATTTTGGATATAATTATATCAAACACTTTTTAAAAACTTCTATTTTAGGTTTGGGGGTACATGTGAAGGTTTGTTACATAGGTTAAGTCATGTCACAGGGCCTTGTTGTACAGATTATTTCATCACCCAGGTATTAAGCCCAGTACCCAGTAGTTGTCTTTTCTGCTCCTCTCCCATCTCCCAGCCTCCACCCTCAAGTAGAACCCAGTGTCTGTTGTTCCGTTCTTTGTGTTCATAGGTTCTCATCATTTAGCTCCCACTTATAAGAGAGAACATGTGGTATTTGGTTTTCTGTTGTTCAGTGTAGCCACCTTCTTCAATGATCTTAGCTAGATCTTCTGGATAACTTGCTGCAGCTTCTACATGAGCACTTGCTGCTTCACCTTGCACCTTTCTATTATGGAGATGGCTTCTTTCCTTAAACCTCATGAACCAACCCCCGCTAGCTTTCAGCTTTTCTTTAGCTGCTTCCTCATAGAATTGAAGAGAGTTAGGCCTTTATAGAATTGAAGAGAACCAGGTCCTTGCTCTGAACCAGGCATTGGCTTCAGGGAATGTTGTGACTGCTTTGATCTTCTTTCCAGGCCATTCAAATTTTCTTCATATCAGCAATAAGGCGTTGTGCTTTCTTATCATTCATGTGTTCACTGGAGTAGGACTTTAAATTTCCTTCAAGAATTTTTTCTTTGCCAAGAGTTTTCATCATAAAGGGATGCTGGATTTTGTTGAAGGCTTTTTCTGCATCTGTTGAGATGATCATGTGATTTTTGTTTTTAATTCTGTTTATGTGGTGTATCACACTTATTGACTTGCGTATGTTAAACCATCCCTGCATCCCTGGTATGAAACTCACTTGATCATGGTGAATTATCTTTTTCATATGTTGTTGGATTCAGTTAGCTAGTTTTTGTTAATGATTTTAGCATCTATGTTCATCTATGTTGGTCTGTAGTTTTCTTTTTTGGTTGTGTTCCTTTTCTCGTTTTGGTATTAGAGTGATACTGGCTTCATACAACGATTTAGGGAGGGTTCCCTCTTTCTCTGTCTTGTGGAATAATGTTAATAGGATTGGTACCAATTCTTCTTTGAATGTCTTGTACAATTCTGCTGTGAATCTATCTGGTGCTGGACTTTTTTTTGTTGGTAATTTTTAAATTACCATTTCAATCTCACTGCTTGTTATTGGTCTGTTCAGAGTATCTAATTCTTCCAAGCTAGGAAGGTTGTACCTTTCCAGGAATTTGTCCATCTCTTCTGGCTTTTCTAGCTTATGTGTGCAAAGGAGTTCATGGTAGCCTCGAATGATGTTTTGTATTTCTGTGTTGTCAGTTGTAATATCTCCCATTTTGTTTCTTATTGAGCTTATTTGAATTTTCTCCCTTCTTTTTGTGGTTAATCTTGCTAATGATGTATCAATTTTATCTTTTCAAATTTTGTTTCATTTATCTTTTTTTTTTTTTTTTTTTTTTTTTTTTTTTTTTTGAGGAGGAGTCTTGCTCTGTCGCCCAGGCTGGAGTGCAGTCGTGCAATCTCGGCTCACTGCAAATTCCGCCTCCCGGGTTCTTGCCATTCTCCTGCCTCAGCCTCCCGAGTCTTTTGTATTTTTTTTTTTTGGTTTCAATTTCATTTAGTTCTTCTCTGATCTTGGTTATTTGCTTTCTTCTGCTGGGTTTGGGTTTGGTTTGTTCTTGCATTCGCAACTTGGCTAACTGGTGAAGAGGCCTAGTTTTCAGCCTGTCTTGGCTTTCTACATGCCTTCCTCACTAAGCTAAATCATTTCTAGCTTTTGAAAGTGAGAGACATGCAACCCTTCCTTTCACTTGAATACTTAGAGGCCATTGGGGGATTATTAATTGGCCTAATTTCAGTATTGCTGTGTCTCAGGGAATAGGGAGGACTGAGAAGAAGCAGAGAGATAGGGGGATGGCTAGTTTGGGGGAGCAGTTGGAACACATAAACATTTATTGGTTAAGTTCACCATCTTATATGGACAGAGTTCATGGTGCCCCAAAGCAATTACAATAGGAACACCACACATCACTGATCACACATCACTGATCGCAGATCAGCAATAAGGCTGTGGTGCTTTCTTATCATTCATGTGTTCACTAGAGTAGGACTTAAAATTTCCTTCAGGAACTTTTTCTTTATATTCACAACTTGGCTAACTGGTGAAGAGGCCTAATTTTCTGCCTGTCTTGGCTTTCCCTGTGTCTCTCTCACTAAGCTTAATCATTTCCAGCTTTTGCAAGTGAGAGACTTGCAACTCATCCTTTCACTTGAACACTTCAGTATTTTTGAACGCTGAAAAAGTTTGAAATGTTGTGAGAATTACCAAAATGTGACACAGACACGAAGTGAGCCCATGCTGTTGGAAAAATGCTGCTGATAGACTTGCTGGATGCAGGGCTGCCACAAAGCTTCAATTAGAAAAAAAAAAAATCTGTGAAGTGCAATAAAATAAAGCACAATAAAGTAAGCTATACTTATAGATGACTAATATATGGTAACTGACATTATAACTAGATCAGTAGATTTTATGAAGGCCCATAAGTTTTCATAACCCTTTGTTGAAACATATTTATATAAGAAATTCTAATGATATAAGGCTTCTTAAAATAGAAATCGATAAATTTTAAAACTGAGCCACTAAAAAGGATCCTGTCTTTAAGTTCTAGAATAGGATAAGCAAAATTGTTTCTGGCAAGAGCCAGATAATAAATATTTTAGACTTTGTGGGCCATACCGTCTCTCTTGCGCTGCACAACTCTGCCATCGTAAACTTGAAATTAGTCACAGATAATAAGGAAACAAGTAAGCATGGCTTTGTTCCAATAAAACTTTATTTCAAAAACAGACATTGGATCAAACTTAGAAATTTGGCTTTTGTTTGTCAACTCCCGTTGTAGACTGTCTGTTTTCTCTTCTTTTCACCCATGTGTCTTTCCAAATAAATAACCTCCTGATTTATTGACTCTTATAGAGGTAAGGTGTGGGTTTCTATGATAAAATCTTGAATCTTCACACACTTTCCCTTACTAAGAAAAGAAACCTTAAAATTGAGCCAGCATCTCTAAAAATTTGCTTAAAGAAACAAAATATTGTGTGATACAGAATAAAGGATTTATTATGGGAATTCACCACGCACGTGGTGGGAGCTAATTAAATAGTTTGAGTGAGGCTGTCGCCTCTACATCTGGTGTTAGGCTCAAGTCCACAGAGCAGGAAATGAAGAAGCAAAGGGGACCAAGAAGTAGGAGACAGCAAACACAAACAGGAACCCACAGAGACCAAGGGAACACTTGTCGGCCCCTCCCCACCTCCAGGCCTCCACCTTCATTGATGCCCGGGACTCCCAGTAGCTGGGACACTGCCCCATGGCAGACATCTGCAGGAGCTGCGTGGATCCCAGACAACCAAAACCATACCTGTGACTGCCTGACCTCCCAGCCTAAACATGACTACTGCTTCATATCCTCTTCCCAAATCACCTGCAAAATTCCCTTGTCATCCTTAACCCTGAGTGCTACAGGAAAAGGAATTCAGGGAAATAGTTTAGCTAAGTTGTCAGAGTACTACAAACTCTGTGCTGAATTAGAGTATCATCTGTCAAGGAATTCACAGGACAATGTCACTGTCATTAAAGTTTAAACATACTACGTTTACCTCAGCTTCTAAAATTGCCTTGAGGACAAATACTATGGACTAATATTTTAGAAGCCACCTCTGTAGAGTGCCTACATTCTTCCCATACTCACAACCTATCTGAAGAATTGAATGAACTGCTAGAAAAGAAAAAGTGAAGTGATCGATGAAGTCCCAGCACCAAAGTCTCTCTTCAGGCTGCTCTTTGATTTCAGCCTTCCCCAGACTGAGTCTCTTCTCATTGCACACTCCCTCTCTTTTTCATGCTCTTATATTCCCTAGTAGCCTCAAAATAATTTGCTGGAAGCCCATACTTTTCTATACTGAAGACAGTTTTCTCTCTTCAGAGTATCAAAACCATTCCTACAGGGCACACCTGAACATGACCTGAACATTGAGTTACCAGCCAGTGCATATAGATCTGAAGCCGAATCTGGATTAAGAAAATTTAAGTTTGGGGATAATCTTCGTTGTTTATCTTTGTTTCCATATATATTTGCAATTACTCTTTCCTACTCATCCTGAGAAAGCTTCCTCACTTGTTCTCATGAATCTAGCTAATGTGCAAACACAGTCAACCATGGGAACAATCACAGGAAACTCGTGTTCAACCTAGATAGAGTAATGCAGTGATTGTGATTGTCAGTATTCAACAACATAGACTTGGTGCTCTCCTGTGGTTAGAAAGGCACTCCTTATGCTAATAAAACATTGTAAACCAATCTCATTGTGAGTATGATGTATCCAATATCATAATAGTTGCAGTTCCCCTATCTAATTTCTACAAACTTGAAATGTACTTGGCCTAGTATCGTTGGCACAAATTTCAAAACTAGTACATTGGTTCCGATATTTCCCCTGCTAAGTAAAAGCCCTGTGAAATAAGTCATTAACCTCCTGCTACTCAAAGGGTGTTCCAGAACCAGCAGCACAGCCATCATCTGGGAGCTTGCAAGCAATGTGGAATCTCAGTGCCAACCCCAGAGCTGCTGAATTGTAATCTAAATTTTAACAAGATCCCATTGTCATAAGTGTGCACATTAAGGTACGAGAAGCACCAACTTAATTCCTAGAGTCTTCTAATTAAATTGGAAATCATAGTGTAATACTTATACAAATGGTCTAAAGTACAAATAAGATGGTGCATGTTAAGGGTCTGGTACAGACACTTGGAGTAAGAGGAGTGTCCTCTATTAAAGAAAATGGAATAGGCACTTTTGTTCCTCTCTTATCATGAAGCTGATGGAAGGAGCTTTGACCATTGAAAGAAATCACTGGGAAATGGCACTATTCCTCCGTGGAGGAGAGTAGGACCCTGGAGGAAGGAGCTTGTCTATTCTTGGAAATAAAACATCTAGAACACGCATACAGCCAACCTCAGCAATCTCAAGAAAGCCATGCCAGTGAGCCTTTCCCTCCATGGAAAGGGAATGCTCTTTGCCTGTAGCTACTCCTAGGCCATTTAGTTACAGTGTCAAATTCATTTGCTGGCCTGTCTCCTTCCTGCATAATAAGGCACTTTTTAAAATCTCTGCTTAATTTGTTCATAAGTAAATCCCCAGAAGGAAATTACCCATTGAGAACTTTGTAGTCAAGGCAGATTCCATTTCAGTCTTCTTGCTCCAAAGTTGAAGATGACTTGGAGCAAGACAACTTCAGAGAGGATACAAGGTCAAGTCTAGCAGGAACTATCATTCCTTTCATCCAAAAATAGGTATTGAGAACCCACAGTCTGTAAGATACTTTTAAAGTTGTTCTTAAGCCTGCTGTGCTTATTGTGTTGTTGGTGGGTTGAGTTCACTGTAGGTGGGTGCCTGTGAATAAGTATAAAAAAGAGGAGGAAAAATTCTTTTGGTGTGCAAGCTTATATATTATGGCTTATAAACAAGTGGCACTTACAGAAAAGTAGGAAGAAGCATAGAGAAATTGCAAATGGCCTTCTTTTTATATTTTAATGCCAAAGATAAATAGGAGTTTAGTTACATTGCTTTCATTGATTTCAGAATATGAACACGGTGACTGAGCCTTCTATTTGCTATGAAAACCAAATGTGAATTTTTGAAGACTAACAATAATGACACACGTAAAATAATATATATAGTTATGTGTTGCTTAACAATGGGGATGCATTCTGAGAAATGTGTCATTAGGTGATCTGATCATTATGCAAATATCATAGAGTGTACTTACACGAACCTACATGTTACAGTCTACTACTGTGTATGTAGGCTATAAGGTGTAGCTTATTGCCTCTAGGCTACAGACTTGCATAGCACGTTACCATGCTGAATACCATAGACAATTGTAATATAATGGCAAGTATAATATTTGTGTATCTAAACACACCTAAACATAGAAAAGCTGCAGTAAAAATATATTATTATAATCTTATGGGACCACTGTATATATGGTCTATTGCTGACTGAAACGTTATGTGGATGTGGTGCATGACTGTATAGACACACACACACACACACACACACACACACAGTATTTCAAGCAAAAAATTTGTCAAACTACGTTTTTCAATAATTGGTCTTCTTAAATGAAATTACTTGTCATTTTAATGTTTTCTATTGAAGACATTATTAACACTACATACTACCTATGCATATTACACACTCCATATGACATTCACACTCCATGAATACATAAGCATTTTTGGAACTGTGTTGCAGTTTTATTGTAATTATTATTTCCAGAATATATATATTTTAATATAATTTATGATATAATTATCAGAATATATATATAATACTCAAGTATTTATAATCTTGATACTGATGATCCAGAAATAAAATTCCATATCATTTTGATCAGTGTGTATGGTATTTTTGTTTCTTATAAAGTTTCAGAAGTATTGCACTGCTTGAAGCTATACCTAGGGGGACTCTTAAATGTATTTTACTCCTATTTGCCGAGATTTGGTTGCTGTGCTTTAGTGTCCCATAAACAGTATGTTTGGGTTTTATGCCTGGTGTTTAGTTCTTGAAAGTGCTAAGTTTAGCAGGATTGGAGTGTGATGGTCATTGCTTTGAATCTGACAGACAGATTTTATGTGTTTCAAATCATTATGGATAATGATAAGGCATGGCTTATTTTTGTGTTAGAGCTGGAATTTGTCTTTCTATTATTTCAGTGTCCTGAGGCATCCCTCAATAATTGTGAGCTCTCTTTCACACTCAGCTCTTCAAATACTTGAGTAGAGTTATCATGGCTCTCCCATCTTCATTCCTCCTGCTAAACATCCTCATTTTCTTCAACTACTCCACAGTGCCCTGGTTTTTCAGGCTCTGTCTATCCCTGGCCTCTCTTCATGACCGACTCTAGTTAAACATTGTAGTCTATTGAACATTGATTTTGGGTCTTTACCCTCTGCTGTATCCATACCCTTAGCTGTGTTATTGTATAGTGCCTCCTACTGAACAGAGTATACTGCTCCCCCAACACTTGAATTTCAGTTGTGCCTTGTCACTTGCTTCACTTGATGAAATGTGGGTGGAAATGACAGGGTGCCAGTTCTGAGATGAGGCCTTTGAAGTCACCATGTTTCTACTTCTCTTGTGCATCTCTGTCATTCCCATAAGCAGAATGTGCACCAGCTAGACTGCTGGTCCAAGGAGGAATGAGAAATATACGGAACCAACCCAGATCCAGTCTGCAGCTTAGAGCCAGGCTCCCAGCTATGCCCAACTGAGATCAGCAGAGTTGTCCCAATGGATCTGCAGATGCATGAGAGAGATTTATTCGTTGTACTAATAAGATTTTGCGGTTGTTTGTTATGATAATAGATGACTGGTACAGGCCTACTCTAGTTAAAAGTGGCGTCCAGGAAAAAACGTGATGGCCTGAGCAATATAATGCATCTACTTCTATTCTTTGAACACATAGGGCTGGTATTGCATAACCACATTTTTACAATATCTAAGGGCATGCTTCCACATAGAATACAACAATGTGAATTCCCCTGGAATTGTTCAATGCAGCAGGATTGTGGAGTTCATATCTTGGATGTTGTTTAGTGTTGCATTTAGCTTTTTCTTTGTTCAAGTTTAGTCATTTGGCATTTGTATTAGACTATCAAAAGTACATCTCATGAAATGTTAGTCCTATGTGATGTTCCTTAAAAAATATCTATGGTGAAATAAATTTGTGAAAGTATTTATGCATATTCTTATCTTGCACATTTTCAATGAGCATTAGATGATCAAAAGTTTTGCGAAGTTCTACAGTTAAGAAACTGATTTAAACTTTACCCATTTCCCAAATTTATTTGACTACCAAATTATTTTTCAAGTAATACTAGTGACACACCATAAAACTATCATATGTTATGAATTGTTAACTTAGTCTATCAGATCTTTTTGATTTTGACTCAATTTTTTAATAATATTAGCTGCTATTTCAACATCTGTATACATATGTAAGTATTAATATTTGATAGGTGAAATAATTATCTTAATTCAAATACTGAGAAAAAATGACAAAAATATTAACTTTTGTGAGTATTATGATACTACAAGAGATTTTACCTTAGCTTATTGTCTATCTCATGACTATGTGATATGCTCTGAACCTCATTGTTCAATCAGAAATTATTCACCTACCTGACATATTATCTATTCTACCTTATTTCACTTTGCTCACAAAATTAGCATAAGATTAGTATCTTGAAACCAGTATATGTTCCCATTTTTAAAAATTTAGCATATAGAAAAGGTCATCTCTGCTGTACTTCATTGTGCTTTAAAATTTTTGGAACTGCAGAATAGACAATACTTCTTATAGATTATATAGAATTAGTTAAGCATTATCTTACCCATAATGGAAACCAGCATAATAGGACACTAGTTGCTGTTTTTGTCTCACATGTAGTAGTAACTTAATGCATGTATTTGTCTTCCATTTCATAGAAACTTGAAACACATGCATAAGAGGTTACTATTCTACTTATGGAAGATCTTATTTGAAGTTCTACTAGATTTTATAGCTTTATTTGTCAAAAATCTAATAGCAGTGTAGTTTCTTCAAAAGTAGAAAATAATCCAAATTAGTCCACATTGGAAGATTTTCTGTGCTTGCTAGGGCTTTCTCAGTAAACATGTCTTCTTTAAAAAAAAGCAAATAGGGAGTGTCTATAAAATCATTCATTTATAGACACTCCCTATTCCTTTCTTTCATATGTATAGAAATAAATTCCTTTTTGTATATGTACAGAAATTTTAATAAATATTAATGCCATGGCTAGAAACTATTTTAAAGTAAAATAATAAGTTTATATAAAATATAAACTCAAAAATGACATATCTATATTAATTATCCTATGTCTGCAGAGGAAGAAATACAAACCATTAAAAGTTGGAAATGTCATTAGGAGAAAAGCACAAGGATGTCATAAGTTTATAATTTTTGCTTATACATATACCTTGTACTTAGCTAACGTGATGCATTCATATTCTGGGTGAATTATATTAAAACGCCAATAAAATTGTTGTATACCTAAGTCAGTGTAAAAATAATTATCTAAAGCTAAAAGTAATTTATACCAGCTATTTCCTAATCATTCTTTTTGTCAGGCTGTTATTCTTCAGTTTATATTGCAACATTTAGCTCTATAAACCGTCTAGTTTTCTAATCCTTCATACTGTCACTTCCTGACGTATTTGTGTTACATTACTGCCTACTCGTGTTTTCAAACCCGTATGTGCTACAGATTGCAGTGGTACATTGGGTAAGAAGTTGAGTTTGCCATTAGAGATGGATACTTGATTTTCATCTTCTAAAATAATTGAAGTAAAAATAAATATATTTTGTCAGTATAAGGGTGTATAATCTCTACAGCTCATACACAATGATAACTCATCCTAAACCTGTTTGGAGGCTGATATCCGCAGCCCTTACTATGGACCCTGCTTTTAATGGAGTCCTGTGTTGAGAGTGAACAGGGCCAGTATTCTGTTTGATCTAAGGGGCTTACCTGCATTGAAGAGCTGTGGTTCCTGGTTTTCAGTAGCATATCATTTTTGTTGAGATTTAATCAAGTATTATCATTGGCTCCTAGTGACAAAGTAAATTATTTACCTGTTTAAACTTTGATTGATTTCCTAATTTGGACAAGTTGAATCATAATATATGCTTACTTTTTGGTATGATGAGCTGACATAATGCTAGTAGATGGTTGTTTTTTTTTTTTTTTTTTTTTGCCTTTGCTACTTACCTTTTTTAATACAATTGTGTTATTTGGACGTCAGAAATGGCTGCCAATCACAAAGTTTTCTAGGACCTGTACAATAGTCTTGCTTTTATTCCTATCCCAACATTCAAGATGCTAGATCATTTACTTACCACCAATTAAATATTCTTTTTACACACACACACACACACATACACACCCACACAAACACATCATCATCATCATTCTGTATGTTATCCATCTGCTTATCTAGAAATAATGATTATTAGACTAACATTGTAATTATGTAGATGTATTTTAAAAAAATAGCAACCTTTCCCTGAGGATTTGGGACTTCAAATACTCTGTGGTAAGGAATAAAACACAAACAATAAACGTATTCAGCTAACATTCAAGCAGATTTTTCCTTCAACTATGGTGCAAAATTAGGAATGGAAAGTTATCAAAACCTAGAGTCTGTTTAATGTCACAGATAATAGGCAGAGTGCCCCCTTTGCAGAAGGAAGCGCCAGTTCTTAGTTACTTTTTCTCAGCTACAATTCTTTCAATATTATTGTCTATAAAATCATTAATAAATTTATTATAGGTAAAGGCTTTCTTTGGATTTGTATTTGATGGAATGATATATTAATGGTGAAAATTTACAGTTCTTATTCTGTGCCAAGCACATTGCTAAATGCATTGCTCCTTGGAATTTGGTGCTGATGAAAGTTCTGTGGTCAAAATTCATTCTTCTAATTGATTTTTAACACAGCAAAGATTTCTGTGAAAATCTGTCAGGTAAGAAACATTTAAATTTAAAATATATATAACCATAACTTTTTCTTTCCACATTTGTAAATCAAAAGGGAATAAAAGAAACAGATTAAATTTAAGAGTGAATTTATTAATATAAAATAGCATATTGAAATGCACACAAACCAATTAATTTGCTAACATATTTCTCTTCTTAAAGTGCAATTATTTCCAAAACATTTATATCCTTATATTTATTACTTAGCTGATTATGTATAATATTTGTAAATATTGGAAAATGCTTTAAACAATATATTTAAATACCTCTCCACCTAACTACTCCTCCTCAAAGTGTGCTTTTTTCGATCAGCAATATCAATATCTTCAGGACGTTTATTAGAAATACAGACTCTCTTAGCTTTGTGCCGTGGCAGTAACCTAGTCAATGAGGTTTCTCCAAGGCGCAGGTATTGCTAATTGAGAAAAAATAAGAAATACAGACTCTCGAGCCCCACCCAAACACATTGAACCAAAACTAGCATTTTATCAAAACCCCATCTGATTCATACATATATTCAATGAGTTCTATATGCTTCTTAAAATTTAATTTAAGTGATTTAGACATAGACTGTTATCATCATAAGGGAGAGAGAGGAATTATCATATAGGTGCTGATATTTAAAATATGTAACAAAAGTATTAAAGTTCTCTTTAAATCTGCATATTACTTTTACCATTTTTTAATTGCCTTACGTTACCAATTTGCACTTGGAAATTGCCAGAATATATTTGAAATTACATGTTACAGTAGGATATTTAAAATTATTATATGCATTATTAAAAAGAGAATGAATGAAAGAAAAATTGACCCAAATGTAGATAGCACTCATTTGTGCTTAAAATTTGTTATACCACTAGGGGGTGCTAATGCCTTTGATTTGCAATTTCAAAAAATTAAATCTAGATACAATTAAGTTTTTGAAAAGAAATGAATATGAGTAACATATAAGTAAACCCCACACAAGAAAAAAATGATGTAGGCTATTAAAATGAAAACTTGGATTGTAAAATAAACGTGGTATACAATATGTTTTTATGTAAAGACAATAATTCTAAAAACCTTACTTTTGTATTTCTGCTTAAAAAAAAACTTTCTGTGAAATTTAAAGAAAATATTTAGCATACAAACACGAAAAAAAAAATGCTGAAATGTGAACAGTGGCTCTCTCATGAGACTAACATTATAAGAGATTGTTGTCCTCTTCTGTGTACTTATGTGTATTTTCCATTTCATTTTCCACCATAGTCTTGGGGGATTTCATTTATAATAAGTTAAAAAAAAACTTTAAAAAAGAAGGAGGCAAGAAGTAGGTAAAAAAATAAAGGAAGGAAGAAGGAAAGGAACGAAGCGAGAGAAGGAAAGGAATAGGCACTCACTTGCCAAGATTTTTGGGGCTAATACATTTTACTATAGACTTAAAAATGATTTTAAAATATTAGGGTACAAGAAACATGGAATTTGATGTCTTGTGAATAGGATTAAATAATATTTATGATGCCAAGATACACTCTAAACCTCCTTTCTTCATGTAGTTCATAATGAGGCTATAAGGAAAGTAACATGACTTCATTTCTGTTTCCTGCTTAAATCAGTCTAACATCAGACATTATTTCAGTAGGAACTTCTTATTGATTGAAACTGAGCCTAAACTACTACAAATGTGTTCCTCTGGCAAAATACACAAATTCTTTTAGATCAGGAGGGTACCATTGATGGGGTTGCCTTGTTATATATAGAACAGCCTTGGTGGCCCATAGAGATGGGTTTCTTAAGAAGATTCATTAATATGCTTATAAGCAATTGAGGCCAGGGAGATAAAAACCAATTACAGCAAAATATTTAGTGAAAGATATCTATAGTTCATTGCAGATTAAATACTATATATATATATATTTCAATATTGATCTATATTCTGAGGAAATTAACTGGTAGTTAGCAGGTTTTCTCTTCATTTGCCATTATTTTGCCACTAGTACATAACACATACTTGAATGCAACTAGTATATGTGAATTTCAAACAGTTCCATTTCTAATCAAAATGTGGTCTATTACACTTGTAATTATGGCAAAAACTTTGCTGAAAAGGAAACAATACTATATTGTTTAAGAGTTAAAAGTAAACAATGACAATTCCTAGCCATACTCCTTTTGCTTTCCAATTTGGAGAATTTACAAGTATCAATCCTCGGCGATTTAGCATGCAAAATAAATAAGGCTCAACACAGCACAACTTATCCAAAATTGAGTAGAAAATAATTTTTCATATTTTCCAAATGAGAATTAAGGAGTGACACCTACTTAAATGGTTGCTGTTTTAGACTCTGTCCCTCTGAGTTCTTGTCCTTGTAAAGTTTTGAAAATTTTTTTTTAATGGCCACAGTTGTGCACAATGCCCTGATACTCCCAGGTACAGAAACTGCTTTTCCTCGGTTCATCTTGACATAAGTGAGAGAAGTCGATATTTCTAAAAGACCTTTATCAAATTCTATAGAAGCACAAAATGAAAATAATTGATGGAGCAGAATTTAAAAATTTGCTTTTCTAAAGCACTTTCATTCTTTAAAATGCAGATAGAAACACCAAACAGGTACTTTTAGACCTAACTTAATTTTTCTTATTGTGATATAAAGAAACATTAATTCCAAAGGATTTCATCCTCCTTTAGATTTGGCCCTCTTGGCTTTGCTGCTCCCCAGACAATACCTGTCTCTTGGCCAACTAAACCTTGACTACTATTTTGTCCTTTATTGCTTTAAGGAACTAGTCTGATGGTTTATCTTACCCCTGTAGAGAAAACCTGCAAAGTAAACTTTGTATTTCTTTTTATTTAAATGTTCCCTACCTTCCTATTCCAAGTGCGCTCTGCAGATCAGCAGTATCAGTAGCACCTGGGAGCTTGCTAAATCTGCACACTTTCATCCCATCACCATTTGTGGTCCAAAGGCTATGCCTAGCTGCAAGTGCCTTCTAAGGGAGGGTAACAGAATGCATGAATTTTAGACTAAGGATGCCAAATGTATGGCATATGTGCGGCTACTTTCTTATACTGCAAACTATAGTTTTAACAGTCATCGTTAAATGAGAATGTCACTTTTCTTTCTTGATCTCAGACTGCCTGAAACACATTCTCAACTTAGCACTCTGAGTAATCTCTACTCTAGATTCAGATTAAATCTATTCATTATACCTTATCTAAGCCATCCGGGCTCAGGTTATCAATTTTGTTCACTCTTAAAGAAACCTAAGACAAATGAATTACTTTATAAAAGGCTGCTCATAGGGGTATTACAATGCAAATTCATAGTAAGGACAGAAACAGAATAAACATAATGAGTAATAAAGTATACATATATATAGTAAATGAGAGAATTATTCATTCGCAGAACCATAAAGATGATTTTGGACAAAATCTCTGCAGAACAAGAGCATTTCTCTTCTTAAATAGAGGAACAGAATGTCAGAGCTTTAAGGGGTATACATTTTTAAAGCCCTGTCTTTTAAATATATAAAAAGAAAAGAAGATGAAGTGAAAGGGGCAGGGGTGAAGGAGATGGGGAGGAAGAGAGGAGTAAAAGAAGAAGAAAAGGAAAGGAGACCTAAAATGCTTATTTAATGTGTTAGTAGTTATAGTTGTTTATATTATACTAATCTTTAATCATTAGATTTGGGTTTTTTAACTTAATTGGAAGTCATTTAAAAACCCAGGAAACTTTATAGTGAATGCTCTCAGTACAATGATAACATTACACTTATGGCCCCTATCAGGTTGATCCAAGTCCAAAGTGTGTTCTAGCTGTAACAAGTAGATTGCAGTAGAGGACGGAGGTCATAAGACTGTTAAGTGGTAGAAAATTCTAGTTGTTAGCTTCTGTCTACAAGTATAATCAATGCCTATTACTAATCATAAGGAGATAGGAGATAAGCTCAATTACTTCTGAGAAAATGAGAAAGTAAAGAATTTGTACCAAAGTTATTAACTTAGTATGAAGTATAATATTCTCCAGAGAGATAGCTCTTCTTGTGAACAGTGAAAAGATGCTGATTTTCTCATGATGGCAGTTCCCTATACCCTAGGATTTGACTTTGTTGAGATCAGAAAGGAAATCTTTTTCTACTTTAATTCCCAGTGTCTAGAACATGCCTGGAACCCATCATGGTAGATTACTCAAGGTTCAGTATGGAAAATCCCCTAGCTATTTCAAGTACAGGGTGATTTAATACAGGAATTAAGTGTGTGGTGGAAGAAAAAGTCTTCCTCAAATCTCTTAGGGGTGTTGGCTACGTCTGAAAGGAAAACTGACAGAGACAGATTAACAAGAGAAATGCATATACATTTATTTAATAAGTGTTATGGGACACGAGGGCCTTCATAATAAGACCCAAAGAAACTGGTAAACTTGCGTATTTCTTATGCAAGTTTTGATGAAATGGCGAAGTGGATGTAGTTGTGGAGAAGTATGATTGGATAAAAAAATATAATCTAATGGTCATAAATTTGGGAGAACTTAGCAAGGCCTATTTGTTTACATTTGTCTCTGTGTCCATGTGTCTTTAGAAATAAAGATGTTCCTTTCTTCTGGGTACTGGGAGGGCAACTCTTGAATGAGGGTCTTATGACCTGCTTCAGGGGAAGGTCAGAAAAATGTTGTTTAGGTTTTATGGCCTGCTTCAGGGGAGAAGAGTGAGTGAAAGGTGAGAGTATCCTTTCTGAATCTGCTGTTTTCTCCAATGACAAGGGACCATATTTTAGGGTAGTACATCTTGAACTCCATTGAGTGCTAACAAAAATTATTGGAAAAGATGGAAAAGCAAAAGTCAGGGTGTCAAGGTCTATTTGTATTTTTATTTTTGCTCATACTGC
Organism: Homo sapiens; assembly: GCF_000001405.40. Lineage (NCBI taxonomy): Eukaryota > Metazoa > Chordata > Mammalia > Primates > Hominidae > Homo > Homo sapiens. The sequence continues at coordinate 68,581,626 of NC_000008.11, forward strand.
TGTGGTGCAGACTTCTTGAAGCTTCTGCTATGATCAGGAAGCATCATGAAACTACTGCCAAGTTAGAGCTGTCCTGCGGTCCCAAAGCTGGTCGCAGGCAGTGGAGTACAGCCACTGCCACAGTTCACATTCCTGAAACAGGCTGTCCGGCATTTCTGTTGCAGGGGCAAGAATCCTTTATCATTGTCTCACCTTCCAAATTTCTTGCCAGTACATCTCGTTGGCAGAACCAAATTTCATCCAGAATTCTAGATGCAAGAGAGTCTCAGTAAAGTAGTTCTAAGTCTTCCAACTCCTGTGATATTTGGGAAAGCACACACACACAAAAGGATAGGAATTGGCACTCAGCAGTGTAGAGGAGGTAAAAACAAAATTGTTTTCCCCTGTAGAGGTGGAAAGGTTGTGATACCTTCCATCAGTCATAAGAGTTACAGCTGGCACTCCTATAACAAAAGTCAGGGTAACCGGAGAAAGGCATATCTTACTTAATCAGAGTTTTATGTGACCCAGGAACCTTCAGAATGAACACCCAAAGACCCAAGGGAAAACTTCATTTGTATGGTTAGACTCAATGAAGAACGGAGAGCTATGTAGAAATATGATCAGACAAAGAGGGAATGACCTAATGCAACAGACTGAAGTGGGGGAACCCAGCAAGGCCCATCTGTTCAGATTCTTCTTGGCCTCTCAGTGTGGCCTTCCTTCCCTCCAGGTATAGGATATTACCCCTCTGGAAAAGAGTCTTATAATCTACTATAGGACAAGGGTAGGTTAGAGAATTTCTTTATGGCCAGCTCCTAGACAGAAATGTGGGGAAGGTTAGAGGAATAATTCTAGTTTTTATGGTGGGCTTTGGGGAAAAGGCTTTCCAGTTTCTATGACCCACCTTGGAGAAGTAGAATTCTGGTTTTTATGACTTGCTTTAGGGAAGATTGAGGGGTGAGAGGCAGAAAGGCAGGAGAAGGTCAGAGTGACCTTGGTTCTGAGGCTGCTTCCAAGGCCCTTCCAATGTCCTTTAGTTCAAAGTACTCAGTATACCAAAGCACCATATTTTAGGTATTACTCGTTTTTTGAGCTCCAATACTCTCAACATTTCTAAACTCTCTGCTGGGGCCCCTGTGAAAAAAGACAGACTAACAAGACAAAAACAAACAGAAGTTGATTAACATGCATGTCACATACATCCATAGGAGACACCCAACTTGGACTTACATAGCATCTTCAACTAAAACAAGGAAAGGCTGTGAGGAGGCAGATTATGGAAAGATAACTGGGAAAATCAGGGTAGATAAAAGTAATATTTGGTATAAAGGTTTTGGTGCCTTCTCCATTGATAAGAGTCTTTTGTAATTTCATCCTTCTTTTCTTCTTTGTACAGAGTGGGAGATACTCTTACAAATGGAAATTTTCATTATAAATGTAAGTTTCCTTTACAAAAGGGTAATGTATACTGTTTTTAGAGCTTTTCCTGTGTCTGCTGTTTCTCAAAATAATCAGCTCAAAATAATCCTTATGCAAAAGAGCCATATTTAGGGTGGTATATTTTGGTCTTTTACAGTTATATTTTGGGGTACCATATTCTTATCTCCTACAGCAGAAATAGATAATAGCCAAACATGGAGAGAAAAGAAATGATTTGCAGGAAGATAAATAGTACATATATTAGATGACTACCATGCATGAAAAACTTCATTGGGCTCTATTTATTTAATTTAATGTTTCTAACAACTAATTAATATCTCCACTTATACTGAAGCTTAGAGAATTTAAGTAACTTGTTCAACTTCACATAACTACTGTATGACAGAGCAAATATTTAATATTTGAATCCAATTCTCTCTGAATCTAAAACGTATTCCCTATTCACTCTATGGTGCTAATCTCAACAAATTCTTCAGGTAAGTAATGACCCAGATACCTACTTAAATTATTACCCATTTTCAAATCCCCGGACTGATATATTTCATTGCGTTAATCCACCTCCATTTCTTTAAAAGTCAATAGGTCATGTAGATAAATTGTTCTCACCAAGGGTGTAAATCTACACTCATGTCATCAACAGCTGTGAAGACTTGTAATTTTCAACTACAAATATTTAAATGGCGAAAGAGTATAAACAATGCTTTTTTTTCAAATTAGAGCAAATTTGAAGTTTTCCTAAAATAATATCGTGGTCTCATTTTCATTTCAATTTATATTCTTGTGAGGGAGAATTAAAATAGACGTCATGGGACTGCTGCATGAACACTGTCACCTATTGAACCAATCCGTACTCCTTGTGAGTGGATTTTACTGATGGTTATGAATCTTAAAGCATGTTATGCAATCACAAAAATTTTCAAAAAAGTCTGGTTATATCTATATATGTTATCTGCCATGTGAAAAATTACATTTTTATCATGGAAGAAAAATGTTTGAAAATTGTTAATGTAGAGTATTGAGGACAATTCCTCTCTAGCTGTGGGTTCACAGGTTATGGATGCATTAATTCTCTTTATTTTTCAACACATATTTACTTTTATGTGCCTACTGTTCATAATGCATTGCACAGGTAGTATTAGAATATCTGTCCCTAACTTTGAAATGGTACCTTCAGAATGATCCACTCCATTTTGCCCCCAAACTCAACTGAGATTTTTGCAAAAAGCCCTCCATCCTGATAGCGTTCTCTGAGAAAAAAAAAGTTGGATGGAACCTGATCAAAGAATGACTATAAACAAGGAGAAATGAATAAAACAGTATTCCATTCCATATGGATATCCACTCTCCTCAGTAGGTGAGTGTTTTGTCCCACCATCTGAGATACATAGCTTTCTACGGAAATCCGTCTTGTATGCATATAAATATCCATTTTGATATGTATATTTGAAATATATTCATATATACATGTCCATACCTTCAATGTTGTATCTCTTAGGCCCCAAATGCACATAAAGAGCAAATGCACCACAAAGGGAACAGCTGGGAATCATTAGTCATAATCATAGCCAGGATCAAGGGAAAACCCGGCAGGTGGAGTGTTCTCGTTAACAAAATTGTCCAGAAATCTGGAAAGAGAAACATTGTTTAAAACATGGCTCTTAAAATAAATCATGACTGTAACTTCCTCTGGTCTTGGTTTTCTTTATTTTCTTTTTCTAAAACCTGGTTCTTATTGCATAGAAATGGAATATTTGGCATGATAAAAATAATAAACATGAATTGAGTTTTGATGAGACTGAAAGGATTCCATAAAGAACATGGACTTAGATACAGCCCTTCTCCCTCTGGCTCCACAGCCTATTAACTGTTGAACCAATATCATGTGTTGTTTTACCATGGAAATGTAGTGATATGACTATGTGAAGTACTAGAATTCCTGGACTCTAAGGCAGGCTGGTCACTGCGTGGGCTTGGGGAAATTGCTTGTTCTCTGTGAACCTCAAATATTAGGACTTGTAAACTAAGGCCCTTTTTAGTTATAAAATTCTGTCACTGAATGCTGATGCTCAGCACTGGGCAGTCTGAGAAGTGAACTTTGATTGCCCCTAGGATGCTTACATTTCAATCCACTGAGCAAAATGTTAAAAAATTAGAAGTATGGTGAGCACATCTGTAGAACAGAGAGAAAGAAAACCACAAACATAGCTTCTTGGAAGTGACAGCGTGATGAAACAGTAAAACAAAACCAAAAACCAAAAACCAAAAAAAAGCTTTGAAAGGTAGGAAGGAATTTTATGGGATAATTTACAAATTAGTTTGGTGAAGAATGGCTTAAAAGACATTTTCAGTATATAGTTAAATAAAAGATTGGATTCTCATGTTGGATAAGAGGCATATATTTGGTAAAATATTGAGATAGTTATGCAATAGTTTGTAGTTTATTTTGCTGTCACTTATGATATTAGTTATCTATGCTGCATAACAAATTATTCTAAAGCCTAGTGGCTTAAAATAATACTTATTATTTCACAGCTTGGGTGGGTCAGGAATTTGGGAGCAGCTTATCTGGGCAGCTTTGGTTTAGGGTCTCATGTGAGTTTGCAGTCAGTGGGTCAGCCAGGCGTGGCAGGGCTGGAGAGTCTATTTCCAAGAAGGGTCACTCACATGGCTGCTAACAGGAGGCCTTAGTTCCTCACTGCATGGGCCTCTCCCTAAAGCTGCAGAAGTGTCCTCATGATATGGCAGCTAACTACTCCCAGAACAAGCAATCGAGGAGGAGAGAGACAGAAAGAGAAAGAGAGGCAGACAGACCCAAGCGGAGGCCACAATGTCTTTTATGAGTTAGCCTCAGAAGTAACATACCATCACTTCTGCCATATTCTATCAGTCACCCAATCCAGCCCTGGTACAATGCAGGTGGGGATTACATGGGAGTGTAAATACCAAGATGGGGACCTTTGGGACCATCTTGGAGGCTGGTTACCACCTATTAATACAAAGTATAATAGTAAGAACTGAGGAAGGATGAGATTTTGATTCTAAGTATATATATGTAAAAATGAGCAGAAAACAGAGGAAGATATAGTCTACATCTGGCTTTGATTACACACCTTTCTACATTAGAGGGGGAGAAAAAGCCTCAATACATGTATATTTATTTAGTATGTATTAACAACTTATCTACATCTTCCATCATCAATATTTCAAAGAAAATATGCACTTACATCAAAAATCTGCATTTATTGTTCTATGTGATTTCGATTCTTTCTTTACTGCTTAATGTGGTTGACAAAGATCTTGTATATATGAAGAAGGGCCAGTTTGGCCACTTCCTTGTTGTTTGCTTATGATTTCATTATTAGTATTATCTTTAATCTGTAGCTTCTATTCAGAAATCTCTTAAGCCATCTCTCTACTTTGTGAGGGCTAGTTAGTTAAAACTGGAGAATAAAATCTATTAATCCATTTAATCAGTCCAGATAAACTGTAATGCAGTGCGGCTCACTGAGAACAGATGAACAAAGACACACTGCTCTGTTTCCTGGAAATCCTACTCAACCCTTCAGGCACCTCACATTCTTTCCCTGAAATGTGACTATAAGATACAGGGATAAATTGAGAGCACCAATGTTGGTTTGTAAATGAAATAAAGATCGACTTCTTTCCTTTTTTGAAAACAAATAGCAAGCTTAATATTTTCTTCTATTTGATGGCTAAGGAGTTTCTCAAAACTTCTTTTGTTTTGATGAGCAAAGAAATAGGAACATGCCACCTAGATCAGGAGTCAGCAAGCTATAGCCCAAGGACCAAATTAAGTTCTTTGTCTGTTTTTACAAATAAAGTTTTATTCAACTAAGCCACAGACATTTGTTAACAAATTTTCTATGGCTACTTCCATGCTATGACTAATTGCAATACTCTCTATGGTCTGCTAAGTAGAAATATCTACTACATAACCCTACAGAAAAAGTTTACAGCCCCTGTTTTAGGGGCTTTAAATGAATCCTCAGACTCAGGTAAATTTGATGACAGGAAAGCTTAGTGATTAAAGGCACAGACTTTGGTTAGTCACATCTCTTTTTCTCATCATCTCTGGTTTGATGACCTTGGGACAATTACTCATTTCTTGGGGTCACACTTCTCCAGTAATCTATCATAGGATTTCTTTTTTGAGGATGAAATGTCATGTGTCAAACTGCCAAATTCAGTGCCATATTTAGGCACTAAATAATGGCAAAGCTTTAAGACATATTACTGAACAGATAATCTATAAGTAATAGAAATAAATAAATAAATTCAATGCAAATACCTTTGAGCATTAGCATTGAACTTGCTTTTTCATCTTGTTATGTTATGAGTTTATAGAATCTGTGTTGGTTAATAGATTTCAATCTAGACCTCAAGTGGAGCTCTCAGGGATTGGCTCTGGCCCTTTTTGAACATTTTGCCAAAATTTGAATGACAGATGACAAGTTTAGTATCTTTTTGAGTGACACAAAGATAGGAAAGATAGATAAGCATTGTATAAAAAATATAGATTCAAGAAAACTTAATAAAATAAAACTAAGAAAATGAAATTAACAGATATATTAAAAAGTATATTTAATAACAAGATTTATGTTGAAAATGTTAATATTTTAATGCATATTCCTTTATTCTTTGACAAGATTTATTTAATAACAACAACATTCAACTGCTGCTTGTGTGACAAAGAATAACTAACTGAACAACATGGCTACATGGACAAAGAACTATCAGAATAGCATGGCTGTTTAAATAGGAGAAAGAGAGAAGAATGTGAGAAAGGTCATGAGACAGAGAGAGAGAATGTGAATGCAGATGTGAATGCAGTCTCAGACTGCATTCAAAGCATAAAGTGTATGTACAGATCAAAGGATGCAAATCTGGCCAGTTCATATTTTAGGTATTTCTGTTTAATTTTAGATGCCATATTTTTAAAGAGACATTTACCTACAATAGGAAAAGTCAAATTATATTTATTCAGATCACTTTTATGCTTATAGCTATACCTACATATGCCGGTAATTGTACTAATAGCCTTTACATGTGGTGACTACAATAGCTGCCCTTCCCCATCCAAAATTTTGAGCGCATTTAAGGGAAATCTAGTTGTCTGTTAGCTCGAACCTGTGTATTTATCTGAAGTAAGTATTATTGTTTTTCTTTTACATGTTAAGACACTGAATTTCATGTGGAAAGATAATTATGATGTAAAGATGAATATATTGCAGCAAAAATCAGGATAAAAAGCAAATAGTATAAAGCAGATAGTATAAAGCATATAGTATATAGGGTGGTGTTGATGCATGATTAAAGAATAAAGGAATATGCATTAAAATATTAACATTTTCAACACAAATCTTCTTGTATTCTTTTAATCAATAATATGTATTGCATTTGCATCAGACACTATTTAATGTCATGGAGATGTAGTGGTAAACAAATATTCTGTGAATGTTGGGGAAAAGAAATTTACAGGAAAATGAAAGGAGAACAGGACACTGAAAAGTCTAGCAACCCAGTCGAATGAGGAAAGACCAAAAGAACTGTAGGTATTAAGTTCATGTGACAAAAGTCCAATGTGTGGTCATTAGGGTCATTAGATAGGTCTTCATGCATTTGAAGTGGAAAATTGGATAGTTTCATTTTACATGGCACTCATAATTAACACTGATGACAGAAAATTGGTAAAATATCGATCCCATCTCCTCACAAAGAACAATTCAGCAAGACTAAAAGTTAGTCCTCTCTAACAATGGGCTAGGTCAGAAGTCAGTAAACTTTTTCTGTAATGGATCAGTTAAATATTTTCTCCTTAGCAGGCCATATGGTTTCTGTTGCAGACTCCTCAACCCTGTTACTATCGTTCAGAGTAGCCACAGACAGTATGTAAATGAGTGGGTGTGAATGTGTTCCCAAAATATTTTATTGGCGAAAACAGGCAACAGGTTAATTTTAAACTGCAAGCCACAATTTGCTCACCCTTGGACTAGGCTAATTCCCAAGGCTATGAACAGCAAACGGCCAGGCACAAATAAATCGGCTACCAATCAATCACATTGACCAGGGATTTTGAGGATAAACTAGAGAATATGACATAAGATTCCTTCAAAATCAAGGATGAAGTAACAACAGTTAATTTAATATTATCTTTCTGTCTATCCATCCATCCGTGTGTTCATTCAGCTATTCCTTTCTTTCATATTTCATTGTGTTTGACTTCTCTTCTATTTAGCCAGAAATATTTGTTTATATTAAGGATACTAAGATTAATATAGTAAGAATACAGAGAAAGAAAGAACGGGAGAAAAAGAAAGAGGGGAAGGAAGGAAGAGAGAAAATAAGAGGTGGGAGAGAAAATAAAAGAAGGAAGGGGGAAAGAATGAAAGAGAAAGAAAGAAGAAAGAGGAAAAGAAAGAAGAAAGAAAGAGAGAGAACGAGAGAGAGAAAGGGAGAGAGAGAAAGAAGAGAAAGGAAAGGAATGAAGGAAGGGAGAGAGAAAGGTGGGGGAAGGAAGGATGAAGGAAGGAAGGAAAGAAAGAAGGAGAGAAGAAGAAAGAAGGAGGAGAGAAGAAGAGAGGAGGAAGGAAAGGAGGAAAGGAGAAGGGAGGAAGGAAGAAGAAAGAACAAGGGAAAGAGAAAGGAGGAAAGGAAGGAAGGGAGAGAGAAGGGAGAGAAGAGGAAAGGAAGGAAGGAGAGAGAGAAATAAGGAAGGTGGAGAGAGAAGGGAATCAGGAAGGAGGGAGGGAAGGGGAAGGAAGGAAGGAAGTAAAAAGAAAAAGAGAGAAATGAGTGAGGGAGGGAGAGAGGAAAGGAAGGAAGAAGAAGGAAAGGAAGTAAGAAAAAGATGGGGGAGGGAGGGAAAGAAGGAAGGAAGGAGGAAAGGAAGAAAGAAAAAAGGAGGACATTTAGCAGCATCCATGGTATAAAAAATAAGAAAAAATTTTTAAAAAAGGATGAGGAAAGAGGGAGAAGGGAAGGAGGGAGAAAACAAGAAAAGAAAGAAAGGAAAGAATGAAAGAAGGAACGAAAGAAGAAAAAGAAAAGAGAAAGGAAGAGAAAGGAAGGAAGGAAAAGGAAAGGAAAGGAAAGAAGGAAGGAGGAAAGACAGGAAGAAAGGAAGAGAGAAAGGGGGAGGGAGGGCAGGAAGGAAGGAGGGAAACAAAAGGAGGGAGAGAGGGAAAAGCAAAAGATGGAGGAAGGAAAGAAAGGAGGAAAGGAAAACCTTTAAAAATCTATAGTACAACTTTTCAATTTTTCAGAAACAATTATATTAAGAAAGAGATATTTCTTAGTCCCTTTTATTTTCATTAACCTAACAAATCTGACCTTTGAAGCAGGTCATAGGGTTTTACTTTAAGCCCAAAGTACAGAGAACTCAGGATATTAACTAGTGATAATTCCTGTTGTACGGGAACAGGAGGAAAATTTAAATATGTTTGGCAGAGGAGGATGGTGGAAAGGAGAAGAGAGTGGGTAGACGAAAGAGTCCTAATTTTTATCCCCTGTCGAAGCCAACTGCAAGATATTAAAATCATTAAACTTTTAAAAATGAAATCGTTGAAGTTCTTAAAATATCTAACTACATGTGGAAGTCCCCCAAGATTTGAGTCTGAGTCTATCTAATCAGTATGAAGCTTGAGGCCTCTAGGAGACGCACAGCGTTTAGCTCAGAGCTTTATCAATGTCATATGAGAGCAGCAGAGCTACGCTGGCAGAGGCAAGTGTCTACTGAGAACTGAGACAGCTCTGAGGCTTCCCCTGGCCAGCGATATCAGGGATGGGCCTTGGACCAGCTGAGACCACACATGGACTAGCAAAGACCCAGAGTTAGGAGAAGATGCTATATCGTGGGGGAGCTCTCCTTGGAGGCCATGGGCACCATTATGGCATTCCGAAGAACCCAGATGAGACTATCTCACCACCAAGGAGGCCAGAATCAGGCCAGCCACACTGCATGAGAAACCTATGTCGATTTGAGGCCCTTCCTCTATTGCTGCCACAAGGTCGTCAGGTCTTGAGAACTCCTCTGCATACCCTGCCACCATCTTGGAAGGGAGGAAAATCTGATAAGCTGAGATATGGCATGAAAGGGTCTAAGTCATTCAGAAGAAAATCGCCAAACTAAAGGTCCTAACTCTTTTATTTGGCAAAATAATGTTATTGATAGCTTCTTTGCTTCTTCCATTAGTAGGGTAGAGACCATAAGAGGAAGATTAGATTTAAGAGAATATTCAGAAGCTACATTTTCTTTGCATATTTGGGCAATATCAAGTCAAATTTTAACCATTTAATAGGAATCTGAAAAGATCTCTTATTGCTGCTTTAAAGGTAACTGAGCCCCACCTCATTAATGTTACTCATGGAATTAGTTTCACCTTCGTAGTGAGACAAAGAAGACAACGAAAAAGGAATGTTTAAGCGTGCTTAATATTTCATAAACAGTAGGTCCTGTAAAATTGGTAGGGAGGGAGAAGAAGCAGCTAAACTACAGGCTAATGTAACATACTTTCTCTACACATTATAATGTATTCTCAGAGATAATTGAGTTGACTAAAACTCTATCTCGTTCGACGTTATGAATGATTCTATTGTCTATGAGAAAATACTATTTCCCAAACACATGTCATGTGACAGGCACAACTTTAACTGCTCTTACATGACATGTATGTGCTTGTGATATTCTCACTAACTTTTAAAATACATGCTATATTTTGCATTTCTCAGATAAATTAAATGTGATTTGGGGAATTTAAGACTTAAAATGAATTGCCCATGATCAGACTATTACTAACGGCTGGCCTCAGATGCTGTATAATTTCATGAACTCCGCTGTCTTTCATGAGTAAGATATTTTGTTTGTTCTTAAATTGAAATTATATATATGCACTGGGTGACATTATTATTAAAAGGAACCCCCCAAATAAGATAATCTTTTTATGAGTAAAATCACAGCTATTTGCGCTTTTAAAAAAATTTATAAACTTACAAGTGTATAAACTTACAAGTTGACCTTTGGCTTCAGTTTATAACACACTCATAACATTGGTCCCTGCAATGTCTCCATTTATTTTATAGAGATATTTTTTCTTTCATCCTCTATTCACATTTTCTTTCTCCATACTCTCCATATAGACATCTATGGTAATATATTTAATTTTTTATTCCTTATGGCATTTTGATTGGAATTATATTTAATCCGTAAATCAATTTAGCATATCTATTTATTCAACTTCATGTATAACTTTTAATGACTTCTTACATGTTTCTTCATAAAGATCTTGGGCTTTTTCATTAGGTTAATTCCTGGATATTGTATTGTTTGGGCTTTTATTGTGATTGTATCTTATTTTCAGAAATCTGGTTGGTTATTGCCAGCATAGAGGGATGGTTTTGAGTTTTATAAGTTAATATTTTATCTTATAAGCTTTCTGAATTCTATTATTTATTCTAATTTTGTGTTACTTCTGTTAGTTTTTTTCTGTAGCATATCAGCTGAATAACTGCAGTTTATCAATTTATCTCTTCTTTTTTTTTTTTTTTTTTTTTTTGAGATGGAGTCTCGCTCTGTCGCCCAGGCTGGAGTGCAGTGGCATGTGGCGTGATCTCGGTTCACTGCAACCTCTGCCTCCCAGGTTCAAGTGATTCTCCTGCCTCAGCCTCCTGAGTAGCTAGAATTACAGTCATGTGCCACCACACCCGGCTAAATTTTGTATTTTCAGTAGAGATGGGGTTTCACCATGTTGGTCAGGCTGGTCTCGAACTTCTGACCTTGTGATTTGCCCACTTTGGCCTTCCAAAGTGCTAAGTATCTCTTCTTTTTTAATCCTTCCATCTTTTGTTCTTTTTCTTCTTTTATTCGATGTGTTGAGCAGTGGCTTTTGTGGTGGGCTTCATTGTCTTGCTCCTAGTCACAAAGGGAATGCATCTCAAGTTACCTCTGTTAAATGTGAAGCTTGCTGTAAGTTTTTGGTGTTTAACCTTTATCAAGACATGAAGTCCTCATCTATCGTTACATTTTCCTGAGATTCATCAATTGGAAATATTTGCTAAATGTTATCAAATGCTTTTACTATGTCTGCTTTATTGATGATGTGATCTTCTCTTATTAGTCTATTAATTAAATCAATTGCACTAATAGATTTTTGTGGTGTAAGAGTATTGAAATTAAACCTTATTTGATCATGTATTTATGGTTGTCTTAGTATAGTGTTATAATCAATTAACTTATTGAGTATTTTTATATCTATATGTGAAAGATTGTACATTTGACACTGTTTTTAAGTATTGGTCTTGAAATGAAAATTTTTTCTCCTATTTTTGGAGACAGTTTTTTAATACAGAGGCTATTTATTGTTCCATCAAAATATGCCGGGTCCATCTTTAAAACTTAGTCTAGGGGTTTTTGTTCTCATTTGCATGGAGGACTTTTTTATTAATATATTTTTCAATCTTTTAGCACTTACTGGTCTAGCAAAAATTTTTTCTACTAATTTTTTAAAAAATGTTTTCACTGGTGGTGTATATTTGCTAATAAATCCTCTGGTATTTTTATATTTTCCTGTTCACATTTTGTATTTTGTTCATTTACAGCTTTTCTCTTATTTTTCTTTTTCTGTCTTGCCAAAGATTTAGCTATCTATTAATCTTTTCAAAAAAGTACCTTTTAGTTTTATTAATCATTTCTTTTTTATTGTTTGCTGTTTTTATTCAGTTATTTCTGATCTAGCCTTTGTCATTTTATTTCTTTAGTATTCATGGCTATATTACCTTAAAGTTCTTGTTTTTTAATAAGCATGTTCAGCTCTCTAATATTCCTTCAGTGCTGATTTAGTTGTGTCCCACAAATTTTGATATATGTTTTTCATTTTAATTTAGTCCTAGCTATTATTTAAATTTCCCCAAATGTTCTTTTTAAGGTAAGAGATTATTTAATACTGACTCATTTTGTGTACAGACAGAAGTTTTTTTAAAAATAATTTTTTAGTTATACTTTTTTGGGGGCCATAGAGTATTCATTGGTATTTAGTGAAAGTCTTGTGGTCTTGGGATATTTTTTAGAATGGTTAAACTGTGCCTGTCTCTGATTGGTCATCTAAAGTTCTATATAGCTGGATCTTGGGTATAGTAAAGGTGTTCTCAAATGCACTCTGTTTATTTTTCGTCCCCTTGGCCCATGGATATCTGCATTTATCTAACTCTTCCTATAATTGTCTGGTGTTGCTTTATATTTTTAAAGACAAGGTTAGATCCATATATGGGAATGATGGTTATAGCTTCTTGATTTAGTGTTCCCTTTATTTAAATATGATTCCTACTTTCCTCTTACGATGTTTTTCTATATTAAATTGTCTTTTATCTAAAAAATATGTATTTTTACTCCAACATTTTTTCGATTCAGCAGATAGATGTCCAGATTTGTTACATGCATATATTATGTGATACTGAGGTTTGGGGTACAGATGATCCCATCACCCAGGTAGTGAGCATAGCACCCAATAGGTAGTTTTTCAACCCTCCCTAAAAATATTAAAACAACTGTTCTAGAATTCATTGTTTATATCTTCATGGTTCATCAGTTTTATATTTCTATGTTCTACTATTCTACATTTTTCTGTTTTATATTTATTGCTTTTAGACATTATAATTCTGGGTATTTTAAAAATTAAATCTGACAGTCTTGGACTTTTGAACAGTGAACTTAACCCATGTAACTTTATGGAAATTACTCTCCCATAAGGGACTATTTCTGCTATTCTGTTTTAAATGTTCTGTTCTTTATTGCTTCATTTTTTTCTGCTTTCATACCTTTAATAGGATAGATCAATTTTAATCCTGCTGGCTTTCTGGTTTAAAATTTACAGATTTATTTTTACTTTATGGTATTTTCTCCTACTTTTTTAAGATCAGTGCATATTTTTATCTTTTCCTATCACTTTTGAGCTAAGGCAAGTGTTTTTGCTTGCTCTCGCTCCCCTTTGAGTGCCCAACAGCATTCATTGGCTGACTTCATCCAGAGTTTTAGTTCTGGGGTTTTACAGTTAAAAATGGTAAAAAAAAAAAAAAAAATTTTTTTTTTTACAATAATAAACTTTTCTAAGTAATATACTGACACTTACCCCCCAAATACTTTTAGCATCCTCTTTGATTCATTTTTCTCTTTATGGGCTATTTTCTCTAATAGTTCTTTCAAAGTTGTTGATCTTTAAACAATTGTCAATTGATCTTTGATACAAGTGTAAGGGCTTATTTATATGTCTAAAAATATCATTTTAAAATTTTCCCCTTGCATTAAGGCAGTGATGAATAAAATTCTAGTTTGAAATATTTTTCTTCAAAAATATGTAAATATTGTTGCTATTGAAAAGTCTGATGTTGTTTTGGTTGGTTTTTATAGATAATCTATTTTTTGTCTCTCAATGCTTTTAGAATTTTCTTTGCTCTCAGGATTCTTATATTTCCCTGTAATGTTTCTTCTGGGATGTGGGGGGAATTTCTTTCTTTTAATCCATTCTTTAGATATTCCCCTGATAAATCATTTGAATCTGAGGACTTGTATGTTTAAGGGATATTTCAGGCATTATTTCTTCAAATATTGGCTCCATTTTTTATTCTTTTCTCTTCACCTGAGACATCTATCATACAGAAATTAATACTTTTGTGTATTTTTTCTGTATATCTTTCTCTTAATTTTTAAAAATTATTTTCATCTCTTCATTCCTCCCTGCTATGTTCAGGCAGAAATGCTTAAAATTATTTTCCAGAATGTGAGGTGATTTTTTTTGCTTGTATCTATGCTTATATTTAACAATTTCAGTTATTTATTTCAAATAATGCCTGTTTTGTTTTCTTATCCAATATCTTCAAGTGGTCTTTTTTCTTCTAATTACTCATTTTTGCTGTATGTTTCCAATATCACCCTTTATGTCTCTGAAGATATCCATTATGATTATTGTTCAATTGGTCTTTTAAGCCTACTTCCTTTGGTACAGACTATTCTGTTTGTGCGTTTCTTTTTATTGTACTTTTGCCCCTCGAGTGCCTTAGGATTTCTTTCTCTATTAGTGTATATTCCCTTTGGTGAGTTTGACTGATCCCTGGGCAAAGGGAAAAGGCTAGTTCTCATCTCCAGGTAAGTTTAGGAACTTGGAGATGGAGGTGAGACAGAGAACCTCTGGCGGAGTAATGTGAGCTCAACTACTACCCTTTCTCTCCGTCTCCATTGGATAATCATATTCCTCAGATACTTCATTTCCTAGGGCCTCTTTCACATTGTGATTAAATAGTATAATGCTTACTCTGAACACATTTACCTTTAGAAATTAATATATTATTTTTAAATGCATATATGGGTGTCAAGAACTATGAACAGTATGAGATTTTTACTCTACTTGCAAGACAATAAGATAGTCTGCTACAATGTTGTGTGTTCTCGCAGAACACATGAGACTCCTGTATTAGAGACAAAGGCCAATTCTTTACTCACAGCAACAGCCATAGCCAGAGTATCAGCTTTTTCTTAGGCAGGTTACTCATACCTCCATTCCAATGGGTACACGATGGGGCCAGGTGACACCTGCATATCTGTGGGTTAGTGCAGTATATTAACCACAAGCCTAGGAAACCTCAGTCTTTCATAAGGGGCTGGAAGTAAACCTGCACAACTTTTGTCATGGAGGTAGACATTATCTCCAAACAATCCTGCCTTCTGCACCTTAGCAAGATACTCTAAGTTCCAAAGCTGTCCACTCTGCAAACATTCATGTAGAGATAGTCCAGAACAAAAGGCTGACAAGGCATGCAGAAACACAAGAGACCTACAGAGAACTGTTTCCTGTTATGGGAAGATAAACTATTTTAATAATTTAAAGAACTTCTCAAAGTATATATAGTATGGATCTTCCATGTACATGCGGTTTCTTTGAATCATTAAAGACTTTTAAAATTTTCTACTTTTTAGCTGAGTGTTGAAACTTGATTTCTTTATTTTTAATTAAAGTAATGTTATGCAGTCACATTGCCCCTGGGAAACATTTGCATGTTCAAAGCCACACTTCACATGGTGGTGGGAAGTTTCTGGTTTTTGACAGGATGTCAGACGAATCTCCTCTCATGCTCCTGAGCATGCTCCTGAAGGCAGGATACCCCCTTGGAACAAGCAGCGAAGATGACACCAAGAGTCACCTGTGTCTCATGTGCAAGGGTGGGTCACATGCGCATTCTCATGTGTCCTACAGATTGGTGTTCAGACTGTTCTTATGGCTGGGATTTTTAAAATATGTATGAAGTAAGGTGTTACTTATTTTTAAAAATGATTTTGTAGGGAATGTCTTCATCTTCTTAACAAAGGACCTCATCTGTGTTTTTTTAGAAAAGTGTTTAAATTAGAAAGCATGAACTTTACATTGAAAACTCATCTATTTTTCTAAAAACAAATCCTAGAAAATTAGAGGAACTTAAATACATTCATCCTGCAGTTCAGGTAATACATCTGCCACATTGTGGTGGTGTGTGTGTGTGTGTGTGTGTGTGTGCACGGACGAAGGAAATTTAAGTGGGTTATTTCCCTCATTATTTTGGCGACCAAGGAAGAACCCCAAAGGGACTATCTTTACTAGAAAATTGATACTGTAAGAGAAGTTTTTCTCATGTTTCAGATAATACTTTTAAACCCAGGTTAAGCCTTAAAGTAATATAACTACTAGGAAAGAGTAACTTTATTCCTGCTTCTTGTCATGGTCTGACAGCCAGTAGCACATATGTCTTAGTTGTAACTTTGTTTATACTGATAAAAAAATGAAGGTGGTGAATAGTTTATTTTAAAACTAGAAAGTTTTTTCCTTCTTACAACTAGCTAGATTTAAAGTACTTTTGAATTGTGACCTTGTTTTTGATACTACATTCAAGAACATTAATATTTTGATGAAACTATGATAATTTACAAATTCAAAACAATGTTAATCATTGTTTTTAAAAATTAAAAAGTAATGTTAAGCTAAGGTGACTGCTTGGACATATTTGGATAACTTCCTCCTTCCTCACTCCTACCCATATCAATGAAAATGAACAATGCCTTACTAGTGACAATCAAGGAAGATGGGCCAATTTTCATAATCCTTGATGCATTTCTGCTAGAAATAATGCAGCACAGATCAAAATGAAGACAGTACAGATGGGCTTCCACTCTCCTTTGTAGTCAGCAATACATTACCCTATTCATATCCCCCAAATGTCTAAAGGAACTGTGAGATATACGATATTCTAGACATAACATTTGAGACTACTTTTGCTTATGGAGATCAAAAGCTACGGGTACCGAGGGTTCTTGGGGACCCAAGGTTTATATGTTATGCCTGGTGTGGCAAGTCCAGTTCCTCAGACAGCAAAGCGCACCAGTGGGAAGAGGCCGTGGCACAGCTAACTTTGCTGACATGGAGACAGAAATCTGGATCATGGCTTTAGGGTATCAACAAACATCAAGAAGAGACCAGAAACCAAATGAAAAATAGATTTCTCTATTATGACTACTTGTTCTGTCTTCTGCCCCATTCTAAGAAGACCGTTCGTTGAATAGATAATAGAAATTTTCATTTGTAAGATCTTCCTTTTCAGACATGAGAAGAGATTCTAATAGTAATTAGGTGAAGAGTGAAGGAATCCATTGAAAATTTGTCAGTTCTCTTTCAGGAAAAAATATCAGATCTGAATAGAAAATTTGTAAGATGTTAACTTAAAGAAAAATGAAAATGTTGTAGATTGTAAAATAAATAGAAGATACAGAGGACGAGGAAGAGGATTTTCTGTTATGAGAGGACAAGATGTGCTCTATAAAAGACAGGTAAATTTCAGACATTTGTTTTGTATTGTCAACATTGAGAAAATATGGAGTTTATGAAACCAGAGGTAAAAGAGAATAGAAAATGACAATATGGTGAGATTTAAGTGGAATTCTAGTAGAAAAAGAAAAAAAAATAGAAGTTAAACAAGATTAAGTTAATATAGAAATTCAATATTTCTTTCATCTATTAGCAGAATTAACAGAATAAAACAATCCCAAAATACTACTTAACATAGCATTAAAGACATAAAATACTTAGAAATAAATTTAACAAAATTGAGGGTCTACATAAATGCTAAATATACGTTTCTGAGAGATATTAAAGAGGACTTAAATAATATATATCATGCTTATGAATTTGATAAATGAATCCTGTCAAGATTTCAATATAGTTATAATGCAGTTCCAGTGAAAATCCTAACATGCTTTTAAAAATAAAAAATGCTAAGGAGTTGCTAAAATTTGTATGAAAACACAAAAATCTTAGCCGAAAGTAATCTTATAGAGGAAGAACAAAGTGGAAGATTCATACTAATTGAAATCAAAATTTACAAGCTACAGTAACCAAAACAGTGTTGTATTGAACTAAGAACATAAAAATAGGCCAATGTGAAAAAAAAAGTCTAGAAGTGGACCTTTACATACATAGTCTGAAAGGAAAGTCTGTTAAATAAATTTTGCTTGATAAGAATTAAATTGTATTCCTCCCTCACAGAATACACAAAAATGAAATGAAAATGTATTATACCCCCAGATATAAATGCTAAAACTCTAAAATTTCTAGGTGAAAACAGAGGATAATATATGCAAGGTTTTGGAGAAAACAAAGATTTATTAGAGAGGATGTGAAATATACCTGTTGTAAAAAACTGGAAAGTTGAAAATCATCAAAATTAAAGTTTTGCTTACCAAATGTCACATTTGAAAAGATGAAAAGACAAAAAAGTATATGTGTGTGTATACAGACACACACACAAACACACACAAACACATACATACCTATATGTCAAAAGAATTTCTAGAAAACTTTATAATTGAAACAATCCACAAAAGTGGGAAAAAACTTAGACACTTCACAAAAGAAGATACATCTATGGCCAATAAGAAAGACACAAAAATGTGATCAATATAATCATCAAAAGTGCAAAGTATAACTACAATACCAAATTATGACAAGTATGTGGAGTAACTAGAACTCCCATCGTTATTGGTTTTTAGCATATCTGTTTTTGTGGACTTCTCAGCGGTTGCTCTAGGTATTACAATATACATATGTAATTTATCACAGTCTACAGGTATTGATGTTTTACCACTTTGAGTCAAGTGTAGAAATTGTACTCTCATTCAAGCCCTTTATCCTTTCAACCTTTAAAATATAATTGCCTTAACTTAATTCCCCTTGCGGCACTGAGCACCACATCAGATGGTGTTGTAATTTTTAGTTCAAACATCATATATGATTTTTAAAACTCATGAAAATATTTTTTTACATGTACTTCCATTTTTACCTATTCCAGAGTTCTTATCTGAAGTTCTAATGTTCCCTTTGTTATCATTTACTTCCTGTTTTAATAAATCTCTTTAGCCATTCTGTTAGGATAGGTTTGTTAGCAACAAACTCTCTTAATTTTCTTTGCCTGAGAATGTCTTTATTTGCCCTCTATTCCTAAAGCATATTTTTGATAGATATAGCTTTACAGTTGACAGGTTTAAAAACATTTTTTGTTGATACATAATATTTGTGCATATTTATGGGGTATATGTGATATTTCGCTACATGCAAATAATGTGTAATGATCAAGCCACAATATTTGGGGTATTTATCACCTTGAGCATTTGTAATTTTTATGTGTTGGGAACATTTTAAGTCCTCTGTTCTAGCTGTTTTGAAATATACAATATGTTATTGTTAACCATAGTCACTCTACTCTGCTATCAAACCTTAGAACTTGCTCCTTCCATCTAATTGTATGTTTGTACCCATTCACCAACCTGTGAATTCTCCTCCTCGCACACACACTTCCCAGCCTCTGGGTAATCATCATTCTACTGTCTATCTTCACGAGATTAACTTTTTTAGCTCCCACATATAAGTGAAAACATGCATTTTTTGCCTTTCCATGCCTGGCTGATAGTTGGCAATTCTTTGCTTTCATCACTTGACAAATGTATGTCCCATTCTTCTAGCCTTCATGTTGAAATCCACTATCATTTGAATTGGTGTTTCCCTATAAATCATGCGCTGTTTCTTCCTCTTTCATGTGGTGCTTTCAATACTTTTTTTTAGTTTTTATAAATATAATTATTTTGTGTCTTGGTATGGATTTCTTGGGGTTTACACTATTTGGGATTGCTCATATTCTTGAATCCATAGGTTTATGTTTCTCAAGCATTATTTCTTCAAATACTTTATTCAGTCCCATTCTCTTTTTTTCTGAGACTCCAACGGTACACATGTTAACTTTTTTGTGATTGTTCTACATGTCCCTAAGACTGTTTTTTTTGTCTTATTTTTCTCTTTGTTGTTCAGATTAGTTAAATTTTATTGCTCTGTCCTCAAGTTTACTGATTTTATTCTCTGTCATCTCCACTCTACTGTTGAATCCATCCTGTAAGTTTTTAAAAATTATTTTCAGTTATTATATTTTTAACTTTTATAATTTGTGCTTGAGTCTCTTTTGACTACTATTTCTCTGCTGAGATTCATTTTATCCTTTTCATTTGATTCAATTCAATTCTTGATTTCTTATTGAGTCACTTCTAGGATGGCTACTTTAAAATCTTTGTCAGATAACTGCAATATCCATCCAATTCATCTTGGTATTGGCATCTCTTGGGTGTCTTTTCTCATTCAAGTTGTGATTTTCCTGATTCTTGGTATGAAGACTGATTTTCTATTGTGTACTGCACATTTTGTATATTATATTAAAATATTTGAGGTGGAATTTTATCTTCTTTCTCTGGTAGGCAGTCTCCCTGTTTAGGAATAGCACATGATCCAGGTGGATGTGGATGTTCCATTTCCCACTGGGCCTTGATGAAAACTAGAGCACTCTCTCACACGGCCTCACGGATGGAAGTTCAGCTCCCTCCCCCACCATCAGGTCATCTCATTGCCTCCAATGAGGAGAGCCAGCTCACTGCCTCGTGGGGCCTACTGACACCAGGGAGGGGAGAAGCAGAATGCTGACTTTAAAAGCCTTGTTGCCACACGATGGGAGCAGTGAGTTAATCCACTGCCATGTGTTGCTAACACCGGGAGAGGGAAGGGTGGAAGTGGAGTGCCAACTAATCCCACCTCCCACCACCTCCTTCTAATCATTGATATCGATGGGGGTGGAGGTTCAGTTTCCTCCCAGCCCCTGCTGACACCATTGTTGGGGAGTGTATTAGTCTATTCTCTCACTGCTGTAAAGAGAATGGGTAATTTGTAAATGAAAAAGGTTTAATTGATTCACAGTTTTACATGGCCTCAGGAAACTTACAATCATGGTAGAAAGGGAAGCAAACACATCCATCTTCACATGGTGGCAGGAGAGAGAAATGAGAGCTGAGTGAAGGGGGAAGCCCCTTATAAAACCATCAGATCTCTTGAGAACTTACTCACCATCACGAGAATAGCATGAGGGTAACCACCCCCATGATTAAATTACCTCCCACCAGGTCCCTCCCACAACACATGGGGATTATGGGAACTACAATTCAAGATGAGATTTGGGTGGGGAAACAGCCAAACCATATGAGGAAGTAAAGCAGAGTGGTGACTAGCCTTGTCTCACACCACCTTATTAAGTCTAATTGCTGCCAGATGTGTGGGATGGAGGCTCAGCTCGTACTAGATCGTTGACATCACTCTGGTGCTGAATGGGAAATGGAAGACCATTTCCCCGTTGGCCCCACTGAAACCATGCAGAGAGGGGAAGTCGTTCTGTTGGCTTTTTGCTGAGGTAGGGCAGGTATTGCCCCCCATGTTTTCTGTTCATGAGACCACCCTTTTCCTGTACTTTTTGCTAGAGCAAGAAAGATTTTCTTGGAACTTATTTTCTTTCCACATGTTGGCAGTTCTGGGTTCAAGGCTTCTGCAACACCCTATTCAGCATGTATAGCAGGCAATAAGAAAACCCAGGGAAATCACAGCCTTGCCACCCTTAATTCTTCAGGTTCCTAATCAGTCCATTCTCTTCTGTTCATCTTTCAAATCTTCCTAAGTTTGTTCGTGGGATTATGTCCAGGGTTTGTTGTTGTTGTTGTTGCAAGAAGAAGCACCTGGGAGGAAGGCAGCTACTCCCCCTTGGCTAGGACCAAAACTCTCATTGCTGCTGAAAGTGTACAAGGGTGCAACCACTTTGGAAAAAAGCTTAATAGTTTCTCATAAAGTTAAATATATACTTACCCTATCACCCTGACAACTAAACTTGCACTTGGCAAGGCTATTCCTCTCCCAGGTATATGCCCAAAAGAAATAAATGAGATGCTCCTGACTATATTCATAATATCTTCATTTATAACTGTCCCAAACTGAAATAATCCAGTTGTTCATCTGGAATATACCCAGATCATGGTATATTTATAAGTGGAATACTACTCAGTGTGTATGTATATGTATATATACATATATCTATCTATCTATCTATCTATCTATCTATCTATCTATCTATCTATCTATCTTTGATCTGCTTACTGGTACATACAGCATTATGGCTGAATCTCAGAATATTAAGTAAAATAAGCCAGATACAAAAGAAATCATACTGTATGGTTTCATTTACATAAATTTCAAGAAGAGACAAAACTAATCTGTGGACGAAAAAAACCACAGTGGGGATATGAGTATAGGTATTGGCTGAAGGAACTTCCTTAGGGGATAGAAAAGTTGTATACTTTCATTGAACTGTTGGCTAGAGAATAAATTGCCAAACTTTTCAAATTACACTAAAGATCTGTGCATTTCACTGTGTATAACCTCAATAAAAGAAGTCACAACACAGTAATATCCATGGTCTAAAATTTACAGAAAAATATTTCTGCATCCTTCTGACTAATAATCAAATTAGAAGGCAGAAAGTGAAAGAAGATTAAGATATAATTTATGAGAGTTAACAAGTAAACCTACAAAATTAAAGTTTGCCTTGGAAATAGATAAAGATAAAAACACCATGGAAATTCAAATTATTGTATGGAAAGCACTATTTAGAAGCTTTTCACAAGATGAAGCGGAAATGAGAAAAGAACTGAACACAATGAAAGAGCTGATGTCATAGAAGAAGTAAAGATAGAGGATATATGACATGAAGAAGAGACCAGAAACAAATGGAAGAGAAGAATCAAAGATCCAGGGGTGCTGGGATAAGCTTTAGACATGAATGGGCTGTCTATGTACCATTCAACATTGAGTTGTTTTTTTTTTAAGCCAAAAGTCAAATTTTAATAACATTTTAAAATAAAATTCAGGAATAAAAGATTTAAATGACAAAAGATAAACAATGTTTACTTTATCAGCAAAAGATAGACAGCAAATCATTCTGTAAGAAAACAAGTAAAATAAAGTACAAACAAGTTCTAGATGAACAACAAATTAGTTATAGCAATAAGTGCAGATATTTTTAATGACAACAATTTTCATGTGCTTAAAAATATGGAATTTACCCACATAATCAACTGATCTTTGACAAAGATGTGAAGGCACTATAATGGAATTATAGTATGACATAGTTTCACCGAAATATGCTGGAACAACTGGGCATCCTCATTTAAAAATAATAAATCTAGGTACATACCTTATGCCCTTCATAACAATTAATTCAAAATGGGTCAGAGACCTAAATGTAAAAGGCAAAACTGTAAAACTAGAAAATAACATAGTAGAAAATCTAGATCACCTCGAGTTTGGTGATAACGTTTTGATACAATACCAAAGGCACAATCTATGAAAAGAAGAAAAAGAAGCTAAACTTAATGAAAATTAAAAACTTCTGCTCTGCAAAAGGCATTGTCAAGAGAACATAAAGACAAGAGGCACTGACTGGGTAAAAATATTTGCAAAAGGCATATCTGATTAAAGACTATCATCCAAAATATATAAAGAACCCTTAAAATTCAACAATAAGAAAACAAAGGATCCAATTAAAAATTGGACCAAAGATCTTAACAGATACCTCACCAAGGAAGACATACAGATAGAAAATAAGCACTTGAAAATGTGCTCCACATCATTTGTCATTCAGAAAATTGCAAATTAAAACAGCAATGAGATGTTACTACACACCTGTTAGAAGGGCCAAAATCCAGAACACTGACAGCACCAAATGCTGGCAAGGATTTGGAGCAACAGCAGCTCTCATTCATTCCTGGTAGGAATGCGAAATAGTACAGTCACTTTGGAAAACAGTTTGGCAGTTTCTTATAAAACTAAATATACTTTTACCATATAATTCGGCAATTGCACTCCTTGGTATTTACCCAAATGAACTGAAAATGTATGTCTACACAAAAACCTGCACATGGATGTTTATAGCAGCTTTATTCATAATTTTCAAACCTCGGAAGAAACTAAGATGTTCTTCAGTAGGTTAATGGATAAATAAATTATGGTGCAGCCATGAAACTGAGTATTTTTTAGCACTATAAAAAGTGAACTAGCAAGCCCTGAAAAGATGAGAGGCAGCGAAGAGGAGGAGACACCTTAAGTGCATATTACTAGGTGAAATAAACCAATCTGAAAAGACTAGGTACTGTATGATTCTAACTACATGACACTAGAAAAGGCAAAACTACAAAGAATGTGAAAGAATCAGTGTTTGCCAGGGCTTGAGGAGGGAGGAATCAATCCCTGGAGCACAGAGGATTGTTAGGACAGTGAAACAATTCTGTTCAATACTGTAATAGTGGATATATGTCATTATACATTTGTCCAAATTCTTAGAATGTAAAAGCACAAAGAATGTGCCCTAATGCAAACTATGGACTTTGGGTGATGATGATGTGTTAATGTAGGTCCATCAGTTGTAACAGATGAACCCCTGGGGGATGTTGATAATGGCAGAGGTGGTGTGTGTGGGGGGCAGGAGGTACACAGGGAATCTCTGTACTTTCTGCTCAGTTTCGCTGTGAACATAATACTGCTCTAAAAAACAAATTCTATGAAAAACGTGAAATTCCTCATGAAGTCAGGGATAAAGCAAAATTGTTATGCTTTCTGCAACTTTCAACCAATGCAATATGACGCATAAATGATGGATTGAGGAAAACCAAACCATGATCATTTGTAATTAATTCTCTTATACATTAAGAAAAATCTAGGAAGCAAACTATCATAATTAATAAGTATTTGGTAACATGGCTTATATTAATATTGTGAAGAAAAATAGCCTTACTAACTGGGTGCAGGAATTGTGTCTTACTTTATTTTACATCCCAGTGCCTGGAATAATGTATCCAACAAATATTTGTTGGTGGAAAAGATATTCCCTCATATATCCTGACTGAATATTAAGAAAATCATAAATGAACAAAATATTTATGGATAAAAGTTGGCCCATAACTTACAGAGAGAGGTAATGGAATAAAGGATATTATAATCTACTAATTGGCTTTCTAATAATCAGAGGTTGCTGTATTTTAAGAGATTTGATGTCACATACTGTATTACCTCAGAAGCTAAATTGTACTTGTTGGTATTAGGTTTGGATCTAGTGAGATTAATGTCATCCAATAAATTTGTAGCTAAATCAACACAGGCAACATGATACCCTGCCTCCTAATCTTTACTATTTTTTGGGAAAATGCTGTAATGGAAAGGCAATGATCACTGGATTTTTTTTTGTGGAATGGGTGGGAGGG
Source organism: Homo sapiens (assembly GCF_000001405.40). Taxonomy (NCBI): domain Eukaryota; kingdom Metazoa; phylum Chordata; class Mammalia; order Primates; family Hominidae; genus Homo; species Homo sapiens. The sequence continues at coordinate 68,606,746 of NC_000008.11, forward strand.
CAGAAAGGGAGTGAAGGAGGGCATAGTTGAGGTCATGCATAAAATCTATTAAACTAAAAATTCTCTGGTACCATAGCACTTAATTAATCCTTGGCATTAAGATATATTTTTGGTTGGATTTTCCTTGTTTATTGGATATTTTGACATGCAAATAAACTAGTGAAACTAATTTAAGATCTCCATGTGTCTATCCTCAAAGCACTCTGGCCACAGGAGTAAAATGTTGCACAGTGATATCTCTCAGGAAACATTCACCAACATACTACATATCTCCAGATGTTTACCATTTGTGAGTGTTTTAAAAATGAAAACTCCCATCTGTGTTTCTTATCGTCAATCAGAGTCTATCGCCAACAGCTGAAGGTATCCCGAGGCTAGTCTCCTAAGGCTTTGTTCATCGAAAAAAGACAAAGAAGAAAAGGATTATTATTTTCTTCTTCTTTGCTTCATTGGCAGCAAGTTTTATGTTTCCCTGCAATGAATAATAAAATATTCAAGACTAACATTATTATCTATTATATATGTTCACTAAGGCTGCCATAATAACGTACTGTAGGGTGGGTGGTTTAAACAACATTTCTGGAGGATAAACATCCAAGATCAAGGTGTCGGCAGGGTTGGTTTCTCCTGGAGCCTGTCTCACAGATGGCCACAGGTGGCCGCCTTTTCACTATATCTTTACATGGTGTTCTCTCTGCAGATGTCTGTGTCCACATTTCTTCTTCTAAGGACACCAGTGACACTGGGTTAGGGCCTACTCTAATGGACCTAATTTTATCTTTACTTTCTCAAAGACCCCTATCTCCAAATACAGTCACATTCTAAGGTACTGGGAGTTAGGACTTCAACATATGAAATTTGGGGAAAAATTTTTCAGCCCATGACACCTACTTGACGTTCACTTTGAGGCCTGAAAAATCCAGATTTATTGTAAAGTTAAATCATTTCTTGTACCTTGTAAATGAACCTACAAGACTGTTGAATATCAAAATCTGGAATCTGGAGAAATCTGTCCTATTATTTCTTACCCGCTGCTTTTGTCATCAACAAGAGCAATGATTAATGTCATTTAGAAGGTAGCATATGTGTGTAGTCTTGATTATGTTTTGGCAAAGGTCATAGCTAAGATACGTTCAAAAGGATGTGGTTGAGATGTTCAACAAGACTCTAATGAAGATGAATTATAGAGCGACTTTGGAAGTCTGTGTGGTCAGAGAGGCCAGTGAAGTTCCTAAAAGTGAGGTAAACAGAACTTTCTGGTCAAAAAATGAACAGATAGTAGGAAACAATATAGTAGTTTTTATTAATTTATTCACTCTCATTCATTCAACAAGCTTTTACTGTGTGCTGGGCAGAGAAGTAGACACCAAATGCAGAAAAAAAAACAATAAAACTTGGACTCTGTCTTCAAGTTCTGTACTCTGTATGTGGGAAAGAAAGATGTGTCAAGCAAAAATTATAATACCATGTGAAAGAAATGAGTATAATAGAAACATTGAGAAAATTAGCCAAACCACTCTAGAGCTATGTAGAGATGAAGGCTGTGGTAATAAAAGCGATCTTCTAGGAGAGACAGAGGGTAAAAAGAGAAAACTAAGCATGTAAACTTGAGGAACCTCAAGTGAGCCAAACCACTCTAGAGCTATGGGGAGAGGGTTAAAGAGCCTTGAATTTTGGATAGAATTTCTCTGATGGCAAAGATGCAGATGATGAGAGGATGGAGAGAGAATTCTTAAGTGGAGGGAACAGTGTGAGCAAAGGCATAATGCTAAGGAACAGCATGATGTGTGGACGGAAATTGGAAGTAGCCACTCCATGATACTAGATCATAGGCCGAAGCAGGGAAAGAAATTGAGAATCAGGCAGGGTATGAAACATGCAGCACCTCCTATGACATTTGAAGGAGTTAAGATGTGTTCTGTAGGCAAGGAAGGTCTGGGTATGACATGGTCAGATGCACATATACCTTGGATCATGTGGCAGCTGTCTCAAAGATAGGTCTGATGGGGGGGATGAGATAAGAAATAAGGAGAAGAGTTGAAGGCATTTGCAGCAATCCAACAGAGGAAGGATGAATGTTTCAACCCAAAATGTTAATAGTACGGATGAAGTGAAACAAGTGACTATAAGAAATACTTGGAGCTGAGCACAGTGGCTCACACTTGTAATCCCAGCATTTTGGGGGGCCAAGGGAGGAAGATCACTTGAGTTCAGGACTTCAAATCTGCCTGGGCAACATAGTGAGATTCCCATCTTGACAAAAGTATAAAAATAAAACATTAGCTGGGTGCAGTGGTACTGGCCTGTAGTCTTAACTATTCTGAAGTCTGAAGCAGGAGGATTGCTTGAGCCCAGGAGTTTGAGGTTGCAGTGAACTTTGATTGCACCACTGAACTCCAGCCTGGATGACAGAGAGAGATTCCATCTCAAACAAACAAACAAACAAAAACTTTGGACATATAGGTTGGAAGTAAGAGAGAGGAGAGTTGAGAGTGGAATAGGAGTCAAAACAATCCCTAACTTCTGTGTTATATATTCAAGTGCCCAGTGACTGTATGGGGCTAAGCTCCCTGGAGGTGTATCTAGGGGTTACTAGTATGCACGTGATAGTTGAAACCCTTGGTAATGAAAATGATCTTCCAGGAGAGAACAGAGAATAAGAAAACTAAGAATGTAAACTTGAAGAATCTCGAAATGAACTTCATGAAAGAGAATTCACAAAGAGCTACAAGGAAATCAAGAAATTGGTGTGGTCACAGAAGCCAAGGGTATAAAGAGTTTTAAGAGAAGTTGGTAATCATTGGTGTCAAACTAAGATGGAGTCTGAGTAGTCTCATTGGGTTTGGCATTTGGTAAATTACTAGCTCTATTGAGAACACAGTGTGCTGAAGGCAGTATTCAGTTTGCAGTAGATAGAAAAATTGATAGTGGGTAAGAAAATGGAGAAAACTCCATTGGATAGCCTGGATGACTTTTCCAGGGAAAATGCTGAAGTTCTCCATGTACCATTAATATCCTTCCTTAGTTTTGGAGGCCTGTGGGCCTCAAGGGAGAAACAAGTCAGATAAGTACTAGTTATGGTCCAGCCACTAGTTTCCAGGAAGGTGGGAGGTGATGAGTTCAAACACAACAAAGCCAGGCAAGTGGAGCCAGGTGGAGATAAAGAATGAAGCAAAAGACGTGGAACAGAAGGGAGTTTCTGCCAATTCCAAGATTCACCCAAATGCAATTAGGGATAGATAAGGGCTGAGGCTGAGCATGGATCAAGTGCATCGTTATCTCTCACATTCACTCAGGAAAAACTAATGAATATAGAATTGAAGACCAGTCTCACATGTGAATTTCTGATGTCTGCAGCAGTATACTTATGTAATTTTGAGATATATGCAATATGGAATTTTTTAATTTACAGAAATAAGCCTCAACATAATTTTTTGCAAGAGTTTTTAGTATGCAGTTCAGTTATTTCTAGGAGCTCTGGAAGAGCGGATGCATGAGAAATGGAGGTGGGCAGGAAAAGAGTAATTCATGAAGCTAATTATGTGGAGCAGTGCACTGGAGAATGTACTGTTTGTGGCACTACATGTACCAAGAGTTAGTGTTGACACTTCTATATAAACAGTGGTTATATTATTTATGTAGTGATTCTCTCAAATGAGGTACTACCTGGCTCTCTGATTCATTCCTAGGGGATAATCGAATGCATGTTAGTATAGTAAACCTATATTAAGACCTTAGAAATCTGCATGATATTAAAATCTAATGTAATCATATTTGAACTTAGATAATTAAAGACAGGCAAACTTTCATAAATTCTTGGCTTCATTTGCATACTCAGCAACAAGTCTTAGGTATCTACTAAGCTTTAGGAAGTGCAGCCACTAAGCCAGAGCCATAGAAGGAGGTGGAAGATATTATTATGCCTTTCTCCGTTTTTAAGTTAGTTGGGAACACCTGAAAACTATAAAAAAACAGTCAGGGACTAAGTAAAAGTAACTAATGAGGGAATGTTAGTGTCAAGTACATTTTATTTATGTATTCCAATGATGAAAAACAAGGATTAACTAGAAAAAAAATTGGATTAATTCATGTTTTCTGGTTACAGTGAATCTTTGGTTTTTTTTTTTTTTTTTTTTGAGACAGAGTTTTACTCTTGTTGCCCAGGCTGGAGTGCAATGGTGCTATCTCAGCTCACTGCAACCTCCGCCTACCAGGGTCAAGCTATTCTCCTGCCTCAGCCTTCCAAGTAGCTGGTAATATAGGCATGTGCCATCACCACGCCCAGCTAATTTTGTATTTTTAGTAGAGACAGGGTTTCTCCATGTTGGTCAGGCTGGTCTCGAACTCCCGACCTCAGGTGATCACACTTTAGCCTCCCAAAGTGCTGGGATTACAGGCGTGAGCCACTGTGCCCAGCCTACAGTGAATCTTAAGATGAGTTTTCAAGGGGATGACTATTCAGATAGACATTAGGGAAATCGTATGAGCAAAGGTGTAGAGATGGAAGCAAGAAATGTTTTGGCAGAAATATGAAAACTGATGAGCTTTTTACATGAAACATAGGACTGACTGCTATATTTGTTCTCCTTGGTTGTCAATTCAGTTCAACTGCATTTCTTTTGGAAAAAGGGAAATCAGAGAAATCCTTAGGCTTGGGTAAAATACTTTGATTTCAAGAGGTCCTCTCTAGGATTGTTAGCCCACAAGAAATGGATGCATTTCATAAATACTTTTATACCTTTAGAGTCAGTTAATATTGTAACCATAAAGCATTCATGTCATAGAAATTAATACACAGCATTATTTAAGTCAGATAGGAAGAAAAACCACTCCTTGTAGTTGCTAGTCTTCAAAATTAAGCTGAAAGATTATGCTCTTTTCCCTCAAGTTTTATAAGCTTTTATTTTGTAGTGATATGAACTTATGTCAGTATCAACTAGTTTATAGAAACCTCCACTTCTGAGATAGATTGTCATATGGTTGGTAACTACTGTTTATAGAGTTTAAATCTGCTAACAATTTTGATTAAGGGGTAAAGTGAAAATGCATGTTAGTTAAGTCTCCAGCTTCAATTGTCCATGTACTTACAAACAACAAGCAGTGAGCAGTGGCCCCCAAGAGGGAAAACACCTACAGTGAAATCTTGTACCTCAGTGAGTCAGAAGAGAAAAGCTTTGTTTTTCACATTAACTTTAGATTAATGTGGCTTTGTTTTCAAATACCATATGCCAAGTTTAATGTCTGTTGCCTTTTCCTGGAAAGTTCAGAAAATCAAACTTGTGAAAGATCACTTGGGACATGAAGCATGCTGGGCAGGGTATCTGTGAAATGAACATGCAGGATGATGGAACGCTCTTCCCATAGCTTTAGGGAGGTAGGACGGTCATCTCGTATCATTATCTGCAACTGCCTCCACCTCTCATTCATTATCACTTCCCAAACTAATATCACTAACATTTATGGGCTGCTATCTATGTGCCAGACACTACTTCACACCTCTTATGCACTGGCTCACTCAACCAACATAACAATCTTGAGTTAGCCAGTTCTTTTCCACATTTTGTTTATGGGCAAGCTGAGACTCTGAGATGTTAAACAACTTGCCCCAAATCACACAGCTAACAAGAAGGGTAAACAGAATTTGAATCTCAGTAGTCTAGCTCCAGAGGTGACACTCTGAACCACTAGACCATATCACCTTTCCAGTATTCTGACATAATATAGAAATAATATCTTGCCCCGGCTCAAGAAAAACCTTTTGATTGATTATTTCAAACTATATTGCCATTTAAGATTGTTTATAGTTAAATATCACTTTACTCATCCAATTGTATTTCTCATCAGGACCTTTTACATATTTATACATTCAATGAACATTTATTAAACATCTATCATATGCCAAGACCTATAATATGGCACTAGGCATACAAATATGCTATAGTTACTGATTTTTAGAAAATAAAATATCAATGAAAACATGGACATATAGATCAATTATTATGTTAGTCCTTTCCTCACCTCATTACCTCATTACTTATGTATTTTTTCTCTATGTGTGTCTGAACTGTTTGCTGACATGGTTCTTTTTGAGAATCTTATAGATCTGTTTGAATTAATAAATTTAAATAATAACAGTGATAAATGATAAATCAACATCCAGGTTAAAATTCCCATGCTTAGAAAAACGTAATTTCTAGTTATCTTATAAGGTGCTGACCAGTCGAGAATTGGCTGGCTTTGTTTCTAGCACCATTAATGCTCCATCCACTTGAATATATATTGGTGGTTTTGCAGTATACAAAGTATGGCTATTTTCTCATATGGGAACATTGAGAATATGTATTTTTCTTCTAGAAAGATGCAGTATTACTGAACACACATAGCTGGTGGGTTTCAGTGAGATTAAAGGAAAGTGGAAATAACATACATTGTTGAAATTAAACTTGATGGTACAAGAGGAGACAGTAATGGGAATTCTTGCCCTGTGGTCTGAATTTATCTTGTGGAGAAGACTTTTATAATATCTTTTATTTTATGCCTTTTTCTTTTTATTTTATTTTATTATACTTTAAGTTTTAGGGTACATGTGCACAATGTGCAGGTTAGTTACATATGTATACATGTGCCATGCTGGTGTGTTGCACCAATTAACTCGTCATTTAGCATTAGGTATATCTCCCAATTCCATCCCTCCCCCTCCCCCCACACAACAGTCCCCAGAGTGTGATATTCCCCTTCCTGTGTCCATGTGTTCTCATCGTTCAATTCCCATCTATGAGTGAGAACATGCAGTGTTTGACTTTTTGTCCTTGTGATAGTTTACTGAGAATGATGATTTCCAATTTCATCCGTGTCCCTACAAAGGACATGAACTCATCATTTTTTATGGCTGCATAGTATTCCATGGTGTATATGTGCCACATTTTCTTAATCCAGTCTATCATTGTTGGACATTTGGGTTGGTTCCAAGTCTTTGCTATTGTGAATAGTGCTGCAATAAATATACATGTGCATGTGTCTTTATAGCAGCATGATTTATAGTCTTTTGGGTATATACCCAGTAATGGAATGGCTGGGTCAAATGGTATTTCTAGTTCTAGATCCCTGAGGAATCGCCACACTGACTTCCACAATGGTTGAACTAGTTTACAGTCCCACCAACAGTGTAGAAGTGTTCCTATTTCTCCACATCCTCTCCAGCACCTGTTGTTTCCTGACTTTTTAATGATTGGCATTCTAACTGGTGTGAGATGGTATGTCATTGAGGTTTTGATTTGCATTTCTCTGATGGCCAGTGATGGTGAGCATTTTTTCATGTGTTTTTTGGCTGCATAAATTCTTCTTTTGAGAAGTGTCTGTTCATGTCCTTCGCCCACTTTTTGATGGGATTGTTTGTTTTTTTCTTGTAAATTTGTTTGAGTTCATTGTAGATTCTGGATATTAGCCCTTTGTCAGATGAGTAGGTTGCGAAAATTTTCTCCCATTTTGTAGGTTGCCTGTTCACTCTGATGGTAGTTTCTTTTGCTGTGCAGAAGCTCTTTAGTTTAATTAGATCGCATTTGTCAATTTTGGCTTTTGTTGCCATTGCTTTTGGTGTTTTAGAAATGAAGTCCTTGCCCATGCCTATGTCCTGAATGGTAATGCCTAGGTTTTCTTCTAGGGTTTTTATGGTTTTAGGACTAACATTTAAGTCTTTAATCCATCTTGAATTAATTTTTGTATAAGGTATAAGGAAGGGATCCAGTTTCAGCTTTCTACATACGGCTAGCCAGTTTTCCCAGCACATTTATTAAATAGGGAATCCTTTCCCCATTGCTTGTTTTTCTCAGGTTTGTCAAAGATCAGATAGTTGTAGATATGCGGTGTTATTTCTGAGGGCTCTGTTGTGTTCCATTGATCTATATCTCTGTTTTTGTACCAGTACCATGCTGTTTTGGTTACTGTAGCCTTGTAGTATAGTTTGAAGTCAGGAAGCCTGATGCCTCCAGCTTTGTTCTTTTGGCTTAGGATTGACTTGGCAATGTGGGCTCTTTTTTGGTTCCACATGAACTTTAAAGTAGTTTTTTCCAATTCTGTGAAGAAAGTCATTGGTAGCTTGATGGGGATGACATTGAATCTATAAATTACCTTGGGCAGTATGGCCATTTTCACGATATTGATTCTTCCTACCCATGAGCATGGAATGTTCTTCCATTTCTTTGTATCCTCTTTTATTTCATTGAGCAGTGGTTTGCAGTTCTCCTTGAAGAGGTCCTTCACATCCCTTGAAAGTTGGATTCCTAGGTATTTTATTCTCTTTGAAGCAATTGTGAATGGGAGTTCACTCATGATTTGGCTCTCTGTTTGTCTGTTATTGGTGTATAAGAATGCTTGTGATTTTTGTACATTGATTTTGTATCCTGAGACTTTGCTGAAGTTGCTTATCAGCTTAAGGAGATTTTGGGCTGAGACAATGGGGTTTTCTAGATATACAATCATGTCATCTGCAAACAGGGACAATTTGACTTCCTCTTTTCCTAATTGAATACCCTTTATTTCCTTCTCCTGCCTAATTGCCCTGGCCAGAACTTCCAACACTATGTTGAATAGGAGTGGTGAGAGAGGGCATCCCTGTCTTGTGCCAGTTTTCAAAGGGAATGCTTCCAGTTTTTGCCCATTCAGTATGATATTGGCTGTGGGTTTGTCATAGATAGTTCTTGTTATTTTGAGATACGTCCCATCAATACCTAATTTATTGAGAGTTTTTAGCATGAAGGGTTGCTGAATTTTGTCAAAGGCCTTTTCTGCATCTATTGAGATAATCATGTGGTTTTTGACTTTGGTTCTGTTTATATGATGGATTACATTTATTGATTTGCGTATATTGAACCAGTCTTGCATCCCAGGGATGAAGCCCACTTGATCATGGTGGATAAGCTTTTTGATGTGCTGCTGGATTTAGTTTGCCAGTATTTTATTGAGGATTTTTGCATCAATATTCATCAAGGATATTGGTCTAAAATTCTCTCTTTTGGTTTTGTCTCTGCCCAGCTTTGGTATCAGGATGATGCTGGCCTCATAAAATGAGTTAGGGAGGATTCCCTCTTTTTCTATTGATTGGAATAGTTTCAGAAGGAATGGTACCAGTTCCTCCTTGTACCTCTGGTAGAATTCGGCTGTGAATCCATCTGGTCCTGGACTCTTTTTGGTTGGTAAGCTATTGATTATTGCCACAATTTCAGAGCCTGTTATTGGTCTATTCAGAGATTAAACTTCTTCCTGGTTTAGTCTTGGGAGGGTGTACGTGTCGAGGAATTTATCCATTTCTTCTAGATTTTCTAGTTTATTTGTGTAGAGGTGTTTGTAGTATTCTCTGATGGTAGTTTGTATTTCTGTGGGATCGGTGGTGATATCCCCTTTATTGTTTTTTATTGCGTCTATTTGATTCTTCTCTCTTTTCTTCTTTATTAGTCTTGCTAGCGGTCTATCAATTTTGTTGATCCTTTCAAAAAACCAACTCCTGGATTCATTAATTTTTTGAAGAGTTTTCTGTTTCTCTATTTCCTTCAGTTCTGCTCTGATTTTACTTATTTCTTGCCTTCTGCTAGCTTTTGAATGTGTTTGCTCTTGCTTTTCTAGTCTTTTAATTGTGATGTTAGGGTGTCAATTTTGGATCTTTCCTGCTTTCTCTTGTGGGCATTTAGTGCTATAAATTTCCCTATACACACTGCTTTGAATGTGTCCCAGAGATTCTGGCATGTTGTGTCTTTGTCCTCATTGGTTTCAAAGAACATCTTTATTTCTGCCTTCATTTCGTTATGTACCTGGTAGTCATTCAGGAGCAGGTTGTTCAGTTTCCATGTAGTTGAGCAGTTTTGAGTGAGTTTCTTAATCCTGAGTTCTAGTTTGATTGCACTGTGGTCTGAGAGACAGTTTGTTATAATTTCTGTTCTTTTACATTTGCTGAGGAGAGCTTTACTTCCAACTATGTGGTCAATTTTGGAATAGGTGTGGTGTGGTGCTGAAAAAAATGTATATTCTGTTGATCTGGGGTGGAGAGTTCTGTAGATGTCTATTAGGTCCGCTTGGTGCAGAGCTGAGTTCAATTCCTGGGTATCCTTGTTAACTTTGTCTCATTGATCTGTCTAATGTTGACAGTGGGGTGTTAAAGTCTCCCATTATTATTGTGTGGGAGTCTAAGTCTGTTTGTAGGTCACTCAGGACTTGCTTTATGAATCTGGGTGTTCCTGTATTGGGTGCATATATATTTAGGATAGTTAGCTCTTCTTGTTGAATTGATCTCTTTACCATTATGTAATGGCCTTCTTTGTCTCTTTTGATCTTTGTTGGTTTAAAGTCTGTTTTATCAGAGACTAGGATTGCAACTCCTGCCTTTTTTTGTTTTCCATTTGCTTGGTAGATCTTCCTCCATCCTTTTATTTTGAGCCTATGTGTGTCTCTGCACGTGAGAAGGGTTTCCTGAGTACAGCACACTGATGGGTCTTGACTCTATCCAATTTGCCAGTCTGTGTTTTTAATTGGAGCATTTAGTCCATTTACATTTAAAGTTAATAGTGTTATGTGTGAATTTGATCATGTCATTATGATGTTAGCTGTTATTTTGCTCGTTAGTTGATGCAGTTTCTTCCTAGCCTCGATGGTCTTTACAATTTGGCATGATTTTGCAGTGGCTGGTACTGGTTGTTCCTTTCCATATTTAGTGCTTCCTTCAGGAGCTCTTGTAGGGCAGGCCTTGTGGTGACAAAATCTCTCAGCATTTGCTTGTCTGTAAAGTATTTTATTTCTCCTTCACTTATGAAGCTTAGTTTGGCTGGATATGAAATTCTGGGTTGAAAATTCTTTTCTTTAAGAATGTTGAATATTGGCCCTCACTCTGTTCTGGCTTGTAGAGTTTCTGCTGAGAGATCCGCTGTTAGTCTGATGGGCTTCCCTTTGTGGGTAACCCGACCTTTCTCTCTGGCTGCCCTTAACATTTTTTCCTTCATTTCAACTTTGGTGAATCTGACAATTATGTGTCTTGGAGTTGTTCTTCTCGAGGAGTATCTTTGTGGAGTTCTCTGTATTTCCTGAATCTGAATGTTGGCCTGCCTTGCTAGATTGGGGAAGTTCTCCTGGATAATATCCTGCAGAGTGTTTTCCAACTTGATTCCATTCTCCCCGTCACTTTCAGGTACACCAATCAGATGTAGATTTGGTCTTTTCACATAGTCCCATATTTCTTGGAGGCTTTGTTCGTTTCTTTTTATTCTTTTTTCTTTTATGCCTTTTTCTATTGTGTTTTTTTATTTGGACCATCTATACCCTTCCTATTTACCAATTTAAAATTCATCTTCAAATCTTACTATCATCTTGTCTTGAATGTCTCAAATGGATATCAATTTTCTTAAAATAATTTTAAGGGATGTTTAAACTCATGGTCTCTCTCTTTTTTCTTAGTAAAATTGCAAAAGTAATGATAAAAGTTATGCCACTGACATAAATACTTAAGGCCTTTCATTCCATGGTAAGAATAACATTAGTTTATTCTTTAGATATTTTGCTCTCCCATTTTCCTCTTTCCCATTTCTTTATCTAAATATAGTTCTTTACTTTTGCCAAAGGTTGAACATCTTATTATTATTTTGAAGATAGGGTCTTTCTCTGTCACCCAGGCTGGAGTGCAGTGGTGTGATCTTGGCTCACTGAAACCTGCTTCCCAGGCTCAACAGATCCTCCCACCTCAGCTTCCCAAGTAGCTGGAACCACAGATGCACAACACAACGCTCTACTAATTTTTAAATTTTCTGTAGAGACAGGGCCTCTCTATTTTGCTCAGGTGGTCTGAAACTCCTGGGCTCAAGTGAAACTCCTGGGCTCAAGTAATCCTCCTGCCTCAGCTTCCCAAAGTGCTGGGATTATAAGCATGCACCACTCTACCTGGCCTTTTATCTAGTACTTTATTTTTACAAATCAAAATAATGTGAATGAATCTAAGAACTATAAAATCAGCAAATAGCTTAAAAGCTTTTTCTCAAACTAGTGAGAGTTCAAATGGATCTAGAGGGGAGCAGACAAAAGGCAGATGGTCCTCACATTTGTGTCAGCCTTCAATAATGGATGTTTGAGTAAAAGAATAATAGACAAACATTTAAAATGAAATATTTTAATATATAGTTAAAGATATAATATCTAATTAAGTTTTAAATACCATGGATAATGTGTTACTGAAGACCAATGGAAAGAGATAGTTACTGAGAGCTAGGGGGATGGAAAAGTCTTCATGGAGGGCTGATGTTTGAGCTGAACTTTAAAGGAGAGGTTGGGCTGGGCACTGTGACTCCACCTGTAATCCCAGCACTTTGGGAGGCTGAGGCCTGGGGATCACTTGAGCTCAGGAGTTTGAGACCAGCCTGGGCAACATGGTGAAATCTCATTTACTACAAATACAGAAATTATCTGGGCATGGTGGCATGTGCCTATAGTCCCAGCTACTTGAAAAGCTGAGGTGGGAGGATCACTTGAGCCTGGGAGACAGAGGTTTCAGTGAGCCAAGATCACGCCACTGCACTCCAGCCTGAGTGAGAGACAGACCTTATATCAAATAAATAAAAATAAATACATAAATAAAGGAGAGGTTGAATTTTTATTGGCAGATAAATCATGAGAGGCTTTTGCAGATGAGAGGGAAACCTGAGCACGGACAGGCAGGCTGTAATAAACAAGGCATGCAGGGAACCTGGTTATCGTGAACCATAGGGATAATATTTTGCCCTTGAACCAATGTATTTTTCTAAATTTTGAATCATGTTTTAATTTTATATTATGTTTCTCTGCTGATTTTGACCACAATGAAGCTATCACCTCCAGGAAGAAAAGGTACCATCTAAAATAAGGAGGTTACTTACTGGTCAGTTTTATGTTTCAAAGCTAACTTCTTTGAGGGCACAGGTACATATTCATCTTAAAGAAAGACCTGTGGAGAGAGAATTTTGGAATTTTCCTAATTCCACATGTTCTCCCTTTGTATCTCTAATGCAAAGCTCCTCAGAGGTTTAATTATAAATCATAGTCACAATTTAGCAAAATACGGATATAAGGAAGGTACCCAGCTGATACAATGAAAGACAAAAGCCCTTATAATTTCTGGCCAGTAGGAAAAAAGGTAAAAAGACAAAATTAGGTCACAGATAAATGTTCTCATTTACTCCTCAGAATAGAAAACCTGGGTGTGTAGGGTATAGAAATAGTCAGAGTGAAGAGGATTAGAAGTGAAGAGGAAGGTGACAGAATCTTTACTCAAAAACCTCAGACTGATTGATGGAAAATATGGGAGCTCTTGGGCCATTGATTTCCATTCAGTATTCACACATCACGGAAGTGCAGGGTGAAATGGGGTGAAGAGAAAGAGACTAGCCAGATGGGGTAGGGATAGCACTTCCAACATTTCCTGAGCTCCTATGTGACAGGGAGGAGCCCCCAGTTCCTGTGTGCTCTGAGCGGGACCTGGAGGATAACTGGAAATTGAGAATAATGGGACTGACTTAATGAGGCGCAAAGGGACCTCACACCAGAGGGTGTGGCATCCCAGCCTAGGCCAGAGTCCAGGAAGAGGTTGGGGTTGGCATTCAGAGGGTCTGGGAGTGAAGGTGGAGCTGAGTCAGTGGTAGAGGGATGCGTACCAGGCTCCTGGCCATGCTGAGGACAGGCCGGGTCTAGTCACCAGGGAGAAGAGCTGTATTACCAGAGTGAGCAAGGAACACAAAAGATGGCCTCAGGTCCTGCACGGAGAGGAGCTCCCTTGCTGTCTACTGCCTTGAGGACACATCGCTTCCCCTTACAGCCAGATGCCACCTAGAGTGGCAAGAAGGAAAAATGAAACTTGAAAACAGAAAAGGAGTCTTTTTAGGGATTTTGAACCTAAATTCAACTATATCTGTGTCAAAAAAAAAAAAGACTAAGTTTACTGGGAAAAAAAAAAAGAAAAAGAAAATGTTTAAGCCAGAGGAAAAAGAAGATAACTGTAGATGGCAGATATAAGTGTCCATTAATTTAGTTTTAGCTTTTTTTTTTTCCCCCATTACCCAATAAGATGGAGGTTTGAGAGCAAGGTCAGATTATTTCTAGAAAATAAATTAGATTTTTTATCCATCCTAATTGTAGTTTGTTTTGGGGCACTCTGAAAGTATTTTAGAGATTGTAAATAAGTCAAGCCTCCTGGAATGGAGGGAGTTGTTTATATGCGGAAATAGTGATCCATAGAGTTAGAAATATATAAATATTTGCCCAGATGTGGGAACACCAATATATTGAAATTGGATCTGGAAATCTATTCAATATGTTTTATATGAAAAGTGTTCTTCATAATTTCAAAAGTTCTAGGAGATGTACCCCAGAAGAAGTACAAGATGTGTACTCCTCTGGCTGTGGCTTTATCTAAGCCATGGCTGGAGTCCATCCAGAAATGTTGAGCTGGGACAGTGGGGACAAAGTGGGGCACGTGGTGCTTTGGTGCTCCAGCAGTCTTTGTGTGTGTGTGTGTCTTCTATGAAAAGCTGCTACAAGCTGACTCCACTTTTTGTCAGAATATGTTTGTAAAAACCACATGTTGGATCAGAGACTCACAAACTGGATCATATTTTTCCTACCCAAATGATGTTATAATTGTGGTTTGAATTTAAGACACAGCATCAATACAACATAGCTGTAATAAACACTACAACACAAAAGAGAAAATTTCAGCCTTTATAAATAATTTAGACTTTTATAAATAATTTAAAATAGCAAAACTGTAAACTCTATATAAAATATTCTACGGTCAACTTGGTTATGTCATAAATTTGGCCAAATATTAACATTTGATAGCTGTCAGTCTTTAATTCATAATTTTGCTTGCCATTTTATAACTAGGAAAAATATTTTAGGGAATAATTTGAATGCCCAGGTGTCTTAAGATGGTTTGGAATCTTAACTGTTTTTCTTCTATATGTAAGTCTCACCTGATCTTCAACTTCGGTTAGTCAAGGCAAAACTGCTCACTGAAGTAATTCTTCAAGACTTCACTAAGAATTTTCTTCTAAGTAATTTGGGGAAAAGAAAAATTGCTTGAGTGTTGCATTCATTATTTATAGCTGTGTAATAAATGATCATATACTTAGCAGCTTAAAACAACACCCATTTATTATCCCACAGTGTCTGTGGGTCAGGACTCTAGGCACAGCTTAACTGGGTCTTCTACTTCAGGCCATCTCACATGGTTGTGATCAAGATTCCAGCCAGGGCTCATGAGGTCTCTTTTGAAACTCAGCTGGGGAAGGATCTGTCTCCAAGGTCACACAGTTGTTGACAGAATTCAGTTCATTAAGTGTTGTTGAACTGTGGGTGTCAGTTCCTAGCTGATCATTGGCCAGAGGCCACCTTCAGTTCCTTGTGGTGTGGCCTCCCCAGTATTGCAACTTGTTTCACACAAGTGTGCAAGCCAAGAAAGCAATAAAGTATGCCAGCAGAAATGGAAGTCAGTGTCTTGTAACTGAATCACAGAAGTGAAGTCCAATCAACTTGACAGCATTCTTCAGTTAAAAGCAAATCACTACATCCAGATGACTTTCAATGAGGGAGGAAAGCAGGGATCATGGGGCCATGTTAAAGTCATCCTGACACAAGTGTGTTCAGCATATTAATATCTACTAACCTCTTCCTCTTGTTTTCTTTCTGACATATGACGCTCTTAAAGGAAAAAAAAAATAAAAGTTGTAAGTGAGAAAGGGACCAGAACATATGTGCTTTTTGTGTTGCTTATATAGCAGTGTGGTAGGTCGATGGTATGGCAATGAGCTTGAGACTTTCATAATAGCAAAGGCATTGCAGTAAGTGAGCATAAGAGACAATATTTCATAAAGAAGATAAATATCAAGATAGCATCTTTGTTTTGTTAGTCATGGTATTTAGTGGCTGCGTAAACAGAGTGAGATCAATTGTAGTTCAAAAGGACTGGAGATGAAACTGAAGTTAGGAAAGTTGAGAGAACAAAAAAATAAAAAAGATGAGATGCAAAATATGGAGTAGCCACAGGGAACAAAAATTGGTGAAAGAGCAAAGATGTTTAAAGATGATTTGGGGGAAGTTTTGCTATGCAAAATTCAATTTAACTGTCTCTTTCATAGTGTCATGACATTTTCCATAAAATGTTCGTATATATCATTTGTGATGGGGTATCTGATGAAATACTGGACTGGTGTTATGGTAAAAGCAGAGACCCTTGCGGAGCAAGTCTTCTTTGTGTAAGGTAGAGTGAATCAGCAACGTAGTGTGAACAGGTTATTGTGTTATGGTTGGAAGAACATTGCCTTTGTGTTCAAATCCAGACTGTACCACATACTAGCTGTGTAACTTGATCAGATTAAACTCTATTAACCAAATGTCAGATTGCTTAGCCGAACCTGGCCTACACAGTTGTTTGTCCCACACATTAAACACTTTCAAAAGAGTTGCCCAGTCCTCAGCTTACACTCTTTATTGTCTTATACCTATGTATTTTATTCGTATATAGTACCTGCCTGTAATGCAATAAATAGGGCATTTGACAATCAGCAGTGGTTCTCAACCTAGCACCGTTTACATTTTAGGCTGGATAATTCTTACTTGTGGGGGGCTGGCCTCTACCAACTAGATCACAGTAGCACTCCCCACCCCACCCTCAGTTATGACAATAGAAAATGTCTCCAGACATTGTCCCAATGTTCCCTTGTTTTAAGGGGAGGGAAAAATCACCCGTGGTTGACAACCACTGCCTTGGATGTTGTTTTATGGGAGAAAATAAGGTGTAACATTTGAAAGCATTTAGTCCATTTGGCTGAACAAAGTACCATGGACTGGGTGGCTTATCAACAGGAGAAATTTATTTCTTACAGTTGTGGAGGCTGGAAGTTTGAGATCAGGGTGCCAGCATGGTTGGGGTCTGATGAAGGCCCTCTTCTGGGTTGTGGACCACTGTCTTTTTTTTTAATCCTTGGGTGGCAGAAAGAAGGGGAGAGAGCTCACTGGGGTCCCTCCTATAAGGACACTAATCCTATTCATGAGTGTTCCACTCACATGACCTAATTATTCCCAAAGGGCCCACCTCCTAATACCTTCACATCAGGGCTTAGGATTTCAACCTCTGAATTTTGGTAGGGACAGAAATGTTCAGTCCATTGCAGTACCTAAGAGAGTGATTGAAACACAGTAGACACTCAACAAATGATATTTTTCCTCTAAAAATGTGAAATTGGGCTGTGCGCAGCAGCTCACACCTGTAATCCCAGCACTTTGGGAGGCTGAGGCAGGTGGATCACGAGGTCAGGAGTTCGAGACTAGCCTGGTCAACATGGTGAAACCGGGTCTCTACTAAAGATGCAAAAAATTAGCTGGGCGTGGTGGTGCACGCCTGTAATCCCAGCTAATTGGGAGGCTGAGGTAGGAGAATCACTTGAATCTGGGAGGCGGAGCTTGCAATGAGCCGAGATCACGCCATTGCACTCCAGCCTGGGGGACAGAGGGAGGCTCTGTCTCAAAAAAAAAAAAAAAAAATTGAAATTGGAGAGTAGTTTCTCACACACAGAGTTAAGTAGATATAACTTGGTATGAATTGAAACACAGAAGACAAATAATATTATGTTAACTAACAAAAACACTAGTTTGAGAAATCATCTGTAGAAGGTGCATGTATAACACTTCAGCGGTATGTACATAAAAGCTGACCCTTAGCTCTAAATTTAGACAGATCAAACTTCAATTCTTGTCTCTTCCAGTTAATACTTGGGTGCCTTAGGCAAACCCTTTAGACTTTCTAAGGGATCTTATCTATAATATGCCTTATCTATAAAATGGAGACAATAATGACATGTATATCATGGTGTTGTGATCATTCACTCATTCATTCAATATATAACTAGTGTGCTTTGATATTTCAAGGACAATTCTAGGAAATAGCGATACAGCAGCGAATATAGACAGTTCCTGCCCTCCTGGGAATTTATTTATTTATTTATTATTTTTTGAAACAGGGTTTCACTCTGTCACAAAAAATGCAATGGCACGATCACAGCTCACTGCAGCCTCGACCTCTGGGAATCAAATGGTCCTTCTGCCTCAGCCTCCCGAGTAGTGGGGACCACAGGCATGTGCCACCATGCTCAGCTAATTTCTTGCTTTTTTTTTTTTTGTGTAGCTGGTATTTACTACATTGCCCAGGCTGCCTCCTGATAACTTATTAGTAAATAGACAATGAACAATAAATTTATAATGTAATTTCAGGAGATAATAAATGCTATGGGGATAAAGAAGTATAACAGAATAAAGAATGATAGAGGTTGCTCTCTTACATAAAATAGTCAAGGAGATCTCTTAGAAGGTGAACTTTGAGCAGACATGAATGTAGGGAGAGAACACAGTATGGGTTAGCTAGGTAAAGGCTTCTGGGGTTGAGAAGGGAGCAAGTACAAGAGACCTCAGGGCCGTAATATTCTTGGCCTGCTCCCAGTATAGAAAGAGGCTAGGGCTGCTGGATAAAAGGAATATATTATGTAGCTAATTGATACCTTTTTATATTTTTAATTTTTAAGTTTTCTCTTATCACCAAATACTCACTTTTAGGAAATTCAAAATATGTATCTAATGTGGGAAGTGAGATGAGGTTGTGAGGTGACAGAATGCTGCATGAGATGTTATTAAGGAAGAGCTCACAGAGGCAACTCTCCAAGAAAATGAAACAGAATTGAAAATGGTCTTGTAAAATTCCACTTGGGGTGGCGATGCTTTGTGGCTTGAAGTGTAAGGGATGAGAACAGCATGTGAATTCCAAGAAAGCAACACAGAATGGAAAATGGATTTACAATGTGTCAGACAGGGAGGCAACATCCTGTGGCATGTGGCTTGCATCTCAGCGGTGGGAAAGGTATGTCATGTGCCTGCTCCTCCCTGTGGCACACCACAAGGGAGTGTGAGTTGGCAACTATGGCCAATATACATCAACAGCAATTTTAGTATATGGCCAGCAAGGGTCTTCTTTTGAATTTGTCTCCAAATTTGATTCTTTTTTAATTTATTCCAAAGTGCTGAGCATGAGATAGAAATAAAGGAAGTTTGGAGGGGAGATGATAAGGATAGCTATGAAACTTAATGTCATTTCAGATTAACCACATTGGATTTAGAACCTTGACAAATGTGACTGGTGTAATGATATATTTTTTACTTTATGAGCATTAGTTGGTTAAAATTTGCTTCATTAAGAATGTTGCTTGATGCATTGAAAATCTCAATATTAATAACACAAAGTTCAACTTACCTTTTATAAATATTAGTTTGATTTTTTTGCAAGAGAGCAATGTTTAAAATCCATGTGGAGATGAGAGAGAGGAAGGGAAGTGAAGTAGAAAGGACATCAAATGGAGGAAAATTGAAGCAAAAGAGGTATGCAAAATTAAGGGTTTAGTGAAGGAACAGTAGTATCAGAGCTTAGGACTTAAGCAAATACAAAGACAGAATACAAGGAAAGAAAGGAATGGGAGAGTGGGAGATGTTCACCATCCAAATCTTGTTCCATTTGAAATCAAAGACAAAATAAACTAAAATTAAATCCTGAACTGAAATCCACTAATATGTCAATTTAGTTTTGTGCATTTGTGTTGTATATAAAGTAAACTGACTTCAGACAGAGTCAACTTTACTAATGACAAATTTAGAGCGTGGATGCAGAAAAGTTAACTGCTAAAATAGGGACTGTAACAATTAGTACATAATACATTTGTCTCTCCAAATGGCTTTTTTGAGTTAGCATATTATGTAACCCAATGCAGAAGCACTTATAAAAATGAGCTCAATTAATATTTGTAGTTTGGATTAAGAATCAAAATATCATCAACTATGATACAAGGTTCGATTATTAGGTTTATGGCCAAAATGCATGAGCAGTCAACACATTAATAAAGTACACATAGGAAGTTCTCAACATAGGATCTTATTTATTGACACAGGGGCTGTAGAAGTGTAAAAATTCTATTAAATAGGGTCAGCAATTAGTTTAGAAACTAAAAAGAATAAATATGTTTGATGTATCATTTATAGTGACTGAAATAATGCTTTCTGTAATATAGTGGTACCTAAAAGGGCCAGCAAAAATTCCATAAATAAAATGCTGGGGTGAGAAAAGCTTTTCAAAAAGACTGACTTAACTCTCAAGAAATATTAAATATATAAGATTTTTTTATCCAGAGAAGTGTCCTGGGAGAATTCGAATTGAATAAATATACTTTAAAATGGTAATTAAAATGATGAGCTTTTGCAAGATTTTGCAGTGTTTTTCATATTTGAAAAAAATTACACATTTTTACCCATCATCTTACAATAATCAATAATTTACATAATCCTAGTCTTTTAGGTTAACCAACCTCTCCTGATGACTACCTAGGTACCATCCTTGCCTTCTCCAGGTCGACACTCTGAACGTTCTGCCTGACTTTCCTCACTCTGATTTCCAGTTGTATTCCTGAACCCTTCTACCCTCTGTGCTGGTCTCCTTTCCATGGCCTTCTCCTACTGCCCCTCAAAATCTGGTCCCTGAGACAACAACTCCTCCTCTGACGTTGTCTCTAGATTTTTGTGTTGCTTACAATGTGTTGCACTTCAATTAAAGCTATTACTGGGCTTTCAGTTACACCAGGCAAGGCATAACCCTCCCCTGACATGAGTTCACATGCCAGGAATTTCTGTGATTTTTATGAAAGAGAATTGTTCACAATCTCTAACCTCTGTCTGTCAAACCTTCACAGGGTGACAAAAGTTACAGGAAACAAAGTGTATGCAATATAATCTTTTGTATTTGTGGTGTGTGAAAACTGAGAATAATAAAGATGCACTCTGATGCAGAAACCCAGTTTTGGGGAGTGTTTGGATTTGAATTTGCTTGAACTGGTATTTTCTTCCAGATTGGAAGAAGGAAACCACTCCCAGATGTCTTTATTTTTCTAACAGAAGAGCCTTCACAATTTAAATAATGAGGGGTTCAATTAGCAGAAGTCTTGTGATTCATTTGCAATCTAAGCAAACAAATTCTAGTCTACTAATTTTTACAAAACTCTGTGGTCATCCTGGGTTTGGCTATTGAGTTTGGCTATTGATGGTTACATTCAAAGAAATTAAAAAGGAACTGGTAAGTAACAAAGAAAATCTCAGAAAGTTTTTTACTCTTTTCAGTTAACAAGAGAAGACATGGAATATATGTAAATTTAAATGTATATAAACATTTTCCCTAACTTAATTAGTCTAATCACTTTCTTTCTTTATTGATCTCATGTGGTCAAGAAGAGTAAATATTCTGTAACCTACTTACTCTTATGTTATTAAAATGGAAAATTTCAACGCAGCACTTAAATTCCACCAGACCCTCTTTTTCCAAATGCAATTCTAACTTAAATTGTTTTTAAACTAAGGTTAACCTAAAAAGTTAAAACCTATAATTTCTGACATGTATTTTGTTCTTATTATTTATAAGCTTGATTATTTATGAGCTTGAAGTTGTACTATTCTGAGGTACTAAAGAAGAATGCTGAATTCATATTTAAGGTATGAGTGTAAAAATAGAGAACCAACAGAAACATGGCCTGAACATCTTTCCTTCGTCTTTCAACCAGAATATGTCCCAACAAAGTGAATTATGTTTCGTTCTCCTTTTTTTCTTTTCCCCTTTTTAGGAACTATAGCTGTCTCACATAACAAAAATGTTTTCATACACGTTTTATTTTAAACTTGTCTAAGTCCCGATCTGTTTTCTTAACATTTGCTTTATTTTTAATAATTCACTCAGAATATATAACATCTGCTTAAAACCTTTGACCAAATCAGCTTTATTGATATAAATCAACAAACCAATTGCAATTCAGGGAAAAACTGCCATAAAATTCTTGTGTAACCCATTGCTGAATCACTGTGAAGGGACTAATGTTTGGAAAGCTTTTAATTTTAGTTAAAAAGTTCCTTGAAACAGATGTGAAAATTCACTCATCTCCCACATTGTCTAGTTCAAGCAGCTGCAAATTATTTCATGGATTACATTTGAATGAATGTCCTGGGATTATTTCATCTAGGCAGCTGTTATTTCCTTAAATTAAATCAAAACACTTTTTTTGTTTGATTAATTCTTGGTTATTTGCTATTGTGTAAAGATGAAAAGCTCACATATCTTTGGTCATAAATTGGTTCATTTTCCTCAATACAACACACTTTTAAAGGGTATGTTTAAAAACAAATTACTGCTTTGAGCTTCCTAGTACAAAAAGAAAAAAAAATGTAGTACTCTCTTCTTTATAAGTTCTTAAATATAACATTCATATAATGCACACATTTTACTTGTAAAAATAGTTGCAAGGAGTGTCACTACTCAACTTTAACTACTGGGATGATAATTATACCAGGTTTTCTCAGCCAGATGGTCTATAGCTCCATTCCAAACTCCTTCACTAGATCCAGACTTGTCCCTCTGAGTGTCTACCAGACGTCCATATGTATATCTTGAAGATAGCTGTATCTCAGCATGCGTGAAACCAAAAACACCATCTCTTCCTGTATTCCCTAAAAGTGGTAAGATGGAGAAGCCTGTTCAGATGGCACATTCAGTTGTTCACTACACCCTACTGAATCTTCCTCTGAAATTACGTTTCAATACATTTCTTTCTCTTCTTACTCCTGGTCACTGCTTCCTGCCACATCTCCCTTTTCCAGTTTTTAAAGTTTTTCCAGTGGCTGTTTAGTGCAACAAATGTATTCCTCCAAAAACTAACATTCCAAAAGTCAATCCTATGTAAAGAATAATTTATCAGATGATCAATTAATTAATTATCAAATTATACAAAATCTTATGGTCAACAAATATCAATGAATGCCTACTCTGTGCTAGACATACTTCTAAGAAACTGAGATTATAATAATAAATGAGAAAGATCAAGTTTCTATTCTAAGGTGTCAGAAAAGAAAAAGATATTTTAAAATAAATGTAATAGGTGTGTGTGTGTATATGTGTCTGTATGTAAATGTGTGTTTATGTTTAAGTGAGTGCATGTGTGTATGTGTGTACAAAGTGAAGTAATGATAAGGGCGTGCGTATGTGTGTATGTGTGTACAAAGTGAAGTAATGATAAGGGCTTTAGAAAGAAAATAGAGCCAGATAAGAGTATAGCAAATAATTTTAAAATATTCTTTTGAATAGAATCAATAATATGATTGCATTTACCTCATGAATATTATTCTTAAATATTGTCAATAAATGTATTCTTCTTTGTATCAATTTAAGGAATATTTATTTAGTATAAAGCAATAGAACATAGGAGAGTTTATTTTAAAATATAACTTTTATTAATATATTCATGACATATATCATAAAATAGCACTGTCCAATAGAAAAATAATGAGTTACAAATTGAAATATAATTGAAACAATGTAATAATTTTAAATTTTCTAGTACTCACATTAAAAAAGGAAAAAGAAACAGGTAAAATTAATTTTAATAGCACATTTTATTTAAACTGGAATATCCATAATATTATCATTTCAACATGTAGTCAACAGAAAAGTTACAAATTAGATATTTTGCATTATTTTATTTGTATTATTTCTTTGAAATTCTGTGTATATTTAACTCTTGCAGCATAACTCAGTTCAGACTAGCCACATTTCAAGCACTCAGTAATAACATGTAACTAGTGACTCATGAATTCAACAGTACAGTTCTACAGTATATTGAATATATTCAACATATACACTATATCCATGATATTTAGTTGAATATATAATTTTATAGTCTTAAGTACAAATATCTTAATAAGAAATGCACTTATAGGTAATATATTTATTAATTCATTCACTGAATATTTTAGTTGAATATATTTATGTCATTGAGGAATATTTTATAGTGGTTATATTATTGGTAATATTGACTATATTCCAAAAAAGTCCTACAATTAATGTTTATAAATTTAGCAAATTATTTATTTATTTAATTGGTTTTTAATAAATATACCTACAATTATATTTCAGTTTTTTTTGCAGACAGGATCTCACTCTGTCTCTTAGGCTGGAGTGCAGTGGCACAATCAGAGCTCACTGCAGCCTCAACCTCATGGGCTCAAGTGATCCTCCCACCTCAGCCTCCTGAGTAGCTGGGACCACAGGCATGCCCCAACATGCCCAGCTATTTTTTTTTTTTTTTTTTTTTTAAAAAACAGGGCCCCAGCCAAGGTTCATGGCTCATGCCTGTAATCCCAGCACTTTGAGAGGCTGAAGCGGGCAGATCACTTGAGGTCAGGAGTTGGAGACCAGGCAGGCCAACATAGGGAAACCCCATCTCTACTAAAAATACAAACATTAGCCAGGCATGGTGGTGGCATGCACCTGCAGCTACTCAGGAGGCTGAGGCAGGAGAATCACTTGAACCTGGGAGATGGAGGTTGCAGTGAGCCGAGATCATGCCACTGCACTCCAGCCTGGGCAAGAGAGCAAGACTCTATCTCAAAAATAAAAATAAATAAATAAGTAAATAAAGACAAGTCCCCACTATGTTGCCAGGCTTGTCTCAAACTTCTGGGCTCAAGTGATCCTCCCACCTTGACCTCCGTCCAGAAGTGTTGGGATTACAATCAGGAACCACTGTGCCCAGCTAGTTATCTTTCTGAAACACAGAATTGATATGTTCCTGCATGATTATTATAATAATATCATAATTATTATAATCATTGATTATCTCCCTTTATCATCTAAGACTAAACTCTGTTTTAATATTCCATTCTGCTATCCCTATACATCTCAGGCTACATCATATTAGATGCATAATATTTCAGAAAGTACTATTGATATTGTTTGGCTCTGTGTCCCCACCCAAATCTCATCTTGAATTGTAATCCCCATGTGTGGAGGGAAGGACCTGGTGGGAGGTGATTAAATCATGGGAGTGGTTTACACCATGCTGTTCTCCTGATAGTGAGGGAGTTCTCTGGAGATCTGATGGTTTAGAGGTGTTCGGAAGTTCCCTCTTTGCTCTCTCTCTCCTGCCACTATGTAAGAAGTGTCTTGCTTCCCCTTCACCATCTGCCATGATTGTAAGTTTCTTGAGACCTCCTCAGCTATGTGGAACTGTGAGTCAGTTAGACCTCTTTCTTTTATAAATTGCCTAGTCTCGGGAAGTTTTTTATACAGTGTGAAAAAGGGCTAATACATAAAATTGGTACCAGGAATGAGGTACTGCCTAAAGATACCTAAAAATGTGGAAGCAATTTTGGAACTGGGTAATGGGCAGTGGCTGGAACAGTTTGGAGGGCTCAGAAGAAGATAGGAAGATGTGGGAAAGTTTGGAACTTCCTAGAGACTTGTTGAATAGTTTTGACCAAAATTCTGATAGTGACATGGACAATGAAGTCTAGGCTGAGGTGGTGTCAGATGGAGATGAGGAACTTTTTGGGAACTGGAGCAGAGGTCACTCTTGTTATATCTTAGCAAAGAGACTGGTGGCATTTTGCTCCCACCCTAGAGGTCTGTGGAATTTTGAACTTGAGAAAGATGATTTAGGGTATCTGGCAGAAGAAATTTCTAAGCAGCAAAGCATTCAAGAAGTGACCTGGCTTTTGGTAAAAGTGTATGCCCATATTCGTTCACAAAGAAAAAATCAGAAATTGGAAGTTAAAGGGAAGCAGACCGTAAAAGTTTGAAAAATTTGCAGCCTGACCATGCAGTAAAAAAGAAAAACCTATCTTCTGGCAATAAATTCAAGCTGGCTGCAGATATTTGCATAAGTAATGAGGAGCCCAATGTTAATGGCAAAGACAATGAGGAAAGTACCTCCAGGGCATGTCAGAGATCTTCACAGCAGCCCCTCCCATCGCAAGCCTGGCAGCCTAGTAGGGAAAAATGGTTTTATGGGTCAGGCCAGGGCCCTGCTCCTCTGTTCAGCCTTGGGACATTGTACCCTGCATCCCAGCCACTCCAGCTCCAGCCGTGGCTAAAAGGGGCCAAGGTACAGCTCAAACTATGGCTTAAGAGGATGCAATCCCCAAGTCTTACAGCTTCCACGTGGTGTTGGGCCTGCTGCTGTGCAAAAGACGAGAGTTCAGCTTTGGGAGCCTCCATCTAGATTTCAGAGAATGTATGGAGATGTCTGAATGTCCAAGCAGAAATCTGCTGCAGGTCAGAGCCCTCAAGGAGAACCTCTGCTACAGCAGTGCAGGTATTGGCTATTGCTACCCAGAAGTTAGAAAACTGCAGGAAATGGCTTCAGATTTCATAAATCTTCTGTAATATTAATAGAAGTACAGAGAGTTTTAAAAAATAATCAACCAACAGCCCTTGTACCTACACAGCCCACCCAATTGGAGTTGCTGCTAGAGGAAAATGAGTGTTTCTACCTCTTTTCTACCTGTTAAATCTTCTAGTTACTGCAGCTGCTTGACAAATCCTAAAACTTATGTGACGAACTAGATAGTAAAAGAATATAATCAATGCAATTCTTAGTTTTCTAGCCTCTCCAATAGAGGGGAGCACGGAAGCTAGTAAGAATAGGGCCAAGTGCCAAAAAACAATATCTGGCATTTTCCCCCCAACCTCAGTTGCTTTCTTATGTATTTCTTATAAGAGTTAAAACATTTATTTTTCTTCTGGGATGGGGTTGATCACATAATATTTTGTTATCTATCTTCTTAACATTCTTCTCTCACTTACTAGACAGTTCAATTTCAAAGCATCAAAATAGGGCAAGTATATTTTTTAAAATTCCCATCGGTTGATTTTTATATTATCCTTCTTTACCACTGTTATCTTAAGAATCACAAATTTCTTTGTTGTGGAAACTATTCCTAATTGCTTCTAAGAAATTTCCAGCTTACCAAATTTCTTCTTAACAAACTAAATTTTTATCTACTTGCAACCAAAGATGGTATATCTCCCATATCTATGGCACTGGGCTGGATATTGTAGAGAATATTTTGGAGAATATCTTAGGAAAGAAGTCCCAAAATAGGAAGGAAGAAAGAAAGAGTAGAAAAAAGAGAGGAAGAAAGAAAAAAGAAGGAAGAAAAGACAGAAAGGTTCTGATACTATAGGAGAGGCAGTACTTTACCTTTTCCCTTGTAGGAGTTTTTTTTTTTTATTTTTGTTTGGTTTTGTTTTTTGGTTTTTGGCTGAGCCTGAGAATTAAATTGACACAATAGAAATTAACAGAAGAAAATCCTATGAATTTATTTAATACTTAATACAGTTTTACATGGCATGGGAGCCCTCAAAAGGAAATGAAGATCCAAAAAACAGAGGCAATCACTTATATACTGAATCAGACAAAGAATGGTAAATTGTGAAGAATCTAATAAATAATATGGGAAGGCTTACAGGTTGAGATATTTTTAAAGATCTGTACAGAATTCTCTCTGTCTCAATTTTTTTGTCCTTGATGATAAGAATGTTGCTTTTCTTGTGGCATAAGTGGGCATCTTTCACATTGGAATTTCATTTTTTGTGTTTTTAAGAAATAGAATGAAGGTCAGAGTAATTTTCTTGCACCTGCTGTATTTCAAATGCCTTTAACTCAAAATAGTCAACATGCCAGAATGGCATATTTTTACCTCCTTCAATACCATTGGTATTCAAAGATTCTCAGTTTTCTACATCTAGGATATGTTCCTGGTATTTCCTCCCTCGACTTATGCAGTATTGAAAAGTCCTTAGACAGAATCTTACTTAAATTACTTAATTTGTTTTTCTCCCTTTCTATTATCATAAACTTTCCAAATTTTCCTCGGTTTAGGCATTTTTGGGGTTTTACTTTTCTTAATTACTTAATCCTAGACACCTGCTCCCTTAAATAATGTTGTCAAGGAAATGGAACTAGTGAGACCTAGATTGTATTTTATTTTATTTTTGTTCTTTGTATATTTAGCATAGATTATTAGTATCCTTCCATGACCAAACCAAATTTTTTATGGTTCTGTCACCTTTTAGAGCTTGGTAAGTATTCAGTAGTTATTAGGAGCTCATTGATCTTCTTTAAAATAATGAGTATTTGTAAAGAAAGAAAAAGTGAATGGATACTTTTCAGAGTGAGGCCTCTTCTAAGACTGCAGGAGCCAATTTCACTGCCATCACCACAGTCACATCTGACACTACAAGAACCATAGCAGTTGTTGAAGCAGTTTCAGCTTACAGCACTCTGAAGTCTCCAGTGAACCAGCAAATGAATTCCAGAAGGCTTCTGACTCTAGGGTTCTCTGTTCTCCCACACTGTGATAGTTATTCTGAACTGGAAAAAAGAGGTGCTATCCAGATGGGGTGTGAGGATCTGCTAGGAAATCCTCAAAAATTCTCATTAAATACACTCAAATTTGCACATGAAAGGAGAGTTCTGGCAGGGAGTTTTTACTGTTCATCAAAATGCAGTCATAAAATTCATGTCTTATTACCTTCTTTACATATGTCAAACAATCTAAAAATGCTTAGATAATTGCCATGGCACTCCATACCAGGATTCTGTGTCTTATTAGTTGAAAAATGGTACAGAAGCAAGTAGATAGTTGAAGATTTTGGCCTTTGAACATATCCTCAAAGGTAATGAGGGGCCAGCATGTCTGGGCTCCCTAGCCCAGAATTAACCACACAATTTCTTCATATCAGTATGAAAGACATTAATAAGTCAGTGTGGTGTGCTTTGTGGCTCCAAGATAAAAAAAGAGAAAGCAACTTTTAGTTCTAATTCATAACAAAATGGCCCCCAAAAGGTGATTGCTTCATTTAAACAAACATTCTTCTTTTACATAATCAACATATTCTTTTTAACAGATGTACCCTAAATCATAGAAGTATGATGAGAAGGTATGGGAAACTTAGATTTGGATTAAGCCATTTAGTACAATGCTTCTGCAAAACTCTAATTTGCCCACTATAAACAATTATTTAGCCTCTGCTTTTAACATTTCCAGGAATGGGGTAATCACATCTCCTACACAGCACTGTACAGTATGCCTTTGAGCAACTATAAATGTTAAAAGGTTGTTATATTGATGAGAAACACACTCTCCTCTTATGCACATTTCTTCTCTGCAGGCACAGGGGGAACTCTAATATCTCTTCTCTATGACAAACCTTTAGATATTTGAAGGTTGCCATTGTGGAAATAAATGAAGACTACACAAATGAAAACAAGCAGAGAATATTTATCTATTTATTCAGAGCTGGTTATAGAACGGGAGTTAGCCACTATCACTTGCATTTACCAGAGACCCAAAGGCATGCGGGGGGAGTAGGAAAACTTTATAATAATAATTTTTAAAGGGAAGGCTTTGAATATGTTCTGATTGGAAGTTGTTGGCATGGGAAAACTGAAGAAGGGCTGACTAGAAACTATCTTATGCAATTGGTTTTGGGAGTGCATTTGGCTTTCTCCAGTTGGTTCTGAGTTGGAAATAGGGGTGAAACGAGGGAAACTGATCTTTATTGATGAAGTCCTGAATGTTTTGAGGCAATGGCTGCAGAGACTGTGGGTCAACGTTCTAATGCTGCATATGATCTGGGCAGGTGCAGTGGCTCACGCCTATAATCCCAGAACTTTGTGAGGGCAAGGTGGGCAGATCACAAGGTCAGGAGATCGAGAACATCCCAGCTAACACAGTGAAACCCTGCCTCTACTAAAAAAAAAAAAAAATACAAAAAATTAGCCAGGTGTCGTGGTATGTGCTTGTAATCCCAGCTACTTAGGAGGCTGAGGCATGAGAATTGCTTGAACCTGGGAGGAGGAGGTTGCAGTGAGCCGAGATCGCACCACTGCACTCTTACCTGGGTGACAGAGCGAGACTCTGTCTCAATAAAAAATAAATGATTGTCTGCATGTATATTCAATCTCCCTTCCTTTGGTCACTCTCTTTTTTGCCAAAAGGATGTTAGTCAAAAGGTAAGGTGAGAGATCCCGAGCTTCACTACTTGATGATTGTTCTGTTGTATCCTTAGTCAATCATATCACAAGATCTTTTTCATCTTTTTTGTTGCATCATCATTGCAATCATCTGCTGAGAGAGTGGCCACATACAAGCATTTAAGCCTCCACATGGAATTCAATGTACCAGCATCATGGACACTGTGATAAAAACAAAAACAATTTAAGTCAATTTAATATTGACCTGGTTCTTCAGAGCCAATGGCGTGACTGACTTTGTTCTTCAGAACCAAGAACTTGAATTGTCCAACCCAGGCTAGAAAAACAAATCTCACAGGTCATGAGGACCAAACTTAGAGAACCAAGTAGCCTTTTGTCAAGCTGACATGTAGACTTTTCTACCTTACCTGTTTCACTGATCCAAGTATAGCAAGAAGTATCAGCAATGGTACATATACCACCATGACTAGTGAAAAGAAAATCCAGAAGAATGAGATTGTTCAACTCTCTTGCCAACAGTTGAGATGGATCTGTATTCTATCTAGGGTAGAAGTAGTATCACTTATAGTTTCTGCCAGCATTAGTGATACATGTCTTATAGTCTTCTGTTTGCATGGTTCCTATTGCTGGAAACTGCTTTGGTTGTTTGTATAAACAATGAATCAGTAACTCCTCCAAGTAGAGTGCCTGAATATTAAAGGGAGGCCTCATTTAGGAGCTTGCATCAGAGTTAAAATTTCCAGCCTTGATGATCTATAGAATTAGGGTGTCTGTGTACCAGTAAGATTTCTAATGCTATTTTTAAAGTGCATGATGTATGTGTGCATGAAGCAAGCAGGACTAGCTATCTAGATGCAAGGAAAGTAGTATCTGGTAGGAACACACAGGGATCCAGAAAAAAGAAATTGTTCATGACCTGAGGTTGGATCAAGGCTGTTCATTAGTTGGGTTACACATGTGAATCTCTATTAATCTCTTCCAGGTGACAAGTAATTGGCTCATCCTCCTATGAAGGCTGTTGAATTCAAATTTAGAATTACATAGATTCTAATTAGTAGATTATAATAATAGGGTTTTTTTGTGAGAAAGGGACACTAGCAAAATCGCAGGTTGATTTATCCATGTAAGTTCAAGTGGAAATGCTTTGGCTTTAATTCCCTGTGGTCTCATTTGATGAGACCGAAATTTTCCAAGGGTTTTTGATTATGGTAGTCTCATGAGGGATAGCATATCCAGCAATCAATGAGCTTGAAGGTTACTATTTAGGATAATCCAAGATTAGTGTTAGAAAGTGATTATGCTCTGATCCGAAATTTTAATAAGAATAAAATGAAAGAGAAAAAGAGTCATTGTGGGTAGGTAACTACCAGGGGTCTTTAGAAAATGAGAATGGCTGTAATTAAGTAGATAAAAAACATAATAGCAGTTACACCAGGGATCTTGATCCAATATGGTGGGCAGAAGCTGTCTACTCTCTGAGGTCATTATCTCCCTCTGAAAGTCTCCAGTCAGCTGTCTACTCTGAAGATTTAAGATTGTAACCAGTTTATCTGTACCATGATGAGTCATTTCATGGAGGAATTTAATTAGTATTCATTTGAAGCCATCTGGTGCCACCAAAAATGCCAGAGATTATCTGAGTAAAGCTAGAACTTTTTTTTTTCTTTTTTTTTTTCAGAATTAGGGGCTAAATATTGATATTTTATAATGGTGTCTTATAAGTACTCTAGAGATTTATTCTCTAAAATTTTAGATAGGTTCATAACCTTGATTAAGGCTGCTTCTTTAGCAAAATATTCCATTAGAACATTTCTTTTAGCTTCTGTATTGTTTATATTTTCATTAGCTTCAATCTTTATAATAAACTACCTCTGTATGGAGCAGGAGTATATCTAAAAGTGTTTTAAACATCTTCTCTATGTTTGATGGAGGTTCTAGCAGAGTTAGGAAACCCTTTGTTTTCAGAGCACGCCAAAGTCATGTATTTTTTTTTAATTGTACCTGTATATATATTTACTCTGAGGTCGTTGTCCAGTTAACAAACTGGACAAGTTTTTGATGACTCCCATGAAGTTGAGTACGTACAATATTTCTGCCATCTGGACTAATTTTACCTCCAATAGAGGACTATATTTCATAGTCACACAAATTAGTGGTAGCATACTCTGCTTGATAACCTCTAGTTTAAAGTTCTGAAATATGATCCAGCAACAAATAATATTGGGTCACGGTTTTCAATGGCAGTTCTTAAAAATACTGAAGTGCAGAAAGTTTCCTAACTGCGGTAGGGAAATCACGGGTTCACTTCTTCTGGTAGGGGCAGGAGAGTAGCAAAAATAGGGTGTTCTAGTGGTGAACAGTAATGTGAGAGGAAGAGAGTAACAGACTCTCATGAGTGTTTAATGCTGGCTGAAAAGTGTGTGTTCAGAGGGAGTAGTAATGGCTGTATTGCATGAGGAATCATGAGATCAAGAGGGAGGAGCCTGTAATTAGCTCTGCAGAAGCACCAGGTTTTGAATTGGCACCTAGGCTCTTAAACAAGGGGAATAAGCCTTGGTAACCAGGTCAAGGTGATAAGTTTTTGATGACTCCCATGAAGTTGAGTTAAAACCCTAAGTGTTTTTCCAGTTTGCTTATGTACAAGTGGACAACAAGGCTTTCACTTGGGATGCCTATGGAAGAAGCCTGTTGACAAGGCTTCTTCAGATTCCAGAAGGCCGGTTCATGATTTAGACTGAGTTGTCACCATCCCAGGAACAATTTATTTGACACTCATTTGTAATATCCAATTAAAACGTGCAATCCTCCTGATTGTTTTTTGAGGTATCTAGGATGTTTTTATGATCTTTAGTCATCAGAAGATGGTGATTTTCCTCCTCACATATGTTATGCCTTCAATAATGAATTAGATTTTTGTAAAAATTATGATTTATCTTTTGAAACTTTATGTATCTTTAGTGCTAAAGCTGAGAGCAAGTAATTGGAATCCTTTTTACAAGCTTCCTTGTTCTCTGAAAAAGTAGGAGATCATATACATATTGTAACAGAGCTGAATCTCAAGAGAAAATTTAGTTCTTTTCATTCTTGATTAAGGACCTGGGAAAAATAGAAGTGGGCTTCAGTAAACCTTTGGAGCATGACTATTCAGGTTTACTGTTTTCCTCCCCAGGTGAAGGTAGAAAGCAAACATTGAGAGTGAAAAAGGGGAAGACATCAGTTATATTTTGATTGGAGGTTGTTGATGGGGAAGCTGGAAGCAGACTCGTTAGAAACGGAGGATTTATGCAATTGGTTTTGAAACATATTTGGTTTTGTGTGGTTGGTTCTGAGTTGAGAACAAAGGAAAAATATAGGAGAGCTGGCAGTCATTGACCAAGTCCTGACCATTTAGGGCTGATTGCTGCAGAGGTTATAGTTTGGCTTCCCCAGTGGGTATGGCAGAGTTTGTGTGTCAGTGGTCTGTGGTCATAAGTGCTCTGCCCACTCTCCATATATTCAGTCTGTCACCGTTTTGTCTCTTGTAAATCTTCACACATAATTTGTCTCCAACTACGTCTAGAAATAATTTGAAAAATAATTGATATATGTAGTTAGATTTTTGCAAAGGGGATATATATTGTTTTGCTTAACAAACTAATGGCAGATACCTGAAAATATGAATTTTTCTCCTTAATTCCACTAGAGTTAATTTTTTTCTCTGTAATTGTTTGTGTTGTTACAGAGGATCTTAATGATTTAAGAATGGAGGGAGTAACAACCCTGGTACCTTCTGGGAGCAAATTTAACCAAGGCCGTCCTACTTACCCTGCTGAGCCTCAGGCCAAGGTCACACTGAACATCTGTTCAAGGTGTGCCAGGTAAAAGACATAATAGGTATAGTATATATAAACATGATCTTGATTTTTAAAATCTAAGATTTTGATACAAAGATTGTACTCTTCTGTGTTAAGAACATCTTTTCCTTCCAGCGATCTTTTGTGCTAATATTGGCAAGGGAGTTAGTTATGCAGTTTATCCTGTGCCCAGTGCCACTCAGACCAACAATGAATCAAAGAGTTTAGATTGTCTTCACTTCACAGCTTGAGACTATTTTATGTCTTCTGTCTCTGAATTTCATTCACTGTCCACCATTCCGTTCTCTTTCAAAGAAAATTTAACAGCTCTGAACATTCAAAGCCACTTTTAAAGCACCTGCATAGAGGAAGAGTTTGGCCAGGTACAGTTTAAGATCTGATATTATTGACCTCTTAACCTGCCCCTTATCCTGTTCACCTCCTGGAAAGAATTTAATCAGCTTGACACTTTCAGTTTTGGCAGCTGGAAGCAATCTTTGCATATACTGTATGTGGCCAAAGAAGTAGCTTGTAGTTACTGCCAAGTCAGCTCCCAGTGCTGGTCTAGCAGAAACTCACCAAATAGCTAGAATTCATTCCTTTGTAGGAACTAAATCTCATTTGCAAAGAGGCTTTTAAGCCTGTTTAAATGATGAAACAAGCCTTCTAACCCTTATGTAAATGGTCCAGATTAGCAAGAACAATGTACTGGCTGGCCAATTTTATCTCCTTTTCTTTATGTCTAGCTGCTCTATTGTAGTGTTTGAGAGGAGATTAGCTGCTTGGATATAGGGAGGGAGGAAAGCGTAGGAAAATCAAACCAGATTTTTGTAGCTTTTTCTCTTTTGCTTTACCCCTTTGGAAGTTTTATTTTAATTTTCACAGGCTTAGAAAAATAGAAAGGACAGCTCTTAGAAAATCAGGGGATGTTATCTGAGGCCACTAAGAGAAATGGCATGGCATAGCATAGTGAAAACCGCAATGGAAACATTGCTTCAGACAAGTAATATTTGGTGGATTGACTTTTTTTAGTAGGGCTGTGAAGAGAACTTCTAATATTTATGTGATAATATTTAAGCATCCTGAGTGAACACAGTCATCAGTGGAAGAGTTATACGATACTTTGTTTTAAACTTTGTAGTACAGTTGTATATTTACATTTTGACTGGAGAGGGGTCGATGCTTGGTTCATGTCATTTGTAGAAGACTGGGATATGAGGTGTTTGTTTTTTCAAAACAGAAAGTTTATAAAAAATGTTTTTCTAATCTATTGAGGATTTGAACTGTGAAAGGACCAAGCACATTTTTAGCCCTAAATTATCATTCAGCTTCCTAATATATAGACTGTAAATCACAAACAACCTGCATTTAAAGTCAGAACTTAACAGAATTTTTCAAAAAATATTCAACGGAATAATCATTGGTGGCATGTATTACTTTCTTACTATAAACCACATACTAGTCTAAAGACATGAAATGTGTAAACTGATTTAATTTGCAGATCATTCTCGGAGTTAATTACTATTACTATCCCCATTTTATAGATAAGAAAACTGAGGCATGTATTGATTGAATAACTTGTCCAGAGTAATACAACCAATAGGTAGAAAAACACAGTTTGAAACTCAGGCAGCATAGGTTGACAGTCTACCTACTAGTCATTCTGCTTTATTGGTAAGCACCAAGTTATTGTCTGAAGGTGAAGATGGAGGCCTAAAATAGATAAAAACAATGAGATAGAAAGAGATTTAGGTGTTTGAAATGATGAAAGTTCATGACTGTTTTGATGGAGAATAAGGCATTGTTGTACTTTCAAAAGCAAAGGAGAAATATATTGATTCAGATAAATGTGGTAAACAGTATGGAAGAAGATTCTAGACTGTTCATTTTAGAGCAGCTACTATAGCTAGAATTTAAAGAAAAAACAAGTATCAGTTGTCGAGAACTATAGAGAATCTGAGATTTTTTCCCATTTGGAGCTTTATATATTAGTCTACCACTGTTTTATGCATACTAGGAAAACTCATGAAACACCTGGGTCAGAGACCAAGGACTTTACTACTTACAGCAATAACAATAACCAGGGTATTAGCATCTTCACTGGTTTCCTGAGCCACAGTTCTCAGAGTAACACAAATAGTGCAAAAGGTTATATTATGTAAGAGGAAACTGAACTTAGAAAATGTGACTATTCCATAACAGACCATTAGCACTCCTGTGTGTTGCTCCAGGGAGGGCCTCCATCTGTATCCTCCAAGGCTGTGTGTTAGATCAGCAGTCTTCAACCGTTTTGGCACCAGGGACTGGTTTCATGGAAGACAATTTTTCCATGGATGGTTGATAGGGTGGATTTTGAGATAGAACTGTTCCACTTCAGATCATCAGGCATTAGGTTCTCATAAGGAGCAAGCAACCTAGATCCCTTCATGCATGGCTCACAATAGGGTTCATGCCCCTGTGAGAATCTATGGCTGATCTGACAGGAGGCGGAGCTCAGGTAGTAATGCTCCCTTGCCTGCCGCTAACCTCCTGCTGTGCCAGGAGGTTCCTAACAGGCCACAGACCAGTACCGGTTCATGGCCTGGGGGTTGGGGACCCCCATGCTATACAAATATTCTTGAACAGGTGATCTGCAAAAAAGGCTGTTAATGTCTTTAAATATGAGAGACACATGGAGAACTGTCTCCCATTGCTACTTTGGGTAGATTACTTTTGTCATACGTTGATGTGATTATCAAAGCTTTCCATCATTAATTCTCCAACACCAATCCATGTCATTGTCTCACCTCTCTTTTTGCAAGTAAGGCATTTAAAATTGTGAGAATTATACTTTCTAAGCAGGGCTGAGCAATTATCAGAGGCAGAAGTCATAAACAGAATCACGGTGGGGAATGTCTGGTTGTATTGTGTGTCCACATAATGCTTTGAAATACCACTTGATTAGTGTCTTAGTCTATTTGGGATGCTATAAAATAACACAGAAATACCAAAAACTGTGTCTTATAAATGACAAGTATTTATGTCTCCCACTTCAGGAGACTGAGAAGTCCAAGATCAAGGTGCTGGCTGATTCAGTGTCTGGGGAGGACCTGCTTCCTCATAGATGGCTGTCTTCTCATGGTGTCCTCCCATGGTGGGAGGGTGAGCTAGCTTTCTGGGGTCTTTTTTATAAGGGCACTAATTCCATTCATGAGGGTTCCACCCTTGTGACCTAATCACCTCCCAATATCCCTACCTCCTTATACTACCACACAGGGGGTTATGTTTCAACATATGAATTTGGGAGGGGCACAAACATTCAGACCATACCAATTAGTTACCAATTTCACATAAAAAAAAATCAGGATATCTATCTTCTCTTAAAAATCAGTGCAGCTGATAACACTGGGTCTATATTCTGGAAATACTTCACAGTAGTAGCTTCCTCCTGCTCTAGACTCTGAGGCCAGCAGTCATGCTCCAGTGCACTTTGGTCTGTCTGCTTAGCTTCATTCATTTATACTATCTGTCTAAAGTCTAGAGGCGTTTGTAACCTCTGAATTGTAGAAACATTGTGTAAAGGAGTGAAGACTCTCCCTTTACCTTCTAAACATTTGGTAAGTGAATCTATGAAATAAACTCACAACAGGCAGTTTAACAGGAGAAAAGGTCTACAAATTAATTATGAACTAAGTGGCATCACAGGAAAGAAAAGTAAATACTCAAAAACCCAGTGAGATTTAGGAGCTTATATACCCTCTTCATAGGGGAGAGGGTAAGGGGAATGGAGGCAACTTAGGGGAGAGGGAATGATTTTGGGGAAAGAAGAATGGGTCTTTAGGATAATCAATGATAGTTTGTGAGAAAGTTTACCTGGGCATGGTGTCAATTCCTAGTCTCCCTCTCCTGTGATAAAAGTTCATCTTCCTTGGTTAATGAAACTTCCAGGGAGGTGACTGATGGTAATGATGAAGTTCTTTTTGGAGAATCTGTCTTTAGGTGGATGAGGGAAGTTCAAAGAAAGCCTCTTGTTGCATTTGCTGTTTTCTAGTGCCTTCAGCTCAAAGTAATAAGTATACCAAAACAGCATATTTTGGGGTGGCATGTTCTAAACTCCTTCAGCTAGAACAAGGATAAGCAATGAATCAGGTCTGGAAGAATGCAGGTGAAAGAGGCTGGCCAGGCCAGTGGGAGAAGGATCCAGTGCCAAGAAGATACAGACAGCATTCTAATGTCTCTGAGGGCCAGGTTATGGGCATGAGTTTAAGGCAAGCAGCCTGCAGTCTTGAGAGCCAGGTAATCCCTCAGAATCCAGACAGAGTGAGCCAGTCAGAAATTCAGTGCTGTAGATCAGACCAACATGTAGAGAAATGACTGCTTCAATTAGAGAACTATGCCCATCTCCACTGCTTTCTTTTTGGGCATCTGTATTTTGTGGGGAAGACGCAGATGAGAGGAGAATGCAGAATTCATAGAGCAAAACCATACATTGGATTTTAGCCTTGGAATCAGGATTTAATTCCAAATATTGCAGGATTGGAGACAGTGTGGTGCAGATGAGTAAGACAGTTTAGGATAATTAGTGTTAAATTATGTCACTTTACTTACCAATACCTTTCAAGAGTTTACACAAAGGTAGAATAGAAAGACGATCTGCTTTGGAGTGTGACAAAAGGGATCTGACATCCACACTCTAAATTACCTGGTATGTCATTTTAGGGAAAGCTCTTAAAAGCTGGGTTTTTAGCTGTGAAACGGAGTTCATATCGCCTTGGAGATAATTTCCAAGGGCGAGTGGGAAGGCTGGATACAATAACTAGAAACAACACAGTTTTCTCTTTTTCTCGCATGCTGGAATAATTACTGTGTAAATACTTGAGCATTTTAAAATGCTTTGAGCTTTTTTTCCTCATCTTTTTGAGAAACTCACATTAAAATGCTAAGATATTAAGGAAAAAAGAGCCTCATTTTCCTGACATTGAGTGTTTTCTCTCTGCCTAAGACTTCTGCCTGGCTAAGGGAGAAATCTCTGGTCCATCTTTCAGGATTTCTGTGTTCAGTGAAACGTGTGAAGTGGCAATGTTTTTGTTTGTTTGTTTCTCGTTGTTGTTGTTGTTTCTTAAGAGTTTCAAGGTCAAGAAATCATTTTCTCATAGAACTTAATAAGTGAGCTTAATGAATGTGTTGTGAAATTGAAACAATACTATAATGCTAAGATATTATCAACCGTCTTGATATAGAATCAATAAGACTCAAGTGATGTTGAGGGTTTCTCCAAAGAGCCCATCAACGACCTAGTTAATGTAAAAAGTGGAGTCCACTCTTCAGATTTTTATTTTCCTTAATCTTTTTTTCAAATACTCCACTGGTTGTAAACTACTCATAGGGTTATAGGGACTCAGATCATGCTACCCTAAATAGGGCGCTTTGGCATGTTGGGTACTTTGAACTGAAGGAGACTGGTAGAACCTCAGAAGCAATGTCTCTCTGACCTTGTCTCCTCCTCCTGTCTTCTGCCATTCTTTCTCCCTTGAAGCAAGACACAGAAACCAGAATTCCTCTTCCTGGGTCTTTAGGCCTCTATTCCTGGAGGCTCCTGTGTCACTTAAAATTTTAGTTAATACATCTGTTATGCTTTTCTCTTGTTACCTTGTCTTTTGTTATAGGAGTGTCATCTGTGGCCCTTATGATGGGTGAGGAAAGGTAGCACATCTTTTGACCCCTACTGTCACAGTGTCTGAAAGTGAGTTTGCATATGGTATATCCAGAACCTTATTGCTTTTATCAAGCAATAAGAGCAAAAATTTTAATTTAAATTAATTTTAAATACAATTTAATTTTTAAAATTTAATTTAAAAAATGTTTTAAATAACAAATAATAATTGTATATATTGTATATTTATGGGGTACAATATGATGTTTTGATATATTTTTATTTTATGGAATGATTAAATCAAGCAAGTTAACAAATCCACCACCAATCATACTTTTTTTGTGGTAAAAACACTTAAAATCTACTTTTTTAGTTATTGAAATATACAATGCATTATTATTTATTATAGTCACTGTTTTGTGCAATAGATCACTGAAACATATGTATTCCTTCTGTCTAACTGAAATTTTGTACATTTTGACCAACATATTCTCTTTCTTCATTAGTCCCCCTTCCCCCAGCCTCTGGTAACCACCATTCTATTCTTTACTTCTATGAGTTTGACTTTTTTAGATTTCAAATATAGGTGAGATTGTGCACTATTTGTCTTTCTGTGCCTGCTTATTTATTTCAGCATAATATCCTCCAGGTTCATTGTTGCAAATGACAGAATTTTCTTCTTTTTAAAGGCTAAATAGTATTCCATTGTGTATATATATACCACATTTTGTTTATGCATTGATCCAATGATGGACACCTGCAGTGGTTCCATAACTTAGCTATTATGAATAATGCTGCAATGAACTTGGGAATGCAGATATCACTGTGACATGCTGTTTTTAATTCTAAAGCTTCTGCACAGCAAAGGCAACACTGAATAGAGCCAACCCACAGACTGGGAGAAAATATTTGTAAACCATACTCTGATAGGGGGCTAATATCCAGAATATATAAGGAACTCAAACAACTCAATAACTAGAAAGCAAAGAACCCAATTTAAAAATGGGCAAAGGATTGAAATAAACATATCTCAGAAAAAGACATACACATGGCCAACAGATAACATGAAAAAATGCTAGTCATCACTAATCATCAGGGAAATGCAATTTAAAACCGCAAAAAGATATTGCCTAACACCTGATAGAATGGCCGTCATCAAAAAGATGAAAGAGGAAAGATAACAAGTACCCGTGAGGATGTAGAGAAAAGGGAACAATTGTGCACTGTTGGAGGAAAAATAATATAGCCATTATTGAAAAGCGTGGAGTTTCTGTAGAAAAGTCAAAATAGAATTACTATATGTTCCAGCAATCCCACTTCTGGGTATATATTTAAAGGAATTGAAATCATTATGCCAAAGAAATATCTGCAAAGAATTCTTCTCATTCAGAGCCTGACTGGAAGATGTGATCAGTAATGGGACTGACACATTGTACTGGGAATGACTGAGGGATTTGAGAGATACACAACCACTGGAGGAACTTCTACTTTTCCAGGCATCAGGGAGAGAGAAATTAGGGCTACGTTAAATAGCTCTGTAGAGTGTTCTGTGCCAAAAAGTGATTAAAGGATCGAGAATATAACACAAGGTTTGTTGTTTAGCATAGTTATAAGAAATAAAGAAAAATAGAAGCTTTTTTTTCATAAATATATCACATGACGTTAGAAAAATGCAAAATAGCTTGTGTTTTTAAGCTGGAAATTATCCTGTTACTTTCATATCACTTGACAGACTTAGTCTGCTGTGAACATTGCTGCAATTTGTGTGATTTAAACAGAGAAATGACATTGTTTGGCAAGTGGGAAAATGTATGGCTAATAGATAACTCACCATCAAAATTTATAAAGAATCTAATCCAGAACATTTTATTTTCGCCCTTAGATCATGAGTAAAATAAGCCTTTATAAAACAGCAATTTTGAGTAGAGCATTGACTATGTAGGATATAGTAGTGGTTCTTATAATTGGTGAGTTTATTTGTTATCAGGTAGATGTTTAAAATAGTCAATGAGTGT
Source organism: Homo sapiens (assembly GCF_000001405.40). Classification (NCBI taxonomy): domain Eukaryota; kingdom Metazoa; phylum Chordata; class Mammalia; order Primates; family Hominidae; genus Homo; species Homo sapiens. The sequence continues at coordinate 68,648,135 of NC_000008.11, forward strand.
CTTGGCTGGACTTATAGAAGATTCCACAAATACAGTTAGATATCCTCGAATGATATGGGCCAAACAAGCTGCATTTCTTGCCTAGGAGTCACACTACAAAGTAAGCCATATCAAAAAAGTAAAGTGTTGGTAGGTCAGTAATGCAAATTGTCAGTAATTATCAAAATTTTCCTGGCTTAACAAAATTATAATTTGAAAAATTGTGAGCATTGCATTAAGATTATCTATTTAATGTCTTGAATTTTGTTTTAATATAACAGTTAAGATACCAATAACTGGCAGACAACTGCTGATACCAAGGCACTAAATTACTATTTCAATAAAGTTTATAAGCCATTTTTCTGGAAAGACCACCCACTAATTCTATCTACCCACTGCCATTCTCAAGAGTTAAATCTTGTTTGCGTGGACTCATGCCAGGGCATTCCGGGTGGTAAGATGCTATTTGCTTTTGATGGTGCAAGTGTTTGCATTCCTTCATGCTTAACATCAATAGTGCACAAAAAAGGGAGCCGAAAGCCATTTTAAAAGAAATTGGATTATAGAGAACATACACTGATACTGGCTCAGAAACTACAGCATGAGAATCCCAGGAGAAACTTGTTCCTAAATAGCTTGTTGTTTTTGAACTGATTTGTCTCATGTAATTCAACCAAAGATTGTTCTTCATTTCTCCTAAATATCATGGGATTAATATATTGAGTCTAGTTATATGTGGTCTTGATAAAGCACAAGTAGATCACTGTTGGTGACAGCTGGAAAAAAAGATGAATGTCAAGTCTTATCAATGTGAACTCATTTCAAATTGTCTATATTATTTATTAGTTGACTTGAGAAAACCTATGTAAATAACCATACATTGTATTTGGTTTCATTTTGTTTATGATTTTTTTTCTTAACTATTTTACACGTTTATATTCAGCAGCTTCCCATGGGAAGGAATGGTGAGCAAAACAAACATGAAGGAAAATGGATAAGGACAAAAAAGGATTACTATCACTTGTTTAAATTTTGAAGTTTTTCATAAAGCTGACCTCCCAGGCCTAGAGGTGTAAAAGATTCCATTTGAGTCATGTATACAATGCACCATCTACTGCCATGTTTCAAGAGATATAAACATTTAATTTGAATCCAAATGCATTTATCTAGCATTACTCTGTGTCAGATACTGTGATATGCTCTAGAAATACAAATGAATACCTCTGATTTCTAGGAACTTACTTGTATACCAGCTAGAATCAGACATGCAAACAAGTGCAACCCAAAATGTCAGATGACGATAGTGCCATGGGAGAAAATAAAACATATTAGAATGGCTACGTCATCCCAGATGTGATTGGTTGCAATTTCATGAGGGCTGTTGCTGTGGAAAAAAGCCTCACCTTCAGAAATATTGGTATACTGCCCTCATTGTTCATTCAAGATCTGCATGAAGGAAGACATGAGAATAACAAATGCCAGCCAGAAACTGGGGCCACATCAATTTCATGGTTTTTCTTTTGCTTGTAAATCAATGCAAAATTCTCCTTAACCTCACTCCTTCTGGTAGCTGTTTTGTGATTCATAGGGGAGGGAGGGCCTTTTATGCATATGTGTGCACACTCACACACACCATCTCAAAGCCTTTCTTGTTACATGACAAAGAGCTGGTGCTTCAGAGCAAGTGATATCAGGGTTGAAATCTCAGCTTGGCCACTGTACAACGTATGGAAAAAAAAACCTCTGTAGACTTCAATTTTCTGTATGAACCTGGGGATGATAATTTTTGCCTATGGGGTTATAGTGGAATGGAGTGGTTACTTCAGTTTTTAGCAGAGAATCTACTCTGAAAAAAAGTCTATTTCAAGAGAAAAAACTGGCGATATACATCTCAAAAGAAATCAAATATACATTTAAATTCAGAGAAGTCACAGTATATTTTAGAAAAAAAAAAGAAATATTAAATTGAAGGTCTGTGAAACAGTCATAAGGGTTGTTCGAGTAAAATATTAAGAATAATTCTGATTGGGTTTTAACTAAATAAATAGAAGTACTTTTGAAGCAGCATCGTTTGTCTGAGGTGATACCCGAGGTTCGTTGTCCCATGGCCGTGGAAAATTAGGATGCCGACACACCAGAGTGAGGATCAGAGCAGAAGTTTGTTTAACAAGCAAAAGGAAGAGGAGAGAGGGGTCCAGAGAGGGGTCCTGGAGAAAATGCATTACCAGTTCCTTGGTGAAATGCAGAGGTTTTATAAATGAGTTTGAGGGGGCGGTGTCTGATTTACATAGGGCACAAAAGATTGGTCGGACCAGGTGTGTCATTTGCATCGAGCGGGAAAAGGCTGGCCGCCCCACCCTAGTCTTTTTTTTTTTTTTTTTTTTGAGACGGAGTCTCGCTCTGTCGCCCAGGCTGGAGTGCAGTGGCAGGATCTCGGCTCACTGCAAGCTCCGCCTCCCGGGTTCACGCCATTCTCCTGCCTCAGCCTCCCAAGTAGCTGGGACTACAGGCGCCCGCCACCACGCCCGGCTAATTTTTTGTATTTTTAGTAGAGATGGGGTTTCACCGTTTTAGCCGGGATGGTCTCGATCTCCTGACCTCGTGATCCGCCCGCCTCGGCCTCCCAAAGTGCTGGGATTACAGGCGTGAGCCACCGCACCCGGCCCACCCTAGTCTTTTATTATGCAGATGGGTTCCCTACCTGGCTGGCATCATGTTGCCTGGTTCTTCACTATATACGTGGTGACAAAAGGGAGCCTCCATGTTGAACATACCTGGCTTCCAGGTAGCCCTGTTCTATTGGCACAGCTGCCAGCATTTACCAGGGCGAGCTTCCAGCTTGCTTATCTATGTTTGCAGCTCAATTTTACAGGCTGCTCTTTGTTAGAAAAGAAATGGTTTCTGCTTTTTGTTAAAAGGAAGCCTTGCTGAGGACTCCTTTTACCCTCTCTATCTGCCTAAATTTCTTTCTAGCTCCTCTATCACCTTGATTATCGAGAGGCGGATTTCCTTATCATTCTCCCTATGGATGTACAAATCTATGTGTTTACTTTATCTACCTATTCATCCATCCATCTATTCCATAAAACCTTTTCCCAAGACTGTGATGTGAAGGAAATGGATGATGTGAGAGGCAGGGAAAGGTGATCTTCCTAGTCACAGCAGCCGGCTCAAACGACAGCAAGAAAGCCTGTTTATGAATCCTGCAGTCTGTACTAGTCCACTGGGTTTCCAGTTCATACCAGCAGACCTGAGGATATATTTTCACTTCTCCATTTAGTTCCTCAAGACTTTGCTGTGGCCTTCATTCAGGGTAAACTCCTTTTCTCTTCCAGGATTTTTGGACGTTCGAGAATATCTGTGATATGTGGAAGAGAAATTCAGGAAAAGCCTAAGGCCACCCAGAGAATAAGCATCCTACAATTAGGGAATGAAAACAGTATACTGGCCGCTATGAAAAAGAATAAAATCCTTTTCGTCCTTTGCAGCAGCATGGATGAGCTGGAGGCTATTATTTTAAGTGAAATAGCTAAGAAACAGAAAATAAAATACCACATGTTCTTGCTTATAAGTGGGAGCTAAACACTGGGTACACATGGACATAAGGATGGAAACAATAGACCCTGGGGATTCCAAAAGTGGGGAGGTTTGGCGAGGGTGAGGGATGAAAAATTACCTATTGGGTACAATAGTCACCATTTGAGTGATGAGTACACTAGAAGCCGAAACCCCTCTATTATGCAGTATACCTATGTAACAAACCTGTACATGTACCCCTGAATCTAAAATAAAATAAAATAGTATATTGTCTTGAGAAAGTCTATGCACTCAATTTTCAGGTAGGGGCAGAGTCTTAACCTTCCAGTGGGTGCTAAGTGATATCTATGGACTGAGTTCCGTGCATTATAATAGACAGAGTCACACACAAAATGAGAAATAACCATATTGGAAAATCAAGGAACCAATAAGGTTGTTGATCCCCCACACCTCCTTTACAAAATACATCCTTAAGCAAGATGCCTGACAGAGGAGAGGAAGGTGAGCCAGTACTCCATGCCTATTCCTTATTAGTTTATTGACATTTGGCCATGTTGATACCTTCTTTGGAGAAGTATCTATTTCAATTCCTTACTCATTTTTAATTTGGGCTATTGTCTTTTAATGGTTGAGTTGTAAGAATTATTTATACATTATGTATCTAGACCTTTATCAGATACATGGTTTGCAAATATTTTCTCACATTCTGAGGGTTTTCACTTTTTTGATGGTGTCTTTTGAAGCACAAAGCTTTTTCATTTTGATCAAGTCCCATTTATCTGTGTTTTCTGCTATCACTTAGGCATGTGGTGTCATATCTAAGAAACTATTGCTTCATTCAAGTTCCCAAAGATTTATTCCTATGTGATCTTCTAAGAGTTTTGTAAATTTACCACTTATATTCAGTTCTATGATGTATTTTGACTTAATTTTTGTCTATGATGTGAGACAGGGATTCATTTTCATTCTTTTGCATGATATCCATTGCATGTTCTAGCACCATTTGTTGAAAAGATTATTCCTTCCACCTTGAATTGTCTTGGTACCCTTTTTTGAAATCAGGTTTATCTTAAGTGCTTTCTAATATAATAAATTTCTGCTTATCTTATGCCTTACAGTGCCAAACTTGGAATTAGACATTTCTCCAAGGATCCCTGGTTCCTACTAGCAAAAATGTACAGTAGAGAATAAAATCTGCTTATTAGGGTGGATTGTGGGAATGGCATTGCTTTTCATCTACTTTAGTGAAAAAGATCAGGGCAAAAATACACTTTATTAGATAAATATGTATGTAAGGCATGGCTTTATATTGATATTTCCACTCAAATTATAACAGTGTTGTGTTCCTACTTAACTTCTTGGTTCTGTAACAGAAAATTCTTTTTCTACTAAAGATCTTTATTTCTGACAAAATACAATTATTTATTTGTTTTCAAGTCAAGAAAATATGTAATAAGTAAAACATAAGAGGTCCCAAGATTCTTAGTGCAGTTTAAGGTTACTAAAATTTAAAACCGCAGTAAACTTTTGGGATACCTTATAGAAAATTATGCAAACAATAAAACTCCTGAATTAATTTTTTAAAATCCTATGTGGTTCCTTTTGTTTTTAGATTACATTGATTTCACCAATGATTTGTAGCCAAGGTTACTCGTTTCAGAGTTTATAGAGTCATTCACAGTATCTTACTCTGTATAGCAATATAATTTCTACACTTGTCTGGTAAATAATCGGTTCCTGTATTTTAGTTTACCTTCAATTTGAGACCAATGCTAATTTACATTCTAAAATCCTGAAAGGCTCCTGTTTTTAGCTACTGTCTTAATCTGTTTGCCTGCTATAAAAAAAGTACTATAGACTGGTGGCTTATAAACGAGGGAAATTTATTTCTCATAGCTCTAGAGGCTGGAAGTCTGAGATTGGGGTGCCAGCATGGCTCTGGTGAGGACTTTCTTCCAGGGTGCAGAATGCAAACTTCTTTGTGTATCCTCACATGGTGGAAAGACAGCTGGATAGCTCTCTAAACTCTTCTTGTAGGAGTACTAATTGCGTTCATGAGGGATCTTCCCTCATGGCCTACATACCTCCCAAAGGCCCCACCTCGAAATAGCATCACATTATAGATTAGATTTCAACATATGAATTCAGGGGAGACACACACATAATGGGCTGACACATACATTTCGTCTATAATAGCTACTAATTTTCTCTTGGTGCATATTGCCAACTACTGAGAGAAGGGCCTGATTTTAAATAGAAATGACCAAAAAATACTCCAAAATTATATATTATGGTTTTATTTCAGCACTGTCTGGTCCAACCACAATGTTTTAATACATATTTATATGACAAGAACATATATATAATTTTGTTTGGGTTAAAACAATTCTGCTTTATATTATTATTCATACTACTATTAATTTCTAATAATTTTGAATAAAGATACCTGCATTCATTCAGTACAGATGAAATCGGTGCCCTTATAAAAGAGGCCTAAGGAAGCATGCTTGCCCACCCTTCCATGTGAGGATATACAGAAGGCACTCTCTATAAGGAACAGAACATCACTGGACACCAAATCTGCCGCCACCTTGATTTAGACTTCCCAGCCTACAGAAGTGTGAGCAATAAATTTCTGTTGTTGATAAATTACCCAGTCCAAGGTATTTTGTTATAGGGCAGCCTGAACAGACTAAGACAGTTTTCTCAGTACTTTTAGATGAAAAGCGATTGCTTCTTTTATTTTTCAGCTTCATTTTTTATCTTTTTCTGCTTTCTGCCCTTGTTCACTTTCTCACTGTTATTTACTTTCCTCCTCTAGATAAAAGGGTAACAACATATGTATTGATTCATTTGTATCTAATTCAGGGCCTCAACATTGCTAAATCCAGGTATAATCTTCAAAATTTATAATTTTATTGCTTTTTTTGACCTACAAATACATCGTATATTATAATCAAATATATTGATTTACATACATAGTATTTAATCTAATTTATTTTCAATTTTATTTGAGCCCTGCATATGAAAGCTTCCTATTCTTCCATGGGGATATAAAAAGGAAATACCTCAACTTCTACATGATTTCTACATTTTAATATAAATAACAAAGAACAAAACAAAATATGTTGAAGCACTTGAAGTTTTGCCTGAAAAATTCTTTTGACTGCTAGGTCAAAAGCCATTCTTTATTTTGTAAAGCAAATATAAATTCAAGTATCTTAGTGTCAAGAATATTTTGAAACTAGTATATATAAACTAGAATAAAATTACACTTTTGAAAGATAATGGGGAAATGCGTCAGCTATAATACCTTTAGTGCATATCCAAAAAATTTACATGGAAAATCCTCCAAATATCTAATTTCTAGATTGTCTGGATTTTCTAGAGGCTTTAATAAAAATCACTGGCGTTTATTTACATTTAATACCCATTTTGTTGCAATACATGTCATTCAAAACTCAGGATTTATATCATATTTATAGAATATGTAAATAGCTTTAGATGTAATTAGGTATTTACATATTCTATAAATTAGCTTTGGATTTAATTTTGGTGCAAAAATCTAAACTCTTACAATAATCATATTACATGCCCACATTCTCAGTATTACATTCGGTAATAGCTGTACCAGCTACTAAAAGGTAAAACATATAACTATTTTTTAAAATTAAAATAAGGCAATAAATCTCTCAGTTTTAGTATAAAATATTAACTTTTTCCTGTCATGAATTAGAAAGCATTTAATACAAAATCTTTGATTTTGAGTAAAGAAGTTCCCTAACTTACGATGGTTCAACTTACCATTTTTCACTTTAGAATGGTGTGAAAGCCACACACATTCAGTAGAAACTGTACTTTGAATTTTAAATTCTGATTTTTTTCCTAGGCTAGAGATTTATGGTACAATGATGCTTTCTTGCAATGCTGGGCAGTGGCAGCAAGCTTTAGCTCCCTGTCAGCCACACTAAGCGATCTGAGTACAATTAAGATAGGTGAGTCTAAGCTTGTTCGAGCAGTTAGGTGTATTAAATGCATTTTTGACTTACAATATTTTCCATTTACGATGGGTTAATAGGTATGTAACCCCATCCGTAAGTCGAGGAGCATCTGTTTAGGGGATGGGGGAAACCCACAACAACAATAGCAAGATTTAAAACCCTGTGTTTATCAATTATAAGGAGGATGGTAGTCATCCTATTTCCATCTTTCTAGAATGTAGGCACTGGTAATTATGCTGAATATCTAGCCTTAGGCCCCTAAACTTTAGGTGGAAACTGCTTTTCAATTCCTTGGCCTGTGACTTTTTCTTATTAACCCAAAGTTAAATTGTTCTTTTGGACCTTAAAAATTCTAGCGGTAAAATATAATTATTGGTTTGAGAAATTGTATTCAGACAGAACCATGTTGAAGGTCCCTGTGCTTGGTGATGCTGCTCTCCTCTTCCAGGTTATGTGCCTACCAGAAATCAGGTATTGCATATGAGAGATGAGATCTCTAACTAATCTTTGGTCATGGACTCAACCATATGCTAGCAAAAGAGACCCCCTTAATTGATAATTTTAACAGAATCCCAAGAAGTTGGTGAAGATCATTTAAGAGATTCAACACAGAAAATAATAATGGCATGACCACCACAATAAAAATATAATGTTTTATTTATAGAATAAATTAGACAAAGTACTTTCACAGACATTAATTCATGTAATTCCAGTCCTTGTAATTTTCACATCAACTGTATGTATGAAGAAATATGATCCAATTAAATAATGTCTACATACAGGTAATAAATGGCTGAGGTAGGCATGAACCCAGTGCTTCTGATAAAAATTCAGTGTTCTTTCAGCCATAGCACACTGTATCCATAACTCATTCTGAAACTTACTATTCATAATCTTCAATTTTCTAGTTTGGAATTAAAAGTCCTTTATGATTTTCTTTCCATTAATATTGCATTATCAATAAGCATAAGTCCTTTCTTATAGGTTCCAGTTGTGCATCCAACAAACACTGAAGTTGCAGCCCCACAGCTGCCTTGGTGACACCTTTCCTCCTCCTCTCACAATGCCTATCCCCTTTACTCCAACCCAGTCCCTGGAGACCCTGGATCCCTCTGCCTTCCTGGATCCAATCTTCACCCCAAGTAGGTTTCTCCCTTTCCAATGTAAGTATTCAACTGTGATTCTAGATTCTTTCAGTCCTGATATTTTCTATAATTTATCCAGTCAACATAATAAAGAGATAGAAGCTAAGTCCTGAAAAGTTGAAATTCTTTTAGATTTTGGTAATAGGAGTAAAAGGTCGTTTGGGAGAACAGCTTGAGAATACACATATAGTGATAATTTTGTCCTGATGTATTTTTATTTTTTATCTTCTGCCCTGAACCCTAGGTAAATTGAGCTTCTCCCTTTTCCTTACAAAGTTCCTATGAATGTCCCTCATATGCCCTATGGTTTCCTTTCTGAAATGAACTTACCTCATTCTGCCTGGAAGGACTTCTTCCTTACTTATAACTCCACAAACGTATCCAAATACTCACTGTTTAAGCACAGTTCACATTCGCTTCCTTTTCTGTAAAGTTCTTGCAATAGTCTGAATGTTTGTATTCTTCCAAAATTCACGTTGAAATCTATTTCCCAGTATATATTAAGAGGTGGGGCCTTTGGGAGGTAATTAGGTCATAAGGGTGGAGCTCTCATGCATGGAATTAGTGTCCTTATAAAAGAGGCCTAAGGAAGCTTGCTTGCCCACCCTTCCATGTGAGGACATACAGAAGGCACTCTCTATAAGGAACAGATCCTCACTGGACACCAAATCTGCTGCCACCTTGATTTAGACTTCCCAGTCTACGGAACTGTGAGCAATAAATTTCTGTTGTTGATAAATTACCCAGTCTAAGGTATTTTGTTATAGGGCAGCCTGAATGGACTAAGACAGTTTTCTCCATGCTTTTAAATGAAAAGCAATTGCTTCTTTTACTTTTCAGCTTCATTTTTTATCTTTTTCTGCTTTCTACCCTTGTTTACTTTCTCACTGTTATTTACTTTCCTCTTCTAGATAAAAAGGCAACAACATATCTGTTGCTTCCTTTGTATCTAATTCAAGGCATTGACACTTTACAGGATATTTTGAAATCATTCCTGCCTCATTGCCTGCCTGGTTAATAAAGGTGGGAATAGGGAAGTTATTGCCAAGGTTAAGGGCAGGAAAAAATAAAAATTGGTTATGCAGTCAGAAAGCTGAGCAGTTTTCCTGGCTCGATGGCCTAGTGATTACAAATTTCTACTCTGATGGTTTTAAATTTTTTTTTATTATGGTCTCAAATATTTACCATTTTTATTTATCTGCTTTCAGCAGTTTTTTCTTTATGAGCAAGAAGGGCATTTTGATCATGTTATCCAGCCAACACAATCCTTCTCCTCTTCCCCACATATACTTTTTCCATATCAACAATATCAAATCACTTTTCTTGGGACCTCAATGAGTTAAGAGGTTTTATCATTTTTTAAAAAATTGCTTCTTAAGACCTATATTTTTATTACAATTTACTTGTTTTTTCTGTAATACACCATTCAGTAGTTTCTTAAATACTCCATGGGTAGTAAACTTTTAGATCTTGCATGTCTGAAAATGTCTTGAAATTTCCCTCCCCTTTGAATAATGACTGAGCTATCCATTACTGTTCCATTCAATTTGAAGAGGTTACTCCTTTGTTTTTTGGCCATCATTGTTGCTGGTGGATTCCCAATGTCTTTGCCATTAATATGTAATGTTTCCTTTATTTCTGCAAACTCTTAAGTTCTTTTATTTTTGCTTGATATTCAGCTCTTAAATTCCCACTTAATGTAAGCGCAGCAAAATGACTATTGTCCACCAGAGACTCATAGCTATTCTATTTTTAGTAAGGTGTCCTGCCACTTTCTCTTTGAAAATTTATTCCCTTCTATTTCTTCTTTTCTCGACATATTCATTCTTTTCTCTTAGATGAATATTGAGCTTCTCAATCTATTTTCCATGTCTCCTAAATTGTCTTTGATAGTTTTGAATCTTTTTTTTCTAAGTTCTGTTTTAAATTCTGGACCTTACTTTCAAGTAACCAAATTATCCCTTTATGTCCAATTTTGATTAAATATCTCTATGTTCTTAAATTATGTAAAATCTTGTTTTCCCCATGCAATACCATTTTGTTTAGAAAAACATTGTTTTCTCTTTCCTTAAAGTTTTAAAATATATTGCTTTAAAGTCATTTTTAAGCTAGCTCACCTATCATAACCTCCTTATAGGTGTAATCTTACCGTTTTACTTTCAGTTGGTTAGCTATCTTTCATGGCATGTATTTTCTTCATGTACTTTACAATTTTTGTAAACTCATCAGGAAGGGAGATATTTCCCTCGATTCCCTCCCTCCCTTCCTTCCTCAACCCCTTCTGTCTCCTGGCTTTTCAGTTTATTTCACCCAGGACACTCTGGGATTTCCAGTATAATACTAGATTTTATATTGGAGACCTGAAAGTCCCAGCCAGCAGATAGCTTGCTTGGGTTTCTGGTTGATGATTATTTCTGTGTCATTGAGCCATCCCTGGGTTTTATAGATATACAGTATTTTTTTCTCTTTTCCAGCCTTGATTTAATATTGGAGCACTTAATTTTGGCTCATCTCACACAGTGAGCCTGGTTTCAAGAACAGGGTATTTCCTACTCTTTCCAGCCTCTTTTGCCTCCTTCTGATGCTGGGAACTTAATAGGTTGTGGTGTTTTTAATCTCCTGTTTGTCAATCCATTTTGAGTCTATTTCAGTTCATAAGACTGTTTTTTCTTGAATTGATCATAGTTATGTCTTTTAAAGTACATTTTACAGTGTATTTTATATCATACTCACAAATAGTTTCCAAATTCTGGAGAAGCCAGGCAGAGAGAAACAAATATGCTCCAAATTTTGTTCACAGGAGTATACCTTACTCCACTGCTAAAGAGTATAAATAGCTCAAAATAAGTTTCCTTGACTCTGAAAAACAGAACAAGGATCAGCAACATTTTAAGCAAAAAGCTTAAAAGATTACTTCAGTTTTCTATTAGTTCAGTCCACTCCATTAACTCTAGTTCTGCTTGATATTCATGAACATTTCAGCTCTTCATGAGTCCTGTACATTTTTCCTCTATTCCAATGTTACAATCATCAAAGATATCAGAAACCTACCTTTAAGAGCACCTGTCAAAGTCTTATAGCTGATTATAAACCAACCTTTGAAAAGGATCTAAGACAACAATTGCGAATGACAAAATATCCAATGTAGTTACAGTCAAAAACACAATTGACAAATAAATTTTTTTATTCTTGTAGTTTACAGTAGCTTAACATAATAACCTTCCCCCAAGCTCAATTTTAAGCCATGCAGTTTAAGTTTTGGGGAAATTAACTTTTCCCAGTCTGGGGGATTCATCCAAGGGGAGTGTCTGTGGTACAGGGACACAGTTACCCATCTGTGAAGAGAGGACAGAGGAGGAAAAAGGAGAAAGAAGCCATTTTTTCCCTCAAAGGAATCCCAGTGATTCAGGAGGCATTCAAGAGAAATACAGACTGAAGATTATTGTTACCCACCTAGAAAGAGGGGAACAAGCTGTCCCTAGTTACTTTATCTTCCCAGTGAATACCAGGGGTATGTGAGGGAGAGAAAGAAGAAATGTCCATCTTCCTTTATTTTATTCTTATATCCCTAAGTCCCAGAGGCCTCAGCAGAGTACTGCCCATGGGTGCCAATGCAGCTTTTCACTCATGTTAACAGGGGGTCTGGAGGGTGAGAATTATCCACATTTACCCACACACTGTCTTTCCCCTGCTGCTCGTAACCTTTGAGTTCCTTAGACCTTGTCTATGCCATGGATACTAGCATGACCCCTACCCACGTAATGGGGGGAGGGCTAATTGGCAGAAATTAGTCATGCTCACCTGTGCTGTGCCCCTTTTCTTCCATTGTTGCCTGCCTCTGGATCCCTCAGATCTAATTTTTCTTTTTAGGGCTTCAAGCCAAAGGTAGGAGTTGTGTTTGGGACAAAAATGTGCTTCAGGAGGGTTCATGGACTCATTAAGTCCCAAGTGGCCCTCCTCAAACAACGGAGAGAAAAGGGAGTCCTATGAATCGGGGTCCTGGCCTTGCAAGACACCTTCCAAAAGGAAAAGAAAAGTCACTCACATAGAAAAATTCCCTGTATTCACAGGGCTATGTGTTAACTCCTGACATAGCTACAAAAAGGGGGGGGAAAAACAACAGCTACAGTGCAGGGTGGGGAAGCTGCCTGGGGGAGAAAATATATAGCATTATGCAAATAGTTTCTTCCAACAGGGAGAGAAACTCTTAACTGTTGTACCCTCCTTTTGGCTTGGCTGGGGGAGGAAAGACTCTGGGCATGTGGTGCGAGGAGACAGTGAGCGAGAATTGCTAGCCAGCTGGCCACGCCGGGGCCTTGATCCCTGAGACTGCCCTGGGGCATGGGCAGCTACCAGTGTGCATTCCCACCCAGCGTGGTCATTGGACGCAGCATGCACATGTAGCAGACATGGGGAGCAGATGGCAGTCTCTGCAGCTGTACCATTCATTCTTAATTGGCTAACAGAGACCTGGTGCTCCATTTGTTTTCAGAAAAAGTCTGAGAGGAAGGCTCGGAAATGAAAAAGTGAAAGAGGTTTCTTCTTGGGTCTGCATTTTACTCACCTTTTCTTAGGTCCCCATATGGGCCACCAAAATGATACAAGATTTTTCTCCTTAGCTCAGCTAGTTCCGGGTTCTTGTCTCACAACCAGGAAGAATTAGGCATGCAGACACTTGAAGAGTGAATGGAATAGAATTTATTAAGTGAAACGAAGACAAGGTCTAAGGAAACGAAAGATCTTAGCAAAGAGAGGAGTCCTAAAAGCAGGCTGCCGGTTGCCCCCTTACCAGCTGAATACCAGGGCTTTTATATATAAGCTGATGGGACTAGGTTCCCTATTTGTATAAAGTTTGAATTCCTGGTCACTCTACCCCATTCCCCTAGGGCTCATGTGAGCCCTTAGTCTGCTGCAGGCATGTTTAGGTAAGCCCGTTGTGCAAGAACCCTTATCTGCAAAAAATATCTGGTGTAAGCACTTGTGGGGTAGTTGGAGGTTCTCGGGGGACCCTTTCCTTACTGTCTGCCTAAAGCAAGCTGGCTAATTCCTTTCAATGTGAAGGGCTCAGGACATACCACCCAAAAATATGACTGTAGGAGAACAAAAACTATTATAGGAGAGAAGGAAGACTTTCTCTCTACCCTCTGAAGGCTTAATAGTTGAGTCTATAAAATAAATTGACAGTGAAAGATTAACAGGAGAAAAACCATGTTAATTATATGCAAATACCTGGGAGTCCCGCAAAATATGAAACTCAAAGAAGAGCCAGACGATTGAAGTTTTTACAACATGCTGAGCTGCAGACAGGAATAGGGCTTGGGGCTTTGGCGGGAAAGTGGCAATGGGTTATGGGAGGGTGCTGGGAGGAAATGCACAGCAAACAAAAGTTGTTTTGTTATGTAGATAAAAAATCTCTCAGGTAATAAAAGTTGTCTGGGTGAAGCCCTCAGAAGAACAGGTGATGCTGTTGACAATCTGTGTGTCAACCTTTAGTCTCCTCTGCTATGATACAGTTAGTCTTTCCTAGTTGATGAGAGTCCTAGAAAGGGGGTACAAGACATTGAATTCCTTTAGGAAGTGATATGGTTTGGCTGTGTCCTCATCGAAATCTCACCTTGAGTTATAATAATCCCCACTTGTCAAGGGCAGGGCCAGGTGGAGGTAATTGAATCATGGGGGAAGTTTCCCCCATACTGTTCTCGTTGTGGTGAATAAGTCTCAGAAGATCTGATGGTTTTTCCCCTGCACAAGCTCTCTTGCCTGCTGCCATGTACGATGTGTCTTGCTTCCCCTTTACCTTCAACCATGATTGTGCAGCCTCTCCAGCTATGTGGAACCGTGAGTAAATTTAACCTCTTTTCTTTATAAATTACCCAATCTCAGGTATGTCTTTATTAGCAGCATGAGAACAGATGATACAGGAGGAAATCTGTCTTTAGACAGATAAGGGAACTTCATAGGAATCCCCTTTTTTTCACTTTTGGGTAGAAAGAGGAACAAGAGTCAATAGCACAAGAGGTCAGAGGACCTTGGTTCATTTTTAGTTCAAAGCACTCATCATGTCAAAGCACCATACTTTGGAGTACCATTTTCTGAGTCTTAACAGTATGTCACCCAAATATGCCTCTTTGGCATAGAGATTATTTTGAGCTGATTGTTTTGACAAAGTGTAAACATAGGAGTTCTGAAAACAATGGAAGTTACCCTTTTTGACTGAAATTTTCATTTATAAAGAAAATCTCCATTTGTGAGGGTCTCTCTCTTTTTCTTGCTCTCTGTACCAGAAAGAGAGGGATATGACTAAATCATAGAAACTCTTACTAGAGATGGAATTTACATCAATCTGCATAACAAAGCTTATTCTTGTTTGTCCAGACCACCTCATCATAACTTAGGCTTTTCCTTACATCCTTATTTTTTTGTTTGTTTCAGAGAAGAATATTGTTTAATCCTGAAGTCTAAGACAACTCTCTGAGATCTGCTCAAGTGATTTGCTCATTTATCTGGGTTAGCTCCCATTTATACAGAAGATACACATGTTATTAAACTTCTGTTTGTTTTTCTCTTGTTAATTTGTTTTCTTACAAATTAGCAAAAGACCCAGAACTCATGAAAGGTAGAAGAGATTATTTTTCCCCCTCTACACATCTTGGTATCTCACTAAATCTTATCTAAAAAATCCCGGAGAAAAAATCCAGTGGAGTCCACCAGTTACATTCAATATCATGTCTGAACTTGAGCAAAGTTCTTATTTTCTATCACCTTGACATCAGTGCCTTGAATTTGAGTCAGGCATCATCCCTGGTACAATCTTCTGGAGCCAGAGGACCCCTGCTATGTTGTTTGAAATCAGGATACTTAGGTGTCAGGAGCCTCACAAGTGCCTTGTGAGAGCAGATAATTGAAGTTTTATAACTAGGACCATAGGGTTTTTAGATTTCTTTGTTCAGCATAAATGAAAGATTGCATTACTGTTTGATAGATGGTCCCTGACTTAAGATGGTTCAGCTTATGAGTTTCTGATTTTATGATTGTAACCAAGTCCAAAATTCATAATGCTCACTGCAAAATAGACAATAAGTTTAGAGACAAAGTGTTTGGGGCAAAGAAAGTGACTTTTACTCAGCCCACAAATTGAGAAGATGGTGGACCAGTGTCCTAAAAAAACATTGTAATGTGAATTTTAGGCTTCTTTTATGTCACCGGAAGGGGAAAAAGGAGTGGGGTTGAATTTTAGGCCTCTTTTGTTACTGGAAGGGGAAAGAGGAGTGGGGTTGAGGTCAAGAGACAGCCAATGAGCACAGACATTTGGGTGGCAGTGAGGGTCTATGGAGTTTATGAAACTTCCTTTTCCTTGGTCAGGTCACAGAGCTCCTATAAATCTTTAACATAATATTGTCACTTGTGTGTGTACACTCCTTGTCTCCTCAGGGGTTAGTTTTGGGAAGATACTATTATCATCCTTGCCTTAAAGTTAAACTATAGGCTGAATTCCTCCAGTAGTTAGCTTGGCCTATATGCAGAGATCAGGAAAAGCAGTTAACCTAAATGGCATAAGGAGTAAGGGGGTTAAGAGCAAAATGGAGTTAGTCATGCTAGGCCTCCTTTTCACTGCCATGAGATGATGCAAAAGCAATACAAATTTAGTAAAAACCATACTTCAAGTACCCATACATCCATTCTATTTTTCACTTTCAGTATAGTATTCAATAAATTGGGTGAGCTATTCAACACTTTATTATAAAGTAGGCCTTGTGATAGATGATTTTGTCAAACTGTAGGTTAATGTAAGTGTTCTGAATATGTTTAAGGTAGGCGAAGCTAAATTATCAGGATGTCACCCCATTGAACACTGAGGAACATCTGTAATCTGCTATTCATTTGTAACAAGTTTAATCAGATGCCCCTTCCTTAGTGTGCCCTAGTTCATCCACAGAGAGAACACCAGGGAAGCCACAGCACAGCAAGTCTGGCTGCATTCATGAGAGGGATGGGCTGGTGACAGAGTAGCTGCTGCCCTGGGAGATTCATATTTCACTACAGTTCATGATTCCCATCTGCTATAAAAATATATGATGAGAGACAATTCATATTTTAGATGGTTTAGATAAAGTTAGAATTAGAGACTTTCTAATATAGATTTTAGATTATCCCATGTTTTAGAGTGGAAAGAATACCTAGAACTTGGAAAGATTTATAAAAGAATTATCCAACTACATGATACTCAAGAAACAGGTTATGTTGCAAACGCTAATTCTCTTCTCCCATGGATTTAGCTAGAAAAATCTGGGTTCAATTTATTGATGACAGAAGTTTGGGAAAAAAATCATCAAAATGAAATTCACATTTGTGTAATGAACAGTCCATTTATTTGAGTGAGTCAATATAAAAATATTTACAGTATGTCTTCATAGATCAATTTTGATTCAAAATACAGATGGAAATATTGGCAACTTTAAATTGTGTATACAGGCAGTAGGCAGCAATGAGAATTATGTGAATATTTTAGAGAAGTAGCTATTGTGTATGTGTATGTCTGTTTTGTTCACTGCTATAATTACGTTACCTAAAGGAATTCATGAGATATGCAACATTCCTTTCCCAACAACTACCTCACCTCCAGCTGCAGCTTTCCTGTATTGTTGCATACGGGTGGTTGGGTGTGATTTTTGCAGCCAAGATCCCATCCCACATTTACCAAGAGCACTGAATCCTGCTTAACTGACTGTAGGTGCTGATGCTGCCCCTTTTCTTCTCTTACATCATTTCGTACCATTCTCCTCGTGGACCTGACCAGCAATCACAATGACCTTCAAGCTCTTCCTCTAACATGTCAACTAGATTCCAGTCTTGCTTTTCTTCATCACTTGCTGTTTCTCCTGACTGATGTGGGCTCCACACAGACCTATTTATTCAGGTCCTGTTCCTTCATTTCAAGTGTCACCTCATCAGAGAGACCTTTCATGACCCCAACCCTGTTACACTCCTTCTCTTTACCACACTTTTTTCTCAAAGTATCGTCACTTATTATTGATTTCACTCCATGCTCCTGGATCTCCCCGCTGCTAGAATACTAGCTCCATGAGGTCAGGGATCTTGTCTGTTTTGTTCACTGCTATAATTCCAGCACTGAGGACAGTGCCCAAAACACATATAATTACCAAATCATTGAACAAATTAATGGCAAGTGTATGAGGCACATTAGGAAAATTAAAAATTTAAAAATTAGGAATAATAGCTAATTTTTATTGAGTGTGTCCCATGGCCGGTATTTTTGTAAACACTTTATATGTATTAACTCATTTAATCCTGACAGCATCAGAGAGGTTGGGTACTCAGTGCCACACAAGCTGTAAGTAGCAGGGGGAGGAAATTAACCAGGAAGTCTTGCTCCAGAACACGTGCTCTTTTCTTCTCTGCTGCTAACAACAATGTTAGGGTAAGGTAGGGATGGGGAGGAGGCCAAGAAAGTGGCTGTGTGATATCTGGCTATTATATTAGCATAATGAGCTGAATTTTCCATAAGAAAGTACCCCATGTCTTTGTTATCATTGTCATTAACAAGCAGTGAGAATAAATTTGTGGCTATGTCTGCCCTTTTGGAGTGGACAACCTAAGTAGATATTGCTGTTTAAAGGAGAATGAAAGGATTTTCAGAGTTATTAAAAAGGCAGAAATTCTTCCAACCAAGTAACTACTTCACTGTAATTGCTTTAGCAAATGATGTGTATACAAAAAACAAACAAAACACATTTTGATCTGCAAATTCAATATGCTAGACATTGTTTTGGTAGCCACACAACATAAGGAAGTGGCCTGCCATTCATGAACTGAGTAGGAAATCATAACAAATCGACCCTCCTGCAGAACTGTTTTTGTCTCATTTAGATTTGCAATAAAATTTGCTTGCGTGTATTTTTCTTGTGTAGGTGTACTCCAAATTATATTTTTGTTTACATACAAAAAGAAACAATTTAGAAAAAATGAATTGATTTTTCCTTCTTTTGCATTTAAAAGCACAAGTGCCCTTTTAAAGTTTTTCAAATGATGTGGCTTAAATTTGATCAGCAAAGTGCTATTTTTATCCTCATTAATATTTTCTTATCATCTTGCATATAAAAATGCATCTTTTTTATGAAATGGATTATTATATCACTATAATATGTACACACTGCTATTTTTTAGAGATTTGCTTTTACATGCAGAACAAAATTATTCTAATCGCTGAAGGAGAGAACTCACAGAACTTACCCTGATAGTTATTACAAAATATGAAAAACCTTCTACAGCCAAAATTTGATTAATTTTTTTTGCAAATAAAGAAAATTAAAGGACACTCCCTATTTATTTAAAGCCTTGTTAGTTTTGAAACAATGAAGTCAAAGAGTTTATATTCCCTTGGTCCATCAAAATGTGTATATTACTTAATGTTTATCAAATGCCTGTATGCTAGAAAAGTAAAGGCTTCATGGAGATATTTTTTACCTTTTCTTTTTAAAATGAATCAAATCAAACAAGAATCAAAGGTTCTCAAATTAGGTATCTTCTCTGATTTCCAAACCCTTAATTTAAGTTTTAGGAAGTGACACGTTAAACCAAAGATTAATGTCAACAGTTTAATTATTATCTCAGTGGCTACAGATTGTTTTTCACTTCTGTACCAGATTTTCCTGTTAAGTCCAGCAGCAGCTGTTATGGAAACTTGATGAAATTCAATCAATATTTTTTGAATTCCTACCCTGTGCAAGGATCTGTGGTGCTAACTCAGGGCAACAAAAGAAATAAGACTTCATCTAAGCTGCATTCCCAGAGGCTAGATGTTATAAATACGTCAATGACTATAATTCCAAAACTGGCCTAAGATTCTGTATTCTAGATCTATTTTA
The DNA here is from genome assembly GCF_000001405.40 of Homo sapiens. Taxonomy (NCBI): domain Eukaryota; kingdom Metazoa; phylum Chordata; class Mammalia; order Primates; family Hominidae; genus Homo; species Homo sapiens. Next base: position 68,667,683 of record NC_000008.11, read on the forward strand.
ACTCATTTTAGTTATTACTGCAAGGCATTTTACACCAATATTTTAGTCAATTATCCTAACAAGTGAATAGATACTTGTATTTAAGCCAATTTCTAGTCACTAGAGGGTTAAGCGAGTGACTAAAAATAAAACAGTTCAGGGTAAATGTTTCTGCTTAGGATGAAGGAAACTGAATTGTCTGTCACAACTGATCAGCACACTTTGGAAGAGTTTTCATAAAAATATGAAACTGAATCATTTTCCAACAGCTTTAATTCAGAAAAATAAAATCAGAGGAGAAAATAAAATTCTGCCATGAAACATCCAACAATGCAAAGCAGAAAATCTTGGAAGACAGATATCTAATAATTTAGAAATAATTGACAGCTCAGAAATTCTAGAAAATAATATAGATATTAAATAATCAAGAAAAATCCTTTTGAAAGTATAAATTTATATAAAAATCAATTTCTTCTATAAGTATCAATATATAGCTACTACATTTAACCTTAAAAACGTATTATTATATTTTTATTTTGAGCCTCCATTCAAAATTGCCTTTGGTTCTAAGTACCAAGTTGTATAACACAGGAGAAATACAAAATTTTCCTTAGCTCAATGATTTAGGAAAATAGGAGGATTTAGGGGAGTTTATATTGGAAAAGAATAAATAGAGTTATGCATATTTGAAGGGCAATTCCATGGAAGAAAAAATATACTTATTTTTGTTGCTCAAAAAAGCAGGACTGGCACTAAAGTAGAGAATACACAGGCTTTCCTTCAACTTCAGAAGGGACACTGGGACAACTGACATGGTAGAAAAATGGAAAGTCTGATTCCTAGCAAATGTGAGGCTCTGTTGTTTGAAATATTCAAGTAGATGCCAAGTAACTATCTGGTGGAGAGTTGGTGTTGAGTAAAAGATCGGACAAGATGACCTGGTAGGCAGAATTTCTAGAAGCAGAATTTCCCAAAATGTGTTGTGTTATATGACAGAGCTGACATTAAGATGGAAAGAGTATCCTAATGAGCCAGACTGAATCTATGAGCCTTTACAAATAGAGAGCATTCTCCTGTTGATGGGCAGAGAGGAAGGCAGAGAAGGGCTCAAGGTGTCATTACTGGCTTTGAAGATGGAGGGGGCCTGTGGGAAGGAAAGGAGGCAGCCTCTGTGACCTGTGAGCAGTTCTTGACTGACAGCCAGCAAGGAGAGGAGTCCTTAGGAGGAACTGGATTCAACCAATACCTCCAATGAGCTTGAAAGCAGATTCTTCCTTAGAGTCTCCAGATAAGACCCCAGCCCAGCCAATGACTTGATTTTGGGCTTGTTAGATGCTAAGCAGAGAACCTAGCCAAGTTCACCAGGACTCCTGACTTACAGAACTGTGAGATAATAAATGAGTGTTTTTTAAGCCATTAAATTTGTGGTAATTTGTTATATAGGAATAAAAAACGAATAACTCACCTTAAATATCCATTTCAACTCTGAAATTTTAAAAACTCATCCTGCTTTCGATGATGATAATGCCAATGTAGTTTCATTGATTGTAACAAATATGCTACTTTGGTGGGGGATGTTGATAATGGGGGAGGCTGTGATGTATGTTGGAGGGGAGAGCAGGAGTATATGGGAAATCTCTGTACCTCCTTTTCAATTTTGCTGTGAACTCAAAGCTGCTCTAAAAATATTAGAGTCTTAAAAAAATGATCCTTTAGCAAGAACAAAAATGGTTAAGCAGGAATGAGCTCTCACTTGATATTAGTAACAACATATTCATATGTTTTTATGTACCCATTTACTTATTCGTATTCTACTTTATTTCAAAAGGAGAGTAGGATGGCTCACAAGAATGTTATTGTGTTGCAGTATAAAAATCCCATGAGGTGAACAAATGGGAAATTATCAGGAAAACAATAATATTGGGCATGATGCCAGCAGCTTTTGCAAGTAAGCCATTGTAATGTTCATATTGATATTTCATCCATCTTTCTGAGCTATGAATAAAGTTCTGAGCTCACAGATGGATTCATACACCTACTACTTGCCAAGCTGATTCTTCCAGTCCAATCAGCTGGTCTTTGTAGTATGTCAATGGAGTTTTTCAGAGTTCCAAGGAAGAGCTACAAACAGAAAATTGGAGTGATGGAGTTTTACATCAAGGTGAATTTTCATCTCAGGCCACTGTCATTTCAGGCCCCCTTTGTCTAACTCTGGGATGAATTTCTGATTTCCCAAATAATTGACCAAATGTTTTTTTGTTGTTGAAGACAGTAACATGAATGGCTGAATAACCTACTCACTCAGCAATTATACCTCCCAGACACAAGATTTGATCTTTCTTCTTTGGCTCATTCATGATGATGGAGTTTCTATATGAACAGCATGCTGCTAGCCTCCCTGGTCAGCAGCTCTGCATTCTGCCTTTTCATCTTAGTATACTGATAGGTTAGATCCCTAGATATATTAGGTGACTTGGCACTGTTTGGGCCTCATAAAATGATATCCCAAATTTTGGCATTTTGGTATTCTGAACACTTTGAACTAAAACAAGAAGGCCTCAGAAGTGGCTTCAGAATGAAAGACTTTCTAATCTTCTCATGTCCCCCCAATCCTCAGTAAATGCAGGGAAGGACTCCCTCTGGAATTTCCTTATCTGACCAAGGAAACTTATTTCCAAAAGAAATGAATTATCTTAAATCCCTTCCCTAGGAATTTCATCAAATAACCAAGAACGTTTAACAACCAGAGAAGATAAAAAACTAAAAATCTGCCACCATACACAGATAACCTTTCCATCTATTCTTTTGAGGGCAACTTTGAGAGATTACCTGGAAGACCTTCTCTGTGTAATAAGGCAAACTTTATTCACAGTGAAGTTCTACCCCTCACCTTCCTGCCATTTCCTGCAAAGCTCAGAGGAAACTTGTCCCAGACCATTGTTCTTTGGGTTCATTTAATTCCTCTAAAAATCATTTACTGTCCCCTTGCAATTGTCTCACCCCCCATTTCCCTCTCCCTTGTGAAGAAGGCATTCAACCCTCAACCATCTGGCCCTTCTTTGAGTCTCATATTTGCAGGACTCCAATATACATATGCACATTAATTTGTTATGGCTTCTTTCTCTATTTATCTGTCTATTGTCATTTATTTCAGTAAACCTTCAATGAGTAGAAAGGAAGCTTTCACCCTGCCCCTAAGGCACTAATACTTCTTATAGCACTTATGAAAATTATTATAAATTGTGTGATTTAATTATCTGATTTTTCTCCTCTTTTAGACAACAGGTCCATGTAACAAATAGACTGAGCTTCTTGTAATCTCTGTCTTATCCTCCCTATCTAGCACAACTTAATGTGAATATTATGCACTCAATATAGTTTTGAATAGTTAACTAGATAATTACACTGATTCTTTTCAAATTTGAATTTCTGTGTCTGGGCTCACTGCTGGCTCCATCTCTAAAATAATGAGTGGTAATGAGTTAAGGCGGAAAATATGATAGCTGTTAAGTTTCAGGGACTAATCCAGCATTTTTCAAACTCAATTTGACCTTTTGAATCCACATATTTTTATTAATAATTGCTTTACAAAATCTGTATTTTCATGTTAAAGATGAACTGAAAAATATGAGCATATTCTGGATTATATGAACAACCATCTGATCACTGAGAACGATCATGTGATTTTAGTGCCCACAGATGTTGAAAATTGTGCTGGTGCCACTTAGTTGCAAGTTACTGAGACGAGAAACAGCTGTATCTAATACTTTAATGGCATGTTAGAGCTAAGTAAATAGTAAAGGCCAACAGAAGTCTTGGTTCACTCTGAGAACTAAGTTGTCTCAATAGTTCTAATGGAGAGAAGTAGAGCGACATTTTAGAATACAATACTAGCATGGGAATGCTGAATTCAGAAGAGCCCACATTGCAATTGTCAGCACCACATTTACCTTAGCAATTGGTTTCAATTTGTAGTTGTGTTAAATTGTTGCTAAAAAATTAAGTTTTCTTATTTTATAATTTTGCTTTTATTTAATTTATAATTTAAAGTTTTATAATCGGGTAAGAGTTGTCTGAGGAATTTATGTATAAAATTGTGGTTTATTTCTTATTAAATTAACACTAAAACTAATATAAGTCAATATGGGGCTTCTAAAGAACTATTTTCCTTTAACGAAAAGGGTTTCCTGAGGTTTGCAATTTAGGTAGATTAGTGCATTTAGTAAACAGAATCTTTGTGCTAGATACAGTATAAGTCATTATAGGGGAGGAAAAATAATGTTCACTCTATCCTTTTTGAGTTCTCAGCTGGGACTCCTGTAACAGAAGACAGATTAACAAGAGGAAAAAACCAAAAGTTTATTAACAAGTGAACCATATATGTATAAAATATATGAGAAATACCCAGAGAAAGGAGTAGATCTCAAAGATATTACTTTGAATTCCACCTTAAATACTATGACTGCTGAAACAAAGAAAGAGGAGTGTAGGGAAGTCTGGTTATGGAGGCAAGGGGGAAGGATTTAGGGTTTAAGAGACAGTGCAAGATGGTTGAATATAAGCCTCCACTGATCATCCTCCTCATAGGGACACCAAATTTGACAACTATCCACACACAAAAGAACACCTTCATGAGAACTAAAAATCAGGTGAGCAATCACAGTACCTGGTTTTAACTTCATATCACTGAAAGGGGCACTGAAGAGGGAAGGAAAGAGTCTTCAATTGCCAAGGCCACCCTACACCCATCCCTTGGCAGTAGCCATGTGGCACAAAGAGAGAATCTGTGGGCTTAGGGAGGGAGAACTCAAGAGATTTTGGGACTTTGCATTGAAACTCAGTGCTGCCCGGTCACAATGGAAAGCAACACCAGGTAGAACTCAGCCTGTGCCCACAGACGGAGCATTTAGACCAGCCCTAGCTAGAGGGAAATCACTCATACCAGCTATCAGAACCTGAGTTCCAGCAAGCCTTGCCTCCATGGGCTAAATTTCTCGAGGGTCATAAATAAAGTTGAAAGGCAGTCTAGGCTACAAGAATGACAATTCCTGGGCAAGTCCTTGTGCTGTGCTGGGTTCAGAGGCAGTGGACTTGGGGGGCATGCAATCTAGTGAGACACCAGCACAGGTGGCTAAAGGAGTGCTTGCACTATTCCTCTCCCAACCTCAAGCAGTGCAGCTTGCAGCTCTTGGAAAGACACCTCCCCTCCACTTGAGGAGAGAAGAGGGAAGAATAAAGAATAATTTGTCTTGTATCTTGGATACCAGCTCAGTCACAGTAGGATAGGGCATTGGGTAGGGTTTTGAGGCCCCCATTCCAGGCCCTAGCTCTCAGATGACATTTCTAGAAATACCCTGGGACCAGGAGAGAACTCACTGCCTTGAAGGTAAGTACTTACTTCTGGTAGGATTAATCATCTGCTGACTAAAGAGCTCTTGGGCCCTGCATAACCAGCAGTGGTACCCAGGCAGTACTCTCTGTGGGCCTTAGATGAAACTCAGATATGTGTGGGCTTCAGCTGTGAACCAGCATATTGCCAGCTATGGTGCTATGGGAGGGACTTCTACTTAAGAAAAGGAGAGGGAAGAGTAAAGGAGACTTTGTTTTTCAGCTTAAGTACCAGCTCAGCCACACCTAATTGTGGACCCCAAGTAGACCCCTAAGTGGACTCTTGGGGTCCACAATTCCAGGCGTGTGCTCTTGGATGGCATTTCTGGACCTGCCTGGGGTCAGAGGAGAGCCCACTGTCCTTAAAGGAGGGTCCAGCCCTGACACCATTCACCACAAGCTGATGGAGGAGACCTTGGGCCTTGAATGAACATCAGCAGTAGCCAGGCAGTATTTGCTACGAGCCTGGAGCAATGGTGGCCACAGGGAGAGACTCCTCTGCTTGTGAAAACAGAAGAGAAGATTGGGAAGGACTTTGTCTTGTGACTTGGGTGCTAGCTCATCCACAGTAGAATACAGCACCAAGTAGATTCCTATTCAACCCTAGGCTCTGGCTCCTAGAAAACATCTGTGGATCCTCATGGGACTGGCAGTAACTCATCACCCTAAAGGGAAGGACACAAGCCTGGCTGGCTTCACCATCTGTTGATTATAGAGCCCCACAGCTCTGAATGAACATAGATGGTAGCAAGACAGTGGTAACCCTGGGCCTTGGGCAAGACCTAGGGCTGTAGTGGTTTCGTCTGACTCGGCACAGTCCCAGCTGTGGTGACCACAGGGGTACTTGTGTTACTCCTCCCCCAGCTCCAGGCAGCTCAACACACAGCAAGCGACTTTGTTTGTTTGGGAGAAATTAAGGGAAGAGAACAAGAGTCTGCCTGGTAATCCAGAGAATTCTTCTGGATCTTATCCAAAACCATTAAGGTGGTACCTCTATGAGTCTGCAAGAGCTGCAGTGTTACTGGGATTGGGGTGCCCCTAAATGCAAATATGGCTGCAGTGACCAAAAATGTAGATGACAACACCCAAGTCCCCTCAAATACCTGGAAACCCTTCCCAAGAAGGACATATACAAACAAGCCCAGACCGTAAAGATTACAATAAATATCTAATTCTTCAATGCCCAGACACTGATGAATGTCCACAAGCATCAAGACCATCCAGAAAAGAAAAATGACCTCACCAGATGAACTAAATAAGTCACCAATGAGCAATCTTGGAGAGAGAGAGAGATATGATCTTTCAGACAAAGAATTTAAAATAGCCATTTTGAGAAAACTCAGTGAAATTCAAGATAACACAGAGGGAATTTAGAACCCTATCAAATAAATTTAACAAAGAGATTGAAATAAAATGAATCAAGCAAAAATTCTGGAGTTGAAAAATGCAGTTGACATACTGAAACATACATCAGAGTCTCTTAACAGCAGAATTGATCAAGCAGAAAAAAGAATTAGTGAGCTTGAAGGCAGGCTATTTGAAAATACGCGGTCAGAGGAGATGAAAGAAAAAAAAAGAATGAAGTATGCCTACAAGATCTAGAAAATAGGTCTAAAATGGCAAATCCAAGAGTTATTGAACTTAAAGAGGAGGTAGAGAGAGGTAGAAAGTTTATTCAAAGGGATAATATCAGAGAACTTTTCAAACCTAGATAAAGATATCAATGTCCACGTACAAGAAGGTTATAGAATCCCAAGTAGGTTTAACCCAAAGTAAAGTATCTCAAGACATTTAATAGTCAAACTCCCAAAGGTCCCAAACTCCCAAAGGATAAAGAAAGGATCCCAAAAGCAGCAAGAGAAAAGGAACAAATAGCATGCAATGGAGCTCCAATACCCCTGGCAGTAGACTTTTCAGTGGGAACTTTACAGGCCAGGAGACCATGGCATGACATATTTAAAGTGCTGAAGTGAAAACTTTTACCCTAGAATAATATATCTGGCAAATATATCATTCAAACATGAAGGAGAAATAAGTACTTTCATAGACAAAGAAAAGTTGAAAGATTTCATCAACACCAGACCTGTTCCACAAGAAATGCTACAGAGAGTTCTTCAATCTGAAAGAAAAAGATGTTAATAAACAAAACAAACAAACAAACAAAAAATCTGAAGGTACAAAACTTCACTGGTAATAGTAAGTACACAGAAAAACACATAATATTATAATACTGTAATGGTGGTTTGTAAACTATTCATATCTTGAGTAGAAAAACTAAAAAGTGAACTGATCAAAAATAATTACAACAACTTTTCAAGACAGACAGTATAAAAAGATATAAATAGAAACAAGAAAAAGTTAAAAAGTGGAGAGACAAAGTTAAAATGTAGAGCTTTTATTAGTTTTTGCTTTGCTTGTTTGTTAGGTTGTTTCTTTTCTTCTGCAATCAGTGTCAAATTGTCGAAAGTTTAAAATAATGGTTCTAAGTTAGAATTTGCAAGCCTCATAGTAATCTCAAATAAAAAAAAAACACACACAAAATATAAAAAGCAAGAAATAAAACATACCACCAGAGAAAATCACCTTCACTAAAAGGAAGACATATAGGAATGAAAGAAAGAAGAAAGAAACACACAAAATACCCACAAAATAACTAGAAAACAAATAAAAAATAGCAGGAGTAAGTCCTTACTTATCAATAATAGCATTGAATGTAAATGGACTAAACTCTTCAGTCAAAAGATATCCAATTGCTGAATGGATAAAAATACAAACTCAGTGATGTATTGCCTACAACACATTTCACCTGTAAAGACACACAGACTGAAAATAAACGAATGGAAAAAGATATTCCATGCAAATGGAGACCAAAAAAGAGCAGGAGTAGCTATACTTAGACAAAATCGATCTCAGGACAAGGCCTATAAAAAGAGACAAAGATGATTATATAATAATGGGGTCAGTTCAGCAAGAGGATATAACAATTGTAAATAAATATGCACGCACCTGGCATGGCGGAGCATGCATATAATCCCGGAACTTTGGGAGGCTGAGGCTAGCTGCTTGCTTGAGCTCAGGAGTTTAAGACCAGGTGGGCAACATGGTGAAACCCCATCTCTACAAAAAACAGAAAAATTATCCAGGTGTGGAGGCATACACCTGTAGTCCCAGCTACTTGGAAGGCTGGGGTGGGAGAATTGCTTCAGCCAGGGAGGTTGAGTCTGCACTAAGCTGTGATCTTGCCACTGCATTTCAGTTTGGGTGACACAGTGAGACCCTCTCCAAAAAGAAAAAAAAAATGCACCTAACTCTAGAGCACCAGATATATAAAGCAAAATTATTAGAGCTAAATAAAGGGATAGACCCCAATACAATAATAACTGGAGATTTCAACACCCTACTTTCAGCATTGCACAGATCATTCAGACAGAAAATCAACAAAGAAACATCAGGCTTAATCTGCATTATAAACCAAATGGACCTAATATAGATATTTACAGAACATTTCATCCAACAACAGCCCAATACATATTCTTTTCCTCAGCACATGGAAAAGACATATGTTAGGCCAAATATCCTTCCTCAGTTCAAGGATAGACATATGTTAGGCCACAAAAAATCTATAAATTTTTAAAATATTGAAGTAATATCAAGTATCTTCTCTGACTTTGTATTAGTTCGTTTTCATGCTGCTGATAAAGACATACCTGAGACTAGGCAATTTACAAAAGAAAGAGATTTAACTGGACTCACAGTTCCACGTGGCTGAGAGGCCTCATAATCATGACAGAAGGCAAGAAGGAGCAAGTCACATCTTATGTGGATGGTGGCAGGCAAAGAGAGAGTTTGTGCAGAGAAACTCCCATTTTTAAAACCATCAGCTGTCTTGAGACCCATTCACTATCATGAGAAGAGCACGGGAAAGACCCACCCCCATGATTCAGTCATTTCCCACTGGGTCCCTCCCACAACACCTGAGAATCATGGGAGCTACAAGATGAGATATGGGTTGGGACACAGAGCCAAACTATATCAGATTTCATGGAATAAAACGGGAAATCAATAACAAGACGAATTTTGGAACCTATACAAACACATGAAAATTAAACAATATGCTCCTGACTGACCAGTGGGTCAATAAAGGAATTAAGAAGAAAATTGAAAAATGTCTTGAAAGAAATGATAATGGAAACACACATACCAGAACCTATGGGATAAAGTGAAAGTGGTACTAAGAGGGAAGTTTATAGCTATAAGCACCTACATCAAAAAAGTAGAAAAACTTCAAATAAACAACCTAATGATGCATCTTTTTTTTTCTTTTTTTAAGACAGGGTCTCACTGTGTCACTCAGGGTGGAGTGCAGTGGTGTGATATTGGCTCATTGCAACCTCTGCCTCCCAAACTCAAACAATCCTCCCACCTCAGCTTTCCAAGTAACTGAGACTACAAGCATGTGTCACCACACACAGCTAAGTCTTATTTTTTTTGTAGACAAGTTTTCATCATTTTGCCTAGGCTGGTCTCAAACTCCTGGGCTCAAGAGATCCACCTGCCTTGCCTAACAAAGTGCTGGGATTGCAGGCATGAGCCACCATGCCTGGCCCTAACAATGCATCTTAAAGAACTAGAAAGGCAAGAGCAAACCAAACCCAAAAATAGTAGAAGAAAAGAAATAATAATGATCAGAGTACAAATAAATGAAATTGAAATGAAGAAAATAATACAAAAGTTCAACAAAACAAAAAATTGGCAGTTTGAAAACAAAAATGAAATTGACAGACCTTTAGCCAGACTAAGAACAAAAGGAGTGACAACCCAAATAAATGAAATCAGAGATGAAAAAGGAGACATTACAACCAATATTGCAGAAATTCAAAGGATTATTAGAGGCTACTAAGAGAAACTATATGCCTTAAACTGGAAAACCTAAAAGAAGTGGATAAACTCCTAGACACATACAACATACCAAGATTGAACCATGCAGAAATTCAGAACCTAAACAGACCAATAGTGAGTAATGAGATTTAAGCTGTAATAAAAATCTCCTAGCCTGGCACCTGATGGCTTCACTGCTGAATTTTACCAAACATTTGAAGAAGAACTAATACCTACTCAAACTGTTCTAAAAAATAGACGATGGAATACTTCCAAACTCATTCTATGGTCCATATTACCCTGAAACCCAAATCAGACAAAGACACATCAGGAAAACAGCAACAACTACAAAAAACAATGACAACAACTATACACCAATATCTCTGATGAACATTGATGCAAAAATTCTCAACAATGTGATAGCAAAACTTCAACAACACATTAGAAAGATCATTCATCACAATCAGATGGGAATTATATCAGGGATGCAAGGATGGTTCAATATATGCAAATGAATCAGTTTGATACACCATATCAAGATAATGAAAGTCAGAAACCATACGATCATTTCAATTGATGATAAAGAAAGCATTTGATAAAATTCAACATCTTTCTTCATGATAAAAATCCTGAAAAAATTAATTGAATATAGAAAGAACATACCTCAACTAAACAAAAGCCATATTTGACAGACCCACAGCTAGTAGTATACTGAATGGGGAAAAACTGAAAGGCTTTTCTCTAAGATCTGGAACACAGCAAGGATGCCCAGTTTCACCACTGTTATTCAACATCATACTGGAAGTCCTAGCTAGAGCAATCAGATAAGAAAAAGACACAAAGGGAATCTGAATTGGAAAGGAAAAAGTTAAATTATCCTTTTTTGCTGATGATATGATCTTATATTTGGAAAAACCTAAAGACCACAACTGAAAAAAAAAAAAAAAAACTGTTAGAACTGATAAACAAAGTCAGTAAAATTGCAGGATACAAAATCAACAAACAAAAATCAGTTGCATTTCTATGGGCCTGTGGTGAACAATCTGAAAAAGAAATCAAGAAAGTTATCCCATTTACAATAGCTACTAATAGGCCAGGCACGGTGGCTCCTGCCTGTAATCTCAGCACTTTGGGAGGCCGAGGTGGGCTGATCACAAGGTCAGGAGATCGAAACACAGTGAAACCCTGTCTCTACTAAAAATACAAAAAATTAGCCAGGCATGGTGGCACGCACCTATAGTCCCAGCTACTGAGGGGGCTGAGGCAGGAGAATCGCTTGTATCTGGGAGGCAGAGGTTGCAGTGAGCCAAGATCCCACCACTGCACTCCAGCCTGGGTGACAGAACGAGACTTTGTCTAAAAACAAAACAAAACAAAAACAAAAAACAAAAGCTATTAATAAAATAAAATAAAATAAAATACCCAGGAATTAACTTAACCAAAGAAGTGAAAGGTCTCTACAATAAAAACTATAAAACACTGATGAAAAAAATTTAAGAGGACACAAAAATGGAAAGGTATTCCATATTCATGGATTAGAAGAATCAAATTGGCAAAATGTCCATTCTACCCAAGGCAATCTATAGATTCAATGCAATCTCTATCATAATACCAATGATATTCTTCACAGATATAGAAAAAAACCACTATCTTTTATATGGAACCACAAAAGACCCAGAATAGCCAAATGTATCCTGAGCAAAAAGAATAAAAGTGGAAGAATCATATTACCTATTACCTAACTCCAAATTATACTACAGGGCTATAATAAATAAAACAACATGGTACTGGCATAAAAACAGACACATAGACCAATGGAGCAGAATAGAGAACCCAGAAAGAAATTCATACATTTAAAGTGAACTCGTTTTCAACAAAGGTGCCAAGAACATGCACAGGGGAAAGAACAATCTTTTCAATAAATGGTGCTGGGAAAACTGGATATCTACATTCAGAAGAATGAAACTAGACCCCTATTTCTTGCCATATACAAAAATCAAATCAAAATGAATTATGATTCAAATATAAGGCCTCAATCTATAAAACTACTAAAACATTAGGGAAGTTCTCCAGGACACTGGACTGGGCAAAAATATCTTGAGTTATCTCTACAAGCACAAGCTACCAAAGCAAAAATGGACAAATGAGATCACATCAAGTTAAAAACCTTCTGCACAGCAAAGGAAACAATCAACAAAGTGAAGAGAAAACCCACAGAATAGGAGGCCATATTTGAAAACTATCCACTTGACAAGTGATTAATAAACAGAATATATAAGGAGCTCATATGACTCTATAGGAAAAAAATCTAATAATGGGGCAAAAGATCTGAATAGATATTTCTCAAAAGAAGACATACAAATGGCAAACAAGCATATGAAAAAGTGCTTAACAACACTGATTATCAGGGGAAACCACCCCCAATATTTCAATGTAGGTTCTTTCTATTTTCTATAAGTGTCAGCCAGCTGAGAAATAAAGAGAAAGAGTGCAAAGAGAGGAATTTTACAGCTGGGCCACTGGGGGTGACATCACATATTGGTAAGACCGTGATGCCCCCCTGAGCCTCAAACCAGCAAGTTTTTTATTAAGGGTTTCAAAAGGGGAGGGGGTGTAAAACAGGGAGTAGCTACAAAGATCACATGCTTCAAAAGGCAAAAAGCAGAACTACTAATAAGGGTCTAACAAAGATCACATACTTCTGAGGGAACAGGACAAAGGGAAAAAGCAAAACCACTGATAAGGGTCCAACAAAGATCACAAGGCAAAGGGCAAAAGCAGAACTACTGATAAGGGTCTATGTTCAGCAGTGCACCTATTGTCTTGATAAACATCTTAAACAACAGAAAACAGGGTTCGAGAGCAGAGAACCAGTCTGACCACAAATTTACCAGGGTGGAGTTTTTCCCCACCCTACTAAGCCTGAGGGTACTGCAGGAGACCAGGGCGTATCTCAGTCCTTATCTCAATGGCATAAGACAGACACTCCCAGAGCGGCCGTGTATAGACCTCCCCCCAGGAATGCATTCCTTTCCCAGGGTATTAATATTAATATTCCTTGCTAGGAAAAGAATTTAGTGATATCTTCCCTACTTGCATGTCCATTTATAGGCTCTCTGCAAGAAGAAAAATATGGCTGTTTTTGCTTGACCCCGCAGGCAGTCAGACCTTATGGTTGTCTTCCCTTGTTCCCTAAAAATCACTGTTGTTCTGTTCTTTTTCAAGGTGCAATGATTTCATATTGTTCAAACACACATATTTTACAATCAATTTGTATAGTTAACACAATTATCACAGTGGTCCTGAGGTGATGTATATCCTCAGCTTACGAAGATAACAGGATTAAGAGATTAAAGTAAAACAGGCATAAGAAATTATAAAAGTATTATTTGGGAACTGATAAATGTCCATATTAAAATGAAATCTTCACAATTTATGTTCCTCTGCCGTGGCTCCAGCCGGTCCCTCCATTCAGGCTCCCTGACTTCCCGCAACAATTGATCACCAGAGAAATGTGAGTCAATCTACAATGAGATGTTATCTTACCCCAGTTAAAATGACTTTTATCCCAAAGATACCAGCAACAGATGCTGGTGAGAATGTGGAGAAAAGGGAGCATTTGCACACTGTTGGTGGAATGTAAATTGGTACAACCACTATGGAGAACAGTTTGGAAGTTCCTCGAAAAACTAAAAATAAAACTACCAAGTGATTCAGCAATTTTACTGCTAGGCATATACCACCCCCTCACAAAAAGGAAATCAGTATGTCAAAGAGATATCTGCATTCTCATGTTTATTGCAGCACTGTTTACAAGAACCAAGATTTGGAAGCAACCTAGGTGTCCATCAACAGATGAATGGATAAAGAAAGTGCACATGTACACAATGCAGTACTATTAAGCTATAAAAAGGAATGAGAGCCAATCATCTGCAACAATATGGATGGAACTGGAGGTCACTATGTTAAGTGAGATAAGCCAGGCTTAGAAAGACAAACTTTACATATTCTCACTTATTTGTGGGAGCTAAAAATTAAAATAATTGAATTCATGAAGAGATAGAAAGTAGAAGGATGGTTGCCAGAGACTAAAGGGTAAGTGGGTGGGGGAAGTGGGGATGGCTAATAGGTATAAAAATATAATTAGATAGAACAAATAGGATTTAGCTTTCAACAGCATAACAAGATGACTGTAGTGCTGTAGTCTGTAGTACTGTAGTACTGCTGTAGACTGTAGTACAACAATGATTTGTTGTACATTTAAAAATAGCTAAAATAGTATAATTGGATATTTTGGTAACACAAAGAAAGGATAACTGCTTGAGGTGATGGGTACTCCATTTACCTGATGTAATTATTGTGCATTTTATGCTTGTATCAAAATATCTCATGTACCCCATAAATATGTACACCTGCTATGTGCCCACAAAAGTTAAAAAGATATTTTTTTAAGGGTAAGATTTGTTATGCAGATTTAGATTGGTGCCTTCTCCATTGATGAGTCTCGTAATTTAGTTATCCTTCTCTTCCTGGTGCAGACAGGGAGACTCCCTTACATTTCTTTATAAGTGTAAATTTTCCTCATAAAAGGGCAACTTATACTTTGTTTTCAGAATTCTCCTGTGTCTACAATTACTAAAGTAATCAGCTTAAAATAATACTATGTCAAAGAGGCACATTTTCAGGTGCCATATTCTGACCTCTTACGATCTTATTTTGTGGTGGTGTATTCCTGTCTCCTAAAGTTATATTTCAGAGTGACATATTTTGGTTCCTCTTCAACAGTAGTTCTTGTTGAATTCAATCAATGTGCACCAAAGTGTTATTTCCAAATTTAAAAATTAACTTTAGAACATAGAAATAGTCACATTATTTTCTGGCTAAAGGAATTTTACAATAACTTTATTGGATTCTTTTCAAATTTTGTTTACTTTTTTCCAAATTAGGAAGCAAACTATTACATTTCGATTGAGTTTTTAGGAGGAAAAAAATGTTTCGCGCGGCTGTACTTGGAAGGACACTCCTAGAGATTCCACATCTCACAGACTCATTGTTGCCAAGTGACAGCAAGGCAGATTGACTGCCAAGTGTGGCTGTTGAGATTTATCACTGATTTTGGACCCAAGTAAGCTTTTGAGTTTCGTCATATTGAACAGAAGGAAATGAGATGATTTATAGTTGAATTTGAGAATCATGAGAACAGTGAGAAATCTGGACCCCCCAGACTCCTGTACTGCAGGCTTATTTAGTTGACTGGTGTCAAATAATTTCAATTAAGTCATATAGAATATTGCTTTGGGAACTCAGATTTTATTTAAAAAGATATTTATATGATTCTAACAAAATTATGGCTTAGAATTCATATAAGACTATCAGTCTTGCTCACTGTTAAAGTTTTAGAAACAGAATCAATAGTCAGCCTATACTAGATGGTGAGGAACTTAAAATTGATTCCCGTGAAGAGGAACAAAGATTTCATCTTGACCTAACGGGGAGTACTGATCTGTTTCTGTACCAACTACCTATGTCTCAAGTGCTTGCAGAAGAACTAACATGAAGGGTTGGTGGGGGTGTAACTCTATTTTGCTTTACTCCTCTTGATTCCAAACAGAAAAAGAAACAAATAACTGTGATATATACACATTTGAAACATGGGTAGAAATGAAAATGACAAATTTGATGTCTGGAAAAAGGTATAAGTTTCAGAAAGAAAAAACGTATCTCAACAACTTTTAAATATACATGAGAGTAAAATATCAGAACCTGTACATAGTCTTTCCAAAAATCATGTGAAAAAAAGGTGGTAGCTAGATAACAATAAAAAAAGTCACATTTATTATTTTTTGGAATACCTGGCCTTTAGAGATATTTTTCACATTCAAATCAGAAAAATAGTCCATGCCCATAAGGGTTGGAAGAGGCAGACCGCATGTATAGAAGTCAGCATCTGGCTGACTGTGTTCCCAGTGAGTGTAACTCCCAGATGGTAATGGCCAACAAGGAGCTACATTGTGCTCACCCACAAAACTCTTCTCAAGATAGGCTCATGTTTTTAAACAGATTTTAAAACAAAAAACCTATAAAAATAGTAAGCATTATGTGTAACATCCAAAGGAGGTTAAGTTTGCTTATTTCTCCTTCTGTTTCTTTTACTTCCTCTATCTTGTTTGTTCTACTTTCTTTTTCTTTCATCATCTGAATGAAGCCTCATGACACCAACTGGACCCTGTTTATTTAAAAATGTTTAATGAACTCATAAAAATACAGAGTGTGATGGGGCTTCCTTCTGAGAGCCAGCATGCATCACTGTGGGCCTGGGATGTCTGCTTCAAGACAAACATGAAGCACAGGATCCCCAGTTCAGAAAAGGAAGAAAACGAGACAGGACCTAAATACATTCTATGGAAAAGGTTTCACATCACAGAAAAGAAATCTTAAACAGGCATAAAGTATTAGGATTTAGGAGCCAGTTTGGATGGACATTGGGATCACAACAAATTCTAGTTGTAAGAAATATTTATAAATTCTGTAGAGTACAAAGTACTGCAAACAAGAGACAAGCCATTTAGATAGCTAGCCATTCTCCTTTTATCACTAATTGTCATTACATCTTTCTAAACTTTTCTAACAATGGGTTGGCAATGAATAATTTGTGCCACATTAATTGTCTGACTTTAATCTCTGACATTATATATGATTTCTGAGAATAATTTTTAAATTAGCATAATATTTAGCCTTTAATATTCTATAAGAATCCTGCTATAAGCATGTAAATCGAGCTCATTTCTTTAAGACACTCATCTAATTTCACATAGCTTTCTGGAAGAATTTTAGAAAAAAAATTATAGGCTGCTTATTAAAAAAAAAATATTTTTTTTAAAATTTCCCTTTTTGGTTTTATTTGAGACTGGGTCTTACTCCGTCACCCAGGCTGGAGTGCAAAAAACTTTTTGTGTGGTAAAAGGAAAATTATGTTGGAGTTAAATTTGGTGAAATAAGTGATAAGAATTTAGAATAATTAGTTTTGGTTTATTATAAATTATGTTTCATTAATATACAACAGGTAAAATTAGAACATAATCTTTACATAGGTAATATTAGTAAATCTCAAGGAAATAAAAAATTTGTACCAGATGTTTTAACTCTTATACTAAGGTATAACTCTTTCATACTAAGGTATGTTTTAACTCTTTCATACTACGGTAACATATATGTACTTAATGCTTGAACCTATTGTTATTTCAAACTTTCCTCTTTCTCTATCATTTATTACTTTTTGATAACTAGAGCTCCTCTTCATTATCTCTTTAGACAAGGGTTCACCATAGCATTCAGAGGCATAACAAGTAGGTTAAATTCAGTAACCTTTTAACTTCTCAAAGTGAAATGATTAAAAACAAATAAATAAGGTGAGGAGAAGGAGATAAAGGATGTAGAAATTCACAGCCCAAATTAATATTAACTGAACAACTAAGACTCAAAGTAATATGTCTTCAAAATGCTAAAACATAATCAATTCAGTTAAAATTGTCCGTGTATAAATCCTGCCAAATTGATCAACCCAACGTCCTTACATGTAATACTCAAACAATTTCCAAGTTGAGGTATGAGTTTGGAAATTGCTTTAAAAAGCATGTTGATCCAGGGTTTGGATGTGGTGGCTCATGCCTGTAATTTCAGCACTTTGGGAGGCCAAGGCAGGTGGATTGCTTGAGCCCACGAGTTTGAGACCAGCCTGGGTAACATGGTGAAACCCCATCTCTACCAAAAATACAAAAAGAAACCCCCAAAAGCAAAAATTAGCCAGGCGTGGACATATGTGCCTGTACTTCCAGCTACTCAGGAGGCTGAGGTGAAAGGATAAACTGAGCCTGGGGAGGTTGAGGCTGCAGTGAGCCATGATCATGCCACTACACTCCAGCCTGGGTGACAGAGTGAGACCCTATCTCAGTAAATAAATAAATAAATAAATAAATAAATAAATAAATAAATAAATGCTGATCAATTAGAAGTAAAACTAGAGACATTATAACCAATACCATAGAAATGCAAAAGATCATTCGAGACTACTATGAACACATTTATGTGCACAAACTAGACAATCCAGAGGAAATGGGTAAATTCCTGGAAACATACAACCCTCCTAGATTAAATCAGGAAGAAATAGACAGACAAATAACAAGCAGTAAGATTGAATCAGTAATAAAAAAAGATTACCACCACCACCAACAACAGAAAAGCCCAGGACCAGATGGATTCACGGCTGAATTCTACCAGATATTCAAAGAAGAATTGATACCAATCGTACTGAAACTTCCAGATGATTGAGAGAGAATCCTCCTTAAATCATTCTATGAGGCCACTATCACCCTAATACTGAAACCAGGAAAGGACTTTACAAAAAAAGAAAACTAATTACCAATACCCTTGATGAACATAGATGCAAAAATCCTCAACAAAATACCAACTAACCAAATCCAAGAGCACATAAAAAAGGCAATACATCATGATCAAGTGGGTTCATGCAGACATTCAGGAATGGCTTAACATATGAGAGTCAATAAATGTGACACATTACAAAAACAGAATTAAAGAACCGTATGATCATCTCAATAGATGCAATAAAAGCATTTGATAAAATCCAGCATCCTTTTATGATCAAAAGCTCTCAATAAACTAGGCATAGAAGGGACTTACCTCAAAATAATAGAATTTATATATGAAACACCCAGTCAACATCATACTAAATGGGGAAATGCTGAAATCGTTTTCCTTGAGAACTGGAACAAGACAAGGATGTCCACTTTCACCACTTCTATTCAACGTAGTACTGGAAGTCCTAGCCAGGGCAATCAGGCAAGAGAAAGAAATAAAAGGCATTCAAATTGGAAAAGAGGAAGTAAAACTAGTGCTGTTCACCAATGATATTATCCTATACCTAGAAAACCCTAAAGACTCATCCAAAAGACTTCTAGATCTGATAAACAAATTCAGTAGTCTCAGGTTACAAAATCAATGTACACAAGTCAATAGCACTCGACAACAACCAAGCTAAGAATCAAATCGAGGACTCAACCCCCTTTACCAACAGCTTCAAGAAAAATAAAATACCTAGGAATATACTTAACCAAGGAGGTGAAAGAGCTGTACAAACAAAACTACAAAACACTGCCAAAAAGAAAATATGATGACACTAATAAATGGAAACACATCCCATGCTAATAGATGGATAGAATCAATACTGTAAAAATGACAATATGTCCCAAAGTAATCTACAGATTCAATGCAATTCCTATTCAAATATATTATTTTTCATAGAACTAGAATAAAAAATCCTAAAATTTATATGGAACCAAAAAAAGAGCCTGAATAGCCAAAGCTATCCTAAGCAAAAAGGACAAATTTGGAGGCATCACATTACTGGACTTCAAATTTTTCTACAAGGCTATAGCTCCCAAAATAGCACGATACTGGTATAAAAATAGGATCTTAGACCAATGGAACAGAATAGAGAACCCAGAAATAAAGCCAAATACTTAAAGCCAACTGATCTTTGACAAAGCATACAAAACCATAAATTAGGGAAAGGACACCGTATTCAAAAAATGGTGCTGGGAAAACTGGCAAGCCACGTGTAGAAGAATGAAACTTGATCCCCATCTCTCACCTTATAAAAAAATCAACTCAAGATGGATAAAAGGCTTAAATCTAAGACCTAAAACCATAAAAATTCTAGAAGATGACATTGAAAAAACTCTTCGGGATATTGGCCTAGGCAAAGAATTCATGACTAAGACCCTAAAAGCAAATGCAAAGAAAACAAAAATAAATAAATAGGACCTAATTAAGCTAAAAAGCTTCTGTACACCAAAAGAAATAATCAACAGAGTAAATAGACAACCCACAGAATAGAGAAAATATTCACAAACTATGCATCTGACAAAGGACTAGTATCCAGAATCTACAAGGGACTCAAACAAATCAGCAAAAACAAAACAAAGCAAAACAAAAAAATAATAATTCCATCAAAAAGTGGGCAAAGGACAGGAATAGACATTTCTCAAAAGAAGATACACACTTGGGCAACAAACATGAAAAATGGTCAACATAACTAATCATCAGGGAAATGCAAATTAAAGCTATGATGGGACACCACCTTACTCCTGCAAGAATGGCCATATTTAAAAAGTCAAAAAACAATAGATGTTGGCATGGATGTGATGAAAAGGGAACAGTTACACTGCTGGCAGGAATGTAAATTACTATGGAAAATAGTATGGAGATTCCTTAAATAAGTAAAAGCAGATCCCAGCAATCCCACTACTGGGTATCTATTCAAAGGAAAATAAGTAATTATATGAAGAAGACACATACACTCACGTTTATTGCAGCACAATTCGCAATTGCAAAAATATGGAACCAACCTAAAAGCCCATCTACCAATGAATGGATAAAGAAAATGTGGTATTGTGGAAGACAGTATGGCAATTCCTCAAGGATCTAGAACCAGAAATACCACTTGACCCAGCAATCCCATTACTGGGTATATACCCAAAGGAATATAAATCAGTATGTTATAAAGATACATGCGCACGTATGTTTATTGCAGCAATATTTACAATTGCAATTTACAATTGCAAAGACATGGAACCAACCCAAATGCTCGTTAATGATAGCCTGGATTAAGAAAACGTGGTACATATACACCATGGAATACTATGCAGCCATAAAAAGGAATGAGATCATGTCCTTTGCAGGGACATAGATGAAGCTGGAAGCCGTCATACTCAGCAAACTAACACAGGAGCAGAAAACCAAACACTGCATGTTCTCACTCATAAGTGGGAGCTGAACAACGAGAACGTGGACATAGAAAGGGGAACAACACATACTGGGGCCTGTTGGGGGATGAGGAGAGGGAAAGCATCAAGACAAATAGCTAATGCAGTTGGGGCTTAATACCTACGTGATGGGTTGATAGGTGCAGCAAACCATCATGACACACATTTACCTATGTAATGAACCTGCAAGTTCTGCACATGTATCCTGGAACTTAAAGTAAAATACAAAACAAAACAAAACAAACAACAAAAAAGAAAATGTGGTATAAATACACCATGAAATACTACTCAGCCGTAAAAAGGAATGGAATAACGTCTTTTGCAGCCACTCAGATGGAGCTGGAGGTCATTGTTCTAAGTGAAATAACTCAGGAATGGAAAACCAAATACTCAATGTTCCCAATGTATGTGGGAGTTAAGCTATGAGGATTCAAAGACATACAGAGAGATATAATGGACTTTGTGGACTCGATGGAGGGGGAGTGTTGGGGAACAATGCAGGTGGGTGAAGGATAAAAGACAACATATTGGATACAGTGTACACTGCTTTGGTGATGGGGGAAACTAAAATCTCAGAAATCACCACTGTAGAATTCATCCATGTAACCAAAAACTACTTGTACCCCAAAAGCAATTGAAATAAAAAAATTGAAAAATAACGCTTAAAAAAATTAAGTAGCAGAGCCAGCATTTAACCCAGGTAATGTGGCCTCACAGCCCATGCTCTGAACTTCTCTGCAATATCGCCTTTCTGCAAGAAGCTCCCTGAAGTATGGTATATCATTCAACACACCAGAAATAACTTAAATGTTCATCATCAGTATAAATGAACTTACTTAATATAGAATACTATGCAATTTTTAAAAGGTGGGCCTCATCTAGTTGTGGTCCTGCCTCCCAAGAGGCATTTGGCAATAAATATATGAAAGAGAGAGAAAATAAGAACAAAGCTGGAGGCATTATGTTACCTGAGTGGTCTGTTTTGGGTTCTATCTGCTTCCTTGAAGTTTCAGTTATCTCTAATCCTTACAAAAAAACTCTTCCAATTGGGTGCCTTCCCTAGTCTTATTTTGCAAATGAGAAGTGAGGTTTAGAGAGGCTAAGTAAGCTGCTTAAGGTCAAAAGCCTATCAGGTGCCACTGGTGGAAATTTAAACCCTGGCTTAGACTGACTTCAAAGCCCCAATTGCTACTGTGCAATGCTGCCTCCTAGTTTTAAAGTAGTCAAATTGCTGGTCTTATTTTGGAATTTGACACATTTTCCAAATTTATCATATTGCCTCATCCATTTTTTGGAATAAAGGACTGATATGGTGGGGTCAGGCCTGTTATAAGAAATTAAAAACATGTGTTAGGCTATAAAAGTTCAAATGAAGCAAACAGATACATTTCTGCCTATATTATTGGAGTGAAATAATTATCCTGTTTTTATAGTTTTTTTTTATATGAGTGTTAGCGTTCAGATAATACAATGGACATTTGAAAACTATTGTAGGGGAGGCAACATTTCACCTCTACCTTCCTAGAATTTTTCAGCTGGACATCAGAATTAAACTGGCATAAGAAAAATTAGCAGGAGAAAAGCATACAAATTTATTTAATATAAGTTTGACATATGTCTTAGCCTGTTTGGGCTGCTGTAACAAAATATCTTAGACTGGGTAATTTGTAAATAACAGATATTTATTTCTTACTGTTCTGGAGGTTGGAGAGTCCAAAATCAAGGCGCCAGGAGATTCAATGTCTAGGGAGGGCCCATTTGTCATAGACAGCTTCTAGCAGAGTACTCACATGATGAATGGGGTCAACAGTTCCCTTCCACCTCTTCTATAAGGTCACTGAACTCATGTATGAGAGCTCTGCCCTCATGACATAATCACCTCATAAAGGCCCATTTCTTATTACTGTCAAAGTAGAGACTAAATTTCAGCATATAAATTTTATCAGGGGGAAACATTCAGACCACAGCAAAATGAAATGGTAACCCTCATTAGGAAATGAAGACTCAAAGAAGTATCAAAACCTAAATGCTTTTACGTTAGCTTGAACAAATAGAGGCAATTGTGAAAATATAACTTAACTATGTGGGGAGGCTAAAGAAAGATGAGTTAACTTAACAAGGCCTGTTTGTATAGAACTCTCTCAGTCTCAAATTCCCAGCCTTGATAAGAAGAATGCTACTTTCCTTCTGGTCTAGGGAGAACATCTTCCATATGGAAGTTTTAACTCCTGCTTTCAGGAAGAAAGGGGGCCAGGTCAGTGTATCCTTTTTGCACCTGCTGGTTTCTTTTAAGTACTTTTAGCTCAAATTAATCTTTATACTAAAGTGACATATTTTGGAGTAGCACATTCTGCTACCCTTCTCAATGTAGTTCAGGCATACTTTGTTTTAGTGACTTTGCTTTATTGAGCTGTGAAGATACTGCATTGTTTGCAAATTGAAGGTTTGTGTGAGCCCTGCTTGGAGCAAGTCTGTCTGTGCCATTTTTCCAACAGCATGTGCTCACTTCATGTCTCTGTGTCAGCATTTTTTAGTAATAAAGTATTTGAATTAAGGTATGTACATTTTGGGGACATAATGCTATCGCACACTTAATAGACTACAGTATAGTATAAACATAACTTTTATATGCACTGGAAAACAATACAATTTTTGTGACTACCTTTATTGTGATTTTCGTTTTGTGATGGTCTGGAACAGAACCCACATTATCTACAAAATATTCCTATTAAACAAATGACTTCAAACTGATAAGTGAATTATTTAAATATCTTTTTTCTAACTATGTTTAAAGGTAAAATTGTTTAGTTGTTTTTGTGGAGTTCAAAGCATTATGAATTTTCAAAAATACATTGATTTTAGTTATCACTGTGGTTCATGTTAGGGAAAATAATCCTTGTTCATAATTTTTACTGAATTTATTCAAAGTTCAAATTCTATTTAGGTTTGTCCTCATGAGCATTAGCTTATCAAAAGAATATTTACTTGAAAGATAAAGGTGAGTCCTCCTTTTCTTTTTAATGGTAAATGTGTGCCTTTTTCTTATCCTTCCTA
Source organism: Homo sapiens (assembly GCF_000001405.40). Lineage (NCBI taxonomy): Eukaryota > Metazoa > Chordata > Mammalia > Primates > Hominidae > Homo > Homo sapiens. The sequence continues at coordinate 68,691,823 of NC_000008.11, forward strand.
AACCAACATCAATGTCAAATGACTGTGTATTTTCTGAGCATACTTGGTTTTAGCAAAAATAATGGTAATAATATTTTAGGTTATAAGTTTGTGTTAAGAATTACATGAGACAAAGCTGAGCAACTCGGAATAAAATGTGAGGGGAGACTCTTTCTGTGAGTGGAGATTCAGAGAACAACTGATGTGACAAATATTAAATATTTGAGAGGAGGGTTATGTAGCAAAAAAGGCAAGAAACACTCATGTTTGCAATATGAGAAAGCCCGGGGATGATCCAGGTTTGTTGAAATTAGATCAGAGGGTAGGATAAGCTGGCAGATGATGAGTGGACTGTCCATCTGGAATGGCTGAATGGACAAAGAACAGAAGAGAAGGAACTACAAGGAGGCAGAGAAGATTTTCTTGGACACGTATACCGTCTTGTGTGAATGAATAGGAGATAGGTTCAGGATGACTGCTGAGTACAAAAATCAAACATGAGAAATAACTAGACTGTGGTATAGGGGAAAATTCATAATTTTTTCTTCAATAATAAGTTTTTTGTAATAATACCAAACCCTTGTATCACAAGACAGATTAACAGGAGAAAAACAGTCACAGTCATTTATGAACATGTATATTTCATATGTACATGGGAGACACCCAGGGAATGAGTAGTTCACAAAGAAGTGGCTTTGAATTCCAGCTTATATAGTGTCTTCAACAAAGAATGACACATTTATTAGAAAAGTTATAACAAAAAAAGACTTCGAGTTTCTAAGGGAAAAAAAACTTACGGAAAGGCAAATAAATGACAGGTAAAGGCTCATAAGTAAAACTTGTTAATATAGATTCCTCTGCATCATCTCCAGAAAATAAGGATCTAAAGTCTTTAGTGTTACCTTTGTTCTCTCTAGTAGAAGGAAGGCAGGATACCTTTTGTCTTTGTGTATCTGTCTTGCTACTAGGCAAATAGAAGGAAGTCAGAGAGCTTTTCTGTATCTGCTGCTGCTTAACTGCCTTCAGTGTACAATCTTATATTTTGGGTGGCATATTCTGGTCCCCTACAGTGGGTTTTAGGGAGAAATTTTTACTTAGACTATAAAACTATCAGCATATGATTTAAAGATAAAGAGCTAACTAATTGAGCCAGACATCTAGAAAGAGATAAGGCAGAAACCTAGAGAGAGACTTTTTACCTAAAAACTTTACCTGAATAAATGAGCTAAATTTCTCCAAGTCAAAAAGAATAATGACATGGTTTATGATAATTTCTTCATTTCCTGTAGTCTTAGATTTCCCCCAAATTTATGAATTGTCCTTCCTAAATTTCTGATCAAGGAATCTTGCTGTCTATCTTAACGATTAAGTACTTGCTGTTTTGAAGACGCATCAGTCTGTAAAGGAAGGCTGTGGGTCTCAGCATTAAAAGTACTGTTGGTAATGACTTGGGTAGGCATAGTGGAAAGTGACTAAGGAAGAATGCCTGGAAGACTTCTGTTGGTAGGGCCCAGTGGAAGTGATGCCATAGAAGGATTTAGTAGCCCTAAAGTCAAAACACATGTATGTGGATGCATTCTGATTTTACTACTTACTAGGTATATAACTTGGGGACAATTTCTTTACCTTCCTTACTCTCAGCTTTTTCAAAATCTGAAAATTGTTCTCGTGAAAAGTAGGTGAAATAGATTTGAAAGTTTCTTGTGCATGAGAGGAATATCAGGTGGAATAAAAGCAAAAGACTTTCCTGGAGTAGGAAAAGGCAAGCAGTGTTTTGCACAGAGTATTTAATTATGCTGGAGACTAAAAATAAATGCATAGGTACTGGTTTGATACCCAAAACATATTTTCATACTGAATTGCTTTGTTTTGATAAGTGACCCAATAAAATGACATTTCCATCTAACCAGTTGAGCCTGTGAAAACAAGTACAGCACAATGGTTAAGAATTTGAGTTTCAGCATCTAACAGTGACCCAGTTCTGCCACTTCCTAGCTTAGGGTCCTTGGACAGGTTGTTTAATCCTGCAGCGTCTGGTACAAAGTAAGCCCTGGATGTGTTGCAGCTCCCATCTGTTGTGGATGGCTTTTAATAATAAATTAAGAATGAGGTGCAAACAGGAAAGGGGTACCACAAAAAGGGTGGAGGAATATTGCAATGTGCCAGTTGCTATTTTCTTTTCAAATGAATAATCTTCCTCAATGTAAGCAATATCCCCAAATACCTACTTATTTGCTACGTGGATGCTCCGAAAAATATAACTTTTATAAGGCCCTTTCTCTAAGCACCTCTTATTAGGATTTCTATGGAATGTTTTCTAAGGGCTCTACTTTTAAAAATAGGAGGGCGATTGATCCAGGAAATTAATTATCCAGGAAAACAAGCTGCCTTCAAAAATCCTAGGAAAATGAAACAAATAGGCCTTAAGTGCATCTGGCTTCCCTATGCCCCCCTTGGGAATATTTTTTAAAAAGTGTTTGACAGAATGACACACAATAAAAACACATTATTTAGTGATTTGGGAAATGATGACAATTTGGTTGAAAAAGAGTGTTTGCTTTATATGCTACTTCTATAGATAAAATAATCATAGAAATTGCCATGACAGAAAAGTCTAAGTTCCTCAGTTTTGTGTGTTTTTCTATAAATATCCAGAATATAAATTATGAAGTAAAAAAAATACAATTTTTGAAAATGTCCTAATATCTATTCTTGCTTAAAAACCTTTCTAACAATTTAACAGCAATAGCACTGTTAGAGTTTATTTTGTTGTCACAATAAGAAAATGTTGATTTAAATACTTTTCCTATTTGTTTTCTCATTTTTATTTCCCTATTGTCATAAATGAGATATATTATGTAATGAATAGGAACGAATAGTGAAAGCTTATATTTCACTTTTTTATCCACATCTGGGGGCTTCTTAGTTATTCATTTGTTTAACATTCTGGATCTCCCTGGTTCACTTTTTAGTAAAATTGGAATTTCCATTACTTTTAATTACTTGCTATGGTAATTATCCTTATAATTTGATCACAGTGCCTAAATGGTGAGCATAAGCCCTAGCAAACATAAGATTTTATTTATTTTATTTTTATTTATTTTATTTGTTATTAACAAATTTCAGTATGATGTCCAAATACCAATAACGGAAGCAATTTAATATTGGATCATTCAAAAAACGATTTACTATCCGAATTTATATTTATTTCGCAGGGTTATGTTAAACACAAAGTTAAACAAGCCAAGTTTCCTGCCATACAACAAACTTAATATCTAGAAAATATATTAAGCTCACAGGCAGGTAATGCTAAAGTAAGAATTACTCAATTAGCAACTGTTTATTCCTTTTTTTTTTTTTTTGAGATGGAGTTTCTTTCTTGTTGCCCAAGCTGGAGTGCAATGGCGTGATCTCAACTCACTGCAACCTCTGCCTCCTGGATTCAACCGATTCTCCTGCCTCAACCTACCCGAGTAGCTGGGATTACAGGAACCCGCCACCACGTCTGGCTAAATTTTTGTATTTTTAGTAGAGACAGGGTTTCACCTTGTTGGCCAGGCTGGTCTTGAACCTCTGACCTCAAGTGATCCACCCACCTTGGCATCCAAAAGTGCTGGGATTACAGGCATGGGCCACCCCACCCAGCCTGTTTATTCCTTTTTATAAGTACATCTTCAATGCTACATTAAAACACAGGGGAAAAGGAGAACAAATTAACTTTGTATGCTTAAATTTCTGACATTCTACTCTGGGCTACTGAAATACAGAGAGTGTTACATAGAACCATGCATTTGGAAAACAGGTACAGATTTCGTGGTAATATTGTTGCTCTGTATTCTGAAATCAGAATTATCACACTTTTAACATACCCAATCTCATCTGATCTTGGAAGCTAAGCAAGGTTGAGCCTGTTTAGTACTTGGATGGGAGAATTATCATATGTCTCATGAGCTTGGGAGACACACTTTGCACTGAATCCAGTGTAATTTCCTTTGTACTTTTTTCTGTCATCTATATAATCTATCTATCTATCTATCATCTATCCATCCATTTATTCATTCATTAATCTATCATGTGTTTTGATTGTTTTCCAAAAGTAAAAGAAAAATATATGTTGTTTTGCTGCTTGCTCTTTCAGTTAATTTGTTGTGACTCATCTGGCACATCAATAGATATTTACCTGCATTGTCTTTTCTCATTGTTTAAGACACTATTATAGGCTGGGCCTGGTGGCTCACGCCTGTATTCCCAGCTACCAAAAGGCTGAGGTTAGGGGATCACCTGATCCCAAGAGGTCAGGACTTCAATGAGCGGTGATTGCGCAACTATACTTGAGCCTGTGTGACAGTGAGATCCTGTCTCAAGGGGAGAAAAAAAAAGACACTAATATGTGTATATACTTTATGTTATATATAGTAAAATATATAATAAATATATAATAAAATACTGTTCATATAATAAATATGAACAGTAAAGGATTGGTAATAAAAAATAGGGACTATATATATATCATACAATCAAAACACATAATAGATTATATTATATATTGATTATATATATAGATTATATAGAGAGATTATATATAACTAGATTTTATATATACATAGTCCCTATTTTTTATTACCGGTCCTTTACTGTTCATATTTAGTTTGTTCCTTAAACAACACAGTACTGAGCATTTTTCTGACACTGCTAAATTTTCTACTTCAGATAAATTCCTCAAAAGGAATTGATGATTCAGAAGAGATACAAAATCTAATGAATCAATATCTATATATAGTTTATATCTATAGTGATAGCCAAATTACGCTTTTAAAGTGTGGTACATATTCTCTTCCATCACCATTTCACAAGCACTCATCTGTCCCCAAATCATGTTTTTAAATCTTTACCAAGCTGCTACATAAAAAAGTTCTACATCATTTACTTTTTCTCAAAATGTTCTTAGCTGTAATTGCTTTGCTTCACTTTTTACTAAAATTAGTTATAATTTCCTTTAGCTATAATTGATTTGCTTTATATAATTTAGTGCTATATAATTTCGCTAATAGAAATCCATTACAATTAACGACCTCACTGCTATTTAATCTCTTTTCCCCTCTAATTTTGATTTTCCTAGTATTAATATTAACTATGGCTAAACTTTACTTTGCATTGTCTTTTGTTTCAACTCTACTCCTATGACAGATTAATTACTTTGCATTTTCATGCGTATTTTTCTCCATCCTTTAACTTTTAACTTTTTTTTATAACTCTGTGCTAGATACCTCTTTTAGTGACTATATGGTAGATTTTTGTCCCACACTGCATATTAAATAAACAAATGACCTAATTTATTTTTATATCGGGTATATTTTGTAAATTGCTAGTCATTTTTGGTACTTTAATATTTCTTGATATTTCCTTTTATTTGCTGTATTTCTTCTTATAATTTGTAAGCTATATAGCTTATTTTCACAGATAGTTATTGTTACACTATTGAGAATATATTTAAGTTTACCTTTATTGAATTATCAGAAGCAGTATCTCTTACTTCTGTAAGATATAGGAATTGGTATATACCTAGACTCCTCGCAGCTTCCTCCCATTACTTTCAGGATTTTTGCAGTTTAATATTGCTAAATGACTATTGAATTTTTTTCCCCTCATGTGTCTTCTCTGCGTAGAATCTTAGTGTGAGCATTCTGATCTTTAACCATAGTTGTTAGAATGATAGACTTAGTCTTATTTCTATTACTCAAATGACCTCAATACTTGCTAGTCATCCCTAATGTTATGCTTGCTTATGAATGAGTTTTGCATTTTGATTCTTTCTCTTTGGGCCACCACAGGGAAGGTTTTAGTAAGGGCAGATGGAGGATGTAGAATTTTGAACTAATTTCCTGAGTACAGTATTGGAGCTACTGATTTCCTGACTCTTGGCAGAGTATCTCCTAGTGAAGCAGTTCCCAGCCCATGGACTGCTCTCACTGCTCCAGATTAGGGGAACTTTCGTCCAATTTAGGAAAGTGATCCCTGCATGGCATGATCCTAAACCTTCACAGATAAATGAGTTATAAAATTCCCCCTCGGGGGAGCCTTTCTGTTTGTTGGTGTTGCACGACAGCTCACTTTCCTTAGGCTGCAACCTCAGGACACAGTTGTTTTAGAACTCTACGGGAATCTCAGATTTTTCCTGTCTTCTGTTCCCCATCCTTCCTAGTTAGAAACAACTCAGTGGGGTTTTCCGGAGTTCCTTTATTTACTCTTCAAAACAATTTACAACTTTCTAAAGAAGGTTGCTATGAGGCTACCCCTGATTCATTTCTTCTTGCTGGTTCCATGTCTAGTAGCAATTGCTCAATGTTTGTGATACTGTATATCACTGGTGACATCCCAATTGCCATTTGCGGACAGATAGAACCCTACTAAAATATTGTCTTTCTCTGGTACAAAGTAATATTACTTTGGAATGTTCAGTATACTTGAACATTTCAGTATACCTTCTAATTTTACTAGTTATCACAATTTATTTTTAAGTATTCTAAATCTTATCAAAAGGAAAAAGCAAAGAAGGGAACTTAAACCGTCTTACCAAGGCAGCAAAACCTACTGTCACTTTCAATGTTATAGCACAGAAAAGCCTGGAAGTGCTGAGTTTGCTTTTAGCCACCAGAGAGAAGGAGAGAGACTGGCTATATACAAAAGAAGTCAGCTATCTAACAGATGCTTCCAAGGAATATACAGAAGAGGGGCTGGTTTTTCACCACGTACATATGTGAGGCAGCCTTCAGTTTCAGCACCATAAAGGGATCTATGATTAAAAGAAGAAATCAGGTTTTGGCGATTTTTCAAAAGGATGTTTTAGCTTCCCACACAATCCCATTTTTCAACCTGCTAGAAATCAGTGCTTTAAAAAGATTCCTTACAGCTGCTGAACTTGATGTCTGCTGACCAAGCAATTCTCTGTTAGGCTAAGTATGCAGGATCCTGGGCTCAAGTGGAGTCACACTCAGATTTTGAGCCTCATATTTGGGAAGAAAATTTAGTGTTCAGCAAAAATTCAATACCCAGCAAGTTAGAGAAAGAAAAACACCAGCATCCCCTGGTAGAGTCTTCCCCATTTTTGAAATTCTGGGCATGTTGCAATACAACTACCACAATGAGGATGGATGGGAAGGGAAAGGCCTCCTTCCATAGCTATAAAGCTGTAAAGATTAGGCACCACGGAAGGCAATATACCCTGTCGGCAATATCAGTATCATCTGGAAACTTACTAGAAACACAAATTCTTGGGCTCTACTTCAGACCTTCTGAATCAGAAAGTCTATGATGGAGCCCAGCAATCTGTGTTCTAGAAGTCCTGTTGGAGATTTCAAGGTGTCCTAAAATTTGAGAACCACCGAGAGTCCACGGAGGCCTTAACTGCTTATGTCCATTTAGATTGGTTTTTTAAAAGGTTGGCTCTAGGAATAAAAGCAGGCTGAAAGCACACTCACACTTCACCAGATCCTTTTATAGACATGAAACCCTGTTAAAAATGAACATGAATAATTGTTCTGAACGAAGTGTGCTGATTCCAATGCCCAGGGCTGCCTCTAGCTCAGATATTCTGTTTGGCTGCTTTCTCCTGGAGTTTCCTTAGCTCCAGAGCATGCTGGCCATATGAACATAATCCTTTCTTTGGGCTGCCTCAGGTTTCAGGGAGATTGGAATGTCCCCAGGGTTGTCCTTTGTGCACATAATAACCTGGCCAAGGTATGTGAGTCAGAGGCCCACATTCTGGTCATATCTGCCTGGAAAATCTGGTTTTGTCGTGAATCAATCCTGCTCCAGACTTCATCTTCTCTACCTTATTTAGTGTTGACATTTTTACATTTGAGTTGAGGTAAAGCAGAAGAGACCAAACACAAAACATATCTATTCTCCAAGTGTTCTTTCTCTAGATTTGTTTTTAAAATTCTTAAGCCTCTGCCAGGAAAGTAATTAGCAGTCCAGATAAGACAGCACCTATGCCAACTACATGTCTGCCACCATGCATATATAAAAGGAACTATAAATTTGATTAGAAAGTTACAGATAGTTTGCAGGCCCATATCTCACTTTCAGGAGATAGGAAGTTACAAGGAAAATTTAACAGGAAAGAGGATGGTTTCTATCTCTATGTCACCATTAATCATTATACTTTAGAGGCAAATGTTCAGAGGTTCTTGCGAATGAGAGAGAATTGAAGAAGCAGAATGTAAGGGCAGTCCTCTGCTATTCTACTTCATTCTACTATCATCTTCATGCATTGCTACTTATCCTCCTGTGTGACATCAATAGCAAGAATCAGGCCACAGCAAGAGTGCCTACCGACAAATACCAAAAACCCAAAAACAAACAAACAAAAAAACTAGAAAAGAATATACTAAAATAAGAAAGGAAATCTAGGTAGTGTTGGAAATTTTTCTTGGAAAAGAAGATTTGGGGAGGTAGAGCTGTGTCTGGGATGCAGGGATATCTGGGAGGGATCTGAGAGATGGTGTGAAAGGGCCAGAATCAAGGTAAGCAGGTTGCTCACCAAGGTGTCAAGTTGGAATGATCAAGGATGAAAGCGAAGAGCGAGACGGAGTTAAATGGGTTCGGCAAAGAGAATGGGAGGAAGAACATGCTGAAGAACTGGGACTTGGGGAGGATAGAGGCAAGGTTTTGTAGGGCAGCAGTGACTTTTTTTCTGGGGTAAAAGGGAACCATTCAAATGCTGAGGGAATTCAGATAGACAGCATTTGAATTAGACAGTTATTCTGGGGACCACAAGTGTAAATTAATGTGCAAGGCCCTGATGTTGTGGACAGTATCAGACCTTGGTGTCTGGCTTCAGGAAGCCTGCAAAGTAATTGGGGAGATCATGCAAATACAAGTGGTCTCATGCCAAATTACAGACTCAGGGCTTGAGGCAGAGCACTGCCTTTGAAAGTCCCCCATAAATTTTTGATGTTGGTGACAGTTTTGACTTTTTTAAGGCTTCAAAATTGAGTGAGTGACAATAAGTTGTTAGAATTTCCCTCAAAAAAATAAATCTGGAGAAACATACTGGAATTCTAAAAATGGAAATTTAACATTTTGAAAGAGACTTAGAAGTAACTTGATGAATGTTGTTATGAAAGAGGCTTTGTGAATTAAAAGCCGACTTTAGACGAGAAAGATAGGTTAATTTTCTAACCCTTTGAAGCAAATGGCTCAAAATCTCTTAAAACCAAAACTGTTTAATGTGGTTCCCCTGATCTAATTGACATTTATCAGGATCTACTATTTATTTTGCAGTGAAATATAATATCATAATATTCTAAGTAGCTGGATTAAATAGTAATATATCATATTCTAAAGTTCTTTGTAGAAATTTTGGAATCCAGGGAAGGCAAAACTCTCCCCACCACTTCAAACAGCCTGTTCGATATCTTCACACAGATTTCCACCTACCTCTCTACACCTCTACCTACCTGTCTGAAATGCATTTTATTGGTTTACTTATTTATTTTTAGCTTAAAGAGATCTCAATTATCTTCATTGCGATTCTAGAATCAGATAATACTTTATTCCATAAAGTAAAATAAATGTTCCTTGAAATGCATTTTAAACTTACCATATCCCAAACAAAATTCCACTTAATCCCTACCAAATTTCTCTGTTTTCCTTATTTTGCTAAATGACAACAGGATTAGTTCTGTTGCTCAGGTCAGAAATATTCACATTTTTTTTTCCCCGCTCTTTCACCCCCGAAGTCTAATTAAGCCAGTCCATTTCTGAGCACCTCCAGCCCTTTTGTTGACCACACTCGTCTTTCACTATGATTGGTGCAAGAGCCCCTAAAGTGTCTCCTGGATCCTATGCTTGCTCCTACAGTCTATTATCAATACAGCAGGTTAAAGCAAAAGTCCCATCATGTCACTTCTATGTTTCAAAACTCTCCAGTGGCTTCCCATTGTCATCAGAAGACTAGATTATTCATCATCAAATGTTGCAGCTATCACACTGATGGCATATTCTCCCATTCCTCCCCTCATTCAAGCCACTCCGGTCATTGGCCTCCATATATTTTTCTTTGCTATTCCCACTCCCTGTAATGCTCTTTCCCAGAGGTCTAAGTCACTTAATCCCTCACTTCTTCAAGTTTAGGCTCACAGATCACCTTCAGGGAAGGCCTTCCCCAGACACACACTATGAAGTTGTACACTGCCCCTCCCCCAGACCCTCCTTATATGTCTTCTGTGCTTTACATTTCCTTCCTTTAATTTTAACTAGATTTCTTATCAACATCTGATTCTGTATATTTTACTTGTTTGTTCATCATCTCCAGTCGGCATAATGTAATCTCCATGAGAATGGAAGCTGGCCAGCTTTACCTATTACTCTCTCCTTAGCACCTGAAACAGCTCCAGCCACCATGGGCACTCTCCATAGATACTCCTTACTCCGTGCTTCTGCTCTTCTCTTGCTGGATTATCGCAAAAGCTCCCCAAATACCCTCCTAGATTTTACCAATCCAAAGATGAATATTATGTTTTTAGTAGTGCATTTACCCTATGAGGCATATGAATGAAAACTTTCAAAGCTTCCTTCTACATGAAGTTTAGTTCCTCTTGTTTGATTTGCAAGACTGCATCTGAATTTATCTTACCTATCTGGATATATTGTTTGTTACTTGCAACGTATTCAATTCTTATTCAATTCAAAAAAACATTTGACAAATGTCTACTCTTTAGTTAGATACTGTTTTCTTCCAGAAAGTATTCAGGGAAGATTAAAAATATTTTATGTATGTGTATGAGTGTGTGTGCTTTTCCATGATAATGTACAGAAGGATGACTGCCCATGAACCTGAAATCTGAATGCCATTCCAGTCCAACATGAAAAAATTGTTAATTTGCTTATTTAAATCTTCTCTCATCCATTACATGGTTTAACTGAATGGACATTCGACATCAGGGAATTTTTTAAGGGAATTATATCACCTTATTGGGTGTTTTGGTTTTTTAAAGTATAAAAAATAGCACAAATCACCATCCATTCTCTTACTGTTTGTATTATTTAAAACTCCCTCCTCATTATGGATTCGGCTGTTGTGAGTGTATCTTTACTGATCCTTTTAGCCCAGTAATTGGCTGCTACTTGGTCCTATTTTCAGTCTCCTTGCTTTTTCTTACAGAGTGAAACATCAGGATCAGTTGGATCTCATAACATCACCAAGCAAGCAAAATTGTAACTACTGCTATCGCAACCAATCCCCTTAATGAGCTCTGACCTCTTTTCTCTTGACTAGTCCATCTTCCTTAAGTCTATTTTGTAAGTGCCAGAGACTTTTCAGCAACATTTATTTAACAAATATTTATTGATCACGCACATGTACTAGGTACTATCATAGGCTCTGTGATAGGTACAATAATCTCTGTGGATACAAACTTTCATTGCCTCATTCACTGTTAAGACTAAGTCAATAGAAGGTGATTAATGACACAAACCTTGGAACAGAATTTACTAATATTTATAACAGCATTTCCTCTAGCAAGATCTCACTGGCCAGTATAAAATCAAATCTCAGTCAGTTATTTTAAATTCAATCACATTTACTATCTTTATCAGCCCCACTTGTATCCCACTTCAAATACTCTCTGCCTCACCTCTTCTTGACAACTATTTCTTCCCATGCTTCAAGGTGGGACAAGCAACTTTGTGCAAATGCAAAGTTCAGCATTTTGCCTCATCCAGGTTTCTTCCAGATCTTATTTCCTGCCCCAGGATGGCCAATGGGAATCATTCAATACATATATATGTGCAACTCAAATGCTCAGGGATTTTAGTGCCCAAGGCCCACCCTTGACCAGAAGCCTATGAATAAATGCTTTGTCCTTTCATCCTTCAGTGGGCACACCTCATTAGGCTCCTCAAAAATTCTTGTGGGGTTGAGCAACAGCCACCTGTCCAGGGTTGGCTCAATGACTCATGCTGTGTTGCCTTTCCTCCTTTCATGTTTTATACTCATGTCCCTCACTCCTGCCTCCCGGGTCAAACAACCACTCACACATAAGCCTCTGCCTCACACCCTGCATTGGGGAGGACCAAGCTAAGAGCTACTTAACCTTAACTATATGCAGCATGATTTTTACCACTTTTCAAGGGAATATAATTATAAGTATACTATAGTATTCTATACAAAATCCCCAATATAGGGCTGGGCCATATTTTCTTTTCTTTATCTCCAAGATGAAATAATCACTAAGAAGTACCTTAAGAAATCTCTTTTAGAGTTTAAAATATACCAAGCTCTATCTAAGCTAGACTTTAATTACATAAAAATAGGAAAAACAAAATCCTTTCCTTTAAGACACTTGCAGTGTTTTGGCAAACACAGACATCTACATAAATAATTCAGTCACAGTTGAAGTAAGAGCTATGGTAAAGATTTGCACAGGTGCTAAGACTTTTGGAAGAAAACCTTCAGAAAAGAGGAGAATCTAGAAGGAAAAGCTAGAAATAAGCCAAATAGTAAAATGCAGAGGGATGGCGTGGTGGGGAGGGGTAGATATATTCTGCCAGAGGTAATAGTATAATGACACAGAGGCTTAATAACAAAACACCTGAAAAAAGCAAAAGCGGTTTGGAGTTTATGGAGTATAAAATCCATGGTGGAGGATCCAAGAGGATGAATTTGCAGACACAGGTAGGGATTATGCAATATAGAGACTCAAATGACTTACGAAGGAAGCCATAACTCATCTTGTAGGTAATGAGAAGCCAATAAAAATGGTAGTTCTAAAATCCTTGTGAGTCAAGGATTATTTTGAGAAGCTGGCTAAAATTACTGTCTCTCTCTCCAAAAAAGATCACATCCACCCACAACTCTTCATTCCACCCACTGTGAATTATTGTGATTATATACTCATGTTAAGACTGCTTACTCACAAATCTAGCCATATTATTCTCATACTTTATTTTAGAGCAAGAGGTCTTGACATTATACTCCTAAAATATTGAGAGCAACATGAGTATACTTATGTCTTAACATGAGTATAATGTTAACATGAATATAATGTGAAGACCTCTTGCTCTAAAATATTTAAAGCATGAGAAAAATATGGCTGGATTTGTGTTTTGAACATTCTGATAGCCTTATGGAAAAGGGGTTTCTAAGTATGGCTGTCTGTAAGGAAACTACACAATAATCCAGACAAATCAAGATGAGAAATCACACTATGGTGGTACTATAAAGAAGTGATAGATTCGAGACATTTCTTTAAGAAGTAGATTCAGCAAGACAGATTGGTTAGCCATGTGCAATGAGAGGCAGAGTGATTCGGAAGATGAGTTTGCTTTTGGACATGTTGCCTTTGAGGTGCTTATCTTGCATACAAGTAATATGTCCTATAAGGATTTGGGTACACCAATCTTGAGCTGATGGTTTAAGATAAAGGTTTAAAATATCTCAACCTATATGAACTTAATAAAACTATCAAAGTGGTTGAGATGATTCAGGGGGATGATTAGAATGGGAAAAGGAGGGCCTTGGATAGAGCTGAGGGAAAATATAATATTTATGGGTTTACAAAGAGAGAAAGCCTTTAAAAGAGACTGAGAAATGGTAGTCAGATATGCAGGAGAGAGAAGGGCCACAGAAGAAAAGCAATGACAGCCTTAAGAACAAATAGAGGTTAACGCAAGGTCAAATAAAGACAACAGATGCAAATTTCCCATTGTGCAAGGCAATTAGGAGGTCATACAGTCAGCATAAGCTGTTTTCTCAGTGGTAGAGGCAGAAACCAAATTAAAACAGGTTGAGGAGTAGGAGTGAATAAAAACTGTGGACGTAAAGGCATTGAATGAAGAATATGGGAGTTTGGCTCAAAGAAGATTGAACATGAAAAGGAAACAGCTAGTTATTTTATATAATTAAGGGAGGTATTTAATTTTTGTGGGTTTTTTTTTAAGACTGAAAGAGAAGTGAGCTTGTTCATATGCTGTGGGAAATGATAGTGGGAAAAAAAAACAGAAAAAATACTGGTTGGGGGGTGATAGTGGATAAAATAGGTTGATGAGACATTGAGATCCAAATCTTTCCAGCATAATGGATAGTCTCAGCCTTACACAGGAGACAGGGCCTCTTGCGCTCTGCGCGTTGGAAAGGTAGTGAATACAGATTAGGGTGAAAATAATTCTGGAGGTGGTGTGTGAGGGCAAGATGAGGTCTGTACTCCTGATTACATAATTGTTCTGGGTGACACAGAGGAGAGCTGATGGTGAGATTTTTGAAAATACTTTGAAAGGAATGGAAAAAAGAAAGACAATCAAGAAGTTCAAGTTTAAAGTTAGAGACCACTGATTTATAGTCACCAATCCTAGAATGATGATTTTCTCGATTATTGTTCAGTGGCACATGTGCGGGAAAATGGTGGGTTAATATAGGTTTGGAGTCTGCCTTCGCAGGAGTGACAGAGGACAGGGGTGCAGAGGAGCTGAGACAATGAGTCCCAACTGAGCAGGGAAGGCAGGGAAGCAGGAGGGGACACTCCCTTATACCTAGGAGAAAGAAGAGGGAAATGGAGATTTGTTAATATTTGGTTGCGTAGAAAGTGTTAAGGAGAGTGACACTGTGAAAGAGGCTGAAGGAGGTGAATTTGTTTTCGGAGACAGGGAAGCAGGAGGGGACACTCCCTGATACCTAGGAGAAAGAAGAGGGAAATGGAGATTTGTTAATATTTGGTTGCGTAGAAAGTGTTAAGGAGAGTGACACTGTGAAAGAGCCTGAAGGAGGTGAATTTGTTTTCGGAGACCAGAACACTGGACTTACAGATATCTGCCATGAAACAATTCCAAGTTGTCTGTCCTTGGGTTAAGGAAGGTGAAGTGGAAGGGAAGATCTCCAAATGTGAGGAGGTCAAGGGACTTTAAGATTAGTAGGTAGATACACATGAATATCAAAATCACTCAGGATAAAAATAACACTTGAGTTGAAGAAGAAAATTCTGAGCCTGACCCAAGTTGTTGCAGGCAGAGAGAAGAAAGTTATACATAATCCTGTGCTATCTCAGTTTGGTGGGTCAGGCAGCCTCCCTGGGAGAGGAGGTCCTGGAAGACCCTTAGAGAAAAGGGATGTGATATTCTTAGGTGAGACTTTCCAATATGAAAAGGAGGAGCAGCCAACATTCTGTTTAGGGGCTGAAAATATAAGGGAGTCTGTTTAATATGGAAAAGGAGTTTTAGAAAGCAAAGCAAAAAGCTTTGGGAGTAGGAGTAAAACTCTTATGGTAAAAAAACAAAAAGCAATTTAACTTTTATTTAGACTGTATTTCCCGGACTTGCCCATACACCCCTTGTTTGCATAGCACCCATTAACCTCTTACAGAAGTGGTGCTGTGTGGGTTACAGCTTGGGAAACATTGGCAGAGTACTCGAGGATGGCAGGACTGTGAAGCATTCCGCAATGGAATTGGTGCCAAGTCACAGTAAACTCAGCTCTTAAGGTATCTGGAGGGCACCGTGTGGACAAGGACGAGCCAGCTGCAAGGCCACCCAATTTGTTGCGTTTTTAATCCATAGCCATTGGTCTCTTCAACTGAGCTATATTAAAGCCTGTCAGGAACAGTTATAATTTCTTTGCATCTCTATGACATTTGGTTTATGCTTGAGCATATTAATAAGTGCTAAATAAAACAAAAGTTTTATTGATGCATACAACAAGCAAACAAAAATTACAGCACTATTTTAAGATCTTGCTTCTTTCTGTCTTTGTTGGAGATTTATTTTCTTTTTAGGTTTAAAAAAAATTTACTTTTTTTAGAGACAGGGGCTCACTCTGTCACCCCAGTTGGAGTGCAGTGGCGTGATCATGGCTCACTGCAGACTCAAACTCCTGGCCTCAAGTGATCCACCTGCCTTAGCCTCCCGAAGTGCTGAGATTACAGGAGTGAGCCACCACACCTGGCCTAGGGTTTTAACTTAATGTTAAATATCCCAATGTGTTGGAGCTCATTGTGAATTTTCAATAATAATTTTTACTTATACCTTTAAATATTTAATGCACCTCTGTACCTTCTCTCTTTGATATGATTTTGATAGAATGGTCCTGGACAAAGAGAGCTCAAAACAGAATATTTGCTATTGCTGAATATTAAAATTGTTTATCCAAAGTGAATACAATAAAAAGGAAATAGTAGAGAATATTTGAAAAATATGTAGCTAATTTATTTAAAGTGGTCTTTTTCCCAAGAAAAAATTTAAAAAATTAATTAAAAGTACAAAACCACACAAAGCTTAGCAAAAAATGTTACAAGTTTCAGGAAATTCCCCTTGAGAATTCTTTAATTTTCTTATACAATACAGTAAATGTGATTTCATATACAGAAGGTAATAAGTAAGTATAAATGTATAATAGAGGGATGTGCAGAATTTAATATTATAAAAATTATGGTGCACATATAATTTACATTGTTTGTAATTATACAAAAGATCAAGAGATATGCATATATGCTTGAATTTGTAGAAGTCAAAAAGCAAATTATATGAGATTCTGCTGTGGTATATAAAAGCAAAGACATAAAATGGCTGAGAATTATAACATTTATAAAAATTACAACTTATATAACAGTATAACATTTGAACCCAGTATAGTTATAAATTATGCCTGTATTTATTGTTCTCTCCTGAAGAAGGCTCAGTGTCTATGAGAAGTCTGGGCAGTCACACATTAGGAAACTTTACCTCCACTGCTGAGACATATCTCGACCCACAGGCCTTGAAGCTTAGGTTGGTTGATTTGCAAGATTGTGCTTGATAAACCTCAGTGGAATTAGGAAAATCCTTTTATGACTCCCAGACCCTGATGTTAGGTGAGCACACTGTGTTGGCCTCTTGTTTTCCTTCCACTCAATTCCCCTTTGGTGTTTAAGTGAAAATACGTGCTTCTAAACCTTTCTACGGTCAGTCTGAGAAGAAAAGCAGATTCTACCTAGATAAATCCTGGTATGTATGTAACAGGAAGTATAGAAGACTTTTCCTTAATGGTTAGAACAGCAAAAATCCTATATTAAAATGGCTTTAGTGAACTTGTATTTCTATTTTGAACATGCATATCTGAGTTTAGAGTCTAGAAGTTCACAGCCATGTCCCCCATGGTGCATAGTTCACATTTCACAATTTAACATTATGAGATGTTTCAATGATCATTTTTAATTATTTAGGCTTCAAGGAGACAACCTGGAAGAAAGGACAGAAGAGTCACTACCAATACTCCATTCTCCAGATGAAAAAATCCCAGATTCATTCGGTAAGTTTTAAGTCCAACAATATTTATTGCAGTTCTAGTGGCACTTAAAGATTAAAGAAGTAAAGGAAAAAAACTAAACCAAACATCTTGCCTTGCATGAATTCACTGCAGCTGCACGTCACATATCTACCGCTGGCACACTCCTTGGGGCTGTTTGTGTCAGGATAAGAGCAAAGGAGAGAAGGAATTGAGAAGTGTGGATTCTGAGGAGTAATCTCTTTAGGCCTGTTCTGTTTAAGGTCCAAACAGATCAACTATAAGTTGGCTACTCCCTAAACTATGTCACTAATTCAAACTTGTCTTTAGAAACCCACATTGTCAGCTGGATTTCTAGAAAATGGAACTGTTTCTCTGCCCCTTGTCACTTGCTATACGTGCTGCTCCCATTCTCACGTCATTGATCCAGTCATTCTTCTTGGGCAGAAATGTCAATATCATACTTGACAATATCATACTCCCTCTCTCCCAGCCCTGTATTAAATTGGTCTCCAATTATGTCAATGTCACTTCAGAATTTCCTCCCTGAGTCAGCCTCTTTTGTATTTGCCCTAATACTGCCTGGTCTATGTGTTTTCCCTCTTTCTCCATCAACTCCCTTCTTGGCCCTCCTCGGACTATCTCACCCCTCTTTTGTTCATTGTTTTTCTGAAAATAAAGCTGCTTATTTAATTTCCATTTTCTATAGTATAAAATGGAAATTCCTTAACTTAGCAAACAAACAATATCAGAGCAATTCAAAATGTTTGTTGTATATGTAAATAAGTACAGGTAATGCCACTCCAATGCCATCTAAGGTACATCACGTCTTCATCAGTCAGCATAATAGCAAAACACAGTCCATACATTCAACCTGGATAGTTAGAAGATAAACTATAGGAAAGTATTTTTCTTACACCTGGATTGAGAAGGACATCTTCAACAGGAAAAAAACATCTCCAGCCATAAAAGAAATAATTGAAACCTTCAGCCGTAGAAAATTAAAAACTCCTGTTTATCAAAATATGCCCAAAGAAGCTCAGGATTAAGATGGTGGACAGGAGGCAGGACTAGATTGCGGCTCCCACTCGGACAGACAGAGCAGCATGTAGAAACTCACATCGTGAACTTTTGCTCCAAGAAGTACCGCAGGAACATAACAGGAAAGGTGAGAGAATCCACAGACTATTTGAAGGAAATGGATCACCGCTGCAGGCTCCCTGAGATGCGAAAATTTGTGAGTCTTTTTGCTTTCTAGATGAGGAGGCTCATGGTCTGGGGCAAGTTCTCAGCCCTGATCACTTGCTGCCTGGAAATAAACTCATTGCTGTTGAGGGGGCACAGTGGGTGTGCCTGGAAATAAACTCATTGCTGTTGAGGGGGCACGGTGGGTGTACCAGCCTTTAGGACTATGGGCTGCCTTGGAGCTGGGTGAATCCTGTGACTGCTGGCTTTCCCCCACTTCCTTGGCGACCTGTATGACTCAGCAGAGGCAGCCATAATCTCCCTGGGAATATAACTCCATTGGACTGAGAACCACACCCCCATCCACCACAGCAGAAACAGCAAGCCCCATATAAGAAGAGGCTGAGCTCAGACGCACCTATCTCTGCTCCCAACTGGTGGTCTTTCTTTACCTGCTGTGGTAGCCAAAGACAAAGGGCACAGTTTCTTGGGAGCTCTATGGCCCTGCCCACCACCTGAGAAACCTGAATACTTAACCAGGTGTTCCTAGGGCAAGTTTGCATCCTCATAGGGCCAATGAGCTCTTGAAAGCACTACTTTCTGGCTGGAGGCCAACCAACACAGAACCAGCACACTAAACAAAAACATAACCAAAGTCCCTTACAGGGTCCACTTCACTCCCCTGCTACCTCCCCCGGGGAAGGTGCTGGTATCCACAGCTGCAAGACCTGAAGACTGATCACATCACAGGACTCTTTGCAGACACTCCCCAGTACCAGCCCAGAGCCCGGTAGCTCCACTGGATGGCTAGAACCAGAAGAGCAAAAACACTCACTACAGTTCAGCTCTCAGGAAGCCTCATTCCTAGGGGAAGGGGGAGAACACAACATCAGGGGAACACACTAAGGGACAAAAGAATCTGAACAGCAGTTCTTGAATCCTACATCTTCCTTCTAACATAGTCTGCGCAAATTATAAGGAACCAGTAAAACAATTCTGGTAATATGAGAAAATGAGGTTCTTTAACACCCTCAAAAGATCATACGAGCTCACAAGCAATGGATCCAAGTCAAGAGGAAATCTGAATTGCCAGAAAAAGAATTCAGAAAGTTGAATATTAAGCTAATTAAGCAGGCATCACAGAAAGGTAAGTCCAACTTACATAAATCAAAAACATAATTCAGGATATGGAAGGAAAATTCTTCAGTGAAATAGGTAGCATAAATAAAAAATAATCAGAACTTCTGGCAATCTAGGACACACTTAGAGAAATGCAAAATACACTGGAAAGTATCAGCAATCAAATTAAACAAGCAGAAGAAAGAACTCCAGAGCTCAAAGACAAGGCTTTTCAATTAACCCAATCCATCAAAGACAAAGAAAAAAGAATTTTAAAAACATGAACAAAGCCTCCAATGAACAAAGTCTCCAAGAAGTTTGGGACTGTGTTACATGTCCAAACCTAAGAATAGTTGGTGTTCCTGAGGAAGAAGAGAAATCTAAAAGTTCAGAAAACATATTTGAGGGAATAATCAAGGAAAACTTCCCTGGCCTTGCTAGAGATCTAGAACTCCGAATACAAGAAGCTCAAAGAACACCTGGGAAATTTATTGCAAAAAGATCATTACCTGCACACATAGTCATCAGGTTATCTAAAGTCAAGATGAAGGAAAAAATCTTAAGAGCTGTGAGGCAAAAGCATCAGGTAACCTATAAAGGAAAACCTATCAGATTAATAGCAGATTTCTCAGCAGAAACCCTACAACCCAGAAGGGATTGGGGACCCATTTTTAGCCTCCTTAAACAAAACAATTATTACCCAAGAATGTTATATTCAGAGAAACTAAGCTTCATAAATGAAGGAAAGATACAGTATTTTCCAGACAAATAAATGCTGAAAGAATGTGTCACTCCCAAGTCAGCACTACAAGAATTTCTAAAAGGAACTCTAAGTCCTGAAACAAATCCCTGAAATACACCAAAGTAGAACCTCCTTAAAGCATAAATCTCACAGGACCTGTATAACAATAACACAATGAAAAAAAACTTGGGTATTCAGGCAACAAACAGCACAACGAATAGAATACTACCTCACATCTCTATACTAACATTGAATGTAAATGTCTTAAATGCTCCACTTAAAATATACAAAATGGCAAAATGGATAAGAATTCACCAACCAAGTTTCTGCTGTCTTCAGGAGACTCATCTAACACATAAGGACTCATATAAACTTAAGGTAAAGGGGTAGAAAAAGGTATTCCATGCAAATGGACACCAAAAGTGAGCAGGAGTAGGTATTTTTATATCAGACAAAACAAACTTTAAAGCAACAGCAGTTAAAAATAAACAAAGTGGAACATTATATAATGTTAAAAGGATTAGTTCAATAGGAAAATATCACAATCCTAAATATATATGTGCCTAATACTGGAGCTCCCAAATTTATAAAACAGTTACCACTAGATCTAAGAAATGAGACAGATAGCAACACAGTAATAGTGGGGGACTTTAATACCCCACTGACAGCACTAGACAGGTCATCAAGACAGAAAGTCAACAAAGAAACAATAGACCTAAACTTGACAGATATTTACAAAACAGTGTACCCAACAACTGCAGGATATACATTCTGTTCATCAGCACATGAAATATTCCCCAAAATAGACCATATGATAGGCCACACAACAAGTATCAGTAAATTTAAGAAAATCAAAATTATATCAAGTACTCTCTCAGACCACACTGGAATAAAATTGGAAATCAACTCCAAAAGGAAGCCACAAAACCATGCAAATACATGGAAATTAAATAACCTGCTCCTCAATGATCATTGGGTCAACAAGGAAATCAAGATGGAAATTAAAAAGTTCTTTGAACTGAACGATAATAGTAACATAACCTATCAAAACCTCTGGGATACAGTAAAAGTAGCGCTAAGAGGAAAGTTCATAGCATTAAATGCCTATATCAAGAAGTCTGAAAGAGCACAAATAGATAATCTAAGGTCATACCTCCTACCTCCTGGAACTGGAGAAACAAGAACTATCCATCCCAGAAGAAGAAAAGAGATAACGAAGATCAGAGGAGAACTAAAACAAACTGAAAGAACAAAAAAAATACAAAAGATAGATGAAACAAAAAACTGGTTTTTGAAAACATAAATATAGCAAGATTAACCAAGAAAAGAAGAGAGAAGATGCAAACAAGCCAAATTAGAAATGAAACAGATGTTACTGCTGATACCACAGAAACGCAAAAGATTATTCAAGGCCACTATGAACACCTTTACACACATAAATTGGAAAACCTAGAGGAGATGGATAAATTCCTGGAAATATACAACCCTCCTAGATTAAACCAGGAAGATATAGAATCTCTGAACAGACCCACAACAAGCAGTGAGATTGAAATAGTAATAAAAAAAATTGCCAATAAAAATAAGTTAGGGGCCAGATGAATCCACAGCTGAATTCTATCAGACAATTCAAAGAAGAATTGGCACTATATCAAAAGGTAGAGAAAAGGGTAATCCTTTCTAAATCATTTTATGAAGCCAATATTACCTTAATGCCAAAACCAGGGAAGGACATAACACGAAAAGAAAACTACAGACCAGTATCCTTGATGAACATACATGCAAACATCCTCACAAAATACTAGTAAACCAAATCCAGCAGAATATCAAAAAGATAATTCACCATGATCAAGTGGGTTTCATATCAGGGATGCAGGGATGGTTTAACATATGCAAGTCAATAAATATAGCATACCACGTAAACAGAATTAAAAACAAATTCACATAATCATCTCAGTAAAGGCAGAAAAAGCATCTGACAAAATCCAGCATCCCTTTAACATTAAAACCCTCAGCAAAATTGGTATAGAAGGTTCATACCTTAAGGTAAAAAAGCCATCTATGACAAACCCATGGCCAACATTATACTGAACAGGGAAAAATTGAAAGCATTCTCCCTGAGACCGGAAGAAGACAAAGATGCCTACTTTCACCACTTCTATTCACATAGTACTGGAAGTCCTAGCCAGAGCAGTCTGACAAGAGACGGAGTAAAGGGCATCCAGAGGAAGTCAAACTGTCACTGTTTGCTGATGATATGATTGTATACCTAGAAAACTCTAAAGACTCATCCAAAAAGCTCCTAGAACTGGTAAATGAATTCAGCAAAGTTTCAGGATACAAAATTAATGTACGCATATCAGTAGCTCTGCTGTACACCAACAGCGACCAAGCTGGACAATCAAATCGAGAACTCAACCCTTTTCATAATAGCTGTAAAAAAAAATACTTAGGAATATAACTAAACAAGGAAGTGAAAGACCTCTACAAGGAAAACCACAAAACACTGCTGAAAGAAATTATAGACAACACAAACAAATGGAAACACTTTCCATATTCATGGATGGGTAGAATCAATATTGTGAGAATGACCACACTGCCAAAAGCAATCTACAAATTCAATGAAATTCCCATCAAAATATCACCATCATTCTTCACAGAACTAGGAAAGACAATCCTAAAATTCATATGGAACCGAAAAAGAGACTGCATAGCTAAAGCTATCCTAGGTGAAAAGAACAAATCTGGAGGCATCACATTACCTGAGTTCAAAGTATACTATAAGGCCATAGTTACCAAAACAGCATAGTAGTATTATAAAAATAGGCACGTAAACCACTGGAACAGAATAGAGAACCCAGAAATAAACCCAAATACTTAACAGCCAACTGATCTTTGACAAAGCAAACAAAAACATAAAGTGGGGAAGGGACACCCTATTCAATAAATGGTGCTGGGATAATTGGCAAGCCACATGTAGAAGAATGAAACTGGATCCTCATCTCTCATCTTATACAAAAATCAACTCAAAATGGATCAAGGACTTAAATCTAAGACCTGAAACCATAAAAGTTCTAGAAGATAATGTCAGAAAAACCCTTCCAGACATTAGCTTAAAGACGTCATGACCAAGAACCCAAAAGCAAGTGCAACAAAAACAAAGATAAATAGATGGGACTTAATTGAACTAAAAAGCTTCTGCACAGCCAAAGAAATAATCAACAGAGTAAACAGAAAATGCACAGAGTGGGAGAAATTCTTCATAATCTATACTTATGACAATGACTAATATCCAGAATCTATAATACAAAGAACTCAAATCAGCAAGAAAAAAACTAACAATCCTATCAAAAAGTGGGCTAAGGACACGAATAGACATTTCTCAAAAGAGGATATATGAGTGGCCAAAAAGCATATGGAAAAATGCTCAACATCACTAATGATCAGGGAAATGCAAATAGAAACCACAATGTGATACCACCTCACTCCTGCAATACCACCTCACTCCTGCAACAATGGCCTACTATGGCCATTTTTATTTTTTTACTATAAAAAATAAAAAAAAAAAAGATGTTGGTGTGGATGTGGTGAAAAAGGAACACTTTTACAGGGCTGGTGGGAATGTAAACCAGTACAACCACTCTGGAAAACAGTGTGGAGATTCCTTAAATAACTAAAAGAAGATCTACCATTTGATCCAGCAATCCTGTTACTAGGTATCTATCCAGATGAAAAGAAGCCATTATATGAAAAAGATATTTGCACATAAATGTTTATAACAGCATAATTTGCAATTGCAAAAATATGGAACCAGCCCAAATGCTCATCAATCCATGAGTAGATAAAGAAAATATGATATATATACACCATGAAATACTACTCAACTTTAAAAAGGAACAAAATAATGACATTTACAGCAACCTGGACAGAATTGGAGACTATTATTCTAAGGAGAGTAACTCAGGAATGGAAAACCAAATATCATATGTTCTCACTCATATGTGGGAGCTAAGCTATGAGGACGAAAAGGCATAAGATTGATATATTGGACTTTGCGGACTTGGGGGAAAGGGTGGGGGTGGTGAAGGATAAAAGACTACACATTAGGTACAGTGTACACTGCTCCAGTGATGGGTGCACCAAAATCTCAGAAATCACCATTAAATAACTTATTCATGTAACCAAACACCACCTTTTCCCCAAAAACCTATTGAAAAAAATTAAAAATCAAAAAACAGATGCCCAAAGAAAAGCCACAAATAGGGAAACATATTTGCAATGTAATTGCCACTGATCAAAGATTAATATTCAGAATATGAAGAACACCTACAATTTAATAAATAAAAAATCAATACATCAACAGAAAAATAAGTAACAAGTATGAATATACATTTTACAGAGAGGAAACACAAAAGTCCAACAAGCAGATGAAAAATACTTAAATTATCTTAGTTATCAGGGAAAAGCAAATTAAGACCATGGAGAGATACAATCTTTTTTCTTTTACAACCTTTTGATTGGCATTGATGAAGAAAGCTGACAAAACTAAGTGCTGGTGAAGTCATAGATGAAAAGAAACTCGTATAAGGCAGGTATATGAGTTTTGGAAAAGTTTTCCATTATCTTAAAATCTTGAGCATTTATATAATCTAAAACCTAGAAACTCCATTTCTAGGTAAATGCCTTAGAGAAATAAGTATCATATAGCATGAAATATGAACAACCCTTGTTAGTATGTTCATGGATAGGGAAATGGATAAATTGTGAAATTTTTTTATGCAGTAGAAACCTGAATGCCTTTCAACTACATACAGGCGATGGATAAAATCAGTGATGTACAAATACATCCCCTGTATGTAGTTGAAAGGCATTCAGATTTCTACTGTGTAAATGTACAACAATTGTTTTCCTGAAAAAAGGAAGCCCTGATTTGTAGAGATTGAAGATTTCCGTGGTGTGAATACTCCCACCGTGGCTGATTTCAAGCAGCCAAACTGAAATGGCAGTTGGTTCTCCCACTCTGGTATAGCAAGTTGCAGCTCACCATTAAATGAGTCTTAAAAGCCTAATGCTTCTTAAACAAAAGCAAGTCACAGAATGCCATTTTTATAAAGCTCCAAAAAGCAAATCTAAATAATATGTTCTTTAGGAAAACATAAGTGACAAAACTATATTTAAAGACAGGAGTTGTCTCCCACACGGGCTAGCGGTTAGGATTCCTGGTTTTTCACCCAGGCGGGGCCCGGGTTCGACCTGCGGTGGCAGGTGCCTGTAGTCCCAGCTACTCGGGAGGCTGAGGCAGGAGAATGGCATGAACCCGGAAGGAGGAGCTTGCAGTGAGCCAATTTCGTGCCACTGCCCTACAGCCTGGGCGACAGAGCGAGACTCTGTCTCAAAAAAAAAAAAAAATGACAAACACAAAATATTGGTTATTCTCAAGGTAAGAGGAGGCTGGGTGATGGGATAAGGAAGGAGCCCACGGATATATGAAGGTTATTGAAAATGCCCTAATTATTAAGTGGTGGGTTTGGGGTGTTTATTTTGTCTTTGTAATTTGTAATTTAAATAGATCATATATACTAATAGATGTGATATATTTTACATGTTATATTTATATAAATGTTTTACAGATGTTGCATTTTTATAAGTCAAATATTAGGTAATAAATATTAAAAAAACTGCTAAGGGAACATAAACCAATGTTAATGTAGCATAATAGAAAGAAATGACCATAGTTAATGCATACTCAAATCTATTATAATGGTGATGACATGGCATGTTCTTATGATCGACCTTTAACCCTGACAATGAACATTAAGTAATGTGTCACTAGCAACATGGAAGCCCCAGGCTGGCCATTCGTTGACACTCGCATAGTTTCTGGAGTCAGCCTGGTTTCTGCTCATAGATATTCTTGCATGTGTACCTTCACTTATGCCATCCTTCCCTGCCTAGCAATAAGGCCTTTTCCCTCCCTTCTCTGCCTATTTAGATCACCTGTTCTAAGATCATGTAAAGTCTCTCTGATGTTTTCTTTCTCTCATTTCCAAATTGTTTTTGAATTGCTTCTTCTGTGTGTTTCTCCTACTTCCATTGGATTATATGCTGCTTGAAGTTTTCTTATGTTACCCATCGTGCCCAATACAAAACCAGGCACAAGACAGATACTGTTTAATTACTTGCCATTAATTTTTTAAATTTTATCAAAATAACTCCAACCTACCAATCTTTACCTATATATATCCTTCAGCTTCTCATTTACATAATTACTGAGTATTATAAGGACTCAAATTTCCTGGGAAATTAAATAATATATCAAAAATGTGTTGCAGATTATACTTTAAGCTCCTTTCTTGAAATGCCTAATCCTGCATTCTTCACATTCAATTATTAGTATACCTAATCTGCAAATTCCAGAATATGAGTTTCTGATTTAGTACATTCTTTTCTACTTAAATTAGTCAAATGACTAGATCCAATAATTGAATAGTATCCAAAAGTGCTATTGTGAGTTTATGTCAACTGTGCATCCACATTGAACTTGGCTCGGGAAGCGTAAACATTTCTATAAATTGGTATAACTGTGCATAAAAAAGTCTGTTGTGACACAAGCAGCAAAAGTAAAAATAATGGCTGAAAAAAGTTGGATGTAGCTAAGCACTGCAATAAACTACAGATTTTTAGGTTCCCACCAACATGTCCAATCAACCACACAGGCTGAATTTCTAGTCCTACTCCTGCCACAGATTATTAGGTTTCTGGTAAAATTACTTTATCTTTCCATGCTTCAGTTTCTTCTTCTCTAAAATGAGGATATAAGATAAACTGTAATATTTGACAAATTTAGGGACTCATTTCCCACCCATCCATAGGTGATTTTAAATAGCTAAAAAAATTACTTACATTTGAAAATCATATATAAAAGAAATTGCTCTGGAATAGACAGAGCAAAATAGCTTGCACATATATACTCACCTGTTACTGTTAATGAGTGATGTACTTAGAACACATAAACAATGGCATTTACTGCTCTAAGCATTAAACACTAAGGTTTTACCTTCATGGTGTCTCTGGTCCCTACTAGCTTGTTAGATTGGTACCCTATTATTAGATTTGGGCTATTTGGCAGTATCCATTTGACTTCATAACTTTTAAAAACGGTAGTTATGTAAACTCTCAAATGTTCTGGCAGTACTTATAGTTGTCCCTTCATCCTAAGCTCAATGGGCATTACTATATTATAGATCTTTCTGGATATGGTACCAATAACCAGGGAGAATTCAACAAAAATGAAACCAAACAAAATGTAAATCATACAAAGTTACTAATACTTTTGCTTTATAAATGTTCATCTTTGTTAAAAAGTTAATACTGCCCTGTAAATGTGTTCAAGTAAATTTCATGAAAGAAAGTGTCATAGAAAATATTCAACTTATTTTAAAAGCACCTAATACAGTGCTTGCCATATAGTATTTGTTGAATAAATGAATACACAAATATACAATACAATAAATGTATGAATGAATGAATACATAAATAATCAAGCAGAATGACATCTATTAAAAACCATTAACTACTCATGGAGAAGAGCTTGAGAACTTATTTATAGTATTTCTAACTTTGAAAAAATTAGCAAATCCATGAGAAGGTGGATTTTACTGTCCTATATATGAAAATAATTTGCTGTGTAATGTAGAATAGAACATTTTAATGTTATTTATTTATTAAGTCAATAGATTACTGAAATAAGAACTTCAATACACAAGCAAAACAAGAAACATACTGAGTGAATACTAAAATTATAGTAGCATTTGCTCACAGTTCTGCAGAATATAATTCAGTTTTGGAGGACTTAAATTATGCTTAATTTACAACCTAATTTAACAAATTTATTGTCAGCTTTACAATTGGGTTTTGGGAGCTAGAGCTTCAAGTATTCTTTACAAGTGGATTAATAGTTTTGCATTTGGTATAATTCTCCTGATTTTATCCACTAAAACTTGCTTATTTTTAATATCTATGTTCTGTCAGGAAAAGTAGTAAGTAAAATCTTTAAATTCACCTATAATTTGAGAATGATATGTCTCTCCCGAAGTCAGTTTTATGGTGGAAGGTATTCTGTGTTTTAAAACAAAATCCACATTTACATCTACATAAACTGTGTGCCCCAGAATTTAGAAACTTGTCTTCTTGAATGTAAAATTCTGAGTTATCAGAGATAGAGAGCACTCCATGATTCAAAAGCTATGATTTATTATGGATTTGGGCTAAGCTTTCCATTATCTCCCTGGTGTTCAGTGGCCATTAAGGGTTTGAAAGATTTCATGCTCTAATTCTCTTTACAGAGTATACATTTTATGCAACAGAAAAATCTGTCTCCATATGTACATAAAGCTAAAGGAAAATATTTAGGGCTTTATATGACTCCCTCAAGTATTAATAAATATAAGAAATTAATTTTTAAATCCAGTGGTTTAAAATACCTTTCTCTTAACTGATTTTTTTTTTTAATTTGAAAAGAAGGAGTTCAAACTCAACTAAGGAAGTCAACATTCTTCAGCACAGATTATTTCTAGTTGCTCCATTTACCTATCCCTATCACAGAATTCTTTATAACCCATAGAAATCCTTGTTGTTCTGGTGGTTGTTATAATGTCAGAAGACATATGAAAAAGGTTGCATCATTGTTTTCACATATTTGAAAGCCACTACTCACCCACCCCTCAATATATTCAATTCAGGCTAATTGCAACTTCTTCCTTCATACGTTGAAATGGAAAACCAATCACCATTTAATAATATGCGCCCCTCTCTGAACTTTTTTCAGAATGTTCCATTCCATCTAAAAGAGAGAGCACAAAATATTACTCAAATTGTGTAACCCCCCAAAAGGAGACAATTGATAGATAAAAGAAATAATCATGAAATTATAAAAGAGAAACAGGGCATTAAATATAATTATGTTCCAACAATTAGCTGGATAATATGCCAAAATATCTTGCTTTATTTGTATAACTAAGATAACTGTGGCTCTTGCCCATTCCTGACATTATTGTGCCCTTCTAAATTAAAAATACTTATCATTTTTCACAAGTTGTTTTTAAGCTAAATATTATTTCACGTTCTATTTTAACTCACAAACACTATGATTTTTTCAACACCCAATTCCATCATTTTATTCTTCTCACAACAGGTTTATATATCAGAGAATTAATAAGCAATATGTGAGTATAATTTATTCATTTTTTAAAAATAAAAATAGATTCCTTGCCTGGGACTGAAGAAGCACTAATGGAGGAGGGTGACGAATTTGAGAAAGCATCTAAACTAACAGGACCTGTAAGTATATTCATTGACTTATTTTTTTTAATTGCTAAAACTAATTTAAATTACTAGTAGGTAAATCTAAATAAAATATAATAAAGCCAGCTTTCTTACTGATTAATTAGGCTGTTCTAAGTTGTTTCAACAGTTGGGGAAGAAGACTTGAACTAGATGGGAAAAGTGAAGTTCTGGTGTTATTAACTGCTTGCTTGTGCATGTGAGCATGCTAAAAGGTTATGAGCTGCCATGTGAAACTTCAATAAGTTTAACTATACTTACCTTGGTAGTAAAACAAATATTTTGCATATCCTGAAAGTTTATATGTGACTTATGCTATTCTTAGTAGTGAAGTCCTTGTAATATGTTTGTTAAACTATATATCTTCAATACAGTATTTTGGGAGAGAACCATTAGGTTTAAGATTTTTAATGCAATTTAAGGTTAAAAGAATAAATAGAAAAAACCTGAAATTCTATATAAATTCTAAATAAAAATAAATTTTTTACAAATTCTAAAGTTCATAAAATTTTTTAGTTTCTATAAAAATAGCTAATGCAATCGCTTTATCTTAAATGTAATATTTGGACTGGGTTTGTATGTGTCTATATTCTCTGTATTAATTTGCTAGGGCTGCCATAACAAAGTAGCAAAGACTGGGTAGCTTAAATAACAAAAAGTTATTTTCTCAAAGTTGTGGAGGCAGAAATCAAAGATCAAAGTGTTGGCAGGGCTGCTTGCTTCTGAGGTCTCCCTTTTTACCTTGCAGATAAATGTCTTCTCCCTGAGTCTTCACAGCTTCTTCCCTTTGTACATGTCTATGTCCTAAGCACTTAACACCAGTGATACATCACAAATGTCACCAGTGATATTGGATGAGGGACTCCCTAATAACCTCCTTTAACTTAATTACCTCTTTAAAGACCTTATCTCCAAATGCATTCTGAGGTACTTGGGCTAGGAATTCGACATATGAAATTTTAGGAGGACACAGTTCAACCCATAACACTCTGTGACGAGATTACATGATTTAAAACATTATTCAGATCATAGGATTTGGTAAAAGGCACCAAGTTTTCCAATGAACTTCATAATAAAATTAATTTTTAAAATTACTGACAAAATCAATGTATCGTTGCTCAGATGTTATTTTCCCAGACCCTATTTAAAATTTTGCATTTCCCTTCTTTATTTTTTATACAGTACTTATGATTTCTACTGTGTGATACAATTTACTTATTTGTTTTACTGTCCATTTCTTTCCACTATAATATAAGGTCTAGCAGGGCAAGAATTTTTGTACATTTTTTTCACTTCCACATCTCTAGAGGAGTACCTACACACAGTAGGCCCATAATATGAAACACACACATACATATATATGTATGTTGAATGCATAGTTTAGCAATAATTCCTCACCATGAGATGAAAACTATTATATTTTCCTTTACTGTAAAATGGTAAAATCTTAGAAATAGAAAAAACCATGGTAACCATCCAGTTCAGCATTTCCCATCTCTTACCTTGGCATTTTCAACAGGATATTTTCACTCCTCTATTCAATGCAGAGATATCTAACCTATAGATAAGGAAACAGAAATTCAGAGAAGCTAAGGAACTAAACCAAGGTCCTAAAGTTAAAAAACAGTGATATCAGGAGTTGGGGACTAGTCAATTTTCCTTCTACTGTACATCCTTAATATTTTTAGTGCTTGTCTGTTTCTTGTAGAAACAGTTTATTCCTGTTTGTTAGATGTTGTCTTCCATTCCTCACAAACATTGGTCCTAGTTTTACTCGTGGAGTGATAGCTTAAACCTAATCCTTTTTACAATTAACTGATGTTCAGATATTAGAAGCTACGAGCATGTCCCAAATGAGACTTAAATTTTTAAGTCAAAGCATAGTCCATTCTTTTAACCAATGCTTACATTGTGTAGTTTCAAAAAATTTCAGTACCTTGATGCTTTCTCTGAACATATCCTTGTTTGCCAAGTCCCCTGTAACATGTGAGTTATGCCACAACCAAAGCTAGGGTTCCAAATAATGTTCTCACATAGAGTACAATGAAGTATGTGGTTGGAAAAAATATTATTTGGTGATTATAACCTACTGTTGCATTAATTTTATTTTTTAAGAAATGTTCTGCCATTTATAAACTTTAGTATTTCTCCATAACCTCATGATGTTATGTTGTCCTTCAGGTTGTAATAATCTGTCATTCTTCACTTTTTGCAAAGGTTTATCAGCTGTGAATTCCACAAAGTCCATATTTGTCCCTCAGGCCTAAACATATACCATTAGATTCTTCTTCTAATCATTTTCTCCCATCAAGATATATCCTGTCTTTAGTATTTGGCTTCCTTAATAATACATAAAAATGCAAAGAAAAAAGAAATTAGCTTTATTTGACCGAAGTTTTCATGAGTGATTTCAAATGGGTTCTTAGAGATCTTTGCTTTTTTCCACTGTGTTCACATACTGCTTCCCCAATGCAAAAGTTTGTTATAGGTCAACTTTGTTTGTTTTTATTTACATTCATTAGATTTTGCATTAAAAATTATCCAATTCCAGTTAATATCATATTACACATTTAAATCTTTTTGGAATTAAGTGGAATAAAACAATACATGAATAAATGAGTGAATGTCAGGACCCTGAAGCAGACAATTTCTAGATGGTAGCTGCTTTTATTATGAGGAAAGCATGGGTTAAATTAAAAGTTAATTTTGTTAAAATGAAGATATTTTAGATATAGAGTTTCTAAAAAAAACTTCTGTAGTATTTCTTGGGATAGTATTTTTAGTAAATCAAGAAGAAAATTGTGATTTTATCTAAATATTATGAAGAATTGGAACAAAGAAACTCTTTTTCTTTATTACCGTAAGAAATACAAAATACTTCAAAGCAAATTTTGAGTCATATCCTGTACAAATATAAATATGCCACAAATGTTGAAAACCATTTAAGGTAGTTTCAACACAGGCTGTCTCTATTTGCTAACTTTCCATGTTGAATATTGTATATTAATAAGTGAGGAACAGACTCTTGGAAACTGTTTTTTCCTAGTGGCTTACCCTGTGCTTGGAATATTTCTTGAATATTTTGTGAATATTTAAGTGACGTGGAGGCAACATTTATATTTGAAGTTTTATCCTCCTCCAAATAAGCAAGTCGTTCTTCTGGAATTTCCCTCTCCCTCTCTGCTCTCTCTTTTCTGGACTGCCTCTTGGTATATATACAGCCTATGCAGGTTAAAACTGTATTTGTCAGGTAAAGCCATTTAGTAAACCAACAAAAAGACAACCATGAAAAGAAAATACCAAATAGGCAGGTATTGATTATGACCTCTTAGCTTCATAAATATAATACATTATTTTAGATCAATGATTGATGAACACTTAATGTCGATGATTTTGGATTGCATAATTTCTATGGCTTTCTTATTTTTTTTCTTTTTTGAGACAGAGTCTAGCTCTGTTGCCCAGGCTGAATTCAGTGGTGCTATCACAGCTCACTGCAGCCTTGACCTTCTGGGCTCCAGCATTCCTCCCACCTCAGCACCTCAGCCTCCTGGGTAGCTGGGACTACAGGTGTGCACCAACACACCTGGCAAAATTTTATTTTTTTGTAGAGACAGAATCTAGCTATGTTGCCCAGGCTGCTCTTGAACTCCTGGATTCAGGCAATCCTCCTTCCTCGGCCACCTAAAATGCTGGGATTACAGGAATGAGCTTCCTTTATCTTAAAAAAATCTATTTTGCTGTAAAAGTATTAAATAAACATATGGGTGTTAAGGGAAGATGAAGATAATTAAGAAAGACCATTGATAGTAAATGTCTTACTGACTTTTTTCTTTTTTCCTTGTAAATTTTTTAAGTTATTGTATTCATTAGTCAGTAATGACTAGCTCATTATAATCTGACTCTCATAAGATTTTATGTAACTGGTCATCATTTCTTACTTAAAGTAGAAAAGAAAATTAAAAAGTCTTCTGTAAAAAAGGTTTCCTAAAATGCCCAGGGTTTACTAAAAGTTATGCTTTTGGTATATTATCCTCCTGGAGAGTTTTATCTACTTGAGGAAATACATAAAATTGACTAGGATGATATCACATATTTGTACAGCACTTTTTAATTATTAAGTGCTTCACATATTTTATACCAATGGTGTCTGAATTTTGTCATTTCCGTGGCTTATCACTTTATCCTGACCACTTTGCTGTGAAGTAGTGCTTACTTAGCTTCAGATGAGCATACTGAGCTTCCAAAAGATCTTGTGATTTGTCCCAGGTCACATAGACAGGGCAGGACAAAAACTCATGGTTCCCAGTGCCCAAACTGTCTTTCATAGAACTTGTTGGGATCCGTACAATTGGTACTTATTTGCAAATTTGTATTTAGGCACTGAGTCACTGTTAACACCTGTAATGAAAAGGAGATAAGTATTAGGCTATTATCAGTAGCCAATATCTTTTTTTATTTTTTTATTTTTATTTTTTATTTTTTTAAGTTGGAGTCTCACTCTGTCACCCAAGCTGGAGTGCAGTGGTGTGATCTCAGCTCACTGCAACCTCCGCCTCCTGGGTTCAAGCAATTCTCATGGCTCTGGCTCCCTAGTGTCTGGGATTACAGGCGCACGCCGCCACACCCAGCTAATTTTTGTATTTTTAGTAGAGACCAGGTTTCACCATGTTGGTCAGGCTGGACTTAAACTCCTAGCCTCAAGTGATCCGCCCGCCTCGGCCTCCCAAAGTGCTGAGATTACAGGCTGAGCCACCATGCCTGGTCACCAATATCAAAGGTAGAATTATTCGCCAGATTAAGTAGATAGTGAAAAGCAACAGTCTTGAGGGGACTGGATCAGAACAGGTAGTTTTTCATGAGAGAAAGGGATCCGTACATTTCAGCATAAGAGATAAGCCTTGCTCAGGTTTTTCGGAATTGGAGGACTCTGAGAAACCAGAGCAGTATGGAAAGAGGTCCTGGGATGGGGAAACTACTGAGAAAGAAAGCAAAAGGGAAAAATGTATGTGTCTAAGAAAAAAATATCTGTGACAAGCTTAATCCAAAAGTTAGAGACTCTGGTAATTCTGGAATTACCTTGATAAAGTGTCTGCTGAGCTAGATTGGAGGTAAATTTGGTTATTTTTAATCTTGCCAGATGTTGTGTGTATTAGTTCATTTTCATGCTGCTGATAAAAACATATCCAAGGCTGGGAAGAAAAAGAGGTTTAATTGGACTTACAGCTCCACATGGGTGGGGAGAGCTCCGAATCATGGTGGGAGGTGAAAGACACTTCTTGCATGGCAGCAGAGAGAGAAAATGAAGAAGCAAAAGCGGAAACCCCTGATAAACCCATCAGATCTCATGAGACTTGTTCACTATCACGAGAATAGCACAGTAAAGATTGGCCCCCATGATTCAATAACCTCCCCCGGGTCCCTCCCACAACACACGGGAATTCTGGGATTTACAATTCAAGTTGAGATTTGGGTGAGGACACAGCCAAACCATATCATTCTACCCCTGGCCCCTCCAAATCTCATGTCCTCACATTTCAAAACCAATCATCACACCTTCCCAGCAGTGCCCCAAAGTCTTAACTAATTTCAGCAATAATCTGATGGCCCACAGTCCAAAGTCTCATCTGAGACAAAGCAAGTCCTTTCTGTCTATGAGCTTGTAAAATCAAAAGCAAGCTAGTTACTTCCTAGATACAATGGGGGTACAGGTATTGGGTAAATACAGCTATTCCAAATGAGAGAAATTGGTCAAAACAAAGGGGTTACAGGGCCCATGCAAGTCCAAAATCCAGCGGGGCAGTCAAATTTTAAAGTTCCAAAATGATCTCCTTTGACTCCAGGTCTCACATCCAAGTCACACTGATGCAAGAGGTGGGTTCCCACGGTCTTGGGCAGTTCCACCCCTATGGCTTTGCAGGGCACACCCTCTCTCCTGGCTGCTTTCATGGGCTGGTATTGAGTGGCTGTGGCTTTTCCAGGAGCATGGCGCAAGCTGTCAGTGGATCTACCATGCTCGGATCTGGAGGACCGTGGCCCTCTTCTCACAGCTCCACTATGTGGTGCCCCAGTAGGGACTCTGTGTGGGGGCTCCACCCCTACATTTCCCTTCTGCACTGCCCTAGCAGAGGTTCTCCATACAGGCCCTGCTCCTGCAGCAAACTTTTGCCTAGGCATCCAGGCGTTTCCATATATCTTCCGAAATCTAGGCAGAAGTTCCCAAACCTCAATTCTTGACTTCTGTGCACCCACATGCTCAACACCACAAAGGTGCAAAGGCTTGGGGCTTCCACCCTCTGAAGCCACAGCCTGAGCTGTGCATCAGCCCCTTTCAGCCATGGCTGGAGCAGGTGGGACACAGGGCACCAAGTCCCTAAGCTGCACACAGCATAGGGACCCTAGGCCCAGCCCATCCTCCTGGGCCTGTGGGGCCTGTGATGGGAGGGGCTGCCGAGAAGTTCTCTGACATGGCCTGGAGACATTTTGTCTTGAGGATTAACATTAGGATCCTTGCTACTTATGCAAATTTCTGCAGCCAACTTGAATTTCTCCCCAGAAAATGGGTTTTTATTTTCTATCACATAGTCAGGCTGCAAAATTTTCCAAACTTCTATGCTCTGCTTCTCTTATAAAACTGAATGCCTTTAACAGCACCCAGGTTACATCTTGAATACTTTGCTGCTTTGAAATTTCCTCCTCCAGATACCCTAAATAGTCTCTCTCAAGTTCAAAGTACCACAAATCTCTAGGACAGGGGTAAAATGCTGCCAGTCTCTTAGCTAAAACATAACAAGAGTCACCTTTGCTCCAGTTCCCAACAAGTTTCTCTTCTCCATCTGAGACCATCTCACACTGAATTTTATTTTCCATGTCGCTATCAGCATTTTGGGCAAAGCCATTCAACAAGTGTCTAGAAAGTTCCAAACTTTCCCACATTTTCCTGTCTTCTTCTGAGCCCTTCAAACTGTTCCAACCTCTGCCTGCTACCCAGTTCCAAAGTCGCTTCCATATTTTCAGGTATCTTTTCAGCAATGCCCCACTCTACTGGTACCAATTTACTGTATTAGTCTGTTTTCACGCTGCTGATAAAAACATAACCAAGGCTGGGAACAGAATGATAGCAGGTGGTGAAATACACTTCTTACATGGCAGTGGCAAGAGAAAATAAGGAAGAAGCAAAAGTGGAAACCTCTGATAAACCCATCAGATCTCATGAGACTTATTCACTATCACAAGGATAGCATGGGAAAGACCAGCCCCCATGTTTCAATAACCACCCCCTTGATCCCTTCAACAACATGTGGGAATTCTGAGAGATACAATTCAAGTTGAGATTTCAGTGGGGACACTGCCAAACCATATCATTGTGTTTTGTTGATTAGTATATGCAACATTCTGTTTATTGTTGCTGTAGGAACAAATGAATGGCTTTTACCCTTTTCACTCTTCCTGATTCTTTCTACTTCTACTCACAAGTAGTGAAGTTTGGATCTGATTGTGTGACATTGAAATTTCTCACATATGCCATATTTCCCAAGGTCCCATGGATAGAAACTTAAAAAATAATGAATTTGGATAAGATGCAAATATACTCTTTTCACAACTATAATTGGAAAACATGAAGATGAAGCATCTATGCATATATCTTCTCTAACACATACAACTGATGTATAATTTCAGAAAGATTGGACAGCAAGAGCATTGCTCCTAAATGAATTTCTTTTTACAAGAAAGAATTAGATAATTACTTTTTGTTAATTTTTAATTTTTTTATTTGGCCAATGCAGTACATAAGTCAGCAGAGTCCCTCCTGTATTTCTATTCACTGACTGAATGTTAATTAGCAGAGTGGAATCCTCTTATAATAAATCCTGGATGCTTTTGGGAATTATGTTAAAAGAGGAATTCAATTATACACAATGAACATTGCCTGCTAAGACTTAAAGAAACTTTGGCAATCTGCTGAAGTCATATGACATTTCTCAATATGCAAGTTGCACAAATGCCTTTTATTTCTTTCCTCCAGAAACATACATACTACTTTCAGGCCAAATACTGTGTCTTCTTGGAGATTCATTCCTCTATCGCATTTCTTCTTTCCCAGATCTTTACCTCTTCTGTTGTAAGGCATGCATAAAAAGATCTATACATTTGATTCCAGGTGAGATTTGTCAAAAATAATTTTTAAAAATCTATACACTTGAAAGAAAATTATAAAATCACACTTAGGCTTGACAGGAAGCATAAAAAATTGTACTCATATAATTCTTGTATAAAACATGGGTGAGGAATAGTTCTTTAGTGGACCTTTACATTATGTATTTACCTATACATATTCCTGCTTTATATCTCCTTTCTTATTAATATTGCTACACTGTACACGCAACCCTGCCCACAGAAACATTTTGTCTGTTTCATTATACTCACAACTTAACATTTTAAATGTTTCCAATAAAACATGTTCCAGATTATTTTTCATACTCAAGTATAATTTTATGGTACATAAATTGTTGCACATATTTTAGAGGGCTTGTGATTTTATGTAAATTGGTTTAAATAGTTGAGCAATAGAAGCAAAGTTGAGTGAATGAATTAATGAACAACTTGCAATTTTTCTTGCAATGTCCATCTATAATGGAAAACTAGGCACACAGCTAGCATTTATGGAATTAAGATTAAACATGTTTCAACTTGGACTCTTGCAAAATGAAAAAGAAATGAATGTTCATTATAATCTCACCAAATAGAAGTAATAAATTATGATGAATTTTGTCCCTTGAAAGATAGTGTTGGCAAATTGCTGGCGGCTAATTGTAGCAATGAAATTTATGTTAAAGAACAGTGACTAGTACATATTTTGCTCAGTCCTAAAGGTTTTTGCTATTTCTTTTTCCTTCTGGCCTGTGGAATTTCCCTTGGCTTTTATGACTCATCAGCTAAGATGCCAATAAAGCTGCTCAAAATTAAGTGCCATAGTAGGCAAGTTATCTAACCAAATTTTGGGATCTGGTGGGATTTTTCCTTTTGACATTTCAGGTCTGTTGATTTCTGACATGTTAAGGATGAAAATATTTGCCCAGACCTATGCAAATATTATTTTTTAAAACATCTATGAGTTTGAAAATGTAACTTCTAAATGTTACATTTGCATAGGGAAAAAATGGCCTGAGATGATAAAGTGTGATCTAATAAATGTTTAAACATTGATTATGGTTTTGGTAATTAATTCAATCCCTTAACATAATTTTACTGTTTCTCCATTAATAAAAGTATGACATTATTTTGTGGTATCAGTTAAATTCTGCCTTTAATTTTTAAAATAATGGGAAGGGAGTGTGGCCTAATATACATTGATGCAGAGCAAGTATAATTAATTTCTAGGCAAATAATACCCAAGGAGATGTATGACAGCATGAGATCCCAGTCATGAGTCTGTTCTGAACGTGATGAGCAGAAAGGAAACTATATTTTTACATTTTCGGTATTTTGAAGTTATTGCTAATTCTTTACTAAAGTGATTGTCACCTCCTGCAAATTTCATTAGATTGCAGTAGAAATGGGCTGAAGAGAAAAAAAGTAATATGGATTATGTTTGTGTTTCGAGGTAAAGCCTTATAGCTCTGACTATGACTTGTGCAGGATGTGTGCTGGGAAACACATTAATATCCAATCCCTTGTGGAAATGGAAAAACATTAAATTACCCACAAGGGCATTTCCTTTACATGTTCCTCTCCTTCTTCAGCTACGAAAACTACATAGATTACATAAAATGGTGGATTTTGAGTGCTTCCCTACAGAAGCTTACACATTTGCAGGGTTCTTTTTTACCTTTTAACCACATTCATCTAATCAAGATCATATTTCTGCTTATTGTAAAAAGTGACCATATTTGTGTTCTGAATCTGAAAAGTGTGCTGACTCAAACAAACCAAAAAAATACTTTATATTCCTGATATTATGTTGACCTAATATGTATATTAAAAGAACATTTGGAAAATGATTATGTTTATATGTTTATATTGAAAGGATGTTGACTGTTAGGTTATATCGAATGAAAATTCCTTTTTCAGAAATTAAACTCTTTAAAATTGAATATGAAAAGCCTTACATTCTGCTTTTCTTTAATTTACATTATATCATAAGCATATTCTTTTTTCCCACTATGGTTTTGTTATTCTGAAAGTTAAAAAAAAAATTACATCTATCTTACAAGCTAAACGCAATAAGCATATTCTTACATAAAACTATCTATTAGTCTAATTCTAATGGCTGTGCATTATTGCAGCCTTATCTGTTTTAGTACCAATTAGACCAAGTAGCCTCTTATTATTCACCTTTTAAAAGTTTAAGACTTTAATTTTGGTGTTAAATCATAACATAGAGTTGCCATACGTGATTTAATGTTAGGCTTTTAGGTTGGATATTCCCAAATAGTTTGTCCCAGGCTACTGATCATTGGGATTGGTGACAGAAATGCTGGGACCTCAGCGTTCCAGTCCTTCTGGTAACTGGTTGAACTTTCATTCCGTGCAAGCAGCCTATTCTGGGTTCACTGTGTACTGTACAAATATTGTTATTTCCTTTATTTGTTTTGATGTGAAGGTGTTGGGACACACTGGTTAAGATTGCGTCTGAGATTTGAGGCTTGAGAGTAATGCTTTGGAGAACAAAAATCACAGTCAGTGTCTCAATGTTTTCCTCAGGCTAAAGTCCTTAAAGGGTTAAAGTATATGAACTATTTTAAAGTTCTTAATACATTCCAGAGGAAGGCCATTAGGCATATTTACCAGGAATCTCCTAAACTCTTGCCAGAATTAAGTATTCTCTTAAAATCTATAAATGAAAAGTAAAAATCCCACAAAATTATTTCATCATATTGATAAATATAAAATGAAACTTTTTGTCCTTGAAGTTGGATTTCCTGGTTTACCAGTGAATTTCTTTAATCACTAATAAATAATTTTTACATATATTTATTAGACTTTTTAATGATTTTTTTGTGTTCCTGGCCATATTTCTTTCGGAGAGTTTATTTTCCTATTGACTTGTTGATATTTATTATGTATTAAAAATAATGACTTGTATCATTTCATATTGTGGCAAATAATTTTTAGCAATTTTTCTCTTGTCTTTTAATGTTATAATAGCTTTTTTATTACAGAGAAGCTATATTTTTCTCTTTCCAATTTCTTCCATTCATTTTATACAGTTTTTTCTCTCCAATATTAGACAAATATTACCTAAAAGTTCTTCACATTTTCCTCTTGGAATTCTTCAATCAATTTTGAGTTTATTTTGGTGGTTATTGTGAGGCAAGTGTTTAACAAGGTATTTCCAAATAAAATTTGTTAGAAGCTGGGCGTGTAATCCCAGCACTTTGGGATGCCGAGGCAGACAGATCACCTGAGGTCAGGAGTTTGCGATCAGCCTGGCCAATATGGCAAAACCCCATCTCTACTAAAAATACAAAAAATTAGCTGGGCATGGTGGCAGGCACCTGTAACCCCAGTTACTTGGGAGGCTGAGACAGGAGAACTGTTTGAACCTTGGAGGCGGAGGTTGCAGTGAGCTGAGATCACCCCACTGTGCTCCAGCCTGGGCAACAGAGTGAGACTCTGTCTCAACAAAAAAAAAGAAACAGTTTGCTAGTGTCATTTGTTTTTGATAATTCATCCCTTCTTTATTAATTTGAACTTTTTCTTTTCATCTTAATTACTATGTATAATATTGTCACAGCTAATATTTATTAAATCTTTAATTTTTACCAGGCATTGTACAAACATCCCATTTTGTTTGCAAGCAGATTGTAATTATTAACCAACTTATACATGAGAAAACTAATATTGAGGGAGATGTAATAGATTGCTTTAAATCCCTCAGTTTGTAAGCCTGGGGAGCCAGGATTGTACCTACTCCACGTTCGCCAAATGTAGGCTGCACTAAGTTAACGATTCTCATCTAGGCAATGGAGAGTTAGCCTCCATTAACATATGTTATTTCTGTTTTAGTTATTGTAGTTTTACATGTTTAAAGTAGATAAAGTCCTTCCTTTTGTTCTTCTTTTGCAAAATCAAAGAGTTTAACTACATCATACAATAACTAGCTGTTCTAAAGCATGCCTTCTTATATGATTTTTTTTTTAAGAACAGGTTTAGCGTTTCAATATTTCAAGAAAAGCTTGGGAGACCTTTTCCCAGAATACAAAAAACTATTCATCAGCTTCTAGAGATTATTTAGTTTGCTTATACAGAAAGTATTTCATCTAGTGATTTTTATAGAGTTTCTTAAATAAAGCTTAAATCATATTCACAAGAATCTTATAAATTAGAAGACAGAATTGAAATCTTAACTTCCAGTTATTTTGTTCAGAATATTGGGACATCTAGATTCAGAGATAACACAAACTGCTTGGGAAAAAAGGAAGCTGAGTAATTTGTAAGTAAGTAAGTAAATATCTCTCCACGATGTCACAACTACAAAAATGTATTAGTATTTCTCAAGAATTGTGAATCAGATGTCTGTATTTATTTTACTTAAATCTGAATTTCTGAAACTTGTCATTTTCAAGTTTCACTAATTTTTTTTATGTTTATCAAGAAAGTATTTGCATTCCAGTAGTAAGAATACAAGCATATTTTAAAAAAGAAATTTCTGGAAAGATCACCTAATCGAAGAAGAAATATAAAGGGTTTATTAGCTAAGGAGACAAACTTCAAATAATATCAAGAAAAGGTAATCAAGAACTAGTAGACATCTGTACTTGGAGATCACAAAAGTTGAGAAATGGCCATGTAGGGTCTGTTGTTCCAGGAGAAAGTGACAAGAATATCTCAGCCTGAAGAACCTGCAGCCTAAGGACAGTCAAATGCAAGCAGACAGTAGGGAGACCTTGGAAGTGGAAGTCATTAACCTCTGCCAGGGGTGCATTTCCTGACACCTGTATGTTCCTGTGGCCCCACCACTTGAGGCCAAGTCAGTGATCAACGTGGGGAAATCAATAATACTTTGGTGGATTTGCCTCACTAGACTGCATTCCTGGGAGATGACAATATGAATGAACATGCTCAATTCAAATTTTGCTTGTAGTCTTTTCTATTCCCAACAAAACTTCCACCTCCAGATCCCTTTCAGTTTCCATTCCTGTCTTCTGGCCAGTGCCCCACCTCATTGCCATTATTGTAGAAACCTCTTCCTACAGGATATCACCACTGTTTCTCCTAGTTAATAACCTAGGAAGCTGCACACCATCCTTCATCCCTCCTTCTGCTTCCAGCCTGGGTTAAGGCGGTCACACTCATCATGTTAACATCTCTGCTGCACTCTTATTTGTCCACATGACTGTCCAACCCAGGAGTTCCCATCTGGCGGGTAGTGGGATACATGCCACTCTGGGCGGCCAGACCTTTCTTGAGATTTACTGCTGTAGATATTGATAGAGATACAGGTGGGGAAACTAATTGTGAATGGCCCACAGCTCTCCTAGACTATATACTTCCCCTGAAAGAGCAGGAACTCTGCTATAATCACATGAAATAATTGAAATTAAGGCCTTACTTACATTAACTTATTTAAAATTACACAACCCCTTTGTGAGGTAAGTTTATCTTAATTTTTAGATGGAAAAACTTAGTTTTAGAGAAGGTAAGTAACTACAGTTAATGGTGTAGGTATGATTGGAACCTATCTGTCACATTCCAAAGCCCTGGTGGCCCATCTTGGGGCACTAATGGGATTCAAATAATCACTTTCCCACTAGTTTCTGGAGGCCAGGGAGTATGTACCTGGACTTCAGGGAGCAGTTTCAATGGTATCTGTCTTATACACAAGATTTATTTGTAAGGTTTGCTTTGAACATAAGAATTGCCCTGCTGTAAACAAACTTTGAAATTACCCATTCAAACTGTTCTGAAATTTCAATGTTTATCCTATTTTCTTATGGAGCATTAACGATAACACGTAGCTGCATCATGTGAATGTTTTGTCTTTTCTAGTAAGCATTTTTGGGGCTTGATGATTTAGAGAATTATAAAAGTATTTTCTTTGCAAAGACATTTATATTGGAGATGTTGAGTGCCTTTAAGGGCCTAAAAATCATGTTTGCTTTGGTCAAGTAACAAAACATTTACTTATGTTAAATAATGTCATTAAACTTTTTCAAGACTCATAAAATTGATAGAGGAGGCCACAGTTATAACTTTTTATACTTTAAATGATTTGCAAGTGTGTCTAACTTGAGAAAGAAAAGAAAAAAACATAAATCCAATGTCATTAATACGTAAAAATAGTCAGAAATTTATCAGAAACTGTTTCATACTCAGGAGTGAACCCTAGCCAATTCTATCACTTATTCTTTTAATGAACATTAAATCTTAACTATATTTGTCCTGACCCAAATTTGTAAAACACCAAATTTCCTCTTTCCCTCTTTTTGTGAAACTGCCCAATTTAAATTCTGTCTTTGAAGGCTGATTCTAAAGAATGTAGTTCGTTTGTGACTTTAGGTTCAACAACACCCCAGTAACATTTCAGAAAGCCTCCTTATTCCACTGTTGACTGGTTTCCTGCTAGACAACAGAAAGCTGATGTTCTACATTTCTTAGACCAATGGCTTTTTCATACAGCTGTTGACATAAAAGGAAAGCAAAGAAAATAAATCATCTTTTGTATATTACAAGTTAAAGCATAACATCCTCATTTTATCTGTGGTTTTAAGCCTTTGCTCAGCCATGATGTGCAAATGTCAAATGGTCGACTTTTGATGTGTTTTCATACTGTCAGTAAAATAGACTGTAGCAAGGCAAACTGTCCAGGTCTGTGGCTGGTTTTCAAAAATCAATAACTAACATTTGTAAGTGCATTGCTAAAATGCTTTTTATTATTTCAACAAACCTAGAAGTTAGTATTATTATCATCTCCATTTTAAAGATGTGAAATGAAGCACAGAGAGAATGGTACCCCCAATCATATAGAACTAGAATTCCTTTAGGTTTATTCTGAATGTCCTTCAGAATTTTAGCAAATAGGTGGCAGTGTAGCTTGCAAAATCTTCAATCAAATTACTTTACCCTTGTTTGATATGAGTTCAGAGAGTTCCATGATGTAGATTCTGTGATTATTAACACTAGAATATATTTATAATAAATCAATATAATACAATAAAATGAAACATAATTTTTATCGTAACAAGTCATGTTCATCTCAGGATATTCAGTACCTAGCCCAGTGTCAAGAAGAAGAGATACTCAATAAATGCTTGGTAGATTGAACTGAAGGAGGAAAAATCATCCTGAGAACTTTTAGGTGTCCTTTTATTCATTGGCCACTTTTTCC
This sequence comes from Homo sapiens, assembly GCF_000001405.40. Taxonomy (NCBI): domain Eukaryota; kingdom Metazoa; phylum Chordata; class Mammalia; order Primates; family Hominidae; genus Homo; species Homo sapiens. The sequence goes on from NC_000008.11 coordinate 68,736,772, forward strand.
AAATGGTTAGTGTCATAAGTAGAATATAATGGTATACTTCAAACGTCACATTATAGTTCTTTTAACTGCACTTAAAGAGGGAGGTCCTGTGTCTTAGGTACCTCCCATGAGTCCAATTATTAGGCTGAGGTTATTGGGTAATGTGGATCTGAGTAATTTTCATTTTTTGACCTTTAATCTCTTTAGAAATTTAAGTTTTTATCTAACTAAATAACAGTAGCTCCAAATTAAATGTTTGAGTATGCTGTAATATTATTATCATCATTGTGGCCATAGTGTCAGTACAACTATAAGTAATAGGATTTAGTTTAACTCAGGATGGCTTTGGAAACTATAAGGTCTTAGTATCTCCAAGGCATGGCTAAAACATGCTTCTAGAACAGGGTTGGAAAGCTCTGCCTAAGGCAGTATGCCCTTAAAACTCTTAGTTTAAATTCTTATTTGAAGGAAAATAAATTGCTCCATATCTTCAACTTCTTTGTCCATTGCTGCTTCCATTTTCTGTCCTTAATAGAAACCTTTTTCCCAGGCATTTATCACTTGTTCTTTTATGCAAATATTCATTACTTTTTCATGCCACAGTTATGAGAGGCAGTATTGTTTATCATAGCTCTCCACTGCAACTTCCTGATCATTCATTTTCATCTCTAAATAAAAATCCTTTGGTAACAGGCTAAATGCCTCAATTAAAAGGCACAGAATGGTCAGCTGAATAAAGAACCAAGGCCCATTGGTATGCTGTCTTGAAGAGACCCATCTCATATGCAATGCCACCCATACACTCAAAATAAAGGCATGGAGAAAAATCTACCAAACAAATGGAAAACAGAAAAAAGCAGGGGTAGCAACCTTACTTTCAGACGAAACAAACTTTAAATCAACAAAGATTAAAAAAAAAGACAAAGAAAGGCATTACATAATGGTAAAGAGTTCAATTCAAGAAGACTGAAATATCCTATATATACATGCACCTAACATAGGAGCAGCCACATTCATAAAGCAAGTTCTGAGAGACCTTCAAAGCAACTTAGACTTCCACACAATAATAGTGGGATACCTCAACATTGCACTGACAGTTGTAAATAGATCATCAAAGCAGAAAATTAACAAAGATATTTAGGACCTGAACTCACTCAGCACTGGATCAAATGGACCTGAGAGACGCTTACAATACTCTCCATCCCAAAACAACAGAATATACATTCTTCTTATTGCCACATGGCACATACTTTAACATTGATCACATAATCAGAAATAAAACACTGCTCAGCAAATGCAAAAGAGCAGCAATCATAAAAACCAGTTTCTTGGTTTTTATATGGTCCAGTTTCTCGGACCATAGCACAACAAATTTAGAAATCCAAACTAAGAAATTCAATCAAAACAGTACAATTACTTGGAAATTGAATAACCTGCTCCAGAATGACTTTTGGGTAAATAATGAAATTAAGGCAGAAATCAAGAAGTTTTTGGAAACTAATGAGAACAAAGATAAAATGTTCCAGAATTTCTGGGACACAGCTAAGGCAGTGTTAAGAGGGAAATCATACCACTAAATGCCCACATTGAAAAGTTAGAAAGATCTCAATTTAGCAATCTAACCTTGCAAATAGAACAACTAGAGAACCAAGAGAAAACCAACCCCAAAGCTAGCAGAAGACAAGAAATAACAAAAATCAGAGGAAGGAAACACAGGCATGAAAAACCATTCAAAAGATCAGTGAATTCAGGAGTTGGTTTTTTGAAAAAATTAATAAATTACATAGATGGCTAGCTAGACTAATGAAGAAAAGAGACCCAAACAAACACAATCAGAAACAACAAAGGGGATGTTATCACTCACCCCACAGAAATACAAATAACCATCAGATAATAATATAAGCACATCTATGCAGATAAGCTAGAAAATCTAGAGGAAATGGATAAATTCCTGTATACATACATCCTCCCAAGAATAAACCAAGAAGAAATTGAATCTCTGTATAGACCAATAACAAGCTCTGATATTGAATCAGTAATAAATAACCTACCAACCAAAAAAAGGCCAGGATCAGATGGATTCACAGCTGAATTCTACCAGATGTACAAAGAAAATCTCATACCATTCCTGGTGAAAGTATTCTAAAAAATTAATGAGGAGGGGCTCCTCCCTAACATTCTATGAGGCCAGCATCATCCTCATAGCAAAACCTTGCAGAGACACAACAAAAAAAGAAAGCAAAAAAAGAAAACATTAGGCCAATATTCTTAATGAATGTTGATGCAAAAATCCTCAACAAAATACTGGCAAACTGAAACCAGCAGCACATCAAAAAGCTTACCACAATCAAGTGGGCTTTATCCCTGGGACGCATGGTTGGTTCAACATATGCAAATCAATAAATGTGGTTCATCACATAAACAGAACTAAACAAGAAACTACATGATTATCTCAATAGATACAGAAAAGGCTTTCAATAAAATTCAACACCCCTTTATGTTAAAAACTCTCAATAACCTAGGTTTGGAAGTAACATACCTCAAAATAATAAAAGCCATATCTGACAAACCCACAGCCAACGTCATACCAAACGGATAAAAGCTGGAAGAGCTCCTTCAGCTGAGAAACAATTTCAGCAAAGTCTCAGGATACAAAATCAATGTACAAAAGTCAGTAGCACTCCTAAACCAAAAAAAGTCAAGGCAAGAGCCCAATCAGCAACAAAATCCCATTCACAGTTGCCACAAAAAAAAATAAAATACCTAAGAATACAGCTAACTAGGGAGGTGAAAGATCTTTACAATGAGAATTACAAAACACTGCTCAAAGAAATCAGAGATGACACAAACAAATGAAACAACACCCCAAGCTCATAGATAGGAAGAATCAGTGTCATTAAAATAGCTCTACTGCCCAAAGCAATTTGTAGATTCAATGCTGTTCCTATTAAACAACCAATGACATTATTCACAGAACTAGAAAATAATACTTTAAAATCCACATGGAACCAAGAAAGAGCCCAAATACCCAAGGCAATCCTAAGAAACAAACAAACAAACGAACAAAAACCCCACAAAGCTGGAGGCATCATGCTACCTGACTTCAAACTATACTATAGGGCTACAGTAACCAAAACAGCATGGTACTGGTACAAAAACAGACACATAGACCAGAATAGAGAGCCCAGAAATAAAGCTGCACACCTACAACTATCTGATCTTCAACAAAGCTGACAAAAACAAACAATGGGGAAAAGACTTCCTATTCAGTAAATGATGCTGGGATAACTGGATAGCCATATGCGGAAGATTGAAACTGGATCCTTTCCTTATACCATCTGCAAAAATTAACTCAAGATGAATTAAAGACTTAAATGTGACACTCAAAATTATAAAAATTCTGGAAGACAACCTAGGCAATACCATTCTCGACACAGAAACCAGCAAAAATTTCACGATAAAGATGCCAAAAGCAATTGCAACAAAAGCAAAAATTGATAAATGGGATCTAATTAAAGTAAAGAGCTTCTGCATAGCAAAAGAAACTATCAGCAAACAGACAACTTACAGAATGGGAGAAAGTTTTTTGCATACTATGTATCTGACAAAGGTCTAATATTCAGCATCTATAGGGAACTTAAACAAATTTACAAGAAAAAAAACCATTATAAAGTGGGCATGAACAGACACTTTTCAAAAGAAGACCTACATGCAGCCAATAAGCATACGAAAAAAAAGCTCAATATGACTGATCATTAGAGAAATGCAAATCAAAATCACAATGAGATACCATCTCACACCAGTCAGAATGGCTATGATTAAAAAGTCAAAAATTAACAGATACTGGTGGGGTTGCAGAGAAAAAGGAATGCTTATATGCTGTTGGTGGGAGTGTAAATTAGTTCAACTACTGTGGAAAACAGCATGTCAGTTACTCAAAGACCTAGAAACAGAAATATCATTTGACCCAGCAATCCCATTACTGGGTATATTCTCAATGGAATATAAATTGTTCTGTCATAAAAACACATATGTTCATTGCAGCAATATTTACAATAGCAAAGACATGGAATCAACCTAAATGCCCACCAACGGTAGACTGGATAAAGCAAATGTGGTACATATACACTATGGAATACTATGCAGTCCTAAAGAAGAATGAGATCATGTCCTTTGTGCAAACATGGATGGAGCTGGAGGCTATTATCCTTAGCATACTAATACAGGAACAGAAAGCCAAATATTGTGTGTTCTCACTTATAAATGGGAGCTAAATGATGAGAAGACATGGACACATAGAGGGGGAACAACACTCACTGGGACCTATCAGAGGGTGAAGGGAGGGAGGGGGGAGAGGATCAGTAAAAATGGGTACTGGGCTGAATAGCTGGATGACGAAATAACGTGTTCGACAAACCCCTGTGACACAAGTTTACTTATATAACAAACCTGCACATGTACCCCTGAACTTAAAATAAAAGTTAAATAAAAAAATTCTTCCGACATTCATATTACCTTATATAATTTTTTTCCAATAAAAATAAACAATTTTATTTCATTTTAAATTGTTTAAATTGTTTATATTTTTGTGGGTACATTGGTGGATATATTTATGGGATACATAAGATGTTTTCATATGGGTGTGCACTGCATCTTAATACCATCAGGGTAAATGGGGTATTCATAACCTCAAGCACTTATTCTTCATGTTACAAATAATTCAATTATACTCTTTTAGTTATTTTTAAATGTACAGTTAAATTATTTGACTGTAGTCACCCTGTTGTGCTAGCAAATACTAGGTCTTATTCTTTTGAACTATATTTTTGAACCCATTAAATTATCTTCAGTTCCCTCCACCCCACCCCATACTAACTTTCCTAGCCTCTGGCAACCATCCTTCAACTCTTTTATCTCCATGGGTTCAGTTGTTTTAATTTTTAGCTCCCACAAATAAGTGAGAACATGCCAAGTTTGTCTTTTGGTGCCTGGCTTATTTTACTCAACATTATCTCCTCCAGATCCATCCATGTTGTTGTAAATGACTGGATCTCATTCTTTTGTATAGATGAATAGTACTCCATTGTTTATATGTACCACGTTTTCTTTATCCATTCATCTGTTGATTGACATTTAGGTTTATAGAATTTCAATTTAGCACTCACACTCCTCAGTCACTGAGAATTTTGACATGACATAACCAATCTATCCAACATTCTATCCAACATTCTATCTCCAAAGTTTTTCTACCATACCTTCCACCCAATACTTCATGCCTGTGGCCATACCTGTAACCTTATCATAACCTAGTTTTATTCTTCTTCTGGACTTGAACTCCAGCGTGTCAGTGGTAATACCCTCCTTTTCATTTTCTAACTCCATCAGTCCCACTCTTCCTCTTCTTTGATTTCCCTAAGAACTCCAGGCCCTAAGCCATTGCCTCCTTATGGCTGCCTTATCCGGCCAGTCCCTGAACAGTGCATTTCATCAATGACTCTCCATTTAGCCTTCCTTTGCTGCTAATGTCCAGTTTTAATCTGCCCTCAATATGTATCTTATTCTCCCTACCAATTATTCCAAACCTGATCCTAGCCTCCTACTTCTCAAGAAAAAATAAAACTATCAAGCAAGTAAAACCAAACAAACAAAACTTGGGTCCCTCAGGTGTAAAGTCCTTTAACATCCATAAGCCTGTATTCATCTGTGTAAGCAGCCCCTCTCATTTGTTTTCATCCAGTCTCAGAAGAGGTTTAAATTATCGTGTTCCAGGTTGGCTCTTGATAGAATCCTTTCTCCCCATTTCTAAAAATGTACTTCTTTGTCTTTTGCTGTATTTTTAACACTTCTCTTTCGACTTTCCTGCAGGCTATGGACATTCTCAAGCATTTTTCAATGGCAAACAAATGTACAAATGATTTCATTTTCCACCTTTAGCTACTATTGCCCTTACCTGTCTTCTGCCCTTTCACCAACATCTTAGAAAAGAAAGACACAGCTTCTTTCTCACTAATGAGTTAATTCATTGCAAAAGTGAAAATATATTTCTACATATCAAAATCCAGTGAACTCCTTACAGCCTTCATTTTATTTCATCCTTCTGTGGAAATTGATAAGGTTAATTACCACTTTTTCTTCCTGAAGTTCCTGCTTCTTTTGTCTTCTTAGACCCCATTCCCTTCTGATCATCTGGCTTCCTGACCATCCATCTTAGTCTTCTTTGCTAGACATCTTCCTGTCTTCCCCTGAAATTTTGACGTTAACCAATACTTCTGGTCCCTATTTTATTCTCATCTTGCACACTCTCTCTGACTAATTCCATTCACAGCCATGATTTCTATTGAATTTAAGTCCAGCTCTCCTATTATTAGGAGGAATAATCTGGTGGTGACTTGAGGTAGTTAAATTTGAGTGGAGAACAATTCGAAAGATGACAAGGACACCTGTTAGAAACCTGTTTTTCTTGAGTATGATGATGAATTTATGGACTTAGAGTAGCAATGGATAAGAAGGAGGAATAGCATGTTTTTTTATTTTTCATTTTCTCCTATGTAATTGCTTTTACAACTTTGTTGAGGCATAATTTAGGTATTATAAGATTTACAAGGGAGGAGCCAAGATGGCCGAATAGGAACAGCTCTGGTCTACAGCTCCCAGCATGAGCGACGCAGAAGACGGGTGATTTCTGCATTTCCATCTGAGGTACCAGGTTCATCTCACTAGGGAATGCCAGACAGTGGGTGCAGGTCAGTGGGTGGGTGCAGGTCAGTGGGTGCGCACACCGTGCGCAAGCCGAACCAGGGCGAGGCATTGCCTCACTCGGGAAGCGCAAGGGGTCAGGGAGTTCCCTTTCCTAGTCAAAGAAAGGGGTGACAGATGGCACCTGAAAAATTGTGTCACTCCCACCCGAATACTGCGCTTTCCCGACGGGCTTAAAAAATGGCACACCAGGAGATTAAAACCCGCACCTGGCTCGGAGGGTCCTACGCCCACGGAGTCTCGCTGATTGCTAGCACAGCAGTCTGAGATCAAACTGCAAGGCGGCAGCAAGGCTGGGGGAGGGGCGCCCACCATTGCCCAGGCTTGCTTAGGTAAACAAAGCAGCCCCGGAGCTGGAACTGAGTGGAGCCCACCACAGCTCAAGGAGGCCTGCCTGCCTCTGTAGGCTCCACCTCTGGGGGCAGGGCACAGACAAACAAAAAGACAGCAGTAACCTCTGCAGACTTAAATGTCCCTGTCTGACAGCTTTGAAGAGAGCAGTGGTTCTCCCAGCATGCAGCTGGAGATCTGAGAACGGGCAGACTGCCTCCTCAAGTGGGTCCCTGACCCCTGACCCCCAAGCAGCCTAACTGGGAGGTACCACCCAGCAGGGGCAGACTGACACCTCACACGGCTGGGTACTCCAACAGACCTTCAGCTGAGGGTCCTGTCTGTTAGAAGGAAAACTAACAAACAGAAAGGACATCCACACCAAAAACCCATCTGTACATCACCATCATCAAAGACCAAAAGTAGATAAAACCACAAAGATGGGGAAAAAACAGAGCAGAAAAACTGGAAACTCTAAAAAGCAGAGCACCTCTCCTCCTCCAAAGGAATGCAGTTTCTCACCAGCAACGGAACAAAGCTGGACGGAGAATGACTTTGACGAGCTGAGAGAAGAAGGCTTCAGATGATCAAATTACTCTGAGCTATGGGAGGACATTCAAACCAAAGGCAAAGAAGTTGAAAACTTTGAAAAAAATTTAGAAGAATGTATAACTAGAATAACCAATACAGAGAAGTGCTTAAAGGAGCTGATGGAGCTGAAAACCAAGGCTCGAGAACTACGTGAAGAATGCAGAAGCCTCAGGAGCCGATGCGATCAACTGGAAGAAAGAGTATCAGCGATGGAAGATGAAATGAATGAAATGAAGTGAGAAGGGAAGTTTAGAGAAAAAAGAATAAAAAGAAACGAGCAAAGCCTCCAAGAAATATGGGACTATGTGAAAAGACCAAATCTATGTCTGATTGGTGTACCTGAAAGTGACGGGGAGAATGGAATCAAGTTGGAAAACACTCTGCACGATATTATCCAGGAGAACTTCCCCAATCTAGCAAGGCAGGCCAACATTCAGATTCAGGAAATACTGAGAACTCCACAAAGATACTCCTCGAGAAGAGCAACTCCAAGACACATAATTGTCAGATTCACCAAAGTTGAAATGAAGGAAAAAATGTTAAGGGCAGCCAGAGAGAAAGGTCGGGTTACCCTGAAAGGGAAGCCCATCAGACTAACAGCGGATCTCTCGGCAGAAACCCTACAAGCCAGAAGAGAGTGGGGGCCAATATTCAACATTCTTAAAGAAAAGAATTTTCAACCCAGAATTTCATATCCAGCCAAACTAAGCTTCATAAGTGAAGGAGAAATAAAATCTTTTCCAGACAAGCAAATGCTGAAAGATTTTGTCACCACCAGGCCTGCCCTACAAGAGCTCCTGAAGGAAGCGCTAAACATGGAAAGGAACAACTGGTGCCAGCCGCTGCAAACTCATGCCAAAATGTAAAGACCATCGAGACTAGGAAGAAACTGCATCAACTAATGAGCAAAATAACCAGCTAACATCATAATGACAGGATCAAATTCACATATAATAATATTACCTTTAAATGTAAATGGACTAAATGCTCCAATTAAAAGACACACACTGGCAAATTGGATAAAGAGTCAAGACCCATCAGTGTGCTGTATTCAGGAAACCCATCTCACGTGCAGAGACACACATAGGCTCAAAATAAAAGAATGGAGGAAGGTCTACCAAGCAAAAGGAAAACAAAAAAAGGCAGGGGTTGCAATCCTAGTCTCTGATAAAACAGACTTTAAACCAACAAAGATCAAAAGAGACAAAGAAGGCCATTACATAATGGTAAAGGGATCAATTCAACAAGAAGAGCTAACTATCCTAAATATATATGCACCCAATACAGGAGCACCCAGATTCATAAAGCAAGTTCTGAGTGACCTACAAAGAGACTTAGACTCCCACACATTAATAATGGGAGACTTTAACACCCCACTATCAACATTAGACAGATCAACGAGACAGAAAGTCAACAAGGATACCCAGGAATTGAACTCAGGTCTGCACCAAGTGGACCTAATAGGCATCTACAGAACTCTCCACCCCAGATCAACAGAATATACATTTTTTTCAGCACCACACCACACCTATTCCAAAATTGACCACATACTTGGAAGTAAAGCTCTTCTCAGCAAATGTAAAAGAACAGAAATTATAACAAACTATCTCTCAGACCACAGTGCAATCAAACTAGAACTCAGGATTAAGAATCTCACTCAAAACCACTCAATTACATGGAAGCTGAACAACCTGCTCCTGAATGACTACTGGGTACATAACGAAATGAAGGCAGAAATAAAGATGTTCTTTGAAACCAATGAGAACAAACACACAACATACCAGAATCTCTCGGACACATTCAAAGCAGTGTGTAGAGGGAAATTTATAGCACTAAATGCCCACAAGAGAAAGCAGGAAAGATCCAAAATTGACACCCTAACATCACAATTAAAAGAACTAGAAAAGCAGAGCAAACACATTCAAAAGCTAGCAGAAGACAAGAAATAACTAAAATCAGAGCAGAACTGAAGGAAATAGAGACACAAAAAACCCTTCAAAAAATTAATGAATCCAGGAGCTGGTTTTTTGAAAGGATCAACAAAATTGATAGACCGCTAGCAAGCTAATAAAGAAAAAAAGAGAGAAGAATCAAATAGATGCAATAAAAAATGATAAAGGGGATATCACCACCGATCCCACAGAAATACAAACTACTATCAGAGAATACTACAAACACCTCTACGCAAATAAACTAGAAAATCTAGAAGAAATGGATAAATTCCTCGACACATACACCCTCCCAAGACTAAACCAGGAAGAAGTTGAATCTCTGAATAGACCAATAACAGGATCTGAAATTGTGGCAATAATCAATAGCTTACCAACCAAAAAGAGTCCAGGACCAGATGGATTCACAGCTGAATTCTACCAGAGGTACAAGGAGGAACTGGTACCATTCCTTCTGAAACTATTCCAATCAACAGAAAAAGAGGGAATCCTCCCTAACTCATTTTATGAGGCCAGCATCATCCTGATACCAAAGCCGGACAGAGACACAACCAAAAAAGAGAATTTTAGACCAATATCCTTGATGAACATTGATGCAAAAATCCTCAATAAAATACTGGCAAACCGAATCCAGCAGCACATCAAAAAGCTTATCCACCATGATCAAGTGGGCTTCATCCCTGGGATGCAAGGCTGGTTCAATATACACAAATCAATAAATGTAATCCAGCATGTAAACAGAACCAAAGACAAAAACCACATGATTATCTCAATAGATGCAGAAAAGGCCTTTGACAAAATTCAACAACACTTCATGCTAAAAACTCTCAATAAATTAGGTATTGATGGGACGTATTTCAAAATAATAAGAGCTATCTATGACAAATCCACAGCCAATATCATACTGAATGGGCAAAAACTGGAAGCATTCCCTTTGAAAACTGGCACAAGACAGGGATGCCCTCTCTCACCACTCCTATTCAACATAGTGTTGGAAGTTCTGGCCAGGGCAATTAGGCAGGAGAAGGAAATAAAGGGTATTCAAATAGGAAAAGAGGAAGTCAAATTGTCCCTGTTTGTAGACGACATGATTGTATATCTAGAAAACCCCATTGTCTCAGCCCAAAATCTCCTTAAGCTGATAAGCAACTTCAGCAAAGTCTCAGGATACAAAATCAATGTACAAAAATCACAAGCATTCTTATACACCAATAACAGACAAACAGAGAACCAAATTATGAGGGAACTCCCATTCACAATTGCTTCAAAGAGAATAAAATACCTAGGAATCCAACTTTCAAGGGATGTGAAGGACCTCTTCAAGGAGAACTGCAAACCACTGCTCAAGGAAATAAAAGAGGATACAAACAAATGGAAGAACATTCCATGCTCATGGGTAGGAAGAATCAATATCGTGAAAATGGCCATACTGCCCAAGGTAATTTATAGATTCAATGCCATCCCCATCAAGCTACCAATGACTTTCTTCACAGAATTGGAAAAAACTACTTTAATGTTCATATGGAATCAAAAAAGAGCCCGCATCGCCAAGTCAATCCTAAGCCAAAAGAACAAAGCTGGAGACATCACACTACCTGACTTCAAACTATACTACAAGGCTACAGTAACCAAAACAGCATGGTACTGGTACCAAAACAGAGATATAGATCAATGGAACACAACAGAGCCCTCAGAAATAACACCGCATATCTACAACTATCTGATCTTTGACAAACCTGAGAAAAACAAGCAATGGGGAAAGGATTCCCTATTTAATAAATGGTGCTGGGAAAACTGGCTAGCCATATGTAGAAAGCTGAAACTGGATCCCTTCCTTAAACCTTATACAAAAATCAATTCAAGATGGATTAAAGATTTAAACATTAGACCTAAAACCATAAAAACCCTAGAAGAAAACCTAGGCATCACCATTCAGGACATAGGCACGGGCAAGGACTTCATGTCTAAAACACCAAAAGCAATGGCAACAAAAGCCAAAATTGACAAATGGGATCTAATTAAACTAAAGAGCTTCTGCACAGCAAAAGAAACTACCATCAGAGTGAACAGGCAACCTACAAAATGGGAGAAAATTTTTGCAACCTACTCATCTGACAAAGGGCTAATATCCAGAATCTACAATGAACTCAAATAAATTTACAAGAAAAAAACAAACAACCCCATCAAGAAGTAGGCGAAGGACATGAAGAGGCACTTCACAAAAGAAGACATTTATGCAGCCAAAAAACACATGAAAAAATGCTCACCATCACTGGCCATCAGAGAAATGCAAATCAAAACCACAATGAGATACCATCTCACACCAGTTAGAATGGCAATCATTAAAAAGTCAGGAAACAACAGGTGCTGGAGAGAATGTGGAGAAATAGGAACACTTCTACACTGTTGGTGGGACTGTAAACTAGTTAAACCATTGTGGAAGTCAGTGTGGCAATTCCTCAGGGATCTAGAACTAGAAATACCATTTGACCCAGCCATCCCATTACTGGGTATACACCCAAAGGACTGTAAATCATGCTGCTATAACGACACATGCACACGTATGTTTATTGCGGCATTATTCACAATAGCAAAGACTTGGAACCAACCCAAATGTCCAACAATGATAGACTGGATTAAGAAAATGTGGCACATATACACCATGGAATACTATGCAGCCATAAAAAATGATGAGTTCACGTCCTTTGTAGGGACATGGATGAAATTGGAAATCATCATTCTCAGTAAACTATCGCAAGAACAAAAAACCAAACACCGCATATTCTCACTCATAGGTGGGAATTGAACAATGAGAACACATGGACACAGGAAGGGGAACATCACACTCTGGGGACTGTTGTGGGGTGGGGGGAGCGGGGAGGGATTGCATTGGGAGATATACCTAATGCGAGATGACGAGTTAGAGGGTGCAGTGCACCAGCATGGCACATGTATACATATGTAACTAACGTGCACATTGTGTACATGTACCCTAAAACTTAAAATATAATAATAAAAAAAAGACAGAAAGAAACACAGAACAGAAAGGACAAATAGAAAGCACAAAATAAAAGCAAATAATAAAATAAAATAAAATTTACCCATTTTAAGTATATAATAAACATTTTTAAATTTCTGAGTTGTGAAACCATCATCATAATGCAGTTTGAAGACACTGTCATCACCCCAGCAAGATTCCTCATGCCTATTTATAGTTAATAATATCCATGTCTGCTCTTAGACCCAGGAAGCCACTGATATACTTTCTGTTCCTATACATTTGCCTATTCTAGAAATTTCATATAAATGGAATAATACTGTATATGTTATTTTAGGTCTGGCCTCTTTCACTTAAATAATGTTTTTGTGGTTCATCCATGTTGCAGCCATGTTGCAGTATGACCATGTTACATAGGAAAAAGTAGTTTATTGCTTTTTATTGATGAATACTAGTACTCCCTGTTTGGATTCACTACATTTTGTACGTCTGTTCATGAGTTGGTGGACATTTGGATTGTTTTTAATACTGGGCTAGTATTAATAGTGTGGCTATAAAGATTTTTATGCAAATCTTTCTGTGGACATGTTTTTGTTTCTCATGAGAGATTCCTAGGAGTGGAATTGCTGGGTCATATGACAGATTTATATTTAACTTAACATTTCTAGTTTGCAATTCTTAAGGGAACAAAATTAATGTTGTGAAACATAGAATTACCAAATAGTCTACCAAGTCCACTCCTAGGAATATATCCAAACAAATTGAAAACAGGTATTTGAGGAAAAACCTTTACAAAACTGTTCATAGCAACACTATTCATAATAAACAAGAGCTGTAAATAACCCAACATACATGAACTAATGAATGGATAAACTATATGAGAGAACGTTATTCAGTCATAAGAAATAGAGTTCTATTGCATGCTGCAACATGGAAGAACATTGAAAACATTACACTAAGTAAAAGAGGCCAGACATAAAAGCTTACATATTCTATGATTTCATTTACATGAAATATCCAGAATTGGCTAATTCACGGAGACAGAAAGTAGATTAGGGTTTTCTAGGGGCCAGGGAGGAAAGAAAAAAGGGAAGTGAGTATTTAATGGATTTGAGGTTTTCTTTTGGGGTGATGAAAAATTTCTATAGTTAGATAGTTGTGATGGTTGCACAGCATTGTGAATGTACCTAATGCCATTCAATCTTAACTTTAAAATATAAAACGGTAAATGTTATGTTACGTGCATTTTACCATAATAAAAAAAGCTGTGTGTGATCCGCAAACAGAAAGTCTAAAATCCACATGAATAGAGATTAATTTGCTTTGGTACACTGCTTTTGGAGAATCAGAATGCTTAGGGAAATGATGCTTTCTTAGAATCAATTAGTCATCCTCATAGTTCCTGAATTCAGTGTCTACCATGTCCATGCATTGTTCTAGGAGCTTTACAGACATTATTTCTAATTTTTATAGTACTCCAACTAGGCAGGTGTTGTTAATTCCATTTTTAAGACTAGGAAACACAAGCTCTAAAAGATTAACACATTCATAGTCACAGAGCTCATAAATGCTGAAACCGGGAGTTAAGAGATATTCTCTTTTACTCTAAAGCCTGTGGATTTTACACTGTATTTTGTTGTTCCAAAATTGTTTGAGCGTATTCTAGCTGGAAGGCACCGTGCACAAAAGAATAGCAAAACAAAGCATTATTATCAAAGAAGGCAGAAGGACCTGGAGAGGGACTCTATTATTGAATATCTCAGAGTTTTAGGAAATTCACGTTGTGTTTAACGCTAGTGGACCCCTGGGTAAACTGGAACAATGACCATAATGAATCCCATATTGTAACATGACAGTTCTTAGCTCAATATATGCTTACTATAAGCTGATTTCAAATATTTTGGCTTACTGCCAGGAAGAACGCAGAGCTTGTAATTTCAATTACATGGTATTTCAAGTAGAACCTTGTCTTAATATTGAAGGGTGGCATTAGAGTTGACTGCCAGGACAGCAACAAGTTTCAGAGAAGGATTGTTATTTTTAAATTACTTTAAGGACCAAGTGGACCAGCTCACCCCTGTGCTTGAAAAGACTGCAAAGGCTAAAGGACTTAATACTTGGTGAGTCTTAATAGAAAAATGTAGGTTGCGTGAAGTGGTTTTTTATAGAATCTCAATAGTAAGTTAAAACTCTTATACACCACACAGTATTGAGGGATAAGAGGCTTAAATTACAGTCAGCCTCTTATGCTGTGGGTTAGGATTTATTTGAAATACAGATTTACCAATAGTTGTTAGAAAAACATGAAATTACTTTGAGAAGTATTTGGCCATACTAAGTGAAGTAAACAAAAAATATGACAAACAAACTAATGAAAACCACTTCTAAGCCTGCAGATAGACTATAGGGGTTATAAGAAATATATGAATTATTTTATTATGACGTTTGGGAAATTAATAGTAAAATTTATATTTATAAAATATAAAATATATATTTGAATTTTAAAAAATTATTATATTACAAATAAACTCAAAATCTCTTGTATAAGTTCATCTATATATACATACCCACAGTGCATGAACTTTCTTCAGATCATAAGATGAAAGCATTAAGATTTTTATGTTTTAGTTTAATTGCAGTTTCAGCCTCATAGGCTCAGAGAATGTGGAGAACTCTAACAGCAGTTGAATTCTCAACCATCTAATATTAAGAAGTCTTCCAACATTTCCTTAACTTCTCCAGGTTAAAAGAAACTAAGACTTCCTTTAAGAGAGGGAACGTATCTCTGTTAAACTTGTAAGAGAGTTCTTCCAGTTCTTCCTCATTTAGAGTGATCAAAATTTGATTCCTTTTACCTTCCACAGATTGTGCTGATGTCTCATTAAATTAAATTTCCCTGCCTTCAAATTCTATGAGCCAACAACTCCTTAAACTTTTCTAATTAGTCCCCTGGCATGACTTATACTTGTAAGTTCATTGCTCATCCTGTGGGACCTTCCCTTTGACCTGGTTCTACTGTGCTGGAACCAGGCGGTATGGCTCCCTGGCTGGGTAGGGCCATCTTTCCCCAACTTTATACAATGACATCACATTGGTACCTTGAAATCAGCCCTATGGGAGGATTTATTCCACAGAAATCAACAAATGCTTTAAGAGCCTTAATTTTCTTCTGGAGAACTGGTTGTTAAACTTTTACCATGTCCCACTGATACTAAGAATTCAGATAGGAAATATAGAAAATGATGCTATAAAAACTGACAAGTGACTTCTTTTAGGGCCTCACCAGCAAGCTTCGTTGTGGATGCGCAGTGGAAGTACTGGGAATTTGTGTCCTTCGAGAGTTTTCCATAGGGTTGTGTATATAATGGGTGACTGGTATTTTCCGACTTGAATTAATGTGGGGAATTTTTCTCCCATTCTTGTATAAAATAGCGGTGGAATTCTATACTTCATAGATCAGAGACCAGCTGGTTGAGTTGGAAAAATGTTTCTTAATTTTAACTTTATTTTTTATGTTTAGGCCAGGATTTCTCTCTAGTTAGCTCTTGAATTGTGTTTTTTTGAATATCAAGAAACCATCCATATATTTGTAGGTAGGTCTTTTTGAGAATCGTATGGTTCTAATTTCCTCCCAATCCACCAGAAAATGTTGTTGATTTTTAAAAATGACAGGCAGTATCTTGTGAAGCTCTGTATTGCCACACATTATTTTGTCCTTGAAGGAAAGCTTAAAAGAAAATGACAGCATATTTTATGGTCATAACACAGCAATATTGAAAACATGTTCTCGTAGATAAAGGAAATGATCACTGTTTTGTAAATAATGAGCACTCTTGGATCATATAAATGTGATTGTGAGTGCTGAATATTAAATTTAATACACAACTTGACCCTGCTTTTTTAATCAACTGAGATAATAAATATTAAGTTGCTAACATGGCCCCTCTCACTAAACCGATTGCATGAAGCCTTGTAGAAAAAAAGTGGAAAGTGAAATGGTTTTAGCCTTAAAAACATAATGGTTCTCTAAGGAAAATTATCTAAATGCACTAAGATGAAAACCATTAAGTAAATTGTATGATGTAGACTGTATACATAATGTCAGTTTAGAGATAGGAGAGCTTTCCATAGATTGGAAGAGTTAGATAAGATTTCAAGGGAGGATTGAACTTGATCTTTGTTATCACAGAAATTGTTTTTAGCATTTGTTTCACTAGTTAATGTAGCACAGTATCTCCTTCTAGATTTACAAAGTAACAGCATAAGGAAAACAGGAAACTAGGAGTCCAGCCTCAGTTACATTTTATGTGACCCTCTTTTAGAATTTAATGTAGTTTACTGAGATAGGCCCTGTCCTACAAATTATGTTTTGAAAACCGTTTTTCATTGAGGAATGTGGTTTCAAACATGATAAAGAGAATTCTGATGTGTGAATAACATCCTCCATATTGTTGAAATTGACTAATCACTTTGATCTGTCATGCATGGCCCCTGCATGACATTTCTTGGTGTGTGTTCTGCTCCTGGCCAGGAATAGAGTCACAGTCATTGGTGCCAAGCCCTTTCAGTGGCTGCTGGAGAGGTCAAGTCATGCTCTAGTCAGGAGCAAGAAGCTCTGAGAATGAACCTCCCACATTCTGTGCAAGTACCAGTATCTGTAGTTGATGTCTAGCATTTGGTTACCATGTTCTTTCAAGCAATTTTGTGAATGGATTAACTGGAAAAAAAAATCACTTAAAAAATAAAAAAGGGCCGGGAGCAATTTAGTTCAACAAAGTGTTTAAAAAATGCAGAGCTACATGGATCACATTATGGTATGAGAAAAACCAAACTAATAAATCAGACTGTAAACTAATAAAACATACTGTTGACCTTAGAAAAAGTAAAATCCTGAAAAAGTGTATCCTGAAAGCGTTACTTTTACATTTCTTCTAAAGCTATGCAAAATTGCTACCTTAGTTCAAAGTGGAGAAAAGAAGCCAAAATCTGCTACCAGGAATGAAGTTGACAAGTATGTTCTTTCATGATTACTTTGTATTGAGGCATAACATTCCTTTTCGATGTAAACAGGGTTTTTAAGAATCTAGAAAGGAATGTTAAACAGCAGGTGAAGGTTGGAAGCTTGAGGCCAAAGAAGACATTAAGTAAACTGAACCCATCCAAATTTCCCTGGGCCTTGAATAAATCTAGAGCCTGGGAAGAATACCCAAGGCTGTCCCAGCCACAGTGAATTAACGTCTGAGCTAAATGAAGCTGTACTATTTGCATGAATGACTTCTGGGATTTTTAAGAAGACAGAAATACGATGACCACTCTAAAAGTCTCTACCTCTGAAATTCTACTTTATAAAACTTTGAAGGTGACATGGGTATCATAGTCTATTACCAGTCACGGAAAAAGTACACTTAGAATTGTTTATATAAAATGTCTACCTGTATATGAAAAGCTGAGGTAGAACAAATTTTTCAGGGCAACTGTACTATATATATCTATTAACTTTGGTTAAACATAGGATAGACACATTGGAATTTTTTTTAGTGGCCATGTAACCTTTGATTAGTAAATAGTATACTTATATATTTTTCTGTATTCAAAAGCTTAGAAATATTTAGCCTTGTAGGAAATTTCTGGACACTACAAAACTGAAAATTTTATAGCACAACTAGGACACATTTTTTTGGTTGCTTATTCTGATGAAATAATGTGTCCTATGTCATTATAAATATTCACACTATTTCAAATTTCTTCCTTTCGACTTGCAGTAAATATTTTGTACTAAGCATGTATAAGATCTTTCTAGAAGACAACAGGGCCACTGCATTCAAACTAAAGCCCAAGTTCAACCTTAGAAGAACTGTCAAGATTCAGTGATGAGGGAAAGTTGTATTCCGGATTATGTGAGTGTCTTCCTGACACTGAAAATTTTGAGTCTGCTCTAATTCCCTGTGGACTCCAACAGAAGAAACTGGCATAATGGCAGTTTCAGTAATAATAGTAATAGAGTAATAAGCCAGCATTATAAAGGTGTTGCCTTTTATATATGGAAAATTTATTATTTGCTCATGACTATGCTATGTTCTTCATAGATATTTTGTAACATCTTCATACCAATCCTATGTAGTAGATATCTGATACCAATTTTACAGTTGTAGAAACTGCTGCCGGGAGGCTCAGTAATCTTTGAAGATTACACAGCCAGGGAAGAGCAGAGCCAGGTTTTGACACCAGGTCACATGGTGCTACAACCTCCACTCTTAATTCTAATACCTTGCCTTCTCTTGTGTAGACGTCCAACCTCCTATGGTTGTCCAAGCCACCTAGGTAACTAGGGGGAACTGTATCCTTCACATTCTAAGAAGTCACTTCGTGTACAAATATATTTGTGGCTTAAAACTAAGAGTAACTGGCCAGGCGCGGTGGCTCACGCCTGTAATCCCAGCACTTTGGG
Source organism: Homo sapiens (assembly GCF_000001405.40). Lineage (NCBI taxonomy): Eukaryota > Metazoa > Chordata > Mammalia > Primates > Hominidae > Homo > Homo sapiens. The sequence continues at coordinate 68,755,823 of NC_000008.11, forward strand.
AGGCCGAAGCAGGTGGATCACGAGGTCAGGAGGTCGAGACCATCCTGGCTAACAGGTGAAACCCCGTCTCTACTAAAAATACAAAAAAAAAAAAATTAGCCGGGCGTGATGGCGGGCGCCTGTAGTCCCAGCTACTCGGGAGGCTGAGGCAGGAGAATGGCGTGAACCCGGGAGGCGGAGCTTGCAGTGAGCCGAGATTGCGCCACTGCACTCCAGCCTGGGCGACAGAGTGAGACTCTATCTAAAAAAAACAAACAAAAAAACAAAAAAAAAAACCAGAGTGACTCCCAAATGTAGATGGACAGTGCATATGAGAGCCGCCAGTGGCCTTGCTCTTTAAATTATGTCTGATGGCCCCTGTGCTGAATACAGTACCCTGGCACAGAATGTGTGCTTGAATGAGGAAACAGGATTCAGGGACTTTATTTTTCCTACATTTGCAGCCTCAAAGGGATATAAATGCTCTGATGCTATAGATCACTTACACAGAATTAATTCCATTATGTACTAATTCACTCTATTTTGAAAAGTGTAACTCTACTGAACTTCTGGCCTATGATTCTAGAAAATGCACTGTGACACTAACTCATTCATTCATTTTTCATCCAACCAGCATTTGCTAAGCACCTCTGCTGGGCATTCTGTTGATCGGAAGTGTATACTTCTGAAGTAACGGGTAGGGGGTGGGAGGACAATTTTAATTATAAATGGAAACTTTAAGGATGGAAAGGAGGTACTCAAAGAAAAGAAAGAAAAAAGTATGAAAGCTTAAATAATATGTTACTTAAGTACTCTGAGTTTGTTTAGTTTTGCTTTTTAATTTCCAATTTATTTAATTTCCAATTTATAAATCACTGATTTATAAATTGGAAAAATGTTAAAGTATGTTCATCAAAAGAAGACTGGTAAGGGAGTAAATCTGTACACGAAAACATGCCAAAAACTGTATCAGTAAATAAATATTCTGATCAATATTTTCAATAATTTAGATTGTGTTGATTGATATGATTTTAAACAGGACTAGCTTGTTGCTCTATGAAAATCTAGAGCTTCCCATATGGATATTTCTTCTTAAAGATGAAAGAGAACTCTTATTTAGTTAAACACAGTTGACAGATGGGTTAATAAATGATTTACACATAGGGTGATTAGATGCCTACCAAGTATACTATTCATGAATTAAAACAATTCCTCCTTCACAAGATAAAAAAAGGTATCTTAGCACACTTGCATTTCATAGTTGAATGGCATTGTTAGATTGAAAATAAATTTGATTCCGTTTTAAAGTCTTGCTGTGCAACTGAGAAAAGACACAACTTTAAAAATTATTTATTTTTTTTTTATGATCAGGATCCTTCAAGCCAACTTTCAAAATGAAGATTAAACCATGTGCTTTCAACAAGAGAGCTCTGCAGGTCCTGTGTCCCTCCAGATTATCTAATGGAGGACTCTGGAGGCAGTGGGTCAGTGACGGATGTTAACCAGCTCACTTTAACAAGTGCGAAAGATTAAAAACAAAAATGTTAGCCGGGCGCAGTGGCTCATGCCTGTAATCCCAGCACTTTGGGAGGCTGAGGCGGGCGGATCACCTGAGGTCAGGAGTTCAAGACCAGCCAGGCCAACATGGTGAAACCCCGTCTCTACTAAAAATACAAAAATTAGCCGGGTATGATGGCGGGCGCCTGTAGTCCCAGCTTCTGAGGCAGGTGAATCACTTGAACCGGGGAGGCGGAAGCTGCAGTGAGCCGAGATCACGCCACTGCACTCCAGCCTGGGCAATAGAGTGAGACTCCGTCTCAAAAAAATAAATAAATAAATAAATAAATAAAGCACAAAAATGTTGCTTATAGGGAATATTGTGGTGAACATGTAAAGAGTAGGTGCAAAATTTACATTTAGGCCAAGCTGAATTTTGATTCTCTTCTGAGAAGTAAACATAACGTACAATGGATAGAATGTGGACTGTGGAGTTCCAGAGACCCATGGTCAAATCTGGCTTGGTTTTTTAGCTCTAAGATGTTGGGCAAGTAATACAGTCTCTCTGAGCTTACTATTTTTACTCATAAAACATATAACATCAACTTTATATGGTTCTAGGAAGGATTAATTGAGATATGTAAAGTGCTTAAAATGGCAGGTATGTAACTCATTCACAATTGTTCCAGATTCTCCTGGATTCTTGGATTGGAATAGCCCAACAAAGTACACGTTCAGTCAGTCAGCAAATATTTACTGCGTGCCTGCTGTGTGCCAGGCACACTGATGGCATCGGGGATGCAATTACAATGAGACTCCGCCTTTGTCCATAATGAGTTTCCACTCTGTTTGAGGAAATAATGACATAAACATGAAATTTGGCCAGTCTAGGATGCCCACTGCTAGGACAGCAGCAAAGAAGGCAAAACAAATGGCTCATATATTTTTAAAAATTTTCTCTGCTTTATACAAACAGTAAAATTGAGTAACTTCTCCTCATCTCATGTGGAATTGTTTATTTTGTTTCTGTGGGTCAGTAGATTTTGGTAGTCCACCCCATAGTAGTATAACAGCAAATTCTCAAGCTAAGCCAGAATCAGGTCAGTAGCACAGGATGGTTCTTTTATGAAGTTAAGGTCAAGCCGTACTCCTTAGTCTGCAGTGGTCTTGGCTGGGAACACCAGGCCAAAATATCCTCTCTAGAAACAAGTGATATATGAACATATTTACATTTGTTCTGAGAAATCAGGGAGTATAGTCCCATCATTAAGGACTATCTATCTCTAATTAAGCTTTTCAAGTCAGCTAACTTTAGTCCAAACTCTGGCAGGAAGAGTTATAAGGGATCGTGGCGGCTTGCTTTCTGCGTGGGAACCTGGGGGCTTTGCAGAACTGCACTTCTTACATCTCAAGCAGAGATGATATAGAGACTGTACATTATTCCCTTGGACTTTGTTTTTATTTTTTTATGATTCTTATAGGCATATCCATTTAAATAGTGTATTATATCTAATAAGTAGACTTCCTTACTAAATGGTCCGGACTTTCCTCAATGGATAAAAATTGTTCTAAACTCAGCAGTAAAAGCAATTGGATTTATACTTATTTTTCCTATAATCATTCTTAGCAACTGGCACAGCTGTGATCTTACTGTCATTTCTTACAATTATGATAAAGATAAGAACTAGTTAGTTTAGCTTTAACTATTTGCATTTCCAAAAAGAGCACCTGAACTTTCAAAGGAAATGATCTTAAAAAATTATACGTAGACACATACATACATATACACAAACACACACACATATGAAATATATACACACAGACCATATTCCTCTTAATCATTCTAACCAAATCTTTGCACATGTATATCCAAGTCACATTTTTTACCCATTATATAGACATTCATTTTACTTACAGGAAGAAAAAAATATTAAATTATCAACTTAATTTAAAGTTAACATCTATTTAACTTTAAAGTTAAATTTAACTACAATTTAATTTAAAGTTAACATCTGTTAACTAGAAGTTATTCCATCCTCATTCAAATAAAAACAACAGTAGAGGATCTAGTCTTTCTTTATGCTGAAGGATCAGAAATTAGCAAAATGCAATTTTGTGTTTTCTTGTTTCTTCACACACCCACCCCATTCATCCTCATTGTTTCAGTTTCTCCTGGTGTGGGACTTATATTTCCAGCCTGCCAAAAGTGAGAGCTTTCTCAACAGTGAACTCTCAAAAGATTTCTTAGCTGTGAAAGAATTACAGAATGCCAAGAAGTACCTTGTCGGGGTCTACTGAATTTACATATACATGTGGGAATGAATAAGTGGTGTGTTTGTTTGAATATTAGTCAAAAATGTAAAGAAAGTTATCCTTGATTTTTCTGACTACCTTTCAGATTATCTTGCAGGATGCATGTTTGTTTAAAATTCACTGAATTCTTAAGTAGGATTTTGAATGGATTGATGGATAAAACTATTTTCAAAAAATAATTTAGTATAGCATTGAAAGAACATGCTATATTCACTTTCTAGGCTTAGTGCATCCATTCATTCCACAAACATCTATTAAGCATTTTCTATGGTGAAATCCTGTGAGGTACTGGGAATCTGGAAATGAAAGATATACTCATTGCCATTAAAGCACTTACAGTATGACAGGAAGGGCAGCTGAATGAACAGATGTTTGTGAGAGTACGGAAGTGCTGTGACAGAAGTATGCATGGCATGCCTAGGAGAGGCAGAGGCACACAAAGTAGGCTGCAGGGTGGAGCATGATCAGAAATAGCTTCCTGGAGAAGTTGGCCTGTGGCTTGATAGTGAAGGGAGTTGCTGGGAAGAGTCATTACAACACAGGCGGAGGACAGCCTGCGGAGGCCACCCACAGGTCAGCACAGCTGGAGAATTAGGTGATGGGGGGCCGTGATGTTGGAGTGGCAGGTCATAATGAAAATGAGAATCATTTCTCCAGTGCCTAGCTCTGTGATTTATAGGTATTGCCTCTAATTCTTTCAATCGAAAGCATTCTTAGTTGTAGTGTCTTTACAACTGAGAAAGAGAGACTTGGAAAATTGAAGTGACTTGCCTCAGAGGCCACACATACCTAATAAATGAGTGTCAGAAAAAAAGGATTCAGACCCAATCTCATGTCCAAATCCAATTTGGAGCTTGATTTCCAGGGAGTGTTGAATAATGTGTTTATATTCTGGAAGCTTGGAGGAGACACTGAATGATTCAAACCCTTGTGCCTACTTCTTCCTCCTGGCAGAAATGAACTAATTTATCTGAGCATGAGACTCTTTGCAATATTACTTATTAAATTCTCATAAGAGCCTAACAAAGGATTTCATAACTCACAGTAGGTTTTTTTTCCTTTAAATGACTTTATGTATATTTTCAAGGAGTTCATTTGTCCATAATAATTTACACTGAGGTTTAATGTAAATAATTTGTTGGGTTGACCCTGGAGTAGCAAAACTAAGAAGTGGAAAATATCTACCTGAGATAATGGAAGGAGAACTGGATTAGGAGTCCAGTGTGTGAGTTTAAATCAGCCTCTATCACTGTTTAAATATTTAATTTGACTAATACAATGGTTGGTTTCATTTCCTGTCTTCTAGAAGACCATAGGCTATGGATTCCTAGCTCTACCTTGGAATCTTTTTCGTCTCAGCTTCTACAGCTGTAAAATAGAAGTATTTCCTTGGCAGGAATATTGAGAGTAGCAGTACATATGCCTGGTCTATAGCCGGTACTGGATAAAGGCCAATTTCCTTACCTTGATTCAGATGATGACACAGTCAAAAGCAAGGCTATCTGAATACTTTTCCACCTTCTTCTCCCAAATTAAATGCAACAAGGTTATAATTATGAGAAACAAGGGACAATCTAATTCTATCCCCTCACTACCAATCTGCCTCAATGTGGTGGCCCAGCTTTAGAACTTTAGGAAGAGACCACAACAGAAATTTGGTATCAGAATATGGAGCCACTTCTTCCCCAGTGGGGAACCCCTTCTGTAGCTCACTACTGTACCTTGCCCTCAGGATTTCAGGCAACAGTTCTTTCCTGAAACTTCCTGCTCCCACTCATATTTTATTACTCCTCTAGAGCAGTGCTCCCTTATTTTGAGGAAAAAAAAATTGTCTCCCTGAAACTTTCATCTATAAGCCCCAATTTGACTCTCTGAAACAAACAAAAAACCGTCTAATTTCCTTTCCATCTTTTAAATCTTCAGTTAAACACAATACTCTTTCTTTAGGTCTTCTGTCCTTCGGATGAAAAATAAATAACTTCTTCAACGATTCTTTATGTGACCTTATTTCTAGACCCCTCTCTATTTGCCACCAACACACCAAATGGAACCACAGTGCTCTAACCTGATCAACAAAGTCCAGTTCACCCACTAACAGCCTGGAGAAGTCTGCTGTACCTTTACTAATGATGTCTAATTTTGAAATAGCTTTTTTAGTAGCTTCCACTGCATTTCTGGTGCACACCAAAGTTGTAGTCAGCTAAAATTCTCCCCTGCCTCCTTTTTTCTTTAACACTACAGTGTGGCTGTGTTTTTATAATCCCGTGTCTATGTGATTTAAAAAAAAATAAAAAGCATAGTAGAGTATTTTGCAATTAATTTCACTGGGCTAGTTTCAGCTTCTTGATAACTTTGAAAATGTGTTGTTGTACACTTTTTAAATCTCACCATCACTGTTGGAGCTCTTATAAAAGTGGCCAACACTGCTCTCACTCACCCCCTTGGCTGTGGCACACTGCATAATTGCATGTGGTGGCCAGTGATAAGTCTGGTGCTTGGCCAAGTCAGTGATTAAAGATTCTCTTAATTTTCTAAAGTAACATTAAGTATGGAAGGGGCCTTGATTAGCTCGATTTGTGTCATCTCGGAGCTTCAAAGAGTATCCTACCAGAGTAAAGAAAACTCCCAAGAGACTTGTAATCTTTAAGAATATTGAGGTTGCCGTTTCATAACTTGACTTTATTAAACTGATATATTTAACTAACTGGCAGTGACCATAAGATGATTTACATTTAACTTTCAACCTGCAATATTGGTATGGGTTTCAGATGGGGCTAAATAGTTTGGCTCTGAAGTTTATTGTCAAAAAGTACCCAAGATTTTAAGTGTTTATCTCAATTAACATTGAAAGTCCATAAAATTACACTATACATGTTACAAGAATTATTCTGTTTTCTTGAAATTTCTGGCTTTTAGATTCCCAGACTTGGCAGGAAATCTTTTTGGCTCCTCTGTTTCTGATTTTAGCTGTTTTCACAAAATGCAAACACATGCAAAAACATTGTAATAAACCTCAGTGTTCAGTCATGTTCAGTAAGACCTCAAAAGATGTTTGCTTTGAACTGGGTTCTAAAGATGGGCATACCTTCGTAAGAATAGAAGATATCCTCTTACTCTCTATGATGTGGTTTGGCCTTCTCAGGGTCTCAAAGTAAGCTTTGTTCTGTAAGGCACATTATATTCACTTTTTGGACTAAGAATTAACAGAGAAATTTCTTCCTATAGAACATCTTGGGGCTCTTCTAGTCCCCAAAGGGGCAAGGGTTTTAGACCACGAAGGAATGACTGTATTGCATCAAAGAGACTAGGAACATCATCGCAGGGCCCACACTCTGTGCCCTGTCTTAGATGTAATGAAGCATTGGAATTGTGGTTCATTAAGTTGCTGGGTCTGGTATCACTTTGTGGTTTTGCCCTAACTGATTGGTCTATAAAGTCTGTCCTAGGCATCAGTGAAACAGATTCCTACTGGATAAATTCTCCTTGGAGTAAGATGGACTTATTTTTTTTCAGTTCATGCTACAATAGTCTTGGACTAAACTCCCAATGAATGAATTTGTAAACAAAAATTTAAGACTAGGCTGAAGGGGTTTAGACAATGGTATAATCTTTCGTTAGTGGAATGTGATTGCAGTGATATCTTCTGCAAGCAGGTAATTTCACATCCTTCCCTAACTTTGTTTCCTTTCTAAGTTTTATCCATTTTCCTTGATAATGATGCTGCCTTCCCTGGAGAGAGCTTTTGACTTTTATTTCTTCTCAAAAAGACCATTTACTCTGATGGGTCTGACAGTGTCTTTGTGGTAGGCAATTCAACTGGATCTTACTCCCTTTTTCTTCTTCTTCTATTCTACCTTCAGTTTATTTTTGTTCACCTGTGTTTTTGGGTTACTCTCCAACTCAAAACAAATGTAGTCAATTTTGAAAATGTCTTTCTCTACTTCATATTCATACTCAATTTCCTGTTGATCCTATATAGATCTAAAATATGACTTTTCCCCCATCTCTTGCTACTAGAATATCCCCGATCCCGTCATTTTGAAATATTCAACATTGTTACAAAAAGTCTTTGTCTTTATGTCTTCTGATGACATCTTCTATCTTTTGTATATTAAATTAGAAATTTGTGCTTCTTGTAATAATCCTCATTCATTCAAGAACTGTTTTGGAGAGATTCAGGTACCAAGCCCTGCACTAAGTGCTATTAATGGTAAAGAGATAGATATGTCCACCATAAAAGAGCTTCACTGGTTGCCTTAGACTAGCCCAAGGCTGTATCCCTCCCCATGGATGAGGAGTCCATGGGACCAAGATGTATCTCTCTGGAGCCTGAATATGTGCTAGGCACTAGAATCCTAGAATCCCTTTCACTAGAGATCCCAAGCCTGCTCTCTGGACCTGCATTGGCCTCTTTCCTCAGTCCATCATTCCCTACAGCTAACTCTAGGTCTGAGGAGTGGGCAAGAGGCAGCTGTTTTGGGGATATGTGGACGAGCTTGGACATACAGGTACAGATATCCACATAATGTCCTCATAGAGCCCCTTGTGGTACAGTGCAGGGTGTGAGGAGAGGGGACAGGGAGATAGAGTTAGAGGTTAGCACCTACCTGCTGCTTTCTTTTTTCTGCCAAATTCTGGTGCAGAACTTGAAGGAATACAGGAATTCTAAATTTGAAACCGGCCTTCTAAGTCTGATGGAAAGTCAAGATACAGTTTATGTGATAGTTTGTTGGCGGTGCAGACCTCTGTTTGACCTCTTGGCCCAGGCCTTGCAAATATTAAGGTTGGGTCTGTGGAGTCAACAATGTAGGAGAGAGCACTTCTACCAGTGCAGTCAGTGGGCAGGTTTTCTAATAGTGGGGAGTCAAGACAGCACATAGCAGAGTGGGGTGAAGACCACACAAATATGTGGGCTGGGGGAGTCTTCCTCGAACAAGTAGCATTGGAGCTGAGACCTGCCAAGTGTAAAATCTTGCCATGTGACATCAGGAAAAGGGCATGGAATGTGGAAAGGAATGTCTGGAAGAGGAAAGGAATGCCAAAGGTTGAGGGGAAGGAGACAAAGAGACAGAAGAGACACTGCCTTTGGGGGCCTCAGGTTTATTCAGTATGACTAGAGCACCGGGAGCTTCCTGAGATGGAGATGAATAGATAGTCGGGAACAAGGACTTGCTAAGGATGCCGTCTTACTCCCTTGTCTCAACAATTTCGCAAAGTGTTCCTTTATTAATCAATCTTCCATTCATCCATGAATTTACTCCTGAAAACTTATTTGTATATGAAGCCATTTGATAATTTCCTATCACTGAAAGTACAAGATTCTTCTAATGAAAGTAACACAAAAATAAGAGATAAACGAAGAAGTAGCATCTGATTTCCTTCCTACCTATATTATTAAAGTCTTAAGCATATCCCTCATTTTTGTACCTTTCACAATATTAGGTTGTTTTTTCCTGCCTTTCATTATAAACTAAACACTAGTACTAACGTTTATCACAGTGATTTATAATAATGACAGCCAGGGATTTGTCCTTGTCCTCATTGCTTTATAGACAGTATTTCATTTCATTCTCAGAATAACCCCTGAGGAAAGTGGTGTTATCGCCATTTACAGATGAGAAAATGGAAATCAGGGAAGTTATGTAAATTTGCCCAATGTGCGTAAGCATAAGTGGCAAAACTGGAGTTTAAACACCTTTGTTTGACTCCAAAGCCTGTCCTCTTACTTTTCTAGGTAACACCTTTGCACCTTCTGACAGTACGTAGAGTCTAGGCCAAGTCTTAGTCTAATGACCAGCACCCATTAAGCAAAAGAAATAATGTACATAAACACAGGTGGTGAGTTTGGACCCACCAATGGAAATCACCTTTCAAAGTGTCCTAGAGACTGTAGGTAAAACTCCAGAGTTAGTAATCATAATAATTTGAATAAATTAAAACCCCCACTATTTTCTGATTCCAAGTCACTCTCTTATATATTTGGAGGTCACTTCTTTTTCTTAGACGATTGGTTATGCTTCTACACATTTACTACCAGCAAGACACAACTTTACTAGTGACGCTGTTAATGGTATCAGCTGCCAAGTTTATGACAGACTAGATGATGCTCATTCATGCATTTTGCTAATTTGGTTGGAACCTTAATTCTGCAGATAGCATTTTCTCTAAATCACTTGTGTAATTAATTAAAAAATAGAAATTTAGGCCCCTTCAATTAAATATGTTAAGGATTAAAAATATAATTTTGAATTTAAATGCACTTCTCTATTATATGACCTGAATTTGTTTACAAGTCAGTGAAAAATAATTTTTCTCACGAAGTTTACATTGTTCTATAACCTTTTAATGTGTATTAAATAATGCAAAGGTTTCTGAAATGTGAAACTGGTTTTTTGGTTGTTGAATGAAAAAAAAATTAGAGACACATCTTAAAAGAAACAAACACGTAATTACTTGTGTCCATGCATCAGTTAGAGAAATGTTTCCCTAAATATAGAGAAATTCCTAGTAATACCGCTTATCTGAAAAATCAATCACTTTTTTAAGTTAAGGAAATATGAGCCAAAAACATGAGAGACGTAAAGTCCTTGGTATTGCATGGGCATTGGGTATCAGTTTTTTTTCCATGCTCCTATCTGAGTCACAGTTCAGGAGGTTGGTCACCTTAGCCGTTTAGTCATTTTGCAAAGACACAGGTTGATTTAATTTTAAAAGAATACATTACATGTTTGGTTTAAATTATGTGACTCATATTCATATTTCACGGACCTTAGAGAATTTATACAGGTACTTTACAAATTCCAAAGTGAAATCTATTGATTTTTTTAAAGAGCTTAATGGAGGAGAATTTAAAGGCTTATTTCAAAAAGTAAAAATCAAAATTGCTAACTGATTTTTATGAGGTCAGTGTTATAATTAGATTAGTTTAAGATTAAATCAAAACAATAAGAATGTCATTTAACTACTTCTGCTGATATGTAACCAATAAGGAATACCACTTTATCTAGACCGAAAGCTTTGGATCAAAGGGAATAGGCACATATCTTGGAGATATAGCCAACAACAAATGGAGATTTGTAAAATTTCACTCTAATTTTTTAAAATTTCACTTGGACTTTACAATTATGCTGGTAAAACTGTAGTTTAATATTAGAAATAGTTGTCTGTTTATATTTAAATATCTTTTATTGCAAGATTAAACACAAATAGTGAAAATCACTCAAATAAAATGTATGGGTTAATTACTTAATATAATGAGAACACCACTGATGCCAAGAAATGGTATTTTGAGGCTGGGCACAGTGGCTCATGTCTGTAATCCTGGCACTTTGGGAGGCTGAGGTGTGCGGATGACCTGAGGTCGGGAGTTCGAGACCAGCCTGGTCAACATGGAGAAACCCTGTCTCTACTAAAAATACCAAAAATTAGCCAGGTGTGATGGCATTGATGGCATGTGCCTGTAATCCCAGCTACTCGGGAGGCTAAGGCAGGAGAATCAATTGAACCTGGGAAGCGGAGGTTGCAGTGAGATGAGATCTCACGCCACTGCACTCCAGCCTAGGCAACAGAGCAAGACTCTGTCTCCAAATAAATAAATAAATAAATAGCACTTTGCCAGACAACTAAGAAAACCCATCAGTATTCCAGTCACAACCTCTACTTCCCACTGCAAATAAAAACTATTCTTTTACAGAAATAAACTACTTGCATTTAAAAAATAGTTTTATCACCTAAATATGCATTCATTGTCCCCCAAAGTTAACCTTGCCAACTTTAAAAAATCTGGCACATCCTTTAAGTTTTTCAGTCTATAGGTGCCTCCTCCATCCCTTGCATTTGCTTTCAGTTTATCTGTTAAAGAATGCAGGACATTTGACCTGTAATATTTTCCACAGTCTGGCTTTTACTAACATCATATTCTTGGTGCAATTCAACATGCTCCTTCAGTTCTCTATATTTTTCTGAAAATTATCCAGAAATAAGATAAAGCTCCTCTTTGGTATGACCATTCATTCATTCATTCATGCATGCATTCATTCATAGAAATGGGATCTCACTGTTATTCAGGCTGGAGTGCAAGGGCACAATCATAACTCACTGTAACTTTGAACCCTAACTCCTGGGCTCAAGCAATTCTCCCACCTCAGTCTCCCAAGTAGCTGGGACTACAGGTATGTGCCACCACACCTAGCTGGCGTGGCTATTTAATATCTGATTGTTTCTCATTTTATCATCTTAGCAGCCAGTGATACTAAATACTGATATCTATTTATTTGATGATATTCTATCCTATCATTTATTTTTTATTTATTAGGTGGAATACTTTTGTTAAGAAATCCTTTCCCTCACTTACTATTTGGTGAGCCAGTAATACAGTTCTGATAGGAAAGTAGGGTACTTGCTTGATTTGTCCTTTTTATTTATGAGTGTTCAAGACAATGAATCATTTCTCTAATAGCTCCTGAAGATAACCCTTACTTTTGTTAAACGTATTTGATACATAGCAACACATGACAATTATGATCATTGCTAAGCTCAAATTGTCCCATCTTTGGCTCATGAGAGCTCCTTCAAGTTTGTTTATGAGTCATTTTGCAATGCCCCTGGTAGTCTCTGATAGCTTCCTTGCTATTGGGTGGTACAGGATGTGCCAAGCTTACATTGTATATTTCCTGCCCTACACATGGAATCAGCCGTGTTTTGAAAATAGCTGATTTTTTTAAAAGTCTTGGCTTATTTTAGTGAGAAGTGATATTTCAAGACAAGTCTGGTCCCCAGGGCTGCTCATTGCCCCTGAGTTTGTCATTATTTCTATCTCTTTTCAGTGGACAGTTAGTTCTCATCAACACTTTTAATTCAAATTAGAAAATACTAAGACTTTCATTTAACCTCGTTTCTTGTATCTTTATCTCCTCTTTTTTCCATACCAACAATTCTGGTTCTCAATGAAAAGTGACTCTAGAATTAGAATATCTCATAATAACTCATTTGTTTTATTCCATATTACATGCATGGTAGTCTCAGAACAAAAATACTGATACATCTAACAATAGGGATACTGAAAACAAATTATTTGCACATGCTTTCACCATTCTCTTGCAATTTGTAAGAGTCATATGAAATCCACAATGTCATAGGATATAGCCTCTGCATACTACATTCTCTTCAGCTGCCACGTGGTCTTTGTGCCGGCAACTGCATGTTAATACCACCAGTTCCCATACCTAGGCATTTTGGCTTTCTAGAGTTTTCTCTACTAGATCACTGGGTTCACACTTTTTTTTTTTAGTATCTTAAGTATATTACTTCATTCTTCTTTTAGCATAAAGCACTGCTATAAAAGTCTGATGGTAATATAAATATTTTCTCTTTAAAAATCGTGTGGTCTTTTTTGTCTAGATCCTTAAAAGACATTTTTCTTATTTAAAAAATACAATCAATTTGCTAGAATATATCATGTGGTAGTCATTTTGATTCATTATTGTCAGGCATGCAGTGCAATGTGTAATTTCTTTTTTTTTAATTTCAGGAAAGTTTTCTTGAATTAGAACTTTTTGCATAATTCTTTTCCCTTGCTTTTTGTTTTCTTCCTTAAGATCTGCTATTATCCTTATATTTGATCTCCTCTGCCAATCTTCAATGTTTGTCACTTTCCTAAGATTTTTTCTAAAGAAAAATCTCTTAATTTTTTTTTATTTTTAAACTTTCCCTCTTTTTCACTTTCTAGTGATTTTAAGGCATTATTTTTGTTTGTTTCTCCTTATGGTTTTTGCTTTTAGTCTATATTTTATTATTTTTTTTAAAAGGCCATTTTGAATCTTTTCATATTTTAGTATTACAAAGGTAATACTCATTCATAGCACTAAATTTCCAAAAAATAATAAAAATATACTTATTCATGTGTATTTTTCTCAGCTCAAGGTGAAAGTTATAATCAATAATTACTTACAAACTCGAAGTAATCAGCAGTTAATTCAGTGAGTTTATTGCACATTCAGCAACAATATCTATTCACCAGTTTTAAAAGTGACTTAGCTCTTTTTTCCTACTATTTACAAACTTTATGATTTGTATAGATTCTGTGTACATCCAGAGTCAGCTAAGATCTAGAATTTGTTTTCCTTCATTTATTTATTTTTCAGACGTTTACTTTTTATCTATATTGCCAGACCCTGTTCCAGGATTTGGAAAACAAATATTAATTAAAAACAATTTTTGCCCTCTAACAACTCACAGTTAAGTAGAAAAGATGTAGAAAGTAACCAGTGAGCGCGATACGTGCTTTGGTAAGGATAGGCGTAGTCTCAAGGGAGCACATGAAGATTTGAGTGAGGGGAGCCGGGGATGGCTTTCTGACTTGAAAGACAAGGTAGAAGTACAAGGAAGAAGTTCCCAAGTAGATGGGGGACAAGAGAGAAATCTGGCAAGTTTGCAGAGCTATACATAGTTTGCCAAGGCAGGAGACAGAAAAACCAGTGATGAGTAGGTCAATAGAGATACACATATTTACCAAATAATAATACCATACTTTCCAGTTGCCAAAATCTTTCAAGTTTTTAATACTCTTTTTAATTCATTATGTCATATAAAACACAACCCTCTGGTTCTATTGTCAATACCTCATAGCTAAAGAAACTCAGCTTCAGAAGAAAAGTTGTAACTCTCTAAGATACCATGCCTAATAATTTGCTGTGTTAACACATTAAAGCATTTTAGAAAGAATGAATGAATACTATTTTTTGTACGTAATAGTGAAATAATATTATTTATTGACATAATCAACAAATATTAGGGAACATACATGTTGGCACAATGACTAGTTCAATGGTAAATGGATCTTTCTAGAGTCAATTGACCAATAATGTATGCTTTAGTCTATTTCTAAGTCCATGCAATTACAAACAATTAATACTAGCCATTCATTCTTACAGTTACATTCTCTCCTTCTGTCCCTTTTCTTGTCCAACATCCACTGATAAAAGTCACCACTCTTCCAAATATGGAGCCCCTTTTTCCTGGCTTTGCCCTCTCACTTTTTCACATGGCAGTGAAGGAAAGAGAAAAATAAAAACGGCTTTATTTTTTTTCAGCTAATAGTCACTTTTCAGAAAATAGGAAAGAACACTAAAATGTTTTAAGTCATTTAAAATTTAACATTCTTAGTGTTAAATTTTAGTCATTAGTCACATAATTGCTCCTTCTCATTTTCATCCTTTTAAGGCAAAGGCATTAACCTCTAAAGGAACTGTTTATCTTAACATAAAAATCTTGGAAAAAATGATACTGCAGAGTGAATCATAACATTTTATCTTAAAATGCCACTGTGTTTTTGTCCTTAGCAATGCTAAATTTATCAAGTATTTTCTCTACCAGTAAAAGGGGTCATTTCCAGAGAAATGTGGTCTGCATTGATGCTGTATTTATTTGGAAGATTGTGGGCAAATTTTCAAAAATACTGTAAACAATATGAAAAAGCATTGGAGGTAACTAAACAGAAATAGCATCTGGCATATATGTAGGTCTGAAAACAAACATAACAATTTATTGGATACATCAATAATTTCAAAGACTTGAGCTTTCTAAAAATTTTTGAGTTTCTAAACCACTGTACCTAGTTTTTCATTAATTGGGGATAAATCACTGCCTGTTCTTTTGGACATGAATAGTAGTTGCTGCCTATAGAGGTTGTCGAGTTCAGAAAGCTGAATTTCGATCTCTTCATCAACTATCATAAATGTGGTAACTCTGTGTAATAATGCAGTGAGAAAACACAACATGTAGCCATCATATTAGCAGCTGCATTACAGGAAATTATAGTATGAAATTAGGAAGTGATATATGATGTTGATATCTCTGTATCTGAAGATACAGCACACATTTCAGTGCGTGGTATAATTGGTGCTCTTCATTGCAATGCTTGTGGTTTCACATATTTCCTCTGTTGTGTCTGGGCCCTTACCCCAAATTTTCCTTCTTCCTAATATGAGTCTTCCTCCTTAAGCAGCTCCTTTATCCGGACTAATGACTAAGATTTCAGGACTAAACAAAAAAATTGTTTTTTTAATTTTTTTGCTCAAGCACTATTCTTTCCACTTCGTCTCCTTCATCACATGTATGCAGAGGCTACAACAGTTCCCAGCACATGGGAGTGCTCAATACATGTTTGTTTAAAAAAAAATGAAAGACTAGATGCCTTTCCTCTGACTTTTTCCCATAGCATCTTGATCTTACGTGTGGCAAATAACTTTTGCTTTGTATTCTAATCACTTGTATATGTTTTTTCAAGGTAAACTTTTTTATAGTAGTAATTAACTCTTGTTCAGCTCTTTGTCCCAACACCTAACACAGTATATGGCACATGAGAAGTGCTTAATAAATACCTATGGAAAAAATGATGGGTGAAGTTTTATGGGCCCCTTGGGTTAGAAATGCCCTGGCCATTCATATCGAGCTCCCATTCTTCCATGGGTTCCAAATACCTCAGGTAGTTCTTAAGAGAATGCTCTGTAGGTTAGAATTATTGTTTAGTTTCCTTTGAAAAAGATGAGAAGAAAAATTATTCTGGTAGAAGTAGGTTTCTCATGGAATTTTTTAAAAGAAAATTAACATCAGAGGTCTTAGACAGATACTGTTTGTGAATAAATGTACCCTACACACAAGTGCCAGTCTGTTTGCATTTTGTCTAAGGATTAATGAAAGATGAATAGAAAATACTTATTGATTGAAACAAGAGAAGCATGGCATAATAAAAATGGCAATGGATTGAGGACAGTGTGGTTCTAGTCCTACCTCACTCTCTACGATTTTCCATCTCACTGAGAATGTTTCCTTAACTATAAAATAACCAGGGGACCGACAAGAGCCTTCATCTCTGACAGGCATAGTCCCATGCCATACGTTAAGCAGTAATCACATCAGCCTCTTTGTGCCCCTTTCCCTGAGTTTATAATATATTAAATTTTCTAATTTACATTTAAACACTTATCTCAACTGCGGTTATATTAAAAACTCACAATAAGTGAAACCACATTTCAGAAAGGCCTTTTCTTTCTTTCTTCCTTCTTTCTTTCTTTCCCTCCCTCCCTCCCTCCCTCTCTTTCTTTCTTTCTTTCTTTTTCTTTCTTTCTTTCTCTCTTTCTCTCCTTCCTTCTTTCCTTCCTTCCTTCTTTCTTTCTTTCCCTCCCTCCCTCCTTTCTTTCTTTCTTTCTGTCTGTCTTTCTTTTCTTTCTTTCTCTCTTTCTCTCCTTCCTTCCTTCTTTCCTTCCTTCCTTCCTTCCTTCTTTCTTTTTTTTCTAAGACATAATTTCCATGTTTTCTTTCCTTTTCCTCCTTCACATGCTCCTGTCTGCCTCTCCTTGTATCCTCTCCCCCTCTTTGTTTTTCAAGGGAAATTGCATTATGGCATTTTTTATTCATTCCCAGGT
This sequence comes from Homo sapiens, assembly GCF_000001405.40. Classification (NCBI taxonomy): domain Eukaryota; kingdom Metazoa; phylum Chordata; class Mammalia; order Primates; family Hominidae; genus Homo; species Homo sapiens. The sequence goes on from NC_000008.11 coordinate 68,773,036, forward strand.
AATTACCAAAATACTATGTTGCTAGAATGACTTGATATTTAAAATGCCAATTCTTTAAAATTAAGAAAAGGACATCTGAAACTCATAGGTTTGTGCTTTGAAGGGGATTTTATTTCATTAGCGATCCCAGTGAGAGGGAGGAGGGAATGCTGGCATTTCACTGGTCTGGTGTTGGAAATGGGGAACCCGAGATAGATGTATTGGATCAAGCCTCTTGACTTGGGCCATCTTTTCTGACCCATCAGAATCAGAGATACTGATGCCTTATTCTTCGTTGTGTCCACTTGGCCTTGTACCACACTTGCATTCTTCAAAATGTTAGTTTCCTCTGTATTTTCCTCCAAGAATCTTTTTATTTTTATTTTTATTTTACTTTTTCTTCTGGGACGGAGTCTTGCTCCGTCGCCCAGGTTGGAGTGCAGTGGCATGATCTCGGCTCACTGCAACCTCTGCCTCCCAGGTTCAAGTGATTCTCCTGCCTCAGCCTCCCGAGTAGCTAGGATTACAGGTACACCACCAAGCCTGGCTAATTGTTGTATTTTTTGGTAAAGACGAGGTTTCACCATGTTGGCCAGGCTGACCTCAAGTAATCCACCTGCCTCGGCATCCCAAAGTGCTGGGATTACAGGTGTGAGCCGCCACACCGGCCCCTCCGAGAGTCTTTTGCTTTATGCTCCTCATTCACTGGTGTCACCCATTGCAGTGACTTACAAATGGCAGTTACAACCAAACTCCCGTTGTATGGCCCTTGAAACAAATGGTATTGTGTAGGTTTCTCCTTTCCTGTGGTGTAGATATGACACTGACACTAAGGAAAGAAGCAAGGCTGTCAAGAAGCTTGCTTTATTTATATTCGATCATTAAGAAAACCCACGGTCATCACCAGGTCTTAGCAGAAGACTGCAAATGTCCAGACAAACGGGAAAAACCACACACTCCAGCTCCAAGGAAACACATCGCCCTCTTCAGTGAGCGCCCAGAAACTGCTCTCCAGCATCTCTCACTGTTAACCCTCAAATGTGCAGAGGCCAACCAGGCAAGCCTCCCATGCTGGCTGCTCCAGAAAGCACATTTGTAACTCTGAGCAATTTGCCACATTGTTCTCTTACTCCTAACCACCCAGGCAAAGGAGAAAGGATGATTAGCACATAAAGGACTGACTGGTTCTGTCATGAAAGAGCCAAATTGGAACAGCCCATAGCACTCCCAGGTTAGTGTCCGAATGAGGGTAAGATAGTGTGGGAAGTTCACCTCTAAGAAACAGTTTATCTATGTATAAAAATATGGGTGTGTGTGTATATATATATATATATAAAATAAACAAAAAAATAAACAGTTTATCTGAAATAAGTTCTCAGCTTTCTCTGTGTGCTTTGAGTTAAATTCCTCACAGCTTGAGGGATTTATATGAACTTAATTTTTCCCAGTAGTTTATGCTTTAAGCAAATAGAACTACCTTATCTCTTTCACTATCTTATCCATTGAAAATCCTACAAGTTTGGAAGCATTTGGAAACATTTAAACTACGGCATATTAATGTTTTGCCAGTGGAAATATGATTTAGGAAGAAATATTACCACCTTTGTGATTTAACCTGTGATTTCTAAGTTTTGGGGAATACCAGCATTCTATTTCTAGCTCAATTTTTGTTTTGACATGAGCATGCCTCATGTTTTCCCCAAGTACTTGCAAGAATACATCACAATTTTTTTTAAAAAAAACTAAAATGAATTTAATTTTGTATGTTTTAAATTGTTGTATCTCAGTGACATAGAAGAGTGTCACCCTGGGCCGGGTGTGGTGGCTCACGCCCGTAATTCCGGCACTTTGGGAGGCTAAGGCAGGCAGATTACCTGAAGTCAGGAGTTCGAGACCACCCTTTCCAACATGATGAAACCCTGTCTCCACTAAAAAAAAAAAAAAAAAAAAAAATTAGCTGGGCGGGGTGGCACATGTCTGTAGTCCCAACTACTCGGGGAGGCTGAGGCAGGAGAATCACTTGAACCTGGGAGGCGGAAGTTGCAGTAAGCCCAGGAAAAAAAAAAAAAAAAGAAGAGTATCAGACTAGAATCCAGTCCAAGCGATGCTTCTCCTTGCTCCTTGACTTAGGGCACTTCACTCTACCCCTCTTGGCCTCAGTTTCCCCAAGTATTAAATTGGCGTGAGGTTGTCTTGCCCTCAATGAGATAATATATGTGTTGGTCATGGGAAAGTTAAAAAGATTCTGTAGAAACAAATGTAAGCTTTTAGCACACTTATTTAATTATGTTTTAAACACATATGGTGTCCTAGGATTTATAATTTCATGATATTTCAGAATTTATTTCCAAATGTCTCTCGTCATGGAGTATAAAAGCATAACTTATCCAAAGCACCAAGTTGTTTGACAATTTTGACCACCAATGTTTAGATGAGTTTGGGATATATGTTTAATTTGATTTTATAAATTTCAACAATTTGAATCTGTGATTACTAGTGCTCAGTGAAGTGCTAGTAAAGACACAGATGACGGAGAATTTACTAATTACATACTAATAGGTTAAGAAAGACTTAATGTAAAGTCTGGATATAAAGGTTAATTGTCTGTCCTCTATGTAAAAAATATTTTTAAGTCCATGTTTTAGATCGTCACACAAATTTATAGAATATAGAATTTGCGACTTCTTTCCTTAGCCTAATTATGAGACTATATTTATAACATTAACAACAGAAAATGTTACACAATTTGTTTAGCATTCTGTTCCAAGATTTAGTTAGTTACTCTAGCTGCTCATTTGTTAACATGAATTAAGATCTATACGAGATCATGTCCTTTGCAGGGACATGGATGGAGCTGGAAGCCATTATCCTCAGCAAACTAACACAGGAACAGAAAACCAAACACAGCATGTTCTCACTCATAAGTGGGAGCTGAACAATGAGAACACATGGACACAGGGAGGGGAATAACACACCCTGGGACCTGCTGTGGTGGTGGAGGGAGGGTAAGCATCAGGATAAATAGCTAATGCATGCAGAGCTTAATACCTAGGTGATGGGTTGATGGGTGCAGCAAACCACCATGGCACATGTTTACCTATGTAACAAACCTGCACGTCCTGCACATGTATTCCAGAACTTAAAATAAAATAAAATATATTTTAAAAATCCACTTGAAAGCTATATTGTTGTTTTGCAAAAACTCTTTTCTTTTTTTTCAAAGAGTAAGAAGTTGGCAAACTAACAATCCCACAAGTATCAACTGAAAAGGTGGGAGAATAGCAAATATTTGGTGTTGCTCTCAGATCCCACTCTCCACGATTCTTTCATTCTTTTTCTCTCCTTCTCCTGACCTTTTCAACCTCTCTTCCTCTTTACTTCTAGGGAGAAGCCTCCAGTGGAGTAGGACACTCACTGAAAAACTACATGGAAGAAGTGAGTTTTAAGGTTGCTTTATAATGTAGTCTGAAATCAGTTTATGATACAGGATGAAGCACTCACTTAGGCTTTCTCCATCTACTTGTAGGGTTTCTAGTCTGTATGTGTTCAATGGTCATGTCCACAAAAACAGGATAATAAATAATAGGTTAGCAAGACAGGTTTTGGTCCTCATTGGGAGAAAGATACTGTGTATCAGTTCAGTGATCCTGAACATGAAAGTAAAACTGCGTAAACCTGGTACTAATATATATTTTTATACACAAATATTTGTTGATATTCAAATAAATGAGAATAACATGGTTTACATTGGAGTGTGCACAAAAAAAGACACAACCGCTCTTCCTACTGAAAGAACAATCTATACTAGGTCTGGATTCATTCATGGGACAAATGGTCATCAGGGATGATATTCATACATGCCATTATGCAAAGGGCTATCCCAACAATTAAATATATAGTAGATTTCACTTGGAAACTTTTTAGACTTCTAGATTTATTATTTTTGGAGATATCCAAGGGTGTTCTGTGCCATGGAACTTTGGACTGATGGCAAACTATTGCAGAACTCTCAGATAAACCAGTGGGCAGAGCCCATAAAACTTGGCCTGAAGCCAGACCACCGTGGCCACTAAATTAGCTGTCTAAATCCACTGCAGGTGGAGGGAACTGGGAAACAGTTTGGTGATGTTAAGAACCGCCTAAAAGGATTTTGTGGTTGCCCAAGCTCTTGGTTCAGCATTCCCCACTTAACAGTGGATCTGTGGGTGATAGGCCACCTCCACAAGAGGGATAGCTGATGCCTCTTGTAATATGTCCTGTCTAGGTCTAACCCCATGTTCCCACCTGGAGAGAACTGAGGTGCTGGGCCAAGACATGGGCTGCCTGCTGATGATAGAACTTAAGAATAAGTCTTCTAATTTTGTAGTTCTCATCCAAGAAAAATAGGCTTGTTTTCTTCATAATTACTAACGTGCAATGTAAATGTACATGTTGTACACAAGTGTAAATGCTCAATGTGGCAAGAAGGTGGAGAATTTATGCCTTTTCACTTAAAGTACTTAAAGGCTATTGTTCCTCAGACTGTGGTCCTCTGACTACAACACTGCCATCATCGGGGGCTTGTAAGAAATACAAAATCTTGGGGCTCAGCCCAGACCCACATAATCAAAATCAACATCCTAACATGATCTCCATTTGATTTATATGCATCTTAAAAGTGCCAAGATGCTCTGCCATAAAGTGTCTTTTCCAACGTTCTTTCTAGGGAGTAACTGTGTGCATCATGAAAAATCCCAATTTTGTTTAAAAATCTCCAATTTTATATAAAATAGGTAAAGAGAAAACCTTTATTTATAAATTTATATCTTGCTTATTCATCTGCTCTCAATAATAATTTTTTGTCTGAAATAAAATATATAAAATCTCTCCAGTTTATGAGATCCATTACTGACTTTCAGTCTGAATTTTGCAAAACATGTGAACTGCCTTTCTTAGGGGTTTAGTATTACTCAGTACTTTCATTTATTATTGACTTATAGTGAGATTTTAGCTCTTTCTTAAGCCAACAGATGACCATTCTTTACAATAAAACTAAGATCTTAATTAGTAAACTATTAACTTATGACTAGTTGGCTTTTCTCACAGACAATCCATTTATGTATTAGAAAATATATATGTACTTAAACTCTTCTCCATTGAGAACATGTTTAGAATGTGAGCCATAAAATGATAGTCTTTTGTCTTTTCTCACTTAGGCTTTTATTTCACTTTTTCTTTTTTCTTCATGTTAGTAGAATTGGTAAACAATAAAAAATAGTATTTATAAATGTTAGAAGCATTGAGGCTAAAACTGAACTAGCAAACATTTGCTTTTATTTAGTACACAATAAAACTCAAACCATAGTGTTTACATTTTTAATATATTTAACATTTCTTACTAAAGTTTGAACAGCTCTTTGCAGATCAAATGCTCTTTTTTTCATCTAGTTTTATAATGAGACAGAATCATAACCACATGCAATTAGACAATTTTGTTTAGATCTGAATCAAAACTACAGAGATGATATGGTCTTCTCAAAAGTAAAGCTAAAATGGAGCTTTTATTCAACATCTTCTATTTTTCAATGTATTATTTGACTAAGATTTGTGGTTTTGACCAAATAAAAAATGAAATATTTTATAATTGCCTACATTTCTTTGTCCTCAAAATAGCTCTGATAGTTAAATTTTTAAAAATATTACATGCTTTTTACATCTAAGATACTTGATAACTCAAGGTGGGAATAATTTTACATCACAGAAATCTTAGTTTTTGGATTATATTAACGTTCATTTAGAAAGAGTATAATTTAAAATAACTTATCAAATTCAATCAGTTCCAAATCTGGATTATCATAATTTTTGTAGCAAATTTAATCCATTTACAATATCACATTACCAGGCTCAAGCTTGTGGCTCATGCCTGTAATCCTAGAACTTTGGGAGGCTGAGGCAGGAGGATTGCTAGAGGCCAGAAATTCAAAACCAGCCTGGGCAACATAGTGAGACCCTGTCTCTACAAAAAATCAAAAAATTAGGCAGGCATAGTGGCACACACCTATAGTCTCAGCTCTTCAGGAAGCTGAGGCAGGAGGATTGCTTGAGCCCAGGAGTTTGAGTCTGCATTGAGCTGTGATCTCGCCACTGCACTCCAGCCTGCGTGACAGTATAAGATCCTGTCTCTGAAACACACACACACACACACACACACACACACACACACACACACACACACACTACCCAGACGAATAACTGGGAAGCAGCGTAGTATACTGGTTAAAAATCCCTTTATCATTAGTGAAATGTAGTAATTTAAGTATATATGCATCAGGTAAGTATTGTCAATTCAAATGATTGAGAAGCCGTAAAGAACTAGACTGAAGTCAGTGATTTCATTTGAGATTCCTAACACCCTTAGGAAGTTAGTTGGTGAGGGCCAGAGGCAACATACATGGGAGTGCGAACTTACTGGCAGTGTGGCAGCTTCACAATCTCTTAGGGTGTCAAACAGAATTAAAAGCACGAGACAGGTCTTTTCAAATCTGTTGAGGTTGGCTTTGCCAGATGTGCCATCTGAACCAGAAAGGGGATCAATTCTATGCAACACAATATCCTGGAATCACTTTGGATGCCAGTTTTGGCCAGCTTGTCTTGTTTCTCCTGTGTAGTATTCTGCTCTCTGTGGTGTAAAGAAGTTTCAATTCTACTTCTGATGGAGAGTGTATGACATTATTCCCTATAATCAATAAGAGAAAGTTTACGTTTTATCATTCACGAAGGTTTACTTTCTAAAAATTTAAATAATTATTAATTATCATAGTTTTATTTCACTTAGAAAACTAGGAAATGAAGATCTTTTTTCAAGAAAATCCTATTTTATCATTAACATTCATTAAGAACAGAAACATGCTAAATCATAATTTTTAAAAAAGTTGTAATCATGGCACTCAGACAGATGTAAAATGAACACATGTGAAAGATTTATTTAACTGATAAATTAATGAGGGAACAAATAAAGCATTCCAATGATTTCAAAGAATTAAACCCTCACTTACATAGTCATAAAGGAATGCTGAAATGACATTATAAATCGATGGAAAAATTGGCAAATTTAATCACTATCCATAGGATAACACTCTATCGCATTCTAATGGACACAATTTACACTTATATGGACAAGAGGCATTTGCACTGCTACCACTTTCTACAAATTCCATAATTGTAAAATAGCTGAAGTCAATGAAGTCCCAGAGCTTCTGTAAAATCAGGCATGCTCGAAAAATGACTTGTTTTTCATTGATACACCCAATCATCTTTTGTTTTTTTTCCTAAGTCTTTTACAAATTCATACTACAATTTCCTTGGAAAGAAAAGCCACCAAGTGGAATGAGTTGGAAAAGAAGATGAAGTACAATCCCAAAGTATAGTGTAGGATGGCAAAATAGTCATGTACATTTATTTAAATATTTTGCATTTACTTTGTAATGTTTTTCACAACCTACTGTACTTTTCTGACTTTGTTATTACTCTCTCTCTTTCATTTTCCCAGATTCTATTAATTTATACTAATAGCTCTTAATCTTAAGTAACTTTTACAATTCCCAAAATAAATGGGCTTCATAAGTATAATTCACTTAAAAATTGTGGATTTTGGCCCAGCTCATGCCTGTAATCCCAGCACTTTGGGAGGCCGAGGTGGGCAGATTGCAGTCCAGGAGTTAGAGACCAGACTGGGCAACATGGTGAAACCCCATCGCTAAACACACACACATACACACACATACACACCCCACATGGATAGTATGAACCATTTCATTAACAAATGCAACAAGAAAGTTATTTACAAACTTTACAAATTTAGCTGTGTACATAAAGGGAATTTCATTTTAACGGAAGTGATTTTTAACGGAAGGATTAATTCTTTGTCAGTGGAAGCAGTCCATTACATGTATCCAGAGTGGAGTGTGACTTTGTTTGTTTTATAATATGCTTCAGGGAATCTTATTTTACAGGGATTCCATGGTTATGGAAGTAAAATTAAAGTGATTAAACCATTTTGAAAGATAGAAACTGATGTTTTGTGCGTTAGTGACATATTAATACCAAATGAAAAGAAATACTTAGTTGATTCAGAATTAAAACAGCCAATGGTAGAAGTTTGAGCAAAGAAGTAATTTTTTTTTCTTGAAATACACTGAACTTTCAGGGCCACATATGATAAATCACTGATTGGTTGCATTTAGAGAATCTAAAAATAAGCTCTTCATGTGGATCAACAATGCTGCTGAAGTTTGTAAAGCACTTATTCTGTTAGCAGATAGAATAATATATTGATTCAGAGCTAGCAACCATGTTCCATGTGATAAATATCACTATTTCCCACCACTCCTAGTCCCTGTACATTTGCTGTAATTATGGTGAAAGTGTTTTAGAAAAAGAATGAATAGGATTTCTTCTAAAAGTAACACAAAGAAGTTGCTCTTGGGAATATGAAAAAGTTTGTACTACACTCAGATACAGTTTAATATTCTTGTGGAAAATGTATATCTGAATAAGTTGGCAAAGAGGGACACGTCAGCTTTTGTATTTTAAAATGTTCAAGATTTTAGCTCTTTGACCCCATCAAAAAGAATTATATGTAGCCTTATGGGTTGAGCTTTAGACATACATAGTGGTGCTTGTTGGCACTGATAAAGTGAACAGGTGCGTTATATTACTAGCTCTATTCCAGGGAAAACCAAAGTAAAACATTTAAATCATCTATTAACAGTAATATTTGTACTATCTTTATGATTACAATAATTCAACATTTTAAAGTTCTTCCCAAACTACATATTTTACCAAGCTAATGTTCCATTTGTACTTTAGGCAATTTGCATTAATTAGAGAATAGTTGAATGCTGCTTATCTGTTCAGGAATAAAGCCATTAAAACCAAAAACCAATCAGTAGTATTGCTTGATATGCTGAACTATTGTGGGAAAATAATAACACAATTGACTTACTACTCATATCTTTTTCATGAAAACAAATTTTAGTATTTCAATCAAAAAGCTAAATAACCAAAATATTTTTAAATTAAAAACACTTTTTCATGATCACTTTAAATTTTTCTGTTTTAAAGGAATCACTTCCGCAATTTCATTTTCCCTTATGTATCCAAAATGTCTATTTTTCATATTTCTTCTTTGAACATCAGAGACTATGTCACATTTTTTAAAAACTGCAGCAGTGTGATTTCCCTCTCTGAAATTTTACTTCTGTTATCTTCTACATAGTTATGGAGTTTTAAATCTACAATTTTTTACATTTATGCTGTTTTTCGGTGTAGCTCAGCAAGATCAAATTTAATAATTCATAAATTTAAAAAAAAGCAAGTTAAAGTCCTTACAATAAACACTGGTTTATACCTAAATGGTATATTCCAAGATTGAGTGTCTTTTTTTTTTTTTTTTGCTGACTTTCCCTGCAATAGGCCATCTAGTGCCTCTCACATTCTACTCTCTAAAGGAATCTAGACCTAGATAGATACTACTTATGAGTACAAGAGATCATCTAATCCAGTAACTATCCCATTCTATCCCAAAAGAGACTTTAGCATGCCTTGGATTCACCAGGATAAAAAGCTGTGCCTTCTGACCCCTGGGGCAGTGAGTTTCTGCTGTGGAGCCCATCTCTCCTATGATAGGAGTTTAAGTTTTAATCCAATTAAAAGGCCATTTTCAAGAGCTGCTTGTGCTAAAAATCTTGTGCTTTTATTTTTAAAATGAAAATCACTTTTGAGGCTGGGCGTGGTGGCTCACGCCTGTAATCCCATCACTTTAGGAGGCAGAGGCAGAGGATGGCTTAATCCCAGGAATTGAAGACCAGTCTGGGCAACGGAGAGAGACCCAGTCTCTACAATGAGTTAAAGAAAAAAAAAAGAAAAAGTTATTGAGGCATAGTGGCACGTGCCTGTAGTTCCAGCTACTCCTGAGGCTGAGAGGGGAGAATGGCTTGAGTTCAGGAGGTCGAGGCTGCAGTGTGCCATGTTTGTGTCACTGCACTCCAGTCTGGGCAATAGAGAACATGTCTCAAAAAAAAAAAAAGAAAAAAGAAAAAGAAAATCATTTTGAAATTTGGTTTTGCTTTCTTTTGTAAAAGGAAAACGTGAGGGCCCCAAAATTACTAACCTAAAGGGAAAAGTCAAGCTGGGGACTGCTGAAGGCAACCTGCCTCCCACTCTGTTCAAAGCCATGCTGCTGCTCACTGAAATAGAGGCGCACGCCTGTAATCCCAGCACTTTGGGAGGCCAAGGCGGGTGGATCACGAGGTCAGGAGATCGAGACCAGCCTGGCCAACATGGTGAAACCCCGTCTCTACTAAAAATGCAAAAATTATCTGAGCATGGAGGCGTGTGCCTGCAATCCCAGCTACTCGGGAGGCTGAGGCAGGAGAATTGCTTGAACCTGGGAGGCGGAGGTTGCAGTGAGCCAAGATGGTGCCATTGCAATTGCACTCCGGCCTGGGCAACAGGGCGAGACTTCATCTCAAAAAAAAAAAAAAAAAAAAAAAGGAAGCATATCTGACGGCCTCCTTTGGAAAGCCTTATCAGAAACTCAAAAGAATGCAACCTTTTGTCTCTCACCTACCTGAGATCTGGAAGTCCCTCCCTACTTCAAGCTGGAGCTGTCCCCACTTTTCTGGGCGGAACCAATGTACTTCTTACATATATTGATTGATGTCTCATGTCTCCCTAAAATGTAGAAAACCAAGCTGTGCCCCAACCACCTCGGGCACATGTCGTCAGGACTTACTGAGGCTGTGTCACAGGTATGCATCCTCAACTTTGGCAAAAAAAACTTTCTAAATTAACCGAAACCATCTCAGATATTTGGGGTTCACACTTTCAATATTAAAAATAAACTTTTTTAGAACAGTTTTTGATGTACAGAATTATTAGATAGATAATACAGAGGTTGCTATGCCTCTTATTCAGTTTTAACTATTACTGATACTTTATGTTAGTATGGGGCACTGGTCACAGTTAACAGACCAGTATTGATACATTATTAGTAACCATATCTGTACTGTGTGCAGCTTTCCACAGGTTTTCCCTGTCATTTTCTCTTCCATGATCGCATCCAGGATCCACATTACATTTAGTCATTGTGTCTCCTTAGGCTTTTCTTGGTTGTGACCCTTTCTCACAACCAAGCTTTCCCTGTGTTTAAAGACCGCAATGGCTATCAGGAGTACAGCTCAGATATTTTGCAAATTGTTCCTCCGTTGATATTTATGTGATATTTTCATCATAATTAGATTGGGTTAACGTGTTTTTAGGAGGAAGACCACAGAGGTAAAATTTAATTTTCATCACATCCTGTCAAGGGTACATCCTATCAATATGCTGTATTGCTGTTGACCTTGGTCACCTGGCTAGAGATAGGGTTTGTCAGGTTTCTTCACTGTAAAGTTACTTTTATCCTTTCCCTATCCCTCCTGAACTATTTGAAAGAAGGTCACTAAACACAGCCCACACTTAAAAAGTGGGAAGTTATTCCCCACATCCTTAAGGGTGGAGAATTTACATAAATTATTTGAAATGCTCCTGTATATACATTTGTCTATTCTCATCCATTCATTTATTTATTTGAACATTTATTTTTATCTATATGGACTTACAGATATTTATTGCATATTTTGGATAATGACCCAATACTGGCTTATGTGTTTTGTTACTCAAATTGTTCTAGCTTTGGCTAATGACAGCTTTTTCAGTTAGTCCCTTATCTTTTTGACATACTTCCATCATTGTGTATGTGTGTGTATGTGTGTGTGTGTGTGTGTGTGTGTTTTCGAGTACTTTCTTGCTTTTTGGCACTACCAGATGGTTCGGCTTATCTTGTACATTTCCTCCCTCAGTCCTAGGGAGTCCAATCATTTATCCAGAAACCCTGGTTCTTTCATTGGAGAATGATTTTAGAAACCAAGATTGGGGTCGTAGGTGTGTTAATTGCTACTGAGTGTCATTGCTTCTAAGTCTTCTCAGGTGCCAGAGTAGAGAAACATATGTGTATATATGAATATGGGCCAGGCATGGTTGCTCACACCTGTAATCTCAGCTACTTGGGAGGCTGAGGCAGGAGGATCACTTGGGCCCTGGAGGTTAAGGTGAGTCATTATCTCACCACTACACTCCAGCCCGGGCAACAAAGTGAGAGTCTGTCTCAGAAAAAAAAAAGAAAATAAATAAATAAAGAAATACATATCAACATTTCTGTGTGTAGCCATCTGTATATATAGTAAGGTAAACACAAATTCATACCGACGTCTTTAACTCTAATACATTATGCACGGATCATTCCAGTCTCTTTCCCCTGCTTATCTGTAAATTGCCACACCAGCAGTGAGAAACCTGGCTCCCCTCATCCATTTACTTTACTGTTTGTTCATTTCCAGAGTACATATATAGTGGTTTCAGAATTGTTAACCCGTACTCCTATGGAAAGCAAGTTTATCATCTCGAGTACAGTGCATATGTAGAGTTCCTTTAGCCTTTGGTCTTACAAACTCCACTCATTTTCAAAGTTAGTTAGGTTAGCACCTTATTTCCTCCCCCTTCAGTGAGGTTGTTTCATACATCTGTAACACATTTATGTTCTTTCTTTTTTGATATATTGCCATTCATTCTTGGATTCCCCAACTTCCTAATTGATTTTTTTTCATTTGCATACATTAAAGCTTATGGTATAAAATTCTATGGATTTTGACAAATGCTTAGTGTCTTGCATTTGCCATGATGATATCACACAGAATAGTTTTACTGCCCTAAAATATATCCTGTGCATCACACAACCAACCCACCACTCCACTTCCAAACTTCTGGAAAATTGTGCTGTTTTGAAACTCTAGATTGGGGCTGAACTTCTCCAGAATTTGACATCAAAATGAAAGCCGTGGCAGATAGAATATTTATCTCATAAAGGAACTGTTTTAAGCAAAGTGGACATTTAATGACTGGTGGTGTCATGTTTCTTAAGTATCAAGGGTTGTGGAACTTTATTTTTACCTTGTTAGTATTTGTCTGAATAAAAATAAAGCACAATATCTCATATTGGAGAAAAATATAATTGAAAGGGGGTAGAGATGATGAGTGAATTTGAGAGATAAAGAGTGAATTGACAGATCATACTGATTTTATGTTTTTAATTTTCCAAATATGTTTGAAAACATGTTCTTGAGTCGTGGCTCAATAAATTTAAAGTCGTTATTTTGTTCTAGAGGAGAACCATCTTTCCCCTCTCCTTCCTTTTTACCCTTCGTCCTCTCCTTTCTTTTCTTCGTTACCTCCTCCTATATGAATGTTTACCTAGTAAGTCCCTATCTTGTGCAAGGGATATAGTAGATGCTAGGAATGCATAGGTGAAAAAAGTTATTTATGACCTCAAGGACCTTTTTTATTATTTTTAAGGACGGAAAAGATGAAAGTATAATTATTACATGGTATGATTCTATTGGTATAATAGGCACATAAAGGAATAGAGGAGTAACTCTGCCTTGCAGGATCAGGGAAGACTTCCAGTAGAAGTGACTCCCGAGCCTTGGAAGAGGAGTGTTAATGTTTAAGACAGATAAGGAAATGCATTGTAGAGCTACCAGTTAATTATAGCTGGAGTGGTCAAGGTGGGATTGAGAGAATAGTATGATAGAACATGTTAGACAAGTATGGATCATGCAGGGCTTTGAGTTTAAATCTTACCCAGGGAATAATGAATAGAGCCACTGAAAAATTATAAGCAACATAGTGATTACATCATATGGCAACTTAAAAAGCGTGCTCTGGCAGATGACTGGTGGGAGAATTAGACAGGATATGATACATGATCCTGGAAAACTTCCCAGATGGCTATTACTACAGTCAGGGTGGGAGATAATGAGGGTCTGCTTTAGTTCAATGACAGAAGGGAAAGAGCAGCAAGGAAGTATATGAGAAATATGTTAACAAACTTTAGAAAGTGAGAAGAGGAAGGAGGCAGTGAAGTAATACTAGGAGAGTAAAATCGAAGATGTTCTCTAAATCCCATTCATCTTCATTCTCATTAAAGGGAATTTGAAACCTTGATGGCAAAGAGGCACATTTTATGCCATTTTATATTGAATATTTCATGATTATGTTTCCAAGAATGAGTGTCAACATTTCCATAAAAATATTAATTCATAAGGAATACAGTTCAGGTGTTTCTTGACTCTAAATGTTATTAAAAGAAGAATGTAAAAAATGAGTTCAGAGTTTGTAGTATGTCTATGACATGAAAATGAATTTAAAGTTAGAGCTCTCCTTTTTTTAATGAGGAAATTATTCTGATGGTTTTTGAAGATGCAGTTCATAAAGATTGAAGTGATTATCCACATTAATGTTCATGATATCAAAACAGAGTTTAATCTAAAATAAATGTGTTCTTTTGCAGGATGAATCCTTAAAGCAATTGCAGGTAGTTCATCAACCATGGATCTTGCCAAGTGACACAGAAAGTGAAGGAGTGGAAGCAGAACAAGAGAAACGTGAGTAGACACTATTGTTTATTGACAAATTTCTTTTACCAGAAGGAAATCCACAATAAAGCTATTTCACTTTCATAGCAATAAACAACTTCTGTAAAAAAAAAAAAATCCAGACTCTGTTAGGAAGAACATGTAAAGACAAGCTATCCTTCAGGTCTATGTCTTCATTCAGTAACATCTTAATTATGGTACAGAGACTCATAGACTAACTTTCTAGAAAAAAAAAGCAATTCTTTCTAAAGACCAACATAGACTGTCTAGTTGGAATATGAATCTTCTATGAATAGTCTACGATTACATCAGTGATAATTTATAATTATTTTCAAAATTTCAAAGTATGTCAGGATCAGCTGATTATTATATATGAAATTATACTCATTAGTTAAATGAAGATATTTACATATGTAGACACTGTTCTAAGTTCACAAAACAAGTTAATATTATAAGATAACTGAAAACAAGTAGACTAATGGCTCTTGGTTCAAGTCACCATATTCTAATAATAATGAGGAATGAATCACTATACTAATGCCATGGCTCAGTGCATGCTCTCCAGGGTTTGTTGAAATTGTAAGACATATGGGCCCAGAAATCTGGTTGAGAAGTTAGTATCAAATTTTATTTATTTATTTTTCTAGTGGTAGCCCTCAGAGAAAAATAACAATTGTATGTGATAATGTAGCCCTCATGATAATTGGTGTGATGTGATGAATAAATAATTCTCCTGAGCCATAACCATGAGAAATACTGATATGTTACATAGGTAGCATTATAATCATGAATCTGGAGAATCCAGGAAATTACACTTCCAGGTTAAAAGCCATTTTAAAATGTTCTTATCCCACTTCCCCACTTCCATACTGTGGGTTTATGTGGTCAGAGGGAGCACAGGCATGAGAGTGAGTGCTCAGGTTAGAGGAGGAGGATGGAGGCCAAGGTTCACTCAGCTGTCACATTCAGGAATAGAGTAAAAAACACAGTGGTACTTTATAGATTCTATTGAAGGAAAACAGCAACCATCTTCTATAGAAAACAACTGATAGGCTGGGCATGGTGGCTCACCCCTGTAATCCCAGCATTTTGGGAGGCCAAGGTGGGCAGATCACCAGGTCAAGAGATGGAGACCATCCAGGCCAACATGGTGAAACCCCGTCACTACTAAAAATGCAAAAATTAGCTGGCCATGGTGGTGCTCACCTGTAGTCCCAGCTCCTTGGGAGGCTGAGGCAGGAGAATTGCTTGAAACTGGGAGGCGGAGGTTGCAGTAAGCCGAGATCGCGCCACTGCACTCCCGCCTGGCGACAGAGCGAGACTCCGTCTAAAAAAAAAAAAGATAACAACTGATAAAGATGGAGAAAGTAGAATGTACTTTAAGCAAGTACAAAAGCAAAGAGTATTTTGGAAGTCCCTTAATGCAAGGAATCCTAAGTAAAATGGTTTAGAAAATATAATACTGTGGGATACAGAGAAAATAATCCCCAAATGTGAAAGTATTAATAGTGCTCCAAAAGTTTTATGAAAAAATGCAAACATATCCACATCCCCCCATCTTCCCACATATTTAAATATACATAATCTCTCATTCTAGATTTTGGCTGTAGTGGTTTTTCACCAATTCTTTTGAGGCCTTCGAAAATTTCATGTTAAAAAAAACCTTCAAGCACTGTGGGTGTGTATTGTATAAACACAATATGGGAAAGTGTGCTAGTTTTACTGTTAGATCCTACAAGAGGTGCCCAAAGTGGGCAAAACTGGTAAACAACATCCTTATAGAATGCAGAGCATGTTAATTATATGAGTGTGCTATATTTTATAATAAACTAAAACTTAGACAAGAAAATAATCCATCAAAATAGTATATTATATCCAGTTTCAAATTTAGTCTTCTTTTCTTTTCCTTAAATCCATATATCTCCAATCAATATTAAGAGTAGAAAACATAGCCTAATCATGTAAAGGATATGCAAATCCCCAGAACTTTCTTCAACCCTTGTCACCTAATACGCATTGCCTTTCTGCTTATATTTTTACAATATTTTGGCAATAAGTTTTAATTTTCTTCTCTTCTACTAGGGTACAAGTTATTTGAGGGAAAGGGTCCATTCCCTTTTTCATCTTATTGAGACACAAAATAAGCCTTCAATAAATATCAGAAGAATTAGTAAATGAATGAGAAAATGAATGGATTTATTTTTTTCCAACTTGTTTATCAGGACAGCTAGAAATTAAAAAATAAAACAAAATAACTATTATAACTATGAATAACTGTTATAAAAGTTATTTATACTTTTATTAAAATTTTAATATTGGATTTATAGTTTATCCATGGGTTTTGCTAAATGGTCCATCAATCACTCTAAGAAAGTCCATTCCTGAACTCTTGTAACCATAGAACTAGAACCAAAAATATTTGATCTTAGCAATGTTGTACTGGGAGATGACCCTTGACAATGGTAAATTGCTTGAAATAAAATCAGGGTTTAAAGTAATTGGGTAGTAATGGGAGCCATCTGGAAATGGAATGCTAGTTAGCATTGTAGCCAAGCTCCCAGCACAGAGATGCAAATAAGAGTAGCTTCCATCAACCAGGTGCTGGGACATGTATACATTGGAGCCACTGAAGCATTGGTATCTCCACTGATACTTTCAGTCAACGCATGTGGTTTGCAGAACAGCTGGCTAGATATGCATAGATCATCTGCCTCTGTCTCAGGAAAAGGAAATAAATGACATAAATCTTTGTGAGCCCAGTATCTGATTTAGAATTTACAGGCTCATATCCTAGAAACTTATGAGTGAGGAAGATGACAAGTTTATCATTTCAACAACACCTGTTTCTTGACTCAGCTTTCTATAAATTATGCCTAGGTAATTTTATGGGATTGTCTAATTTCTCTTGAGACAAGATCATCTTGGCAGATAGCTTCCAAATAACGTCAGGGGTAATGCATATTTCTTATTGCACCATTTAAAAATAAGACTTAGCTCAAATAAATTTTTATAAATCAGCACCTTTAGGAAAAGATATTGTGAACAATTAAATAGGGAGCTTTATAAACTTTTTATAAGCAAGATAAGCAAAACCCTTGATTAAATAGATTTTTTTCTTTGCTTTTAATTAAAAAGTATAAATTCAAGTGTGAAAAAACTTGTGTCAGGGTTGTGTTTCTTTCTAATCTCTCAGATTATGGTCTGAAGTCACTAAACAAATCAAATTCCAAATATTTGAATCTACTGGGGTACTTGTTTAACACTCATATTCTGGGACTCTATTTCAGACCTACTAAATCAGAATCTCTGTGGCTGGGACTCTGAATTCTGCATTTTTCATACTTTGGTAATATTTGCTTATTCTAAAAGTTGAGAACTAGAAGAAAAATTTCAATGAGTCAGAGGGTTATGTTTTCTGAATCAGCTTCATAGTATTGTTAAACTTTGGGTCTTCTTTTTCTAGGCTTCTTTCCTCATCTATAAATAAGTTTGAATATAAAATGTGAGTCTGGAGAAAAAGGAAGGCTAAAATTTGAAGAAATATACATGGAGAAGACATGCAAGACAGTGTATTAGTCGGTTTTCACACTGCTATAAAGAACTGCCTGAGACTGGGTAATTGTAAAGAAAAAAGGTTTAATTGACTCACAGTTCCCCATGTCTGGGGAGGCCTCAGGAAACTTACAGTCATGGCAGAAGGAAAAGGAGAAGCAAGCACTTTCTTCTAAGGAGAGAGAGAGAGCAGTGAAAGCCACACATTTTTAAACCATCAGCTCTCGTGAGAACTCATTATCAAGAGAACAACAAGGGGGATATCTGCCCCCATGATCCAACTACCTCCCACCAGGCCCCTCTTCTGACACATGGGGATTACAATTTGACATGAGATTTGGGTGGGGACACTGAGCCAAATAATATCAGACAGGTCCTCCAGACTGTGGGTTCAATGCTTACAAAATCAAAACACAAAACATTTAGAATCAATTTAGCCAGTACCCTCTAATTACATTTTAGATTTTTAAAAACACAAATAAATAAGCTAAAAACACACAAGCAAACAAACAACCAAACCAAACCAAACCAACAAAACAACACAAATGTCCCAAATAAAGAAATAATAGCCAAAGTCACAGATGAAAGCTAATGCTGTCATAAAACATTAAGACTTCCCCACTTGGGTTTGGGTCCTAGTTCTTCCTGAGGTCTTAATGTCTGTAACAATAGGTAATTTGGCCCTGGGTCTCCTTAAGGCAGGGAGATTGAGATGATGACACGGTATAGAGCCTGTCACCTGCAAGGACTGACTCAGGTATAAAAAGGGAAATAAAATACCTGTACTCTCTAACTGTGGAACAAGCCATGAAATTTGCTATTGGTATTAGACTTTGAACGAAAAATGTAAAGATACACATAGGGAATCAAACTCTCAGCTCTGTACTTTGGTTATTCGGTTCAAACTTAAACTATCTGTATTGTCAGAAACCCCACATTATAATAACAATTGGCCAGCTTCATTAAAATTCACAGGGTCCTCTCATGTGTAAATGTAAGAACTGGGGCATTTAGAACTCCCAAAGATTTAAATATCAACTCCTGCTGAAGACGAGCTCTCAATCAAATTACAAGCTGCCTGAAAAGTTATAGTAAAACAACAGAGTCAGCAAATGCTAAAAACACTAGAATTAGAATGATGAGAAAGGAAAGAAATAAGACAATCAGAAAGAGACCATATTAAAAGTATGCTTAAGATATTTAAAGATATAGATCAGGCGCAATGGCTCACGTCTGTAATCCCAGCACTTTCGGAGGCCAAGGCGGGCAGATCACGAGGTCAGGAGATCGAGACCATCCTGGCTAACACGGTGAAACGCCGTCTCTACTAAAAATACAAAAAATTAGTCGGGCGTGGTGGCACACGCCTGTAATCCCAGCTACTCGGGAGGCTGAGGCAGGAGAATCGTTTGAACCCGGGAGGTGGAGGTTGCAGTGAGCCGAGATCACACCACTGCACTCCAGCCTGGGTGACAGAGTGAGACTCCATCTCAAAAAAAAAAAAAAAAAAAAAAAAAAAAAAGATATTTAAAGATAGAAAAGGAAAAGGAACCATACTGAAAGAATTCTAAAGTAAGGAAAAAGACAAAGAGATATTTAAAAGATTATCAAGAACTTCTCCAAGTAAAAAAATAGTTACTGAAATTAAAAACTTAATGTTTTAAATATCTCATTAAAAAATTCTGAAGATAGAATTAGATGAAAGAAAAATAGAAAGTTTGCCAGAAAGCAATAAAAAATATAAAGAGATGGAAAATTGAAATTTCAGGTTAAGTGGCATGTGATATGTGTGTGTATGAGTGTGTGTGTGTATGTGTGTATGTATGCATATATAAAAATACATACATGTACTTACAAACATATATAGATACAGCTTTTAATATATATGTGTATATGTATACATACACAAACATACATATATATTATAAGCTGCATATAGTACAATCTCCACAAGAGAAAATAGAAGAAAGGCAATAGTGAAAGATACAGTGACTAAAAAATTTTCCAGAATTAATGGAAAGTTTTAATTCTCAAATTGGAAAGCATAACAAACTCTATTTATTTTGATATTCACATTGTAAAAATACAGAATATCACAAAGAAAGAAAATCTAAAAAACAACAAGAAAAAGCACATAGATTGTATAAAAATAGTAAAGTTAAACAGTGGAATTTTCTTCAGTTAAAACTACATACTTCCAAAAGGCTGAGAGTAAATCTTGTGCCCAGAGAAACTACTGTGTATGAGTGATCACTACTCACAGATCTTTACTGAAGAAATTGTTCTAGGTTATATTTCAGTAGAAAAATAGTTGATTCCAGAAGGATTTTCAAGTATTAAAAAAGCAAATATTAGAAGAAAAACTGGTAAACATGTTGTCAACCTTTAAGAATTACTGGCAAACATAAAAAGGAACAAGATCATATTCTTTGCAGGGACATGGATGAAGGTGGAGGCCATTATCCTCAGCAAACCAACGCAAAGACAGAAAACCAAACACCAAGTGTTCTCACTTATAAGTGGGAGCTGAATGATGAGAACACATGGACACATGCAGGGGAACAACACTGGGGCCTGTCTGAAGTAGGGCAGAGCATCAGGAAGAATAGCTAATGGATGCTGGGCTTAATACCTATAGGTGGTGGGATAATCTATGCAGCAAACCACCATGGCACACATTTACCTATGTAACAAACCTGCACGTCCTGCCCATGCACCCTGAACTTGAAATAAAATAAAAGTTGAAGATTAAAAAAATTACTGGCAAAAATTAAAAAAAGTATTAATTTCCAATAGAAAACAGGAAATGAGGGGGAGAAAAATATGGTACGTATAAAAATGTATTGGTATAAATAAGTCTAAATAGTTCATAATTACAAAAACCTGGTATAATAAATAAATGGTGATGTGAAAGTGCTGCTTAATCTAGTTTCATTTATTATTAACATAACAAATGTTATATTCATAAGCTATGAGGGTCTTTAAACTTATAGGTGCATGCAGGTTGAGTATCTCTTATCTGAAATTATTGGAACCAGAAGTGTTTCAGATTTTTGATATTTTTGATTTCGGAATTTTTTTTCTGTTTTTAAAAATTTCTTTGAGACAATGTGACAGGGTCTCACTCTGTCACCCAGACTGGAGTGCAGGGGGGCAATCACAGCTCACTGAAACCTCTGCCTCCAGGGCTCAAGCGATCCTCCCACCTCAGCCTCCCAAGTAGCTGGGACTACAGATGTGCACCACCACACTTGGCTATTCTTTTTATTTTTGTAGAAACAAGGTCTCGCTATATTGCCCAGGCTGGTCTCGAACTCCTGGGCTCAAGCAATCCTCCCCTCCCTGCCCTCCCAAAGTGCTGGGATTACTGGCATGAATCATTGTGCCCAGTATATAAATATAAATATATATATATATATATATATATTTTTTTTTTTTTTTTTTAGACAGGCTCTTGCTCTGTCACCCAGGCTGGACTGCAGTGGCACAATCATAGCTCACTGCAGCCTCAACCTTCTGGGGCCAAGTGATTCTCCCACTGGGACTACAGGTTTACACCACCACACCTGGCTAGTTTTTGTACTTTTTGTAGTGACAATATTTCACCATGTTGCCCAGGTTGGTCTTGAACCCCTTGGTTCAAGTGATCTGTCTGCCTCAGCTTCCCAAAGTGCTAGGATTACAGACATGAGCCACATGCCTAGCCAGATTTTGGAATGTTTGTATTATACATACCAGTTGAGGACCCATAAACATCCTAAATCTAAAATCTGAAATCAGCATTTCCTTTGTACGTCATGTCAATGCTCAAAATGTTTTAGATTTGGGAACATTTTGGAGTTTGGATTTTCAGATTTTTGGATAAGGGATACTCTGTATATGTATATTCATATACTCTATAGGTAACTGTTAATTTTTATTTGTTCTATTTTTATTCTGTTCCTCAGATTGCATAATGTACATTGACCTATCTTCAAGTTATTTTTTCCATTATGACTGTTAAAATCTGCTGTTGAGCCCTTCTAGTGGATTTTTATTTCCATTTCAGAATTTCTAGTTTGTTCCCTTTATAATTTGTATCTCTTTACTGCTGGTCTCCATTTGGTGACCCATCATTCTCATACTGTAATTTATTTGACATAATTGCCTTTAGTTGTTTGAATATATTATAGTAGCCCCGATTAAAAGTCTTTGTCTGGTAAGTTAATCATCTGGACTTCCTCATGGACAGTTTTTATTGACTGCTTTTTTTTTTTTTTTTCCTATTTATGGGCCACAATTTCTTGTTTCTTGGCATGTCATTTATTATTTTTGTTTTGTTGTTGAAAACTGGACATGTAATATAACATAATGTGGAAACTCTGGACTTCAGACCCTTTCTCCTAGGGTTTGTTATTGCTGCTGTTTGTTTTGCTGTTGCTGCTGCTGCTGCTGTTTCTTTATCTAGCAACTTCTGTGAAGTAATGCAGGTCAAGTCTATGTTACCTGTTGTACTCAGCCATTGAAGTCTCTGCTAAGTAGCATAGTGGTCAGCTAATGACTGGACAGGTGTCAAGGCATTTTATGAACACTCAAGTAGTTTTTAACTCTGCTTCCACAGAGCCTCTATGTCAACCAGAGGTGAGAGATAGAGCCTTATGTAGAGCTTTATGGAGTCTTTCCTAATAGGTGCACAGCACTACACATCTCTGTGGCCTTCCATGGAAGTCTCATTTACCAGATTTTCTTCTAAACTTTTTTGGTAAGCTTCTTGTTTAGCCCAGCTGGTATCACTCCCTTAGACAGCTGTGATGTAACCCTACTGTCCCTGATTGTTTTTGACAAACATCCTAAGGGCAGAGGTTCTCACTGAGTGAGCTTTAATTCAAGTGAAATAAAGAACAGCCCTTTAAGGCAGCTTCCATATAAGTCAAGGAGTGACAATTGTCTGAGGGTGCCGCATTTGGGAAAACGTCAAATACATCCTTCCCTCTCTAACAGTTGCTAGGCTGCCTGGTTCACAGCCACTGTCATTGTGAGTCTGCTGATTTTTAAGGCTACTGCAGAGCTAGAGAGAAGTGTATTGACATACGGCAAGTTAAAACCCCACATAACTCACTTGTTCTTATTGAGATTCAGCCGTTTTTCTTGAGTTAATGTTCTATGGGTTGTTGTAAGCCTTTGGTTTATTGCCAGAGTTCTGAAAAAAGTTAATTTTGATGATTATTTTTGCCATTGTTCTTATTGCTTTTCAGGAGCCCCTGATTTTTGGAGATTCCTATACCACCTTTCTGCAAGTGTTTCTCTACTCCTATAGTCCTTGATTTCATCAGCTTAGTTTTCTCTTTATTTGAGGAATGGAAGTATGATATTTTCAAAATCGGGTATAGAACCAGATTAAATCTGCCTCTTTGGGCCCTAGTTTCATGAGAAGCTATTAAAAACAATTCTGTGGAAAAATAAGTTTTGGTAAAGTCTGCATATTACAATATTTGAGAAATTCATAATTGTAAGACCATATCATTGATATAACAACAGCTTTTCAAGAGGAGCAAAGCAACTCTATAATTTTAAATGAACAGATCAAATATAATAAGCATCCTGGTTTAAAATGGGGGAAATGTTGTCCATTATTGGACTTGAGGAAATGGCACAGAGACTCTTCTAAAATATTTACATAATCCAATCACTGGGTAGTCCTGTGGCAATGAGATCTGCATGACTTTGATTAGTTCAGCTTTTGAAAAATATATTTGAGTTCTTCTTTTTTTTTTTTTTTTTTTTTTGAGACAGTGTCTTGCTCTGTCGCTGAGGCTGGAGTGCAGTGGCGCTAACTCGGCTCACTGCAACCTCTGCCTCTTGCATTCAAGCAATTCTCTTGCCTCAGCCTGCCGAGTAGCTGGGATTACAGGCACATGCCACCACGCCTGGCTAATTTTTGTATTTTTAGTAGAGATGGGGTTTCACCATGTTGGTCAGGCTGGCCTCAAACTCCTGATCTTAGGTGATCCACCCACCTTGGCCTCCCAAAGTGCTGGGATTACTGGCGTGAGCCACCGCACCCAGCCTATTTGAGTTCTTGTAGAATGCCTATGCACGTCTATTTTCAGAATGCCTATAATTTGCAGAATCTATTAATTTTTGGAAGAAGAAGTGCTCTAAGCGCTTAGGAGAGGCTAATCTAATCTAATCATCTCAGTCTTAATTCTCTCAATTTAGTGATGGGGAAATTGAAGTTCCAAGAGACTGTGGACCTGTTCATGTCACTTAATTAGTGGCAGAGGCAGGACTAGAATGAAGGTCTCCTGATTGGGCTCAGTCCTATTCATTTTCATTGACCCATGCTTCACTCATGACTTCCCCTCTCATTACTAGGAGTGACACAGTTGATGCTATGACTCCTGAGAGCAGAAGAGCTTAGTACAATAAGTGGAGCTACCATATTCCATTGGCCACCCAGAATGTGGCCAGGTTTTTCACCTTTAAAAAAAAAAAAGTTTCTTCTCCTTCACCTAACCTCAGGTTACTTGTTTCCAGGCAGTCTCCCAAGATTTGTATTTGAGCAATATTTGAGATAGTGGTACTGGGGTGTTAGAGTTGATTATGTCACCAGGCTCAAGATAAGGTACTAACAGATTGATCTAGCTAATGACGACATGAAAGGGATGGGTCAGAAAGTGTGCACTGTATGGAATATAAAGGCTAAAATGAGTTAATAGTCAATTAGGTCAGATAAGTGTCAGGGCTTCATGAGGATTGTGGCATCAGAAATAGGCACTAGAGATTTGGGTATACATTTCTCAGGAAAAAAGTGAGACAGGACTTTGGTGCTTTGTTAGTATTTAAAGGTCAGCTAGGGTATCTCACACAACACAAATATTTGTAGAGAAAAGACATAACACTCACTGGAAACAACTAAGAATAAAACAACAATAGTAGTACAATAAAAACACATGAAGACAGCTAGAAAAATGAGCTCTTAAAGAAAAAAAGACAAAACTTTCTAGTAGTCTGTAGTAGGTTCTTTCAGAAGATCAAAAGAAATCTTGATAATTTTTCCTTTTTAAAAATTTTATTTATTTGTTTATTTATTTATATATTTAGCTTTTAAATAGAGACAAGGTCTTGCTATGTTGCCCAAGCTGGTCTCAAACTCCTTGAGCTCAAGTGCTCCTCCTGCCTTGGCCTTGCAAAGTGTTAGGATTACAGGTGTGAAGCATTATGTCTGGCTTTTTTTTTTTTTTTTTTTTAAACAGAGTCTCATTCTGTCACCCAGGCTGAAGTGCAGTGTGCAGTGGCGTGATCACAGCTCACTGCAGCCTGGACCTTCCCAGGCTTGATAATTTTTTAATCCTACATCTTCATTTTCAACATATTATGAGCTTCAGAAAGTTCTAAAGCGTCTAAAAAGTTCAGGGCATCTAAACTCTTATCAGATGATAAATCTCTAAATTAGGTATATCAGATATCTGCATATTTGTTATGCTACTATCATAAATATTTTAGGATTGATCTTTAACCCATAAATATAAAAATAAGGTAAAAACAATTACTGTCAATTATTTGTTAAAAGCAAAACATTCCAATGCCAAATTGCAATTTTTCATTATAATACTGGTTGTAGAGAATTATTTGGATCTGAATAACTTCTTTACAGTTTCTAGAGGGCAAATGCCTCTGAATCATTTGTGTGCTATTCTTATTTTGAAATGTTCCCCATGTTTGTGGTAAAACTGTGATATTATGAAAGGTCCAATTGATTCCTAAGGCCCTAGAAAAAAATTTAAAGAGTAACATTTAGTAACATATAAAACTTAATCTCACCACATAAAGTATTATTAAGTGTAATGGAAAAATGTGTCAAGTTGCTCAACAATATATAAGGTTACATGCTTCAGACTACCTGCTTTGTTTATTAACATGTCTTTGTCATGTGCAATACTCACCAGAAAATGTCATAACAAGCATCAGAGAAGGCTGTATTTAAACAATGAGATGATAGAACTATTCTTTTACAATGCATAATTATTTGGATTGGAGCAATGCGTGGAGTTGAAGTCTTTAAAAGTTAGAATAGGGGATGCATGGCCCAAATTTTTGTTATTTTTAAAAATCAGAGTTATAAAGGAGCGGCACATGTTTTTAATTATTTTATTAAACACTTTTTATTTGTCTTGGAATATTCTTATATTTGCTCCAGGTGTGGCCTACAACTACAAAATAAAAGAAAATCTACTTCATTCTTTAACCTTGATGGACGTAGGTTATAGGTCAGCCTTATATCAGATGGAGCATATCTTTCACAAGTAGGAATGTATTGGCTGACTGCAAGCAAAGCCTATTGTTTTTCTCTATGGATTGTTTTGTATATTTTTTGTCACTGCAAGAACTTGAGCATATTCATACCAGCCAAGGTGTTTCATGATTTTCTTTGGCTCTTTTTGAAGCATTGACCTGCTTCACCTCCTCAAATTAAACAGATCTGAGATTTTTATCCCAAACCAGGAATTTAGTTAAGATTTTCCAATGAGTCTCATAAACCCTATGGGCCAGATTACCCCCTTAAAGCAATCATATTTGTGGATCTTGAAAAGTCAACATACATATACTGAGAAGCTACCATATGTTGGGCTTTCTTGTGTGTTTCCCCTATCAAGTTATAGAGAAGTCCATAAGCATCTGAAGCATTAGGCACACTGTTTCTTAAGAGAAGTAAAATGTTAAAGAAACCATAGGAAGGAAATATCACAGAGTTGACAGTAGAAACACGAGATTGGAGAGATTGGAGAGATCTTCATGAGGCAAATGGTGTTTGAACTGAGGGATGCATAATATTTTGAAGGGCAGGGATGGACAAGAAGGTCATATAGGCAAGAACCACAGCATGGGCAAGGACACAAAGACAGGAAGAATACTGGTTACACTTGATGGCCCAGGAAACATAGCAATTAATACTGTTTGGGGAGACACATTAGACACAGGGGGTGAGAAGGAAATATGCCTGGAAAACTAAGTCATGAGAAGAGCAGAGAGGGTCCAGGTTGTAAAGATAAGAAGTGTGAATTGATTAAGTAGATAGCAGGAAAACCTTTGCATAGGGAAGAACTCTAATGAGAGCATTTATATCTGTAGCTTTGGATTCAAATAATTCAAAACTTGAGGAGGCCCAGGTGTCTGGCTCTTTGCATATGTCATGAATTGATGAGAAGAAAACTGGGTTCTAAACTACCTCTGCACTAGTCCTATCTCAAAGAGTAAGCACCTCCCTGAGACACATTTTTTGTACAAAAGACTGTAGAGTAATTTGGGTTTTTTTTAAGAAAGCTATCTATCTTCTTTATTAGGCAGAGAGTAAAGTTAGACCAATAGTGCAGCCTAGCTCATAGGAGGATGAAACAAATAATTTAAGAAGTGCTTTTTAAAACTTTGCTTTTACTGAGTATAGTTATTAATCTAAACAACAGTAAATATATGTAACTGGGTTATATTTTTAATTCTGTAAAACTTGATTAATTTTCAGAGTAAGCCCTTACCTGAAGTTCCAAAGTATACATGACTACTTCCTATAAATGGATTGCAAATTTTATGTGGCTGTTTTCTCACTGTATAGGTAGTCTCATTGACTCATAAAATTTTAAAGATAGGAAATATCCACCCAACCTCTTAATTTTACAAGTGAGGAAACTGAAGCCCAAAAGAATGACAGTGACTTTTCAGGGCTCTTTAGCTACTTTGTTGATAAGAGGTCAGAAATAAATAAAATTCTACAGAAGTTAGCACACTCTGCTTTCTACGTTCTTCGGCTTTTCTTTTGCTTCAGTGTTGGTGTTCTGAATCCAAAATAAAGAATTCAGATTAGGCCTCTTTAAATGAAAAATAAATGCATATGCAGAGGAGGGATATTCAGGGAATTTATTGTCTATGAGGCTATGTTTACATATTTTCTCTTCTAATTGAGATTTCTTTCTTAATTTTAGATATAACTTTTGAGAAAAACTGCTATTTTGGAATGGCTTACTGCTTTTGTTAAAAGCCTCTCCCAGGGCTCAAGCTGATAGCTAAGGCTGGGGTTTCAAAAGGCACTAAGTGATTGTTTATCTTTGTATTGTAATGTTTAAGAAGAAGAGACTATGAATTACCAGCCCATGGGCTGGGTGTGTCTGCAGATGTGCTTTGTTTGGCCAGAACAATCTTTTAACAAAAATAAATTTAACATTTAAAAATTAGGAGATCTCAAAAAGTTTGGATACTCTCTTTGAAAAACAGAAGATACGGCAATACTAGGCTTGCCTTCTCTCATAGTAAGAATTAGCTTGAGCCGAACATACTGTCCAGTTTGCCATGGTTTCTCCCAATCCAGAATGTTCTCCAACCAATTTGTTTCATTCATTTACCTTCCATTCCTACCTTGGTCAGAATTTAAGGTTGCTATCTCTACCCTCTGATAAGGTAATAAGTTTTCCTTGTTAGCCAAAATTGTTTCCCTCTAGCTGCCCAAGGGTTTTCAATTCATACTGTCATACTGCATTTAAAAAATGTTAACAGTGTCTGAATCCTTCCTGCTAACCAGCAGCTTCTTTCACAAATATACTCTATAGTGTTGATAGGATTAAGTCCACAAAGATTCACATTCAGAACTTAAGGTAAATTAGTTTTGTCTGATGGCATTTAGGTAATTCTCAGAATCTATCTAATGGAAAGAGGAAATACGATGCTTTAATTTGAAGGGGATATGTTTAATAAGGAAAAATAATAAATAGTAAAATTAAAATCACCTATAATCTCACCATCCCAAAATACCCTCTGTGATTACTGTGTTGTTTTTAATGCAGTAATTAAAAAAAAAAAAAGATTCTCATGTGCATTCTCTCTCACACAGGCATGTGCGTACATACATATCCACACCTGAGATCATCTATACAATCATTCATACAATAATATATGATAATATACATTCTATATACAGCTTTATAAAGTGGCTTTAGCATTATATTATAAATATTTTCCATATTGTCAAATAGTCCTCTGTAAGATAATTTCTTTATTTTTTATTTTTTTTGAGATGGAGTTTTGCTCTTGTTGCCCAGGCTGGAATGGAATGGTGCAATCTTGGCATACCACAACCTCTCCCTCCCAAGTTCAAGTGATTCTCCTGCCTCAGCCTCCCGAGTAGCTGGGATTACAGGCATGCACCACCATGCCTGGCTAATTTTGTATTTTTAGTAGAGAAGGGGTTTCTCCATGTTGGTCAGGCTGGTCTTGAACTCCCGACCTCAGGTGATCCACCTGCCTCGACCTCCCAAAATGCTGGGATTACAGGCGTGAGCCACCATGCCCAGCTGGTGTAAGATGATTTTTAAAATAAGTACATAGCATTTTATTATCTGGATGTACTATAACTTATTTAATCACTCTTCTACAGTTCATATGCCATTTAAAACTTAATTACGATTATTATTTGAGACAAGTTCTGTCTCTTGCTGAGGCTGGAGAGCTGTGGTGTGATCTCAGCTCATTGCAACCTCTGCCTCCCGGGCTCACACCATCCTCTCACCTCAGCCTCCCGAGTAGCTGGGACTACAGGGGTATGCCACCATGCCAGATAATTTTTGTAGTTTTTGTGGAGACAAGGTTTCCCCATGTTGCCCAGGCTGGTCTCAAACTCATGAGCTCAAGCAATCTGCCTCTTTAGGAGGCAATGGGCCTGCCAAAGTTTTCGGGCTACAGGCATGCACCACCGTGTCCAGCCTAAAATCATTTTAAATAATACCATGAAGAATATATTTGTGCATTCAATTTTACATGTATTAGTGATACATATTTTCAAAGTTTGTTAGACAAACCTGAAAATTCAAATGTAACACAGAACTTTCTAGAAAATACAATTTACCAAAGCTGACACACAGGAAATAGAAAATCTGAGTAGTCGTATATCTATTAAAAATTAAATTAATAATTTAAAAACCTCATATTAAAATATATTCAGGCCCATATGGGGCCTGAATTCTTTTAAACTTTTAAGAAATAATTCTAATATTATGCAAACACTTCCATAGAATACAAGAGGAAACACTTCCCAATCCATTTTATGAGACTAGCTAACCTCGATTCCAATACATAACAGAAGAATTATAAGAAAGAAAAACTTTTTGCCAAATAAGCCAATTGACTTATGAACATAGATATAAAAATTCTAAACAAATTGGTACTAAACCAATTCCTATCATGTATAAAGGGTAATACATCCCTACTACATTGAGTTTATTGCAGAAATGTATTACCAGATTAATTTTTGAAAATTAATCAGGAAATTAGCCACACTAGCATAATAAATGAGATAAATAATGTCAATAATGCATAAAAAGTGTTTGATAAATATTGACATCTAATCATGACAAAAAATTCAGTGGCTTTGAAACGTAAGAAAAATTTCTTAATCTAAAAAAAAAGCGTATTTCCAAAAATCCTACAGCAAACATCATACTTGATGAATTACTGAAGCATTTCTCTTTTAGGTCAGGGATGACCTAAAAGACCAAAATTTCTACGATAATCAAATGAGACCAAAATTTCTACGATAATCAGGAAAAATCTAAACAATTGTTTTTAAATATGCTTTGATACCTTGTTAAAATATACAGAAAAGCAAGTAAATGCGTACATATAAGATAATAGATAGTTTTGTGCAGGTAATAATGATTGAGCTTCAGGGCTGTCAGAATTATATTTCTTAACTTAGATGGTGATCAGTGGGTCATTTTTTTTTAACTGAATTATACTTTTTGTAGTACTTTTTTGCATATTACATTTCACAAATTAAAAAATAGGCAGTGTTGAAAGTGTTCTTGATTTTCTAATAGCTTAGAATAATATTTTTGTGTTGCTTATGAACACTTATTACAAACATTTCTATGTAGAGAATTTAGTTTGGTAGTTCGTGAAAGGTTCACTGTCAACTGACAATTTTTAAAAAAAAATCATCAGTAACATCTTCAATGTATCTGCAGTGGTAATGAATCTAGTTTCAGAATAATTGCAGTCTAACAAAGCATCCTTACTGATGCCACTGCAAATCAATTTTCCTCAACTTTGCTGTCATTTTCTCATTTAAGGCCCTATGTATTGAAACTTAACAATTAAGAGCCAAATCTGCCATCTTCAAACTTTTGCAATTGTTTTATAATGCTCATGTTTTCCCCTCAATTAAAATAAAATACCCCTGAGGACAGATAGCAGATGTTACTTATTCTGTACTTTTCGGAGCATCTTGGCTAGAGATTTAATACCTAAGTGCTAAATAACATGCTTTTATAAATCAAATCAGATGCAAGAATTTTATAAATACCCTTGAAGAAATATAATATTATTTTCATCAGTCAATATGGTAGAGCTAAGTATCCCCTTTATTAATTGCATATAGAATTTCAGAAAAACAACTGGGTTTAATTCATCTATTTAACTTTAACTATAACCTTCAATTGAGAGGCCAAGGCAGACAGATTGCTTGAGCCCAGGAGTTTGAGACCAGCCTGGGCAACATGGCGAAACCCCATCTCTACTAAAAGTACTTTTAAAATTAGGTGCATATCTGTATTCCTAGCTACTTGGTACTTGGGAGGCTGAGGCAAGAGGATCACCTGAGCCGGGGAGGTCGATGCTGCAGTGAGCTGTGATTGCACCAGGGCACTCCAGCCTGGATGACAAGAGTAAGACCCTGCCTCAAAATAAATAAATAAACAAACAAACAAATAAATAAATAAATATTAAAAGACAAGCTAGATTAAGATGAGGAAGGATTCAGGCAGAATAAATACCCTCAATTTTTACTCTCTTCCATTCCTTCCTTCTTAGCTGAGGCTCCTTATGGCAAAACCTACATATAAGGAGAGGGTTTGGGAATTCTGTTGATATAGACCACAAACGTCAGTCCCCTGAAGCAAAGAACTTGGTATTAAAGACAGAAATTATATCTGGCAGAAAAATAGAAGATATCTGGCACAAGGCAGATGCCTGCCTCATTGAATTTCAGGCTTGCATTTTTTTTCTGATATGTAGGTTTAAGTTTTAAATGTTTCCTCTAAGTCCAGCTTTGTTTTCATCCTGCATTTATTTTGTTGAAAGAACAAGCTCTGTATGGATGGTTTAAATCATTTGAAATGTGTTGAGACTTCCTTAATGATCCAGTAAATGACCAGCTTTGGGCAAATGTTTAGAAGCACCAAGTTCTAGGAAAACAATGGTAAAATGTATTTTGCTGTTGTTGGGTGGAGTTTTCTTTATGTGTCCATTAGGTAGAGGTGGCTGATTGTGTTGTTCAAATATTCCGTCTTCTTACTGTATGTTTTGGGGGGTGTTGTTTTATCAGTTAGCAAGAGCTGTGTGTCAACACCTCCTGCTATGACTATGGATTTAACTGTTTCTCTTTGTATCAGTTCCTGCTTTATAAATTTTGGTGCTATATTAGTTTTATATAAATTTAAAAGTGTATCTTCCTGGTGAATTGAACTTTTTATTATTAGGAGATATTTCCTTGTATCCCTAGCAAATAATTCTGCATTAAATTCCACATTCTATGACATTGGTACCCCAGCTTTTTAAAAATTGGTTTGTATGGTATATGATTTTTATTCTCTAACTTTTCATTATTTCTGTAATCACATATATCAGACAATTCTCTTCAAAAACAACATGTAGTTAGGCTATTTGTTTAATCAATTCTAGCAGTCCTTTCTGTTTAACTCATTTAGTTTACTTGTGCGTAGTGTAATTATTATTATACTTATTTTTGAATTTACTATATTACCAACTTACTTTATACTTTATATTTTATTTTCTCCACTATATTATGTTTTCATTTTCCTTCTTTCTTGCCTTTTTTGGGATAATTTTTTTGTTATTGCTCTTTTATTCTATTTTAGCTTGAAGGTTATATACTCTTTTAAGATTCTTTCGATAGTTGTTCTTGAGATTGCAACAATGTATTGTTTAATGTAGAAAAGTCTCATGTCAATTGGTCCTTTTATATTTTAGCTTTGTAAAACTTAAAAAATGTTTAGCTTTGTATCTCTTCATCCCGAATTTTATAGGAGTATTGGCATGTATTTAAATCCCCTGTATATTTTAAAACACCATAAGGCTTTATTATTATTTTTAAATATTGCCAATATCCATTTATATTTTCCCAGTTTTATTCTGTTTGTCACTATTCCTTTTTTTCAATATCTCTGAAATTCCATATTGGATCACCTTTCTTCTGCCTAAATAAAAAAAAAGATTTGTTTTAGTTTGTAATTACTGGTGGTGAATTATCTTTGCCTGAAATTTCTCAATTTCTCCTTTTAAAGGATATTTTCACTGAGTATAAAAATCAAGAAAGTTTTTTTTCTTTCAGCACGTCAAAGATATCATTTTTTCTTTGTGTTGAGAAGATAAAATGATATCTGTCATTTTATTTTCACCTGTAGATTATTACTACTAATAATATTTTTAGTCACCTGTTAGATTATTACGTCTTCAAATGTTAACATTTTCCATTTGTCTTTTATTTTTGCAGCAGTTTTATCATAGTGTGCCTACATGTTATTAAGCTCAGTTTAATCCTAGGTTCTTTGTATTAGACTTGGATGAGCAAAGTGCTTCTAAATCTATCGTTTTTATATGTTTGGTAGCTGTGGATTGTGCCTTGTTCTCTTTTGAGTCTTGTTTTGGTTCCTTTTCCATTCAGCTATTGCTGCCTAACAAATCACCCCAAACCTTAGTGGTCTAAAACAATACTCACTCATTTAGTACATATATCTGCAATTTGGGCGGGGCTCAACAAGGAGGCTCATGCCTTTTCCATGACGTGTCAGCTGCAGTGATTTACCTGGGGCTGGAGATACACTTGCAAGATGGTTAACTCTCATGTCTAGTGAATTGGTGGTTACTGTTGGCTGAGAGTTTATTCAAGGCTGCAGGCCAAAGACCTTGATTTCTCTCCTGTAGACATTTCCTCATGCACCTCTCCATGAAATATTTGGACTTTTTCACATGATTGTAGCTAGATTATAAGAATAAAGACAGGAAGTGGAAAAGTCCTGTTCCTTAAGTCCTAAGCTTGGAAACTCACAGCACCACTTCTGCCATCTTTGTTTGGTCAAGCAGTTGTAGGTAATACAGTCAAGGTCAATGGACATGGTTCTACCACTTGGGAAAACAAAAGAATTTGAAGACTATGTTTTAAAATCACCAAAGCCTTCAATTACACATATGCTAGACATTCTAACTATATGCAAAATAATTCCCCTTAGTTCCTGCTCACATATTTTCATCCATTTAACTCTGAGTATAATTCTGAATAAATGTAGTGTGTTTCCCTCTTTAAATGCTATCAAATCTGCTGTTTAATATATACATTGACTTGTAGTTTTTTTATATTTTGGCATTTTTATTTGGTTCATTTGTAGTTTCTACTTCTTTCTAAAATTCTAGATATTATCTTTAATTTTCTTATTAAGCATATTTATTTTAAAATCCATGTTTGATAAGTTCATTATGTGATTCCTGTGGGTGTTTCTATTCTTTGGTGTTTTTTCTTGGCTTTAGAACACATGGCCTTGTCATCATGTGTGTCTGCTTATTTTTGATTAAGTGTTGAGCATTATATATGATATGTTGCAAAGATAATTTGAGGCCTAGGATGATGTTATCTTCTTCTAGAGAGTATTTTATCTTGCTTCTAGCAGAGGTGCAGGGAAACTAACAATCTGAGATTATTTGAATTAAATAAAAAAGAAAAAAGATTTTAAGTTGGGCTTTATTCCTTGAGAGGGCTGGTATATTTCCATTTTACCCTTACTCCTCCAGTGTGGCCTTTCGGCCTAGAAGCTTAAAACCTAGGGAATTTATTTGGGTAACATTTCTCAGTAAGATTACAACTCCACTTTTTTTTTTCCTTTAGCCTGGGAGGATTTTACAACCCTTCTTTAGGGTCTCAGCCTCTCAGGAGTCTCTCTGGAATTGGTAGATACCTTTAGAGGAAGCATGTCTCCAAATTCTGTGCTCATTTCTTTTTATTTCTTCATTATCTGGGATATTGGCCATTTAATACTTTACTGCTTTGATAGATGTTTGGTGCCTTCACACAGGTTTTTAAAAAATATTTTATCCAGCTATTCTATGCACTTTCAGTGAAATGCTTTATCCAAATAATTTATCCTGCTGTTACTGGATAGGGATTTTTACACTCTAATATAGTTCAATAAATTTGGGCAGAACCATTAAATATTCAGATTATTGCATTTTGTTTTCATGCAGTAGGAAAATATTTACTTTCTAATGGTTTTTATTTTTGCCAAACATAGTATGTGCTTGATAAATATTAGTTCTAAGTTTTTACTTTTAAGTATGTACCATATAAAATGGTTTCTATTTATGAAAAGAGCGTCAATGCAATCAGCCTGCTGTATCTACTGGGTTTTGCATCTGCAGATTCAACCAACCGTAGATCAAAAAATAATATATATATATATAAAGAAATAAAAAATAAAAACATTTGCATAACATTTATACTGTATTAGTTATTATAAGTAATGTAGAGATTATTTAAAATATATGAGAGAATATGCATAGGTTATTTGCAAATACTGTGCCATTTTTTATGAGGGACTTGAGCATTTTTTATAAGGGACTGTGCCATTTTTTATAAGGGACTTGGATTTTAATATCCGCAGGGGTCTTGGAACCCATAGGACAACTATATTTAGTTTATCTGCTCTCCTACAAGGACTTCAGTCTTTTGCTTATTATTAGGTTTCTATTTACTTTTACTGATGTAATTATTGACATAATATTCTTACTCCTTTATATAGTTTTGTTGCCAGCCACTTAAGTGTTCACTGTAATTACTAATGATTCACCCTTTTTTGTGAGCATACACATCTGCCACTTAACTTTCTCAGTGGGAGGCTCATTTCCTTTTTCTGGAGGCTATCATGAAGTGGAAAAAAACCTGGAAGTCAGAAGACTCAGCTAAGGTCTTGCTTCTTCCCGGTGGTCCCAGACTAGTAAATTGCAGAGAAAGGGCTTGCACTCAAGTGCATCTACAGTTGCCCAATTGTCAGATTTTAACTATAAGGGATATACTAACTACATGATAGTAAAGGCAAATGCTCTCCTCTAGGGTTCTCTGCTAAATACTTTCTGCCTTTTACTTACTAACTAGAAATGATTTCTCTTTCACCTGTAAAACTAGAGCTCATTTTTCTGTGTCTCTTAATTATTCTATGGCTTCTACATTCAATTTATGCCTCTGATACAATTTAGCACTACAGGGGAAAGGTTTTATAGTCCTAATTTGGGGCAAAAAGAGTGACCTCTCTATTAGATGAGTTCATAGGTGATATATTTGTCTTATGCAATGCTCTTAGGTGCTCTCCCAAGCTGGAGGAAAGGGTTTTGGAGCCAGCCATGGTGCATGCCTGTGGTCCCAGCTACTGAGAGGCTGAGGCAAGAGCCCAGGAGTTGGAGTCCAGCTTGAGCAATTTAGCAAGTGAGACTCCAAAACAAAAAAGAACCCATTACTCAGGATTTTCATCATGTAAATATTTCATACTCCTAAATGGGGGACCCAGTGTTATACCATCATTAATCCCAACCTACCTCCTTTTTCCTCCACTTCAGACTTAAGTGAAGAAAACCAATGAATAAACTATTCCCTCGAGCAGATGTTATACTGTATTTCCATTGTTTGAGCTAGTATAGAAGTTGACTGGCATGGTCTCATTGGAGGTAGTCTGAGGATAGATATGGTGGCTGAAGAAACTACTTGTGTAGGCATAATAAAGATGGCATGTGACGATTAAAAAGAAGAGCTCTAAGCACAGAGCTCCAAAAGTGTGACATAATACTTTTTTCTTACTGAGTTAGCATATATTTTAATGGAGAGCTAACTGAATAATAAATTGAGAAAAGTGACACTAGCCTAATGTCAATCTTTGGGGATCTTTGGGGTATTGCTTCACCAGCTGGAAACCTCTGTGGCCAGTGGCAT
Source organism: Homo sapiens (assembly GCF_000001405.40). NCBI lineage: Eukaryota > Metazoa > Chordata > Mammalia > Primates > Hominidae > Homo > Homo sapiens. The sequence continues at coordinate 68,810,089 of NC_000008.11, forward strand.
CTTTGCCTAGTTTTGCTTGAGCCTGCTGGTCTCATCCTGCCTGCTTGGCCTGGCAGGCTGTGCTTGGCTCGTGCTACCCTCCCAGATCCCATGCCTGCCAAGGGCAAGCCAGGCACAGAGTAGTAAGGGGTGCGTGAGTGAGCGGGCACAGGGTCTGGCTACTACACACAGCCAGGCATGCTGGCTGCGGCAGGGCAGGCAGCTCCAGGTGCCAGCACGGACATTGTCTCCTTTGAGGCTGCGGCTGGACTAGGCATACTGCAAGCAGCTTCTGCTGCTGGCAGTGAAGAATGTGGTGGTGCCTGTAATCTTGGAGATGCCAGGAACCACAGAGCCCCAAAGAGGGTGTCAAAGCTCTGGCTCAGGGAGCTCCTACTTCTGGGGTCCCTGAAGGGCCACAGCTCTTCTCTCCTTCTCTCTTCTCTACTTCTCGTAGCCCGCAAGGTGGTGAGTGAGGGGCATGTCTCAACCCTGTTTGTGTTAAAGCTCTTTCAGTCCTGCTGTTTGGGGGGTTGCAAGTTCTTGTCCTCCATCCAGGAAAAATGAGGTACGCATACAACTGGAGGGTGAGTAAGGTCAAGAAGTGCTTTATGGAGTGCCAGGATAGCTCTCCAGAGACTCCAACTGGGTAGCTCCTCTCTATAGGCAGGTCATCCTGACATCTGCTCAGCTCTCGCCTGAGAGGAGACCCACAGTGGGTAGCTCCTCTCCACAGACAGGTGGTCCCGACATTTGACCAAGTCTGGCTGAATCCAGGTTTTTATGGGCTTCAGAAGGGAGGAAGTGTGTACTGACTGGTCCATGCGTGCGCCTAGGAGAAGCATCATAAGTTCTCACTCTGGTCTGCAGAACTGGCAGCCCAGCCCCCAGGCTTCAGTCCATGCACAGCTTAAAGGTAGAGCTTTACTGGGGACCCAGCACTTTCTGCCCTGGAGCCTGTCTACCTCCTGCCGCCATCAACCTGCCATTCACGGTGCCCATGGTGCCCAGGTTGTTTGTGCCATAGGGCGCCTGTAGGCCTGCTCTGAGCTGCCCTCAGCACCCCCTCGACCCTTCTCCCGTGCTTGTCGGTGCTCAAAATCTGGAGGGGGCTGAGGCAGCAGGGGGCTGACATGTCAGCTCTGCCCCAAGTGCATGCACACCCAGCTGGGTTGTGACAGTGCCTGAACTGAGCCACAACTTTGCTCCGAGGTCGGAGTGGGCATCAGGAGTAGGGGAGAGGCCAGGCAGCGGGAGCAGTCACTTCCGAGCCTGCAGGGGCAGGTGATCTTCCTGGGCCCCCAAGAGCACAAGGATGCCTGGGTCCAAAGCCGTGACTGAACAGCTGCACCTGTGCCCTTTGGGCGGGGCTCCCACCCTGCCAACTCAGACGCAGGCAGCTTCCACCTTTTCCCAGCTCCCATTGGCTCCATGGAGTGCACATCCCTGGCCACGCCTCCCCTACTACAGCTGGTGTCTTCGCAGCAGCCGCTCCAGATGGTCCACTGCTGCAATCACTAACATTAAATAGATCCGCCAAATCTCTTTTGGAGAGATATTTAGAATCATAGCATTCCATTTCTCCTTAAAGCCTATTATGAGCCATTGACGTTTTAAAGCTTATACAGAAACAAATGCATTTCTGAAGGAGGAGGAAATGGGACAGAAGTAACATTTATTAAATTTTGATTGTTATGTGCCATGTAGTGGTATCTTATTTAATCCCTGTGACAATGTATTGTATGGGTATTATTAATATGATTTTACAAACTCAGATTTGTTAAATATTTTTTCCCAAGAATACAGAATTAGTAAGTGCAATTTAAATTCGAATCTAACCCAAGACCAGATCCTCCACTCCGAAATTTCACTGTGTCCCTAAAAGCTAAATAATCCTTTCAGGGTGGGAGGGATGTGTGTAAAGATAACATCAAGAGAGGAATGATCTCACTCTGCACTGAAAGAGTTTTAACATAAAGAAAACACTATAAAATAAGAACATAAGGGAAAACAACATATAAAGAAACTGAAGCAGTAATACATTTGAGTAGAAAATCTGCTTTTAATAGAAACTTCAACTTGATGTAGTTATATTTACAGTGTTCCAAATTATTATCTACAAGCAAAGTCATCCAGAAAATTAAGGGAGCCATATATGATAAACATAAAAATTAGAATTTTGACAGAATAAAATAAATAGCATTTAGTAATTACATTAAGTATGTTTTCAATCCCATGGTAAGCTATTAAAAGTACAACAACTGTTCAAAGCATGCTGCCAAATTACTTCAAAATGACTTGTTTTGAAATGTTGACTAAGTATCTCAAAACTGTATATCGTCTTTAGTATAATTAAACATTCTTCAGACCAAAAACATAGCTTTTTCTTGTGTTCTTAGACATAAATTATATGTGACTTTCTCTTCCATATTAGGACACATAGGATTATCCATTTTAAAACTTTAAAATTTTTTTTAAGGTTTCTACCACTTATATAAGGCTTTATAGTTTATACATCACTTCTACCTAATTATAAAAAATTAGCCTATTAAGAAAAGTTTAATCTTAAAATCCCTATTTTTCATTGTAAATGTTCAACATATACTTAATAGATATTTATGCGTTCATAATTTTTTTACTTAACAAATATTTATTGAATCAACTTCATGAATGAATAAATGAATAAATTTAGTTCAAATTGGTTACGTAACTTTTAAAGATCACTTGAGAAGGGGCCACACCTCAGTCTCTATCTTTATCTTCTGTTTATTCAGGGAGGTCATAACCTCTAGAAACACAGATACATGCGTGTAATAAGTGGTTTGTTGATATCTGATAGAAAACAGGATGTGTTTAATGACATATCATATGTTCAATGTGCTGTTCTTCTGTAGTAATCATAGTTCATCAGAGTTGCAATGAACATGGTGCATCAACATAGAATTCACTTTAATCCCAACACGTGCTTTGTCATGTATTGCCTTAGGTGATTTGTTTTGCTGTTTCTCTCTGAAAAAACTTGTAGCATATGGCGTTATCCTCAAGAAGAAATAGTGTTCTAATCCATAATATTATGTTTATTTTCAGAGTTGATGGCCACTCTCTTATTTGTTTTCCCCATCAAAGCTGCTTCATTTCTTACATTCCCACAAGTATAGGAAATAATGGGCTATCCCTAGTATAGGGGGAGTCCTACTTCAAAAGAAAAGGAAGCAGTACCAGGCTGAATGCCTAAGTGATTTCCATGCAAGAAAAGCATTATGTCAAAGGTTATTTCAGAAACTTGAAATCAGATAATTCTGTTTTTTTTTTTTTATTCTCTGTTATCCTTGGCCACCCTCCCTTGCCCCACACTCTAATCAAAATAAAGTCTTCTCCTGCACTTGTACTGTTGAATATTTTCCAGATCTTTGCACCATGCTCTATGGGACTGGAACTTGATTGGCAAATTGATTGTTCTTCAGTGGTATTAAAATAATACTTTACATGCTTTTTTTTTGGTCTTATTTGAAATGGTTTCCTCCTGGAAAACATTGGGTCCCTGTTAGCCTCCTCCAGAGGAAGCTGTTGCTTCTCTCCATTGCCCTGTGCCAAGCACCATGAGATAGCATCAACATTCTACCTGAAATTCCTTTTTTAAGGCTCCTAACATTTGTTGTTGTTCTGTTCTCATCCTGGTCACTATAGTCTTACCAATCACTTTTCTTCATTCCTGTGAGATGCTTCCATCGGGCTCACTGTTTTCCTCTCTACCGCAACTATTTTCATCAGAAAATTTTAACTGCTACTTGGGTGACTTACCCAATATCCTGCCATTATAATTCCTTGCTTCTCAAATCTAGTTATTCTCATAGGCTGTATATACTTTTTTCTTATCAAATGTGAAATAGCATCCAACTCTAAAGTCTTACATTACTGTAATCTGCTATCTGTCACAAACCTCCTTCCCTTACAATTCCTCATTTTCTACTAAACCTGCACTTCAGTCTTGTTTTGGTACCCAGACACTTGATTACTCATCTATCTCCAAGTATGTAAGACCACAGCTAGCTTCATCCTTCACTCTAAGGTCTGTGCTACACTGAACAGTGATGCTCAAAGTGAAGTTCTCAAACAAGCAGTATCAGCATCAACATCTCTTGGGAATTACTAGAAGCACAGTTTCTTTGGGCTCCATCCCAGATCTACTGAATCAGAAACTCTGATGTTGGAGCCCAGCAACCTGTGTTTTAAAAAGCCCTCTGGCTGATTCTTATACACTCTAAAATTTAAGAACTACTAATACAGAGCATGAATTCAACCACTCCCTTGCCAGCACCTTTAATGTCTTTGGGTGGCAAAGAACACTAGAACAAAAATACATCATTATTTTATTTCAAACCCTTCCATGTATAAGATTTCTAACAATTCACCAAGTTCTCCAGCTGTATCCAGCATCTACCTTCCATATACAACCTCCACCTTCAATCCAAATATTTTTTTGTAGTTCCTATTCATCTAAATTTTAATACCGAAAAATGTTAAATACCCATTACTTGATACTTCCAAAGGTGTTTTGCTTAGAACCATCCTCTGTGAAGGATGCTGAGCAATGCTAACTTACTCAAAGTGACATATATAGGAAAGGGTGAAGATAAGATTTAAACTCAGTTCTAGCTTAATATAAAATCCATGCTTTTTTTCCATTTTTCTGCAGAATGTATGAAATGACAACCAAATCAATAAGCCATTTCATTCGAGTTGAAGTAGCACTTAACCAATGAATGCTTTATAGGATTTTTAAAAGTGATTGTTCTATAAAAATCTACTATAAAATAACTTTGCTAAATATCAGGTTAAATCATTTTCCTTAGTGTAGGACTTCTAAGAATCTTAAATGTGCTGTTGTATATTTCGATGCTTCAAAAATCAGATATAGTATGATGTTGTCCAAAATTATTTGACCAATGAACCATTTGTTTGTGAATCATCTAGATTAACATCTTGTAGGGCTAGTGTTCCAAGAGATGCTGTGGAAAATTTGGACTTAATCTATTTCCATTCTTTTCGAGACATGTGGAAATGCTTATCTTTCTTATTTCATCTGCTTTCACCCTCTGTTTTATTTTGTCACTCTTTTGAACTAGAATAGTCATGCCCCATTTCCCCACTAGGTACTACTTTTCCCTTCCTTCAAAGATAGTCTTATATTCTTCTGCCTCAGGGCTGGGTTTAGAGGAATCACATTTAGCCTATAATGCTATGAACCAGACAATATAGTGTGTGTGCATATATATGGGTACACACATATATATATATACACATATACACATACACAGACACACACATATATATACTACCTCATGAAATCATATTTCTTGATAATATGGTACTAATTTATAATTTTGTAGCATCACAATAAGTAGCGTGTACCTGTCTGGGGCTGAATAAGCTGTGTTAGGGGAGCAGTCTGCAGAGCAGACCATGGCTTTCCTGCCTAATCCACCTTGGGCATCACAATTATGACTGCAATTCATATGGGATCTTCACACAGACTACATACATATCCAGAACACTATCTGGAGGGGCATTTTGCCTTACATTTTATTGGAAAAATTACCGGAGGTTTAAGTGGAAAATGACTGAATAATGGAATGAAGATATACACACTTCTAAGGAGTTAAAATACAGAATGGCAGCACAGTACATACTATAAATGTAGTTTTAATATTAATTTCAATTAATCTTCACTAGAAATTGGCTAAAGCGCTAGGGAATGGTATTTAATCGATGATTTTTCCTGGCCTGGCATATTATCTCTGTTTCTTTTGTTGTGCAGGTTCCGCTGATCTTCTTCTTTGCGTTCCATGCTCTTCTTGTCCTACGCTGGTCTACTCTGGTATGTTTGCTCAGGGCACTTAATATCGATGTCGGGTAATGGCGGGTACCTTCTAAAACTGCTCAGGATTTGTATTAAAAAAGTACGTAGTCCTCATGACCTCTAATGAGAATAGGTTTTTCTCCAAGTATCCTGCATAAGATTATAAGATTTCCTAAGAGTGTGTGTGTGTGTGTGTGTGTGTGTGTTTCTCTGTGTGTGTGTGTGTGTGTGTGCATGTTCTATAGGTTTTGGAGTTCTCATTTAGTCTGCACTCTCCCTTGCTAAGGTGGGAGGATGGGGATTTTAAACCCTTTCTCCTTGACAGGAAAAATAATATCTTCTAGATAGATATGAGCTGAAAAACATATTCTCCCACATGCAGGCCATGGACTCTATGATGCTATTATATATCCCCTGCAGTTATAGGATCTCAGAACAATTTCGTGTCCATGAATATGAGGCTACTTTATGAACTGGATACACAAAGATAAAAAATAAAACACTTTGTCATCTCTTAAGTATGTTCCAGAGAAAAGCAAAGGTGTTGAGATTGTCCTTACCACTTATAGAATCACAGAATATCAAACTGGAAAGAACTTAGAACCAGCTACTCCTTCCCTAATTTAATGCTAGCCTTTTCTCTGCAATACCCCTACCAAATGGTCACCCAGACTCTACATAAACACCTTGAGTAATGGGGAGTTTACTGTTACCCTTGTCTGCTCATTTAATTTTGCTCTGCTGTAATTGCTCTTGAGTCAATAATTCTGCATTAGGACATTATCTAAATAAATAATTTCTTCAATGTACTATGATATAGCTATCAGAATATTATGTTCATTGCCATACATTTTATAATAAAGCATGAAAAATGTTTTACAAGAGAACACGGAAAGCATGTAAAAAATAGAAACAACCTAATAACCAAAAAAGAGACTGATTAGAAAAACTATAGCAATCTGTATATTAGAAAGCTATGAATCCATTATGAAGGATGAGATATATATTAAGGATATAGGTACACAACTATCACGTGGTTCTCTTCCTCAGCCCATCAAGTGTGCTTTGTATGACATACAGGCATACTGCTGTTCTGTTCAAGAGCTCTAACCAAGTAAATCACTCATATGATTCATATTTAAAACCTATAATGGATCAGGAACTACTGTCAGAGAATAGCACAAGTCATTATCATGGGTGATACAGCACCTATCATAGGTTTTCTTATCATGGAACTTACTAAATTGTGGAGAAGAAACACAGTGAACAGCTATTTACAGAAAATGCGCTGATGGTGATTATAGAAGCATGAGGATAAGTATGCATATCAGGAGAGTTCTATCTTGACTAGTAGTCAAAGGGTCAAGAGAAAGTAATGTCTAAGGGTAAGGCCTAAAGGAATGTAATATGCAGTTGATAAAAGAGTTAGCTGGGGTTAGTTGGAGTAAGTAAAGCATTCCAGATAAATAAAAAGTGTGTGCAAAAACAACCAGACTCTCCCTCTCTTTCTCTTCCTCTCTAACTTTTCTCCCTCTCTTTCATCAAATAAATATTTCCGAAGCCAATGCCACACACAAAGCATTACTTCAGGTAATGTGAGTAAGATGGAGATTGAAGGTCTTCCTTCAAAATGTTTATGGTCTAATTGGCGAATCAAAAATATTAAATATAACTATGATACAAAGCAGAAAAAACATGTAAAATATTCTAGAAACATGAATATTTTCCCTTGCCATCTGTATTAGTCCATTTTCACACTGCTATAAAGACATACCTGAGACTGGGTAATTTACAAAGAAAAGAGGTTTAAGTGCCTCACAGTTCAGCATGGCTGGGGAGACCTCAGGAAACTTACAATCATGGCAGAAGGCAAAAGGGAGGCAAGACACCTTCACAAGGCATCAGGAAGGAGAAATGCCAAGTGAAGGGGGAGGAACCCCTTATAAAACCATCAGATCTTGTGAGACCTCACTATCCTGAGAACAGCATGGGGGAAATCATACCCATGATTCAATTACCTCCACCTGGTATCTCCCTTGAGATTATGGGGATTGTAATTCAACGAGATTCGGGTGAGGACACAAAGCCTAACCATATCACCATCTAATGTGATTAGAATTTTACACAGATATCAGAAATTGATATATTGGCTGCAAATATGATTAATAGAGGTAGTATTCTAATGTCAATATCCTTTCAAAAGTTCATTGGAATAGAGGAAAGCATTAAAATCACAATTTTTCTTTTTAATATGCTATAATGTAAACATGTTATTAAGCACATTTTCTTCTGTTTCATTTCTCCTCTGCAGGTTTGTGAAACAGAGAGAAGAAGTTGCAAGTGGTCCTTAAAGAAATGCAGTTATTCAAATCCTTATGTATAGTTCTAATTTTATTTACTATGTGTAATCATTTAGAGAATGGTTATTTTTATAATCTCAATAATAAACAAGTACTATCGTAGCCAGGGGGTGCCCAAGTATGTAATCAGAGAACACTAATCCTGGCAAAGGATTGTGGGGTGGTCAGGAGGCCGGCTGCCTTTTGACATGGTTAGAGTCCTGGGTTTAGATTACTTTATAAATAGTTATTAAGATTAATATTTGATATATTAAATATTGCCTGATTCAAATAACTTTGCTTAAAATTTTTCTGTATTTTAACTTGTCTAGGGTTTTCTACTTCTTCTATTTTTATAATATTTTCTCATTTTTTAGATTACTAAACATTCTACTTATCCACATGTGCCAAGATGTGCCATTTAGGTCTCTGCAGAAATTAGCTGTTTGGTATCATCACCTGCCATACATGTTGTGTGCAGCAGTGAGAAGTATATTCTCTACCACTGCTCTTTCTCATGATTATTTTCTCTATTCCTATTAAAATGAATAATTGATATGTTAATTAAGTAAAGCAAATCAATAAGGAATGAAATGCATGGCCCAAAACATAGAAAATGAAAATCGTTTGACCATTTATCCAATTATTGAACCCAATTAAGATGATCCATTTTAAATTTAATATATGCTCGCTTTTGGAATGTGTTATGCATTGATGTTAAGTGAATGGATCTAAGTAAATCTATTGATATCTCTACTGTCTGTTTTATTTTATTTGTCTTAATCTAAGTTTGCTTTCTGGACCTTTAAGACATAAAGTTAAATTACAAAACTATATAACAAGGAACTATATCAAGGAAACAAATGTTGTTAAAGGCCAGAACATGGATAAAGAATAAAAATAATTCAGATTGTATAAATTAAGTCAATTCCCTAAATCAAATAATATAATAATTTTTCTTACATTAACATTTTCTTGTGTATAGAAACTCATGTGACTCATTTTAATAAAATTTGTATGTTTTATAGGTAGAAAAAAGGAAGGTTTAGAAACAGTAAATTTTTTAATCAGAAAGGAGAGAAGGCAAGAGAGTAAGTTTAGGGGACCAGAACGTTCTTCTATTTAAAACTCCTTGCCATGAGGAATATTTCTTCGAAATTGTTTAACTGAGGATCCAAATGCTTTTTCTATTAGAAATATTCTTTCTTTAAAAAATGTCACTCCTAATGTTTTCATCTGAGCCGCGCTTTCCTCCAACCATTGCCTGGTTGGTTTTCATCCTCTTCTTGCTCACTGAGCTTTTCCTGGAAATAGTTACCCTACTAAGTGCCTCATCAGCCTCAAAAATCAGATCCCCCAGGATATCAGAATGTGTATTGCTGAAGGTGCTGTCAAAGATAAAGAAAACCAGACACCGAGGGAAGTGGTAAAGACAAATTTTCATTAGTCATAAATAATTGCAATAGAGAAGTAGGTCCAGTGTGAACTGAACTGAACTACGATTTGTGCAGAGGTGGCTAGGCCTTATAGAGGAAGGATGAGGAGCTAGGGACAGGGAACAGCAGGGGCTTGAGCAGAATCAGGGAAGTGGACATTTACAAAATGTGAGAAAGTGGGGTTGGTCCATGTGGAGCTACCTTGGTTTGCAAACTGGCATTTATCAAAGTTAGATTCCTACTCCCCCTCCAAGACTGGGAGACAGGGACCCTATTCAGGTGTTGGCTGGTACAAAACAGTAAATTGTTTTGCAACCCTGAGCTTTCTCAGTCAGGAACTTATGGCGCTGGAGTCATCATCCTAAGGATATGCCCTTGAGCTGTTAGAAACTATGTTAGTATTTGTTCATGTCTTTTAAAGTGGGGGACAGGGGTGGATGAAATTGTTTATGCTGACATTTTGTGGTTTTAGGCCAAGGTTGAGGGTTAGTTGAGAAGAGGACTCAGAGGAGCTTGGCTGGTGTTTAGTCAAGGAGAAAATCTTCATCAACGGCTATGAGGCAGGACACAGACACACACACACACACACACACACACACACACACACACACACACCATTCTCTGCTCTCTTTTCTTTGTCAATGACTTTAACCATTTCCTCATGGCCAAGGCCAGAGGTCAAGGCCAGTGAACAGCTAAATACCAAATCAGGAAATTTCTCCAGGTCGCTTCCCAATCTTTTGTTTCAAATGTCACACATGAAACCTGAATCTCTTGGCACCCCTCTTGGCTCTCATTACTCTTTTTGCCTCTTTTGGGTTTCTTAACATAGCTCCAGAGTTACTGCAATGATGAGGCTTGAAAAACCTGCACCAAAAGAGCTTCTCAAAATGCTCCTCAGATTCCATACGTCAGTATCACTGCTGTGAACAGATGGCTTTGGGCCCCACGTTATGCTATGGCCTCCGTGTGTCCCTGGAGCGGGCTGAGGTAACTTCTGACCTTCTGGACATAGAGGCCATCACAGTCTAGTAGGGGAAACACACATATGAGCATATAATTTAAATAACATGTTGTAGTGTGCAATGACAAAAACATTTACAGGCCAGACTACTGTGGGAGCATGAAAGAACAGTTGTGAATATATCTGAGACCTGGACTTGGAAGTGGGTAAGTTGTGGGGTGTGTAGGAAGTCAAAGAAGTCTTCCTGGAAGAGATGATGCCTCAGCAAGTCCTTTAAAGATGAGACAGAGTCAATGGAGCAATAAAGGTAGGTAGGAAGGTCTTAGTGGGAGCAACAGAATAAACCCAGTACGGAAGTCTGAGTGGGCAGAGTGTGCATGGCAATGAGTGCAATAAATGCATGATATTTATTACTAGTGCAGATAGAGTGTGATACGATGTGGTAGTTGATGGGTAGAGAAATGGGCAGGGATTGGGATGAGAAAATTCTCATATGCCACCTGTAGTCTTCAACACTGGCTGTTCAGCAGAATCCCAAATGCTCAGGCCCCACACTCCGGGATTGAGAATTCAGTTGGACTGAGAGGGATGCCAATCATCCATATTTATGAAAAAGCTTCTCACTTGATTCTAATGAATAGCCAAGGATGAGAGCCATAGCTGAAGAGAGCTACTGAAGATTTTCAGCAGGGGAGGGGAGAGTGACACTATTGGATAAACAGTTAGATGAGCTCACCTTGGTAGCTGCAAGTAAAAATGCAGGAGTAGGTGAAACAGGAAGTGGGCAAGCCTAGAAATAGGCAAGCCTGGAAATGGGAAACTAGTTAGGAGTCTATTGCAAGAGTTAACATAAAATGATGAAGGTCTATTTAGGTTTTTATTAGGGCAAACGATAGTAAAGGTCTAATGGTTGTTGGGATATTCCAGAAACAGGGAGCTGATAGAACCAAAATCTATTTAAGAGTGGTTCTTGTGGAATTGTTGCACATAGAAGGGAAGGGTAAGGTAGTTTTCAATAGTGCCTCTTCAGTCTGTGGCTTGGGACTGGGAGTGGCAGTAGGACAATAGGAAAAAAAGAAAAAAAAGGGAGATTTGGTGCCGGAGATGTTAACTTCCATGTAGGGATGTTGAGATGGAGCTACCTATAGGACATTTGATCTAAAATGTTCAGCAAATATGGGGGCCAAAGTGCAATGCTGAAGATACAGACATGTCATTCATATGCATATATGGGTTTGTGAAAATGATGAAATTATGCACATTGCCTGAGGAAAGCCTATGGCTTGAACAGATCTAGCCTCTCTAAGGAATACCTAGGTTTAGAGGTCAGGCAAAAAGAAATGGCAGAAAAGAGCCAATAAAAACATCTCCAGAAAAATAGAGAAAAGAGAGGTTGTCACAGCTGGTAAGACAATAGAAAATCATGATTTTATGCTGTTTTCATAGAAATTTTCCCAGTTAGATTCAAATCTCCATCCGACACTATATGCACTATATTCTTCCTAGAATATACTCCCATAAAAAAGTGGCTTGTTCTTCCTTTAGCTGGAAGGCCAAGAAAATATTCACCTTGGATGGAGCCTCTAGGAATGAGACAGGCAGGAACCATAACTATCCTTGTATGATTTCACCACCAGGGTACACCCAGACAGAGAAAAGAGAAAGGTCTTATGAACTGACTATTGCCCTTCATTTCCTTAGAATAAGGGAATATCTCATCCACAGAATGTCAGATCCCCCACCCTGCTTCATATAACACTTATTCAACAAATACTTACTGAACAGCCACTATATGTCTACTATTGTATTAGATTCTGGGGACCCAGCAGTAGTAGGACATACACAGTCCTTGCATTCATGGAGCTAGGTGGCTAGTGTGGGAACAACACTGACAGTCAGTTACAGTAAATCTTAAGAACAAAATACAGGATGCTGAGGACCCACACCTGAGGACCATCTAGTCTGCATTGCAGATAAAGAATCTTGGGCTTTGGTTACCCTGTTCAATCTAAAGAATGAGGTTTATTCAGGTGAAATTCAGGAAGATTGAGGAGAGTTGGGAATAGGTTTGAAGAAAGGAGATGAAGAATATTTTGAGAGAGCAGACTATATCAAGATTCAGTTACATAGATGAGCATGGCATATCAGCTGAAATGAACATTTGAATATGGTTGGAACACAGGGAGATGCACACTGCTGCCAAATGATGCAGTGAGAAGTTAGTAGCAGCCAAACCATAAAGGCTGTTAAAAGATATATTACATTCAGAGGGTAAGAGAAACACATGGAAGTTTTAAGCAAGTAAATAGCAAGAATTGCATTTTAGAAAGACAATTCTTGGCTCCATGGTGGAAAATGAATTGTAAAGGAACAAAATCAGAGGCAGGGTGAATGGCTAGGACACTCTTGCAGTAATCAATGTTGGAGACACAGAACTGCATAGATAGAGAAATTTAGGCAGTGAATTGATTAAAGATAGAAGGGAGGAGTCACAGATAATGGTCAGATTTCTGGCCAGGACACCTGGCAGTGAAATCTATTTAGAATGAGGGGGAAATGTTGAGTTCATTTGGGACATTTCAAATTTAAAGAGACTGGAGCCATATCCAAGATTCTGAATGTCATCAACATAAAGACAGTCAAACAGTGCATAATAGAAATCAAGGCAATAGCTAACATCACCCAATGAGAGTCTGCAGTGAAGAGATGTCTCATGAACATACCAGCACTTAAGAGACCGAAAAAGTGATTTCAAGAGTAAAGATTTTATGTACACTTGATAGAGTGGGTGGCCCACACACTGTTTCTAGTAAGTGGAAGGTCAAAATCCTTGCACTTTGAGGTCCCCGGTTCCTGTAAGCACAGCTGGGTTTCAGGGGAAAGACAGGCATGTTCGTTTGTTCAACAACCTTTAGTAGTCTGGTTTAATGAGGCTGTAGAAATTTCCTGTGGGTGGATGAAATTTAAAAAACTATACATGAGTAGGAGAGGGGGATGTAAAGAACTTAGAACTTCCCTTATTTAGAAAGTAAAGCTAAAGAATTGTCAATTTGGGGTCTTTTCAGTCAGTGTGTGGAAGCACCTGCTTGAGAATTCCTTTTTCTTTAGTTATTAGTGTTTAAGGGACAACTAACACATTTAGGATTAAGCTTACAAATGACTCCTGCTAGTTTATCTCAGTGTAGTTTTAATTTGCAACATTTTTATCTATCTTCCCTTTTGTCTACAACTAATCAAACATGTTTTCGTTTGGTTATAAAGACAATAACTATTATTAGCTGCTGAACTTGGAGTCCTGTAAGACACTACTTTTCAGGAGAGGAAGGAGCATCGAGCATCCCCTTGGTCCTAGGCACAGAGCTCTTCTTATGCTGCAGATTGTGGCTTGCCCACACTATAAATATGTGTTAGCTTTTCAACATGCATTTGGCCCTCTTACCACTGCTCTTGCCGATTGTTTGTTTTTGTAAAATTTCTATGGTGGCTTTTTGTCCATTTGTGTCTTTGATGTTTACAGAGTCTGTCTCTGGAGAGCTAACATAAGTGGATTTGGGTATTGGTGGAAGTTATGATTTGGCAACTCTTCTCACTATTATAATTATTTAAAATATGCCTGAAAAACTCCAAGTGCTACATGCAAAACTACAATAATAATGTGACCCCATGTCTGAAAACTATAATTATTACAGAGACATTTGCTCTAAAATATTGCCTAGCAAATGGTAGCAGGAGCACATGGCTTTGAGGCTGTGCAGTGTACATGGCTTCTTGTGGGGAAACAGCCAACCTACAGCTTAAACATGGAAGCTCTAAAAGAGCTTGCATCTCATCTGGTAAACTTGCAGTTTTCCGACATTATAACCATATCTGAAGGGCCCTTTATAAGTAGGTATTTGATGTAATGATTAGCCCAAAGTTTACCTCACCATTTGGATTCTTAGAAAAAGAGGAAAATTGTGCTTGTGGAAATCTTTTTACTAGATATTGCAAAATATTTTAGGCTATAGGTAATTAGCATATATAGGAAAACTTCCTTAGAGCATAATCAGGATCACGTTATCAATAGATTACATTGAGCCACAAAAATGTGTGCTTCAGTGTGGAAAGTATACATCTTGTATAGTTATCTCGTATAGCTTGAGTAGGTTATAAGCCAAGGTTATAACATCTTTTATATATTTGTTGTTTGAATTCACTGTGAAATATTTTGTGCTGAAGATCAGTATTGTTCACTCTATCTCATTCTCCTCTTCTTCCTGGATACATGAAAGATTTCTCAGTCTGCTGCAACTATACATTACTAGTTCTGGCCAATAGCCATCAGTGGAAGTCATATATATCACTTCCAGTCCAAGGCATTTAGGAGAAGTGTGAGTTCTCTGTATCTCTTTTTTTCTATTGCAGTGATCCTGGATGTTACCAATTGAGATGGCAATATCTAAAGATGTTTGGGTTCATGGTTGTGTAGAATAGAGCTCTGCTGACCTGTATTAAACAGGTAATATGAGTGAGAAATAAACCTTTATTCCACCCCTAAGGTTAAGGGTTTATTTGTTACTGCAGCATAATATGGCTTATTTTGAGTAATATTGGATCAAATTCTCTCCTTGATTTAAATGATGGATCCAAAAAAGGGCAATTCTAGGTCATGTAATTTAGGCTTTGTAGACACTCTTGAGTTTAGAGAAAATATAACTGATCATGATCCTTTTTAAAAAACTGTCTGTTGTACATTGAGAAAACTAGTTTGCAATTAGATACATTTGTAAGGTAGATTAAAATGTTCATCTAAAATAAGACTCACCTTGACTTTATTATACCTAGTCTAGATTTTTTATTTATGATCTCAAGGAATTTAGCACTTGTGTACTTAACATCTAGGCAAGATAGTCCAATTATTTTATTTAGGATTATATTTCATAATCTATCTGTAAGTTTGGGTTTGAATGATGCTAGAGCCTCAAGATAGAAGAAAGTTTCAGATGGAAAAGAAGGGAGTTAGCTTCTCAAGGCTGTGAAGTTTATCAAGTGGAATAAAGAGGATATTATATCTCCTACATTTTATGGAACAAATTATATAATTTCATATGCATTACTGATATGTTTTTAACTTATTTTCTATCTTTGGTTTATTTGTGTTCCAAAAACAGAACTGTACATCTCAGGAAACTCTTTTGGTACTGACAGTTGTAAAAATCATTGGAAAATGAAGTCTACATAGGAAATCTTTCCCAATTATAGCCAAATTTAAACATATAGCCTTCATATTAGAAGGAATGTCATTGTGCCAAGACATAGATCACTTGAAGGGGAAAAGCAGAGGTAGTGTGTTATAGCAATAAGACCATGTGGTTTGTTGCCACAGATGTACGTTTGAGCAGTTGCTTCATTCCTTTGATGCTTTGAAGCCAGCCATTGACTTCTCTCTCGCTATGAAAGTTCTATATGGCATCTTCTTCCAATAGAAGTCTGTCTCATCTACGTGGAAAATCTGTCATTTAGTGTAGCAACCATCATCAATTATTTTAGCTTGATCTTCTGGATAACTTGCTGCACCGTCTGCATCAGCACTTGCTATTTCACTTTGCACTTTTATGTTATAAAGACAGCTCCTTCCTTTAACCTCATAAACCAACTTCAGCTAGCATCCAACTTTTTTTCCTGCAGCTTCCTTATCTTTCTCAGCCTTCGCAGTATTGAAATGTTAGGGCTGTTTTCTGGGTTGAGTTCTGGCTTAAGGAAATGTTATAGTTGGTTTGATCAACTATCCAGACCATTAAAACTTTCTCTATGTCAGCAACGAGGCTGTTTCTCTTTCTTATCATTCATGTGTTCACTGGAGTAGCACTTTTAATTTCCTTCAAGATGTTTTCCTTTGCATGAACATCTTGGTTGTTTGGTGCAAGAGGCCTAGATGTTGTCCTATCTTGTCTTCCGACATGCCTTCCTCACCGAGCTTAATCATTTGTAGCGTTTGATTTAAACTGAGAGACTTGTGACTCTACCTTTCACTTGAACACGTAGGGGCCATCGTAGGGTCATTAGTTGACCTATTTTCGATACTGCTGTGTCTCAGGGAATAGAGAAGTCTTAGGAGAGACAGAGAGAGAGAGAGAGAGAGAGAGATGGGGAAACAGCTGCTCAGCAGAGCAGTCAGAACACACACAGCATTTATTAAGTTCACTGTCTTATATGAGTGTGGTCCATGGTGCCCTAAAACAATTACAATAGTAATGTCAAAGATCACAGCTCATCAAAACAGATAATAATGAAAAAGTTTGAAATATTGCTAGAATTACTAAAATGTGATACTGAGATAGGACATGAGCACATGCTGTTAGAAAAATAGTGACAACAGACTTGCTTTGAAGTAGGGTTGCCATAGACCTTCAATTCATAAAAACACACAATATCTGCAAAGTGCAATAAAATGAAGTGTGTTTGTACCTAATACTCTTAAGAAATGACTGTAGAAATGCAGATATCTAGAAACTTGGGTCTTCAGCATTCTCTGAGGGTCTAACAATTAGACATGACCATTTTAACCAGAAAATTGGAATTCGGTTTAAGTGTCACATTTTCCAAAATACCCTACTTGACTGTGACTTCCTACTGTCCTCCATAGCAGCTAAACTACAAAAGCAACATAACACTGGAGCATGCAGGTTCAACTTAACAAGAATCAACTTCTACTTGTCATTCTTCTAATTCAGGTTGTTCTAGAAACTAACTGTACCATCTAATCACTTGGGGAGATTTTTTAAACATTTCCAAAGCTGGGGTCCAATCCCAGAGTAATCAACCAGAATATCTAGGGGTGAAGCCTAGGCATGGGTACTTGTAAATTCCTCTCAGGAGGTTCTTATATGCAACCAAGGATGAGAAACACCACAACTTGAAGTTCTGTTAATGGTGATACAGTGAGTTAAAGAGTTTCAAAGACTCCATTTGCTTTATAAGCAAAAGTTAAACATACCTATAATTTTCTTTGTGAAACAAATTTGCAATTGCACATTGTTAAATAACCTTTAGTGAAATTACTATTTCTTTGCTAGTAATATGTATTGAGGGTTTTTCAAATATCAGCAACTTCCCTGAGTACTCTATATGCATTATTTCATCTAATTTTTATGGTGGCCCTTGGAGGTAGCACTATGATTATCTCCATTATATAGATGAGACACGTCAGTCAAAAAGAAATGTGAATTAACTTATCTGGGATGGTGCAGTAGTTTTCAGGGTAGATCCATGAACCTAGAGACTGAAAGGCCTTTGTACTGTGTTTTAACCTGGCAGGTGTGTGTCTTCCAGAGTGAGCTGACTTTATTATAACTTCATGATGTGTAGTCATGGAGGGATTTATGACCTGATGATTCAGGACATGAACTTGGAGAGTATGTTGTGCTGCTCTTATCATAGTAGTTATGTTTCTAGCTCCTTGTCCCTTCCCTTGGGTAACATACAATGATAAACTGATAGTCTCAGCCACTTGGCTCTGAGAAACCTCTTCCGTGATGGATTCTAACTTATTTTTGTATCCTTAGGGGTAGGTCTATGTTTTCACATAGTAGGCTCTCAGTAAATAAACAAATATATAGGAAAGAGAACCAGCTACTTTGGGTGAATATCCAAGCCTGGCTCTTTCCTGGGGAAGCAATTAAGAAAGAGTTTCCCCTTCTTGGAAGAGAGGTTACCTCAACCTCCCACCTTGAAAATCCAACAACCGGTTCCAGGGAATTCCCCAACCTCTGATGTTAAAAAGACTGGAGACAACCAGAACAAACAAAAGGATATTAATAACAATCATAATACTCTGGGCATTAATTAAAAACAAATAACATTAAACCAAAGGGTCAGAGTTGCAAAGTGGTGCTGGGGGATGCTGCTCTTTGTCAGTTGGGCAGTATAGCAAACGGAGCACCAAGAAAAGGAACAGGCTATGATGCTGAGAAAGCTGCTCTGATGTCCATAAACAGAGGAGTCCAGCCAGGCAACCTGAAACCAGGGCCTCTACTGACTTGTACCCTCCATTGTAGCCTGGGGGCATTTTGTTTTATAAAATAAGTTGGGAGAGGCTTAATTTGATATGCTTAGTAATAATAAAAGCTACCCATATATTTAGTGCTTACTGTGAGACAAGGCTTTTACTGGGTGTTTTATATGCACTGACTCACTTATTTCCTTGTAGAAAATCAATCTGTTATAATTGTCCTTATATGATGAATGAAGGAATTGAGACTTCACTTTCTCAGTAATGCCCAAGCCAAGAAGTGATGGAGCCGGAATTTGAATCCCAATTGTCTGATGTGTGAAGCCAGGGATGTGGCCACTAAAGTCTAGCCCCCTTCATTAGTGCATGTAAGTGCCTTGGCTTGGCCAGAAAGAGTAAGTGATCTGATGTATAGCAAACAAATGTCTGGTCCCAGTTTTTCCACCCTTCTGTAAGAGCCTACTACACCATTTTTCCCTTTGATCAGGCCGAAGCTGGGTAGTAGAGGATTCAAAATAAATATTTATGATTGTTCTCTGGTCTTTAGAGAGAGAATTCCTGGCCTTTTTAAATTCCTTAATTCAGACTTTTCAACAGACTTTAAATATATGTACAATTCCAGGGAGGCCAAAGTTGCACAGGTATTCAAAGGCCAGCCATGGATAAAGGTGTGGCAGGTGCCTTCCTGGAAGCCAACAGGCCAAACTCATTGCTGGGCAGGGGAGTTCCCACGTGGAGCCATAGCAGGCAGCTTTGAACATTGATGGGTCTAAGGAAAGAGAGACCATGGCTAATCCTGGCACCCCTCCCAACGTAGTACCTCATTCCCTGACATTCCTGGCTTTCTCTATTCAGTCACACCTCATTTTTTTTTTCTTTTGAAAATTGTAGTAAAATCCTCCTGTGCTTCTGTTTCCATGTGGAAGTTAATGCTGCATTAGAAAGAACCTTTAACTGAGAAGAGGGAATGGCATTCTGTTTTGTTGGATGGGCTTCCGCTCTGGAATGAACATCTTTGGCAAAGACAGGATAATCAAGTTGTCCCTTTAATTTTTTAGCTTCATTTCAACAGAGCAGATAATCTTCAGAGAACAAATAAAATGCTGTGTATGTTCTGATACAAGGTATGGGAAACACACCAACTTTGCTTTCACGACAAGTTGAAGATCTTCATCTGCCAAGTTGATTGGTGCCAAAAGCAGGTTTCTCATTTCTTGCCAGAGATCCTCATAAGAGCTGGCACAAGCCAAAGCAATAAATTCATGGCATCGGCCCTGTATCTCTGCGTTGAAATCTTGCTGAGTGGAATGTGAGGGGATGAGAAGGCGCAGGGGAGCTCGAGTTGGTCTGAACTACACAAGAGCCTTTGCCATAAAAATCAAACCAGATCCTTGCTGAGAGTTGAAGTTACTGGTCAAATTCCCTTCCTGCTTTCCTTTTCATGTACTTTGTTTTGTTTGCCTGATCCTTTCACTTCATGGTTCTTGTGGAATCGGAAGTAAAGCAATACCACAGAAGAAAGTGAACCCAGCCTTTGGCGTCCCTGATTGAGCCAAACCCAAGAAACATTGGAAATCTCCCTCGCCAGCTCAAGTTTGTGAGATTTCCAGCCTGATAGCCAGACCAAAGAGGTTTGGAGTGACGTGTGCGCCTTCTCAGCATGAAGCTTTGCAGAGTTTGTGTTTATTATTTCACTCATCTGTCAGCGACATTGATTTTTTGGGTTAACCTTTCTTTTTTTTTCAGAGCTGTTAAGTAAATATACTTCCAATAATCCAAGAGCTATAGCATTACAAAGTGTGGAATATCATACTAGTTCTTTTCCCTCTAATAGATATCAAAGTTCAATCATAATCAGTCTATATTTGAGATTCGTGTCTGTTAAATATCCTTAGACTGATAAAAGTACCAGGGGGTAAGGATGTGTTAAGGTCAGTTTTAGTGGTTTGTTAGTAAATATTTAGCAACCTTATCTCCCCTAATATAAAGCCCTGATTTGTAGTATATGCCCATTCTCATGGTGTAAGTAATCTTAACTATTGCTGATTCCAAGCTACCAAGAGGTTATCACTGACCATACAATTGGCAAGAGATGTGCATAATAGGCTCTTACCAGGTACTCTGAGCTGGCTTCAGCACACTGTTCACATTGCCCCTGGCTTTGTGTGGCTGATACACAGAGACACTAGGTTCCTTTCCCCTCTCACCAGACAAATGGGGAGAACTAAAAAAGGGAGGAGAACATCATGACTCTATGCAACCTACATTTTATCTGTGGGATCACTTACAAACACAGTGGTCTCTTGGTTAACAGTTGCAGCTTATAGAAAATGAAAGGAAAATCAAAATATATGCCTTTACTCCTTTCTTTGGATGACTATTAAAAAGCTGGTTAAACATTTCCAGTGAAAGTGAACCATGTAAAGTTAAAACAGGGCTAATTTATGGTTTGTTCCCTAGTCCAGAGGGTAGCAGAAATAATAACTCTTAGATGTAAGTAACTCCTGTGGCCACACATGTGCTATACACCCCAAATTTAGGCCAAACCATGTACATTTTCAATTTATATCAAAAGTGAGCCTTGTAGCTTGTAACATTTTTGCCTTTCTGCCAAGAAACTCAACAAATGCAGCAATTAGCTCCCTTTTTTCATTTGTTTCTCACAGCTTATCTCTTTTTTAATAGTTCTATTAATTAATTCAATGAATGTGTATTAAAACTTTCTACATGTCAAACTCTATTCTAGGTAAACAAAAAAGCCTGCTTCTATGAGCTTATATTCCAACAAAGAGAGACAATAAACATAATAAAAAATAAGCTATATCATATATTAGAAGTATATAAAATTATACACCATATGATAGACTCTCTATAATATGACTTATATATCATATAACTATAATATGCCTCTAATATATATTTCAGAGCTTTTTCATAATTTCTATGAAAAAAATGAAAAAGTAGAGCAAGATAAAGGGAGTTAGGTAGTGCCAGGAGAGAGTAGATTACAATTTAAAAGATTTTAATATGGTAGTCAGGGTAGGCCTTACAGAAAAGGTAACATCTAAGCCAAGACTTATACCTTCATCTCATATTGTAAGTCGAAACGAACATTCTTTTTAAAGATGAAGGTTTTAAATAACACATAAAAGGAAGATTTCTGTAGATGAGCATTCAATGATAAAGGTCTACACTAGTGTTTAGTGGCAGTGAAAAGAGATAAATGTAAGAAAAATTGTTAAAAATTATTGGCAGATAAATGATTAACATCCTTCTTTTTTTTTTGCTCCCCATATTTAGAAAGGTGGCTGAGGTTTCACACTTTGATGAATGAGAGACATATAGCTTCATTAGCAGGGCTTGTAGTGAATGATGGTAGTGTAATGGTGAAATCTATGACCCTTGCTGAAACCAACTCAAAAGAACAACAACAACAACAACAACAAGAAACATATAAAAAGAAAATTCTATTTGCAGTGAACATGGAAAATAGCTACTTCTCCAAACCACGGTCTGTAAAGAGTATGCCATATACTCTGTAATTCAGATGAATTGAAAAAGGTTGCTAAAAGCCAAAATAAACAAATAGCTTCACATCTTAAGTCAGGTATAGAATTCTTTAAAAGTGAGAGTCCTAAGGGAGTGTGGGTGGCCTGAAGTAATAAACATCCCTGTGGGATGTAGATTTCTTTTAAATCCTTGCTACCAAATGGGAGAAATCATCTGAATGTGAAGTCAAGTTAACAAGAAACAGAAAATACTAGCTCCTGATCAACATCAATGAAGCATAAATTAAATCAATTCAATAGCCTAGTAGAAATAAAACACAGTGCTTAATTTTGAACTATGCAACCTGTCTGGATAATCTGTTCACCTCAGTAGAAATGTGCCCTCTAGGCACAGGATGAAAAGTTTATGATGATGAAGAGTTTGTGGAAACACATCTCATTTAAAATTGCCTACAGCCCCAGATTAGTTCTCCTGCTACTCTGTAAATTATTCTTGAGCAAATAGCAGAAATAGAACTACATCCATTTAAAAATGAGTAATAAGACTTTCACTTCTGGCCAATGTTGAGCTCATATACTTTGCCCATTGTTTTAATTTTTTAGGTGGGAGGACTAAACAGGGACGAATTATATAACAAAACAGTTTTCAAGCTATTAGACATTAGACAATGAAACATACTGATCACTGAGGGCCAGAAACAAACAGGGGGAGCCCTACAATTGTCTCAGTCTGTTGCCTAAAAAAGTTTCTAGTTTTTAGACAGTGGCCTAGGAAAGGAGAACCTAGGCAGAATTTTCTCATTTCTCTGGACTGAGGAGACAGAGCTGAGAGTCTAGCAAGGTCAAGGAAGATAGAGTTTACAGGGCAAAGGACAACAGACAGAAGAATTTGAAAGAGAGAACTCCAGATATTTTCAGAATACTTCTCTCAAGTCATCAGCTGAGTACTTATCGGCACATTCATGTAAAGAAACTACCTAAGACCAAGAAAAGAGCCATCCAAAAGGATTAAGAGGAGCATTATTTGGAGCTCCCATATGGCTTTGAATACTTCCTGTTCCCACCAGTCAGAGTGCCAAATTTCATAATTCACTGCATTAGTAGAGCACTCAGAAGGGTTTTACCTCTTTAGAGGGGAAAAATTAAGATAAGACTACTGCTATTATCCTTTTTGCTGAAGCTTAAAATCAAGACGTGAAAGGATCAAATTATTTGGAAATAACTGTGTCTCAGAACAAAGTTTAAGAATATTTAAAGGGTACAAATATATCAGGACTTAGTAAGGTACAATTTACAGTATTTATTATCCAGTTAAAAATTATCAGAATGTCTGAGAAGCAGGAAAATGTGACCCACAATGAGAAGTAAAATCAATCAATAGAAACTGAGTGAAGAATTATAGATTTAATAGACAAAGATATAAAAACCATTATTATAACTATCTCATATGTCATATTAGATTGATGCAAAAGCAATTGGGGTTTTTGCCACTACTTGCAATGTCAAGAATCAAAATTACTTTTGCACAAACCTAATAGAAGCTAGAGGGAAGATAGAAATGTTAAATAGAGGCTTAGAAAATACAGAAACTGACCAAAATCAAACTTCTGGATGAGAAAATGACAATGTTTGAGATTAAAAAATACACAATAGGATTAATAGCTGTTTGAAAACTCACAGAAATTAAGATTCATAAACTTGAATACATAGCAATAGGAACAATTTCAAATGAAATACAAAGAGTAAAAAAGAATTAACAAAGAAAAAGGAAAGGAAGAGAAAAAAAGGAAAACAGAAATAAGAAAAAGAAGGAGAAAGAAGTATTGAGTTATGGGACAATTTTAACAGCTTTTATATGCATAATTGCAGTCCCTAAGAAAAAAGAGAGAGGAAAAAGTGGAAGGAAAAATATTTAAATAATACTAGTTGAAAATTTTCCAAGTTGTATAAAAACTATAAACCCACAGATCTAAGAAGTTTAATAAACTCCAAGCACTAGAAACGTAAAAAAAAAACAAACAAAAAAACTACACCAAGGTATGTCAAATTGATGAAAACGAGTGGTAAAGGAAAACTCTTAAAGGAAGCCACAGGGAAAAAAGACATATACATAGAAGAACAAAGATAAGGAAGACAGCAGACTTCTTGTGAGAAATAATGCAAGCCAGAAGAATGTGGATCAATATGATTTACTGAAAAATCAAACCAAATAAAATGAACAACAACAAAAAAGAAATATAAAACCCCAAACCAATCTGTCAACCTATAATTTTATAACCAACAGTCTGTCAACCTATAATTTTATAACCAACAAAAATATCTTTCAAAAATAAGGTCAAAACAAAAATATTTTCAGACCTAAAAAAGCTGAAATTACTCAATGCCCGCAAACTCTTACTAAAACAAATATTAAAGGAAGTCCTTTAAGCAGAAAAAAAATGCTTGCAGATATAAATCTTGATTTATGCAAATGAAAAATTCATCAAAACAGGTAACTATTAAGGGTAATATATATATATATTTTCTTACTTAGATCTCTTTAACAGTTAATCAACTGTTAAAACCAAAATAAAAACAAAGTATCACGGTGTTTATACCATTTGTAGAATTAAATATATGTAAATAATGGCACAAATTTCAAATTAAAACAAGCAGATGCCACTACACACCTATTAGAATGGGTAAAATGCAAAAAGCTGGCAATACTAAAAATGTTAGTGAGGAAGCACAGCAGATGGAAATCTATTCATTGCTGGAGGAATGCAAAGTGCTACAACCACACTGGAAGACAATTTCATAGCCTATTAAAAAACTAAACATTAAAAAACCCAGTTGATTTGGAAACCTATGATCACACAAAAACCTGCATGTGAATGTTGATAACAGCTTTATTTATAATCAACAAAACTGGGAGCAACCAAGATGTC
Organism: Homo sapiens; assembly: GCF_000001405.40. NCBI lineage: Eukaryota > Metazoa > Chordata > Mammalia > Primates > Hominidae > Homo > Homo sapiens. The sequence goes on from NC_000008.11 coordinate 68,835,093, forward strand.
CTTCAATTAGTGAATGGATAAAGTGTGATATTTCCACACAATGGAATATTATTCAGAAATCAAAAAAGATAAGCTATCCAGCCAAGAAGATATACGGAGAAAACTTAGTGCATATTGCTAAGTGAAAGAAGCCAGTATGAAAAAACGACGTATTGTATAATTCCAATTATGTGATGCATATAATAACATATAATATTATAGAAAACTCAAAGCTATAGAGAAAGAAAAATGATCATTGGTTGCCAGGAGTTAGGGGAGAGGAGGAAGGGAAGAATACATGAAGCTCCAGAGATTTGGGGCGCAGTAAAATTATTCTGTATGGTACTACAATTATAAATATAAATCATTATATATTTTTCTAATCCTATACAATTATAATGAACCTTAATGTATACACACTTAAAAGTTTCTTTTAGGAGTTTAGGGGATTCAGGAAGGAATTCAGATGGTGCCAACAAAATCTGTTTTACAAATGTATGAAACAACCTCACTTAGGGAATGAGGGGAAAAGATGCTAATCTAAGTATCTGTGGAAATGAGTACAGTCTGTGGGACTAAAGTCAAAAGGAACTGCTCATGAGTATTCTACTTGATAAAGATGTTTCCCATAAGAGTATGGGTTGACAATCCTTATACTGTTATACACATATAATGAAATGGGACAATTAAGTAAATAAATGGCAAATGGCGAGATCCAGGTTTCTCACTGCAGAGTGGGAAGTTACAGGTAAGCAATGGAAGAGGCTGAATGATGTCTATGGCAGTGGATTCAAGTTGGAGACATTAGTGTGAACTCATGTTTAGCTTACTGTATTAGTCCATTTTTGCACTACTGTAAAGATATATCTGAGACTAGGTAATTTATACAGAAAAGAGGTTTAATTGACTCATAGTTCTGCATGGCTGGGGAGGCCTCAGCAAACTTGCAATCATGGCAAAAGGGGAAGAGGCATGTCTTACATAGCAGCAGGTGACAGAAAGTGAGCAAGAGCAGGGAAAACTGTCTTATAAAGCCATCAGATCTCATGAGACCTCACTCACTATCATGAGAACAGCATGAGGGAAACTACATGGGTATTATGGACATTACAATTCAAGATGAGATTTGTGTGAAGATACAAAGCCTAATCATGTCATTTACTATAGATGTATACATAGGGTTACACATAGAAATATTTGTAGATATGTGTATATACACATATTTGTATAAACACATTTTTTTTGCTCTGTCAGCTGAGAAGACCTAAAAGAGGTGACATCCCAATAGCAAAGAGCACACTTATTACCTGATCTTAGTCTCTAATACTATTTTCTAACAAAAGAAACGAGGGCTTTATGAAGAAATGGCTGATTCTATTATAAAGCTGACTACATGCAGGATGAAACTGGAGCGTTGTGTAATGTCAGAGAGTAAGGACATGCTAAAAAAAAAAAAAAATCACACACACTGATGGGGTATGTCAAAGAAATCCAGAAGACAGCTGAAAGAGTTTGCACTGGCCAAAGAACTTGAAGAACAAACTACATAAGAAGAAGAACTCGACCAACAAGTACTGGAGTATTGCCAAAAGTATAAAATAAGTATCCATGAGTCCATACTAATACAAGTGAATACAATGACAAATGGAAGAGAAGAGGCAAATCTACCATGCAGATGAGTTCCAGATAATTTACTGCCCAACTAGCATAGCTCCCCAACTCCTTAGGTGTGGGCTCACAGAGTGACTTTCTTTCAAAGTGTACAGTATGGAAAGGAGGAAAAATAGAGTAACTTTACAGTAAATAAACTTCACAATCATCATTAATATCCTACATTCATATGAAATATTTTCTATAACTAATGAATCAATATCAATATATTATTAATAAAGTCTATAGTTTGTATATCTGTAGTTTTTAAACTCACACACTATCCAGGATTCCAGGTGATCAAGGCCAATGTCAATACTCATAAATCATATTAATAATATGTTGATATAATATAATGAAAATGGCACTATACCTGTGTGGTCCTCGTCCTAATAACCTGTAATTCTAGTTTCATCATGTGAAGAACATTAGACAAACTTCAATAGACTACCCTCCCATATAGAAAACATTCTACAAAATATCTTCCCATTCTACAAAACATCTGGCCAGCAGTACACAAAACTGTCAAGATCATCAAAAACAAGAAAAATCTAAGAAACTACAACAGCCAAGAGAAGCCTAAGGAAGCATGACAGCTAAATGTGATGTGAAATTCTGGGTAGTGCATTAGTTAAAAACTAAATAAACAAAAGTTATAGACCTTAGTTAATAGTAATGTATGAATATTGGTTCATTAATTATAGAAAATGTCTCATATGAATGTAAGATGTTAATGATAGGGGAAATTGGATGCAGGGTATTAAAAAGTCTATACTCTCTTTTTAATTTTCTGTAAATCTAAAACGGTTCTTTACAAGTCTACTAAAAAAGGAAAACAATAGCACAAAGCATGGAAAAAGAGAAGGAATGCATATAATTTTAAGGTTCTTATATGTGAGTGATATAAAATAACTTGAATATATGCAGTGGTCAGTTACAGATGTATACTATAAATCCAAAATGACCCACTAAAATAAAAGACTTACAATTAATCAATCAATCAAGGAGAGCAAATGTAATCATTAAAAGAAAAAGTCAAACGCTAATAAGGCACAACGAGAGGAATACATGGACAACACATTGACAATAGGTCACAAAATAGCAAGATGGTACATTTGAAATAAATCATATTGAAATTACGTTAAACGTAGATGTCTCAACAACTGATTTAAAAGGGCTAGATTGCAGATTAGGCAAAAAGCCAAGCTCCGAGTACATGCTCCTTACAAGAGAATCTTTAAAATACAAAGATGATAAGTTACAAGTAAAAGTTGGAAAAAGATCTGTTATGCTGACCCTAAATTTAACAAATGCCAGGATGGTAATATTCATATCAGATAAAGTAGCTTCCAGAAGAAAGAAAATTACCAATGGTGAAAAGGATCCTTTCATAATGACAAAGCAGTCAGTTCATCAAGAGGATATAACAATGCTAAAATGTTTATGGACTTAGTAACAGAGCTTCAAAACATATTAAGAAAAAAGAAGAAAACTTTCAGTCAATAATTTTTGGCTACTTTTTCAGCCTTGTCTATTTTCTCCTCTCCTTTTGAATTCTGATGGTATGAACATAAAAATTTTCATTATAGTACTATATGTCCTGGAGGTGCTGTTCAATATCTTTTCCATTTTCTCTCTTTGTTTAGAGTGGGCAATTTCCGTTCTATTTTCCAGTTCACTGATTCTTTTTCTTTGGTTCCCTCCATTCCACTTTTGAGCCCATTCACTGAGCTTTTAAATTTGGTTATTGTGTTTTCTGATCCTAAAATTTCTATTTTACTGAGCCTTAAAGTATAGAGAAAAAATTACACTATTCTCATTTCAAATTCACACACAATACTTGACAAGACTTACAGAGTCAGCAACTTTGAGGTTGAATCCTAGTGATCCAACCCAGGTGATTCTGATGTATGCTAAGGTTTGAATCCATTCTTCTGCAAAAATTGATACAAATACCTTCTTCCATGCTTCTTCCTACTCCTCCCAACACAGACATAAACACACACACACTCTCTCTCACACATACACAGAGAGAGAGAGAGAGAGAGAGAGAGAGACTTGTCATGGCTTCTACTAAACCTTAAGTAAGTCCATTTAATAGCCAACCAGCAGAGACCTTGCAGGAACTAGGACACAGGATACAGCTAGAGGAAGCTTCCTATGGAAACAAAAGCTGGTCTGCCTCATATATAATATGATCAAATATTATATTGACAAATAGGAAAGCTTAATTCTTTGCTCACCTGCATTATTAGTAGTGCTACAATATTATTAACAACATTGGCATTTTGAAGGGTTGAATAAAAATCACCTCTTCCCTTGGCTGCTTCCTGCTCCCAGGTTCTGTTTAATGTGAGAAATATGACAACAGCATGAGAACATGGAGCACCAAAATCAAGTATAAAAGAGACCTAGCCCAGAGTGAGAATGAAAGTGAAAATATGCTTGTTCCTCCCCTCCCCTCCCATATAGACCTTGGAACTGCCCACCTGAGTGAAAATTCCAGTACACAGAGCAGACCCACTTACCTAGGTCTCCGCCTCCCATTGGTCTTTGTGAGAAAGAAGAAGAAAAAGATCCAATCCCTCTGTTGGGGATCGTTGCTGGATCAGCCCTTCCCAGGTGAAGAACATAAAGCAGTGGCTATTGCTCTCTAAATAGGGAATAGCACTTCACACTACGGGCAGGGGACAAGGGCGTGGCAAAGGACTCAGAGTGATTAGGGAACATGAGCCTTATGGAAACCAAAGGACCCTGGAAAGTAGTAATAGTCGTTGCTGACATTCATTAATAGCTTACTATGAGTAAGTTACTCTTTTTTGTGCTTTATATATATATTTACTTTTTAATTTTAATTCTAATTTTTTTAGATACAGTCTCACTCTGTCATCCAGGCTGGAGTACAGTGGCACAATCTCAGCAACCTCCTCGTCTCGGGTTCAAGGGATTCTCCCACCTCAGGCTCCTGAGTAGCTGGGATTACAGGCATGTGTCACCACGCCAGGCTAATTTTCATATTTTTAGTAGAGATAGGTTTCGCCACGTTGCCTGGGCTGTTCTCAAACTCCTGGCTTCAAATGATCTGCCCGCCTGAGCCTCCCAAAGTGCTGGGATTATAGGCATGAGCCCCCGCACCCAGCCCTATATTTGCTTTTTAAATACTTATTTAAAAATCTATTGGGTGAATGTGTCATTAAATCCATTTTGCAGATGGGGAGACTGAAAATAGGAAGTTAGAAATAGTTCCTGCACAAGGTTGGAAGTGGAACTACTGAAGAAATTCCAACAGTCTCAACTTTTACAGCAAGTTGAATGATATAAATTACCTTATATAAATCATGGAAACAAAGTAAAAGTTTCTTATTAACGGCAAGTGCCAATTTGAAAAATCTGCAGAAAATGAAATTAATACTTTGATTCAATGTGGAATAAACTTTTACTTTGTTGAGAGTATTTTATGAATTTTTGGATGTTCTTTTGTCTTCCTTCTTCATGGCAAAAATTAATTTATTAATTATAGGTATAAATATTCTCAAGTATCATTTCTGTTGTCAAACCCATAAGAAATTTGTGAAAAGACTAGAAAACCTTTGAGGAAAGGGTCTTCGTACTCACTTTTCTATTCCCAGTGTCCAGAATATACTTCATAATGTTTGTTGAAACGATAAGAAATATTTTCTAAAAATTAGAGCTTTTTAGGGAGTTCATCTCCACAGGTAGCCCCCAAAATAATTGTTTTCTCTGTTGAGGCTAATCTAGCTGCTACCTACTTAAGATTTCAGCTGGAATCAATGCAGGTCCTTCTGTTATAATTGATTGAACACCATGTCTGAGGCCTCAGACTTGCCTAACCTTCAATTCCCCTTATTGCCCTAGTTTTATTGCTGCTAGAACAACTCTCTCTATGTGTCCCCCCACTGAGAGTGCTCTCACATAATTTAGCTCTCCCTTCCCAGAACTACGAGTGCTGAAAACTGGAAATAATCTTGTCTGGGGCATGTGAATATATGTGGCTCATGAGAAATCAACTGAGCTGGGAATATCCACTCAGGCTGTAACTTTAAATCCACTGTGTGCTAAGAAAAACAAGCCTTCTTGGTAGGGTGAAGGCGCATTTGCTAACACAGCCATTATTTCCCCAAATTTCTGACTCCTATCCAAGTAAACCCACTCTCTTCTGATATATGATATTGTCCTAAGAAATTTGCAACATTACAATCTGGTACATCTCTAAGTGTCTTTAGGGTATTCTTTGTCTCTCTGTCTATTTCTTGGCTTTTTCCTAGAAGTCAGACGGATATAAATACTCAAAGCAGAACTCCTTGGGAAAGCTTTCCATGACCAGACTTGTGGGAAAGTTTAGGGCCAAGCACTATTAAAGAAATGATAATTCTCCTCATACACCCTTTGAAGGATGCAATCCCAAAGGAATAGGATTTGTATCCTAACCCTCCTAAACCACATTTCTAGCTCTAGTTCCAGAAAAAGCAGAATCAATCTCTCTCTCTTTCTCTGTGTGTGTGTGTGTGTTGCACACACACACTCATAATAAGCTATTAATGAATGTCAGCAATGACTATTACTGCTTTCCAGGATCCTTTGGTTTCCATAAGGCTCATGTTCCCTAATCACTCTGAGCCCTTTGCCACGCCCTTGTCCCCTGCCCGTGTGTGTGTGTGTGTGTGTGTGCGCGCGCGCGCGCGTGTGTTTCTGGTCCTCCAGTAAGCAAAATTCCTTCGGCATAGAACCTCTCCGCGTAGGTTTTACTCACTGCTATCCAAAGAAACCTTATACAGGTACAGCCTTGTTTGTGACTATGTAGCTATAGAGGAGGAAAAACATCTTTTCCTTCTACTCATCTTAACGTGCATTGGCTGGTACTCCTGTAACAAAAGAGATTAACAAGAGAAAAGCATGCACATTTATTTAAGTTTTATGTGACATGGGAGTTTTCATAAGGAAATGAAGACGCAAAGAAACAGTTTAACCTGAGAGTTTTTATTCTAGGTTTAATGAAAAGTGGAAAGTTATGGGAAAATGTGATAGCATAAAGGGTATGAGTAAACTGGGGAAAACTGAGCAAAATCCCTTCATTCAGTTCTTGTCTGTGTCCCTGTGTCTTCAGAGAGAAGGCTGCTCCTTTCATCTGGGTATAGGGAGGGCACCTTTCACATGAGGTTGTTATGATCTGCTTCATGGGAAGGTCAGAAGACACTTCCCACTCATGATATTTCTCAAATTCCTTCCACCTAAAATATTACATATGCCACTGTGTCATATTTTGGGGGTAGCGTGTCCTGAACTCATCACAGCTTATCTCTGAAATATCCTGTGTTGTGTTTCTAAAAGTTAAGCTGTGTGGGCATCTGGAAGAAAATTTTACATGAGATTCATTGGCCATAATGCCAGATTAAAGATTTCTTCTTAGATTGGTAAATTTAAATATTGCTTGGCTTTGCATCCTCACATTCACTCTTCTAACTACGCTATTATGATGAATTTTCTTTAATCCCAAGTAGGAAAATGAAAATTTTTTCCCAAGAACTTAATCATGGAAAACTTACAGATGCACATTCTAAATATGCATTTTGATCATACAAATAATTTCATCTCATCTCCTTTAGTGTCTTAAAAAGGTAACCTGTCTGCTTCCTGCTCAAGCACAAAACTTACAGATTAAAAGACAAAAGAAATGCTAAAGCTGGCCTGGTCTCTTACAGGTCTGCTTTAAAAGGCTAGAGAAAAAGAGCAATGGGTAATACAAGAAACCTGGGATTTAGAAACCGTCAGGTGGCTGCAACTGTTAACTTTACACCAACCTTCCAAAAATTCTAAGGAGAATTTTTGCTCCTTAGTTCAGCTAAATCCAGGTTCTTATATCAAGAACTGGAAAATTTAGGCACGTGGACACATTGAAGGGTGTGGGGAACAGAATTTACTGGGCAAAAAGGAAAAAAAGAAAAAAACTCTCAAGAAAGCGAGAGGGGATCCTGCCAATAGGCCCCCACCTCACAGATTGATTCCAGGCCACGCACAGGAAAACTGAAGAGACCAGACTCCTCCCCATTGAACAAGGCGCAACTTTCTGTGGCTCGACCCCGTTTCCCCGGTGCGCATGTGGGCCTTATTCTGAAAGAATCGGCTGGGAAAGGGCGGGCAAACAGGGGCAGTTCTCCCTCTGGGTTGTGGGTTTCATCCAGGACCAGCAGCTGGTTTTTCAGCCTGCAGGGCGTTTTAGGCTTGAAGGCAGGGTTTCTCCGGGGACCCTTGGCTGTCTCCTGTTTCTATCAGTGGCATAGTTGCTAACTCCAGTTCTACCAGCAAACTGTCTGCAGGAATACAACCAGAAATGTTATACCTGACCCTTCTCTTTTCTCGCCTGTAGATAATTGGTCAGAACATTTTAATTACCTCTGTAAGATAGCGTTTTTCTTCCCATTCACACCCTCAGTCCAAGCCTGTTTCGGCAGCCCATTTTCTGATCACTGCTTCCCACTGGTGCTGGGTCAAATCTTCTTTCATGGAATTGGCAGTAATTTTCCCCAAACATAATAAAACTAACCGTGTGACTTCACTGACCAATAAAAGCTTTTAGTAACCTGTAGTCAATGCATGTTTTGCACCTTAATTTGAGGAGCTTGCATATCTCCGGAGACAAAGTGAGTGTACCCAGAGAGTCTGGCTAAGAGCCTGGGATGACTTTGTGGAATGTCAGTTCAGCCAAAATTCAAAACCAATATATACTTCTTTCCTCTCATGTACTAAGCACAATAAATTTTACTCAATAAGTTGTAATCTCATAGATTGTTATATTAAAAACCAAGCGAAATTTTAAGATAAAACATGATTGCAGATAAATTTGACATTTTTCATTGAGAAGCTGCAGGCTACACTCTCAAGACTCTCTCAAAGCCATCAAGCACTGATGTATACTTCCTCCTCTAGGAGGCGTACTTTGGGAAATCATAAACTCAAATTCCACCACTGGGACCTCAGTTCTTCCAAACACGACTCTAAATTAGCATTCCATTGTCATCCAACAGCTTTGCTCTGTTTTTTCAGATGCCCCAGAACCTTTCAAATGTTAAGTCCCCATAGATATTCTTTACTTAATGCACATTCATTCAACATTCATTTAAATACCACTTCTGTGGGGACTACCTTTGACTCCCTCAGTCAAATTGGATGCTTGCCTTTTGTGTGACAGAAAAAAACTTCATCACAATTTCTCTGCAAATGCATGTCAGAAAAATTGTGACAGATTCGAAATGAGGGAGGGGGAGATCGCTGGCAGCCTTTATAGTGTACCCATCTGCAATCTCTGTGCTTGTCATTGTTTTTGAAGGATTTAAAACTCATAATAATGTGAATGATTCTTTTCAGTTGAAATACAAACAAATTGGGTCCTTGTGGAATGCAGTTGGTTATTGTCCTGTAGATAGATCACTTCTGTCTTTATTTAAAATTTTGTTTTAGCATTCCTTATTCCCTACATTTGTGTCATTAAAAAGAACTACTCTGAACTGGTTCTAACATTTGATTCCATTATTAATTAATGAATTTAATAGAATCTTCATGTGTTTTATATTTTTTGAGAAGAATGCTTTTACCCTTAAAAAATGTTATCTTTTAACACCCTTATAACCTTAGTATCATTACTATCTATTCTGCTCAATTGCAGTTTCCTGGAGGGGTTGACATAATAATGTTGGGCTCAGAAATTGTTACCCCAAAATATGATGTTTTGACATGCTAAGCTGAAGAAGCTTCAAGGTCTCTCTGACCTAATCTCCACATGATCTCACCCAAAGAAGCTGAAGTTCCTTTATCTGCCTAAAATCCAGACCCACCAAGGAGAATAATTTGTCTTTTTCTTTCCCTCCCCATTATCTCATTATCTACTGCAGAAAAGAAGCTGTGACCATACCTGCACAGACCTTTTTATGAGGATAATTACTGTCTCTACAGATCAGTTAATCTCTGTTCCCCAATCCAGTCATTCTCCCTTGCAATCATTTATTGCCCATCAGTAAAATTCCTCTTCCCCCTCCACCGTTCCCATAACCTGTTTTACCAGGATGCGAGCCCCCATTCTTTTGTAACCTCAAGTTTCTGTAACTCATGAAGAAGTTGGGTCTTCATTCTGAAGGCTCCTGTGTATACATGCTAAATAGATTTACATGCCTTTTCCCCTATTAATTTATCTGCTTCATGTCAGTGATTTTTTTTTCAGTGAAACTTCAAGGGACCAAGAGCCTATGGCCACCACAGTATAGTGCAGTGAGCAGGGTAATCAAAGCTGCTCTTCTCTTCTATAAGCTGCAGTAAAGAGAACCCAGGAACCTGACCTGCCAGCAAAGGGATAAGAATTTCTTACCAGCCAGTCTCCTGACCTCTCTCTCTCTTTGCATTCCAGTTGAGTGGATGGGAAAAAATCATTGTTTGTCTCATCTGCAATGATTTTATTAATGAGAAAAAAGGATTTGTGTGATGAGTCTTGGGTTATAGTGACTCCAGTGTACTTTCAGTACTGTGAGGTATGAATATTCACATTCTTCGACCCCCCCTTTCCTCTCAGAAATAGGTGATTTGTTGTTGTTGTTGTTGTTGCCATTTTCCTTTGTCTTTGTCTTTCTGTGTTGTTCTGTCGTGAAGATGGGTACCATAGTGTAGAACATAGGCCTAGAACCCCTATAAGCCCATTGTTTCAGCCAGCCCTGAAGATTGGCTGGTTTGGTGGTTCTGGCTAGATGGGTGTCTATTAAAACAAACTTTGCTATGGGTCCCTGTAATACAGATGAGGTTTTCCTTTTATCCTGTCTTATGTCCTTGAGAGCATGACTGACTAAGTGGGGGTCCTCTCTTAGTCTCCATCATCCAAAGGGTGTGATTTTTCAGGTTCACATTAGGCAGCCAGTCTGAAAGATTGCAAACCGAGGCATGTAATATTTTAAGCAGCACACTCTTCATTCTGAATGTATGAAGCTTTTAGGTGAGTTTTGTCTTAAAAAGTCCCAACCCTATGGGGTTTTTGTCATCTTTGCTATGTTGAGTCTATTTCCGAGAATGAATTTGTGGAGATCATGGGGATCGCCTCCTCTACACCCTCTCCGGGAACAACTGTTGCTTACATGGTAAAAACCTGGAAAATTACCACCTGGGCTTTACATGAAGAGGCTTTTGGATAAAGTCACTATTGGAATTAAGTATGTCATTGAAAATTCTAATTGTCAGTGGCCAAAAGATAAATTTTAAAAGATTTTAGAGATTTTTTTTAATTGGAAAGAATTAATGGGAAAATACATTTTAAAAGGACACATAATGGTGTCACAGTTAGCCTTGAGAATTCTCTGACTAAATTAAAAGAGAAAAAAAAATCTGACCTAAAACAAAGTTAAAATCCTTTGCAAATTGAAACTGTCTGCTCTGGATTTCTTCTGGGAAGAACAATAAAGACCACCTCATGTTGTAACCTAGTAGCCAAGGTCTGCCCTTTTACCACAGCAGCCTGGATTAAACTTCTGGCAAGGGACTTAGTGCTTTCTGGATTGACGTTTGTGTTACCTTCCCAAAATTTATTGATTATTTTCCCTTCCATGGACAGATTTTGATTTCCTGTCTTTCATCTGTGGGGGCATATGAGGCATTTTGGCTTCTGTATGTAGAAAATGAGCTGAGCAGCTGAGACTCCAGAGACTGGCCAAACAGAAATGTGAGTCACACTCCATTTATGGCTACCAAAATTTTCCTTTCTTTGAGCTATCTTTGGGGTAATTTTATATCTTGTAAAAAGTGTTTGCCACCTCTTTGAAGACACCTTATGCTTAAGTTATAACCTCGATTATGGTACTTGGGAGGATGTCATTGGTTAAAAAAAAAAATGTTTAAAAGCCAGAAATATCAGCTGTTTATCCTCACTAAAATCTGGTAATAAAAAATTCAAAAGGATTTTTCTTACTTGGACTCAATGGAATTGCTACTACCTTTTTCCTGAGGCCCTATAAGCTAAAGCTTAAACTTTTTGAAACAGGCAAAAAAAATCTTGTCAGATTGCCATTGCTGGCTTCCTCTTTAACTGGGCTTTGAGTCTAACATCTGGACACCTCAACTGACTGCCCTGCAGACTGTAAGGAAACTGGTTTATAGACTGTTTCCAAAATTAACCTGTTTTTCTTCTGTTTGAAAGCCCATCTGCAATGCTATCTCCTAAAATGAAAGAGGTGTTTAATTGACCTATTCACAGATTGGTTAAATAGAATTATTTGCCATTCATATTTTAGCTTAACTTTTCTCTTCCACAGCCACTAACTCAGCTTTTAGTTTGTGAAACTCCTAGGGAAGTTTCAGATGGGAGAATGTTGGGGCTCAGAAATTCATATACCAAAATATGGCATTTTGACATGCTGAGCTGAAGAAGCCTGAAGATCTCTTTGGCCTCTCACCACCACTGTCTCTCCCAAATAAACTGAAGTTCCTTTATCTGCTTAGGATCCAGACCTACCAATGAGAACTATTGTGTTTTCTTCCCATCTCTGTTATCTCATTATCTATTGCAGAAAAGAAGGCCAAGATGTGACCAATACCTGAACAGACCTTTTAATAAGAACAATGATTGTCTCCAAGGATCATTTAAATTTCAAAGAAAACTATTTACAAAGTTAATCTCTGTTCCCTGATCCAATCATTCTCCTTCACAGTCATTTATTGCCCCTCAATAGAATTTCTCTTCTCCTTCTTCCTATATCCTGTCTTACCAGGATGCAAGCCCCCATTCGTTCTGCAAACTCAAGATGGTATATAAGTTTCTGTAACTCATGGAGAAGCTGGGTCTTCATTTTGAATGCTCCTGTGTATACATGTTAAATAAATCTATATGCCTTTTCTCCTCTTAATTAATCTGCATCATGTCCATGATTTTTCAGCAAAACTTTAGCAGGGCCTATGGCTCCCAAGGTAAGTATTGAAAAAAATGTGAAATACAAAATGTAAATGTGCTGTTTTGTACTTTTGGATGTGGCCTGAAATAAGGAAAGTCAGTAAACTAAGTGATTTCTTATACTTTCAAAAGTATAGACCTCTTTTGAAAATTTGTTGTAAGTTTGAAACTTCTTACCAGAAAAGTGCACGTATGTGCAGACGAACACAATGTGATGCATATGATTTTAGCAATTGAATGGCATTTCCAAGTTCATTCAAGCCCTATCCCCATACTCCTGTTAAAAACTGCTTTAAATGCTGTGAGTTTTGCAAGCTCTATAAAGTAAACCACATTTTGAATCCCTCATCCTCACTTTTATCTCTTTAGCTAAGAAAAACAATTTAACAAAAATAAAACAGCAGCTTTTGTTTCACTGAAAATCATTGTGTTGTAGGAGTTATTAAGAAATTATTTTAGGCAGATAGAAAAGAAAAGGGATCCTTGGGAAGTTTTCATTTTTAAAGCAGCTCCAGAATTGGAATGCCCTGGCTCTTAGAGCGGCTGGCAACCTTTGATAGGCAAATGCAAGCCATTAGAAACTGCGTCTACCCAAACATGGTGATTCCCGTGGCCTTCTTGCCCTTGCCCCACATGTTCCTGGCAACATGGCCGCTCCCACATATACCCACCATTTGTAGAACATCGTGGCGCCCTGCATTTGCATATTAAATGCTAGGGTGGGAGGGCCAGCTTTTTCAGGCCCCGTGAATTACAGGCCTGGTCAAACCAATCCCCTGAGCCCTATGCAAATCAGACACCACCTCCTCCAGCCTCTACATATACCTGGCTGGTATCCACTGCACTTGGGATTTCCTCTTTTGGCTTTGGAGGCCCCCTCCCTCTGTCTTTGTATCGGGGAGCCTTTTCCTTCTGCCTTCTCTTTTCTTCTTGCCTATTAAACTGTCTGCTCCTTAAAACCACTCCACGTATGTCTGTGTTGTTTTATCTAAACTGGCATGAAGACCAAGAACCCTGGTGTTCCTCCACTCATCGGAGCCATATCACTGGGGTTATAGTAGGAATGGTAACAAACATAATTTTCTGTTTTTAGCAGAGAAACTTTTTAATATTCTTATTTTCAGTCAGTTCTTTTACCATTGCTTAACACGAAAAGAATAATTACGGCCGGGCACAGTGGCTCACGCCTGTAATCCCAGCACTTTGGGAGGCCGAGGCAGGCAGATCACGAGGTCAGGAAATCGAGACCATCCTGGCTAACACAGTGAAACCCCATCTCTACTAAAAATACAAAAAAATTTAGCTGGGCGTGGTGGTGGGCGCCTGTAGTCCCAGCTACTTGGGAGGCTGAGGCAGGAGAATGGCGTGAACCCGGGAGGTGGAGCTTGCAGTGAGCCAAGATCGTGCCACTGCACTGCAGCCTGGGTGATGGAGCAAGACTCTGTCTCAAAAAAAAAAAAAAAAGAGAGAATAAATACAAATCAAGTACATGGATAAACACGGTACATGACAGATGACAGATTATGGATATAAAACGATACAAAGAGCTACAGCTTTTGGCAAAGAATAAAATGCCCCAGATAGAAGGGACTAGAGACATTTTTCTAAAGTATCTTTCTTTTTAATTTAATTAATTAATTAATTTTTTTTTTTTTTTGAGACAGGATTTCACTGTCACCGAGGCTGGAGTGCAGTGGCTCAATCATGGTTCACTGCAGCTTCAATCTTGCAGACTCAAGTGATCCTCCCACCTCAGCCACCCAAGTACCTGGAACCACAGGCTTGCACCACCATGCCTAGCTAATTTTGTATTTTACTTTTGTAGAAACAGAATATCCCTATGTTTCCCAGGCTGGGCAAACTCCTAGGCTCAAGAAATTCTCCCACCTTGGCCTCCCAAAGTGTTGGGATTACAGGCATGAGCCTGCATCCAGCCAAAAAGTCTCATTTTTATAAGTAGTAACATATTAGGGTTTCTATGTACACTGCTGTGGAAAATTATATAATCTATCAAAGAAGAAAATAAAAGTCTAATCTCCTAGCTAACTTAGAATACAGGCTCTCTTCGATGTTTTTACCTCATCATGATATTCTTACCTATAGAAATGAATATGTAGTGTTCTAGCAATAGTCTTAACCAACACAATTGAATAGTAACTGAGAGTCTTGATTATTTTCCTTATTTTCAAAGAGAACACTAGGTATTTTGGTAGAGTACAATAAACAACGTCCATTCTTTTTAGTTGTGAAGAAATTCTGTAGTGTTAATACATTATTTATTTGGTGGTGTTACCTCATATTTCTTCTGATTGCAAATATTGGATGTTATCCCGACTGTGGCATCATTCTCTGCTCTGGAGTTAACTTTTATGGAATCTGTGGAACTGACTAGAAACAGTTAAAGGTAGGGTGAATACAACAGTTCTTCTTGGGGAAAATCATGTCCAGGACACAAACACCATTAAAGCATTTTAGAAGTCGTTTATTGAATTTACTGCTATGACCCAATTATAAGAACTTCAGCAAAATCTGTAGATTTAGAGTTTATTAAATCATATATTTTAGTAAAACCTACTTTAGTTTTTGTTGCATTTTCTTAAGTTCAAATCTACTACTCACTGAGTTCTGATTAAGTTGCTATGGTCATTATGTGTCTGGAATTTGTGGGTTCTTGGTCTTGCTGACTTCAAGAATGAAGCCACGGACTCTCAAACCGAGTGTTACAGTTCTTAAAGGCAGTGTGTCTGGAGTTGCTCATTCCCTCCGGTGGGTTCATGGTCTCACTGGCCTCAGGAGTGAAGCTGCAGACCTCTGCGGTGAGTGTTACAACTCACAGCTCATAAAGGCAGCCCCACCCAGAGAGTGAGCTGCAGCAAGATTTATAGCAAAAAGCAGAAGAACAAAGCTTCCACAGCGTGGAAGGGGATGCGAGCAGGTTACCCCTGCTGGCTCACCTCTGCTTGCTCACCCCTGCTGACTCAGGCAGTATGCTTTTATTCCCTTGTCTGACTCCACCCACATCCTGCTGATTGGTCCATTTTACAGAGAGCTGATTGGTCCATTTTACAGAGAGCTGATTGGTCCGTTTTACAGAGAGCTGATTGGTCCGTTTACAATCCTTTACCTAGCCGCAAAAGTTCTCCAAGTCCCCAGTAGATTAGCTAGACACAGAGCACTGATTGGTGCATTTACAAACCTTGAGCTAGACACAGTTACGTTTACAAACCTTGAGCTAGACACAGAGTGCTGATCGGTGCATTTACAAATCTTGAGCTTGACACAAAGTGCTGATTGGTGCAATTACAATTGCTATATTCGATGACAGAGTATGGAATTAAACCCTGTTGATGCCTCAGTGTCTTCTAACATCTAGGGAGTAAATGAAAGAATCATTTCTTCCTAGATTGTTTGCTATATATATTATACTAAAATATTAAAAAGTCAGTAGTACTTCTATTAATTTATATAACTGATTAACCTATTAGAAATTTCATTTTTATCCTCCTTTGCAATGTCGTTGAGTTCAGGCAAAATTAGTGAGATTTTTTTCCCAGTCTTGGAGGAAGGGGAGGAAGATTTTGCATTTTTTTTTTACATGCCTAGGATATCAGAGATACTCAAAGAGGAAATCAGCTTATCCTCCAAGTATGGATCAGAGGTTAGTTTTTAATAAAAGGCTTCATGACACAGATATTCTGCTGGTAATTTATTCTTTTTTCTTTTTCTGCCCACATTCATTATTCCTTTTATCCGTCCTCATCCACTTGTTTTGGAGATTGCCTTCCAGGTTCTCCTCTTCCCCCAGTTAATTAATTGTTGCAGTAGCCACAGTGATATAGTCCTATTAGTTGAGTAACCAGCAAACTAATTGCATTAGCTACTTGTGGCATTATAATAGTTGAATGATTTATCATCATTCTTTCCACTTTGATCTTTAAGTATTTTAGATTTCTAACTTTTGACTTTCTATAATTTTGTTATGTGCTATTCCCAAGTACTTTGTTATTAGCTCTTATCTATATTCTCTTTATACTCATTCCCTTAGCAGTTTCCTCCACTACCATGTTTTTGACTGACACCTTATTAGATGAGTCCAAATACTACATGTTTTGGGCAGAATTTATATGTGAACTCCTAACCCCCAGAATCTCAGAATGCAATTGTATTTGAAGATAAGGTCCTTAAAAAGGTGATTAAGATAAAATGAGATTCTTAGGATTGGATCCTCATCCAATATAAATGGTGTCCTTATAAGAAAATGAAGAAATAGGGTGCATACACACAGAAAAAAGTCCATGAGGCCCAGCAAGAAGGAGGCTATCTAGAGGCCAAGGAGAAAGGCTTCAGGAAGAAACAAAACCTGCTGACATCCTAATCTTGCACTTCCAGTCTTCAGAACTGTGAAAAAATAAATTTCTGTTGTTTAAGCTACCCAGTCTGTGGTATTTTGTTTTAGAAGCTCTGCAAACTAATACAGTGTTTTATTTCAGGAAATCTTCTGAGTATCTCAAATACCTCCTAGTGCAATTCCAGATAATTTCTATATTTTTGGTATTGGTTTTATCATTATCTTCTCCCCAGTTGAGTTTGAACTTTCTGAGCAAGTCTTCTGATACCAACTGGTATACTGTAATACAATTCTAATATTAATCACCTGGAGTCAGCACCAGACCCACAGGTTAAAGGTCATGGACCCTCAACAAGGCTGTCCTTACTGCAAACACCAGCCACACTTCAGGGCCCACATACCACCCACATGTCTTTCCAACTGGCTGCAAATTAAGAGGTTCCCATGACTTTATCAGGTTGATAACTAACTAAAATGACTGAGACAACATAGGAAAATGCTACACTTAACAGCTACAATTTTATTATGAATGACATGAATCAAAATTGCCAAATGAAGAGACACATATCCAAAGAGTTTGGGAAAAGTGTCTATTGTTCATGGTTAGGCTCCAGGAAGAATAGACAGACATGGAGAAATGTGATCAGACAAAAAGGGAATAATCTAATAGTAATAAACTGAGGGGAGAAACTCACCAAAGGCTGTCTGTTCAGATTCATCTTGGCTTCTCTGTGTAGCATTTCTTCCTCCCGGGTACAGGACAGGACCCTTCCTGGAATGAGGGAAGGTAGGTCAAAAAATGTCTTGATGGCCAGATCTTACACAGAAAGGCAGGGGAAAGTTACAGACGTATTTTTTAGGTTGAGAAAGAGGAATTCTAGTCTCTATGGCTTGCTTTGTGAGGAAACGAGGGGTGGGAGATAGGCAGGCAGGAACAGGTCAGAGAGATACTGCTTCTGAGACTGCTTTTCAGGCCTTCCAATCTCCTTTAGTTCAAAGTACCCAGCATGCCAAAGTGCCAGACTTTGGGGTATTGTTTTCTGAGCCTCAGTAAGTGCCAGGCTCTTGCAGTGTGTCCTGAGTTTCTCATGGCACTTAGCACAGTCCTCACACTTACTGGATGGTGGTTGTTAGATTAAGTCATCTGTAATCGAAAACTGGTAGAAGATTTTTTATGTGAAACATATTAATTTAAACATTAGAACTAAAAAAACCCAAGGATATCTTATTTTCTTAGGGTAATGTTTCTTTTTTTTTCTTTTCTTTGATAGTAGAGATAAGAAGTCACATATTTTCCTGTGAATCCTTTCTTTTAAATACATTACATACCCCTGAGCTATTTACTTTTTAAAAATCTGTTAGATACATGGCTTTATTTCTAATTTTCAAAATAATTATGCAATTTGGAGTGTAGTATGCATTCTTACAGATGAAAAAATAAGATTTTCAGACGTTAAGTAAACTTTCCCAGGTTGCTCAATAAGTGAGTGACAGTGCCAGATCTCAAATGCAGGTCCATCTGACCCCAAAACCTGTCCCATTTCCAACACTCATTATATTGCCTCTTGGCGAAATTCCTACATACTTCTGTATAACACATGTAAAGGAAATAGCCTTTAGGCTAAAGGCTCAGTTAAACCTCTAAAAACAAACCAGTAAGGGGAGTGAGTGACAAAATAAAAACAGCAATGTGGTAATGCTTCCCAGGGCTCGCAGTGATATTGTGTAGACATGGAGTGATTAAATACCTGAATCCTATAAGAAAGGCTGAATTCACTCAGGGAACACAGAACTAATGTCTTGGGCATAGTCTTGGCTGAAGGCCAAGTCGCATTTACTTTCACACAATGGATATATTGATTGAAAACCATCTCTGAGTTGGAAGCACTGAGTTTAGTTACAAATGTGTAGGAGGGAGGCTTGCTGTCTTACGATGATGATTATGATTGGGGTAAATAGCATTAGTATTGGTAACATTTCAAGCAAGGAGGCTGAGGTTTGTCAATGCTATGAAAGTTAATGCAACTATGTCTATCTCTCTGATGATAGGTATGTTGAGTCTATCTACTGACATCTAACATTCTTTTTGAGCAGTGTTAGAGAAGCAGTACGATATAGCATGTGTACTTCACAATAAAGGTCAGTTGTAAATCTTATTTACGGTTATACATGTATGAATGAACAATAGAGAAATGACTTAAAGATGCAGTTTGTGATTGGCACACTCAAAATGTGTGGAAGATAACGCTTGTCAATGGACTTTGTGTACTCTAGGGGGCAGTATAAGGTAGACGCAACTGATTAAGGGCATATAAAAAAGTCAATGTGAAGACTGCCCATATGTGACTTCCTAAACAACTAAGACCGAACTTCTTCTGAGATAGCAACAGTCACCCTGTAGACAAGTAGGCTTTTCCTGACACAGCAAATAAAACTCAGATCCAATTCTAGTAGTCCGAATTCCTCTAAGTAACCCCAGTGGTATTTTCTCCTGGGGTTACACGAGATGTAAAGAGGTTCTCAGGCAAAAGACAAACACATTGGAAACTGCCTCTTCTACTTAACTCAAAATGAAAAGTTTGCATAGTTAGACAAGTAGTACAGTCTGTACCTCTTGACTGTATGTCAAGCTGTCCTGAGAATGTATATTCAACTAATTCTTTCTAGTGAGCAAACAGCAGTGTGTTTACATAAGGCACCATGCAGGTGAAGCTAAGACAAAGCATTTTTATTTCACTTCACAAATATTATCTTTGTCTTGCAATATTTTATTGCAACATTATTACATGCAAAATAGTACTATAGTGATGTGATTTAAATTTATGTACTTAAAATATTCGGTAACAAACTTGAGTTATACTACTCTTGTGCCATTGGATTTATTCTTTTCTATGCTGTATATGCCTTTGTCCTATCTAAATTTCTTCTTAAAATTGCTAGCTAACTCTCAGTTGACTATAGGAAAAAATCTTTGCTTTTAAAATTATAATTATTTTTAGAGAGACATAAAAATCTTATTGGATTTCCAATGTTAAGAATGTGATGTGTAGGTAGTTCTACCATTGGAATATATACCCACAACAGAAACACAAATTATTTAAAGAAGTTTGTAGTATAAATAAAACTGACTTTTCACTTTATAGCCAAGTTAATTTATTAATTTAAAAGCTGATAAACCAGATAATTAAAGTTTGTCTTCTTAATGTCAGAAAGGCAAAGACTACAAGAACCATGGAAATCATATAATCAAGTATTATATTGGCAATGCTGAGAAGAAAGGAAAGAAAGAACTGAAAGGCTGTGGAATATGTTAATTTCTTGTGTCTTCATATTAAGAGTTAGTTGATACTATTCATAGACATAGAAAATTAAATATGTTATAATAAGTTCTAGTTATATTAATAGAAGTAACTGCTAACATTTCTAAAAGCAGAAGGCAAACCTCCTGAATAATAACAAAGGTCATCGTACAAATTCACAAAGCATAAATAAGGAACACATCTAAAACAAAGTGACTAAAAAGAGTGGAAAATTGTTTTTAAAAGGAAAAAACATTTCAAGAATTGAAGAGGAAAGAAACTAGTAGTCATAACATTTAATATTAGATAAGTAGAATTCAGAGTAAAAAGACTGAACAAAACAAGTAGGATTTTTTTTATAATAATAATGGGCAGAATTTATGCAGATCGTCCAAATTTCATTAGTATCTAAGATATAAATTATCTAAAATATAAATATGTAAAACAGAGAGAGAGAGACACAGATAGGGAGGTGGAGGCAGAGAGACAGATAAATAGACTGAACATATGAAGAGCAGAAGACTTTTGCTTCTTAATTTTGACAAGTCAAGTGAAGAACGAATGAAGATAGAGAAGACCTAAGTAATATGTTAGATTTTAAAATTAAATATAATTACATATAATATATATCATTTTATAATTTAGAATGTACCTTCTTCTCAAATTTTCAAGGACTATTAACACATATCAAACAAATATTAGGCCACCAAGGAGATCTCAGTAAATTCTAAAGATTTATGGCACTGTAAATATAATCTGATAATAATTCAAATATCTGCATACTAATAAAAAAGCAAGAAAAAACCTCTAATAAATAAAGAACTCATAACAAAGATATAAAGAAGATAGAAATGGCATAAAAATAAATCAGAGCTGTGGCTGCACTGTAAGCAGTGTTGAGAGAAAAGCCCTAAGTAATTATATTAACAAATAAGATTAAAAATTAACAGATCATGCATACAACTAAAAACATTTGAAACAAGATGAAAAATAAAAACAAGAGAAAATAAGTTAAAAAAGTAAAAACAGACATTAATAAATAAGAAAACTGAAAAATGGTAGAACTAATACAACTAAGAGTCATCTTTTTGAAAAATAATTATCCATATAGTAAAAAAATTATTAGCAAATATAATTATGAAAAGGGGGAAATATAAAAGTAAAAAATGAGAATGGGAAAATAGCCACAGACACAGAAGAATAAAAGGAATTATGAATGAAAACTTTGCTCAACTCAAAAAAATAAATTTGAAAATCATAAAATAGATGATTTTCTAGGAAAAAGTAACAAATTGAAACTGACACAAAAGGACCAATTTCCAAACAGGAAATAATGTTACAAGGTACCCACTTGCCTCCCCTAAGGCATTAGAACCAGAGAGTTAGCTCAGAAACTTACATAAAACTTTTAAAGAACAGAAAAAAGACAGCCTTATAAACTGTTGTAGAACATGGACAAAAAAAGACAATTTCTGGTTCTTCTTTTTGAAACCAGTGCAATGTTGATCCCCAAATTTTTAAAAAGTAGCACATGGGAAATATTTGTCAATATTAAGTTAAAATTTTAAAATATAAGCAAAGAGAATAGCACCTGACCAAGAGAAAGCCATAAAAAGATTTTATGGCCAGGTGCAGTGGCTCACGCCTGTAATCCCAGCACTTTGGGAGGCCGAGGCGGGCAGATCACCTGAGGTCGGGAGTTCAAGATCAGCCTGACCAACATAGAGAAACCCCGTCTCTGCTAAAAATACAAAATTATCCGGGTGTGGTGGAGCCTGCCTGTAATCCCAGCTACTTGCTACCCGGGAGGCTGAGGCAGGAGAATTGCTTGAACCTGGGAGGCAGAGGTTGCGGTGAGCTGAGATCGCGCCATTGCACTCCAGCCCAGGCAACAAGAGTGAAACTCCGCCTAAAAAAAAAAAAGATTTTTACTACGACTCAATATTAAAAAATCTATTAATATCATGATCTCCAAAGATACTGAAAGGCATTTTTTCCATTAAAAAATGTATATATATTTTTAAATGTCTCTAAGTAAAATAGGAATAGAAGCAAACTAATATGACAAAATATATGCTTTACATATAACTACTTTAAAATAATGAAATATATACTTTAACTCAACCCGAAGACATTGGAAGCCTTTCCATGATAACCAAAAATCAAATAAGAATTTCATTATCATTACTATTATGTAACGTTGTTTTGGAAATAGTAAGTGATATATCTGACAAGAGAGAAAAGGAGGAAAAACCCAAGAGAAAGTAAGAAATATCACTGCCAATAATATGACGCAATACCTAGAAAACATCAAATCTTAAACCTTATTAAAATCGGTGAATTCAATAAGGTTTTTGAACTTGATTGAATTAAAATTAACATATATAAATCAAGTTTTTTTTATGTCTTAATAACATCCAGTAGCAAAGACAATGGAAGAAAAATCTCATTCTTAATAGCAACTTAGTGTATAAATTATCTGGAAATATGCTGAAGAAGAAATAAGCAATATCTACATCATTTTTAAACCTTTCCAAATCCTTTAAATGTACCCAATTTACACAAAAGAAGATTAAATGTATAGCGCATGTTGTCACTTATATGTGGGAGCTAAGAAAGTGTATCTCATGAAGACAGAGTAGATTGGTGGTTACCAGGTTATTAGTCCATTTTCATGCTGCTGATAAAGACATACCTGAGACTGAGAAGAAAAAGAGGTTTAATTGGACTTACAGTTCCACTTGGCTGGGGAGGTCTCAAAATCATGGTGGGAGGTGAAAGGTTTTCTTACATAGCAGAGGCAAGAGAAAATGAGGAAGAAGCAAAAGCAGAAACCCCTGATAAACCCATCAGATGTTGTGAGACTTACTCACTATCACGAGAATAGCACAGGGAAGACCAGCCCCCATGATTCAATTACCTCCCCCTGGGTGCCTCCCATAACATGTGGGAATTCCGGGAGATACAATTCAAGTTGATATTTGAATGGGGACACAACCAAACCATATCACCAGGGTAGGGGGAGAAGATTGATTCATGAGTATAAAAATATAGTTTGATAAATATAGAGTGAAGCATACCCTGTTTTAAAACAGTAAAAATCAAAATTACAAAGAAGTAGTTTTTCTCTAAATCTATCTATAAATATCAATAAAAATAAAAGCTGCTATATCAATAAGAATGAAGGGTGTTATATATTTGTAGTGTGTGTTTTAAACCCTCCAAGGTGGTGCTAAAGATCATGTAGAAAAATATACATATAAAAGTGGCATAGAAGTTTTTGAGTTGAATGCTCAGATATTAAAACATATTATAAATTTACAGTAACTTAATAGTGGGTAGAATTACATGATAGATATACAGAATAGCACAGCATAATAGAAAACCCAGAAATAGACTCAGAGATATACAAGGACTTACCATTTGGTAAAGCTGGCACTGCATATCCGTAGATGAGAGTTGTATTTTTAAATTTATGGTAAATATTTAGGAAAAAAAGACAATTTCCTATCTTAACTCTTACACAAACATAAATTCCATGAGGAGAAAACATTTGAACATACCAACATTAGAGGCGATATTATATATGTAAGTCTATATGCATTATATATACACATATACATACACCCTTACATAGGCATAGGCACTATATGCACATTTATGCACGAGTGAGTGTGTGTGTTTGTGTATGTGTGGGAAGACCTCTTAAAATATGACTTAAAAAACAGAAACCATGAGATCAATAAATTTGGTCCTAAACTGAAAAAGAAACCAAAAGATAACTACATTAAAAAATGACAATCCAAGGGACTAATTCAGAAAAAAAATCTGATATACATTTAACAATCAAATGATACTTTTCATTATAAAAATGCTCTATAAATCAATATGCAAATAAGTAACAATTTGATCAAGAAAAATAATAAAGAACGGGAAGATAGTAGAGAGGCAAGGAGGAGAAATTCACTACTTGTTAAGTAGTAAATTATATAGCGTATGGTGATATGACTATTAAGTAATATACGGTACTGTGAGTAAAAGGAAAAGCTTGTTGAGTGGAATTGACAAAGGAGGATGCCAAAGGGAAGTCACTGACAATTAATGACCCAAAGATATTGATTGCAACCATGTGTCAAAAATGTTGGCATAGTTCAGAAGTCCCTAATATGTATTATATGTACAAATACATACAATAGGATATTATATAGCTTTAAGAACTTGTAATTACTGATATATTTGGACTTACTTATACCAGTTTTTTTTCCACAGTTGCCCCTTGCTTCTTTTTTCCCCTTCTTCATTTCTCTATTGGGTTATTCTAGATTTATTGTTATTATTATTACTTCTCCCCTCCTCCATGAGTTTGGAAGTTATCCATTCTATTTCTGTCCTTTGAAGCTTTTCTTAAAATCTCAGTTGGTCTAGAATTATCTCTACACTTTTCCCAACATACAAGTATTTTAGTACACATGACAGCAATCATTACAGCTTCCTCATCTTCCTTTTCAACTCTCAATGTTCTAAAGATAGTTATGGTATAAATTAAACTGTTCTTATGGCCAGACCTTGGGGCATTAATTCTCTTGTAGCACATTTTCATTTGACCTCATGTTTTCTTCTGTGGTTGTGAATTTAGGTTGGGAACTAACCTCCTGCAGGAGTTGCTTGTGTCCCTTGGATTCTGACTGTGTTCTCAAAAGGCAGTTTTGCTTTTGATTCTACTAGGGCCTCCGGGTTTCACTTGTCTCAGGCAAGTCTCAGGTGGATGGCAAGATTCCTTTGCTGCTGTCCTGAGCTGATGTATGGATTTTTTCTAATTCCTCTTAAATAAAACCAAGGAAATCTTCTGAGGCCCCACCTCTATGCAGAGTTTCCTGCAAAAGTTTCCTTCCTAAGATTGGTCTGTCAGCCTTAATAAAACTCTAACCCCAAACCATAAAGTGTATCTCCTTCCAATATTACTCCAGTCTACATCAGAATAACACACATATATACACACATGCACACATACACTCAGTACACACACACACACATATATCAACATGGACTTTGGATATTAGTCCTTTGTCTATGATATTTAACAACTTCAATGTGATGATATTTTGTCAAAAATTATTTTTTAAACAGTTATATATCAGTTGCTCTAGCATTTTTTCTTGACGTTGGGGTTTAAATTTTCTTATTGGTTGCATATGTCGTCTCTCCCTGTTGATGGTACATTTTCTTCTATGGCTAATAATTTTTTTAACTGTGAGTTTAACTTTGGTGGAGTTTACTTATTGTAGAACTCCCATAACTCTGAGATATTAAAGCAGTCCTCTATCCTTTTTTTTAAGTTTTGCATTTACTTCTTGGGCCCTAAGATCCAAACCAGTTGTGTTATTTTCTCTATCTGTTATAGGCTCCCATACCACGAAGGTAGTATAAATTCACATTGCACTCCTGCATGTGTTATTGACCTGGGTTTTTAATTTCTCTTTGTGCTTCTTTCTGCTCTCTGCAATCCCCTAAAATATCCGGTTCTTTAGACAGGAAGCAGAATTTTCCAGCTCCAGCATTATGGAAAGTGTGTTCCCCGAGGCCTGCCGGCTTGATTCAGGTCTCTCTGTGATTTATCCTATCCCTCTTCACACAACCATGAGACCTCTTCTATCTCAGCTTAGGCCATAAAACTCTGCTCTTCTGAGGACTTTATCCAGATCCCATTCCTCTGCAGCTTTAGCTTTAGGTTTGCAAACACTCTTTATTTGTATATTAATGAGATTTTTCTTTTCTTTTTAAAAATTGACAATGTATTTAAAATTACTTTCTTATTATATTTTATCCAACATTTCTATGAGTGTGGAGGGGATGCTAAACTATGTGTTCCTAACTTCCACAGTGCCTGGAAATAAATCAAGAGGTGAAGCTCCTCTGAGATCTGGAAATGGTAGCACCACCAATTTTCCTTAAGACAGAAGTTTGAGTATGTTTTTCTGAAATCTAATTTGTAATGATAAAAGCCAGAAAAAAAAGGAAAAAAAGAGCCAAGAAATAAATATCTTACAAACTGAGGCAGCCAATGAATGTTTTTCTAGATTATAGAGCAAGGGACAATAGAAAACCCATACTCTGCATCGTTTGTGAATACAGACTAGGAACACGTGTTTTGCTTCTGCTATGTGCCAGGCCCTGTATTAACCTCATTAGGCACAGAATATTTAAGTAAGTTCTTCAATATCATATACCTGATAAGTATTTGTGCTGAGATTCAATACCAGGCATATTTAAGTTGCATCTTTTCCATTGTAATGTTAATTCTCAACCCTGGGAGCCACAGATATGTTCTGGAACTCCAAAAACATGTAAGTTATAAATACCAACTACAATAACAACTCACAATCGAAAGCTGTTTCCATTGAATATCTTTTTATTAATTTCATTTAATTTATTGAAACAGAGTCTCACAATGTTGCCCAGGCTGGTCTTGAACTCTAGGGCTCAAGCAATCCTCCCACCTCTGCCTCCCAAAGTGTTGAGATTACAGGCTTGAACCACCACTCCCTGATGGATATGTCTTTTTGTAAGTCACTGTTTTGTGACTGGGGTCTGAGAAGTGCTGATGGGAGAAGAAAGTGTCCTAAAACACCATCAGGGATCAGAAAGAATTATATTTTCCCTTAAAATAAGCCTGGACTTGATTCAAGTTTTAGAAACACCCCACTGTTTCTCCTACTTGCTTCCTTTCAGGAAAGGTCGGTTCGACAAGATTTTATGGGCTTTTTGTTTTGTTTTTCTTTAGAACTGTTTTTTACTGCAATTTCATGGCTACTGTGGGTTGAAAATGGGTTTTCTCACAACGTCTTTGGGGTGGGGAGGGAGATCAGTTTCCCTGGCTGTGACTGGCTGGCCTATTTACAGGAAGTCTCAGGAAGGTCCTGAGCTGGGGAAAACAGTCCAACATTGATGTGGGAACCAGGGAGGACCAGACAGGCAGAGCCTTTCCTGCCTGGGCCACTTCCTCAGAGCCAGATGTTCTTGCTTTGCAAAAAGTTCAAGCCTTTCACGGCCCTCTGTTGCTCCCTAAGATCCAGCATATAAATTTTTCGAGACCCATAAACAGGGCCAAGTTTGTCAATACTTAAGTATTTAATCTTATCTTGCATCTACACTAAATTTTTCCCTTTGCAGTCTTTCTTTCTGTGTCTGGTTTCCTTTTCATGTTGTTGCCATAATTGCAATAGCTTGTCCTTCCCTCCTCACCCCCACCTGCTGCTGCTGCTGCCGCTTCTTCTTCTTTTTTTTTTTTTTTTTTTTGGTACCGTAAAGATAATGGTAAGATTGGGGGAGATGTTTAAGAAGAAATAAGAAAGATAACTGAGGGGGTGGACTTATTTATGTGAGAAAATGGAGACTGAAGGAGTCCTGTCATTTAATACTCCCCCATAGCTCTCTACTCTCGGGGGAGATTTAAGAAATTAAAAAACACACATACAATTTTATTGTATTTTTTAGACAGAGATTAAATGTCTATGATTTTCAGCCACGCTTCTAACTTGTGTTTGTAATCCTTTTGTTTCTTTCTCCATTAAGTGTTTTTTTTAAAACACAGCTTTACTAATATATGCAAGAAATGGGCCACTAATATATGCAAGAAATGGTATTCATTTATGCATACCAGTAAGTTTATGATAATGAGAATTTCTGTGGACACACATAGATTTGAAGATCACTTGGTCCACAATTTTAGTCTATGGGCCAGCCGTGAACTCTGCAGCCTCCCTAACTCTTTTGAAGAATAGAGAATCCATATCATAGACTCATTCAAAAGATAACCAAACTGGCTCTGTCACATAAAACTTATACTTTATAAAACATCAAAATATTATTATCTTTAATTACCACAAGGATTATGTCATGTACACTTTCATCTGTCACATAGAGCCTCATGTAAGAAGAGGAAACTGAAACTTTGAGAGATATTTGCCCTAGATTGTTATCTAAGTAAGGAGCAATACTGAAACACAAATTCAGGTCTTCTACCTCCAAATTTAAGCTCAACTTTTGACTGCAAAGACAACAAAGAATGCTGAATTTACTCCTTTCTAGAAATCTATGCTGCTGAATCCAGATAGGTGGTATGTACCCTGCGCAAAAGCTCCCAACTAGGGAGATGAGTTAGGCTGAAAGGCACTGCATCCTCCCCTTTCTAAGCTTTGTGCCAGAGGATTGTTTCAACAGGAGACAAAGATGACTATTTCGTCTCAAAATGCACCCAGCCACAATCCCAGAGGCTGCTTTTTCCCAGAGGGGGTGCGTTTTTTCTCATCAAAAGGACTGAACAGATTAGCAGAATTCCTGCTCTCCATAGAAAAGTCCCACATGAGTAGGAACTTTGAGGGTCAGTGTGGCAATTTCAGTCTACGAAATAACCATTCTACAAGCTGGACTCAATAGAACAAATTCAGTGGATTTCACAATTTTGTTTCAAGTACAGGTATTTCCTAATACCTCTTGAGGGTGGGGCTGCTTCCAGACAAAGGATCCCAGAAAGTGACATTCCTACCACCCCATTTTGCCCTTCTCTTTTCTTTCCCAGATGTTGCCACTGAGTTTTGGTGGTAATGTGCAATACAGCAATAGTTAACTAAATATAGTGGATAAATAGGGAATATTTGGAGAAAGAGTTTTTCTGACATCCTATCATTTAGAAAGGTGCTACCTGGGGAATAACGAAATTCTCATTTCAAATTAGCAACTTTCAGGTAGTTCTTCTGAGGCATATTTGAGATTGGAACTTCAATTAAGGCATATTCTCAGTAATGATCTCCTGTTCATAATCAATATTTGTTGAAATATGAAGACTCTTACTTCAGAACTGCATGTGAGGGTTCAGATTATTGCTCATGGAAGGAAGACAACTTTGTAGAAAAAGCAAAGAACTCGGGCTGGGCGTCGTTTCTCATGCCTGTAATCCTAGCCCTTTTGGGAGGCTGAGGATGGAGGATTGCTTGACCCCAGGAGTTTGAAACCAACCTAGGCAACACAGTGAGACCTGGTCTTTTTTAAAAAGAAAAAAAAAAAAAAAAGAACTAATCATGTGTTCATGTGAAAATCACATAACCTTTAGACTCTTCAGTTTTTCTATCTACAAACTGGTGGCAATCAGACGAAAATATCGCTATTCTCTAATCTTCTGGCTGTAAATTCTATGGATGAATCTTAGCTGCTTCTAGAGTTACAAAAAAAAAAAAAGAAAGAAAAAACGAAAGAAGAAAGAAAGCATGAAAGCAAGAAAGAAAAGGAAGAAAGGAAGGAAGGAAGGAGAGAAAGAGAGAAAGAAAAAAAGAAAGAAAATGAAAAAAATGGCTCTACACCAAAACCTGATTTTCTGTTCAGCATTACTCTATGGACCATTTATTCCATTTGGGAATGCTGAGGATCCCTGACATTACCGATACACATATCAAAATTTGTAAACTGAATAAATAGTATTTGAGATATTCTCAAAACTATATTATTCTAGAAGGGATTTACTTTGAATAAGACTAGAAGAAAAAAAACCACACACACGAGAAAATCTCTGCAACTTTGGAGAGGGTCAAGAATGCTTAGACAGAGCATAATAGATATGAATCATAAAACAATAAACAATTCATAAATTAGACTATGAAAATAATAAAGTTTGGTCTTTTAAAGACAGAAATAGGAAATGAAATGTTTAGCTACAAATGGGAAATAATATTTACAATACATATCTCTGACAAAGGAATGACATCCAGAATATATGGAGAACTCTCACAACTCAATCATAAGAAGGCTTACACCCCATGAAAATGAATAAAAGATTTGAACAGACTTCTCAAAAGAAGATATATTAATGGCCAAAAAGCACATGAAAAGATGCTCAACATCAAGTACTCATGGGGAAATGCAAATTAAAACCACATAAAATGTCACTTCCTACCCATTAGAATGTCTAAAACTAAAAAGACTAAAAATGGTAATGCCAAGTGCGAATAAAGAATTGGAGCAACTGACACTCACAAATCACTGGTGAGAATGTGAAATTGTACAGCCACTTTGGAAATCTCTGTGGCAGATTTTCAAAAAGTAAAACATGTACTTACCTTATGACCCAGAATCCCACCTCTAGGTATTTAACCAAGAAAAATAAAAACATGTCCACCCAAACCTTTATTTACTATACTCAAAAGCTAGAAATAACTCCAACACATATCAGCAGTTGAATAAATAAACAAAATGTGATATATCTATAGAATAGAATTCCACTCACCCATAAAACAGAGCAAACTATGAATATATGCAAAAACATGGCTGAATCTAAAATCTTTAAGCTGAGTGAAAGAAGTCAGAAACAAAAATGTACATACTGCATAACTCCATTAATATAAAATACTAAAAATACAAACTATTCTGTGAAGCAAAAAGCAAATCAGTGGTGGCCCACAGTGCTAGGGACAGCAAAAGGGATAGATAATAAGGTGCATGAGAAAACTTTTTGGGGTGATGAATATAAATATTTTGTATTTTGATTGTGGTGTATGCATCTGTGAAAGCTTATTGAACTACACACTTTAAATGGATGTCATTTATTGTATGTCAATTATACTTCAATAAAGTTGATTTTTAAAACTGACCTAGGACAAGAAGGAAAAAATATCACAATTTCTTCCTACAAAAGCAGACAATTCAGCAACTGAGAGGGATTTCAAATGAAAGAGTTTAACAAGCAGTGAAATTGAAATAGGTTTGGTTTTGAGCTTTGGAAAATCTTACTCAACATTTCGATTTAAGCCAGAGGTTTTTCTTTAGCTCTCAAATGTCTTTATGTGTAACTATATTCCATAGTCCCTGTTCCTACACCTAAACAAAACAAACTGAGGTTGCTTATTCTTTGTTCACTGGTTTACTTTCTACATAAATACCTCCTCTTGAAGAACTTCCAGCCTATTCTAGATCAGTGGATGACCGTAGTCTTAGACTTAACTGTTTCCAGTATTAATAGGGAGAGGCATAATAAATCCACTAGGAAAGACAAGTAATTTTCCAAGTATTATAATCTGGGTGTTTGAGAGAAGGAAGATGAACAGCCAACATGTGATAAAGAGGAGACTAAGAGAATCAAGATATAAATATCATCTCAGAGAGGAAGTCTGTTGAAACTTCTCCAGAGGATTGGATTGATAATTGTTGGCCAAGCAGGATATTGGGCTCTGGGGACCTGTAAATGCTCCAGATTTAGTCCATGCACTAAAAGAAAAGCCTTGTTTGCTTCCTTATTATTCTTATAAGAAAGCACTGGTTTGCCTTTCAAGAATTAAACTCATACGAAGCACCACATTGAACAGCCTCTAAACCTTTGTGTGTGTGTGTGTGTGTGTGTGTGTGTGTGTGTGTGTGTGTGGTGTGTGTGTTGGGGTGAGGGAGAAGCATTGTGGATATTTTAATACCAGTTTCTACTTCATCACTACCCTTCTCCCATCTAACAGGTCTGGCTTCTTAGAAAGTCTGCCTGATTTAAAACCTAGTTCTATGTGAATGGTATTTAGAAAGGATAGCCAATTTCAAAATAACAGCTTTAGTTCAAATAGAGCAATAGGGACGGGTAATATTTTATCACTCCTTCTAGTTCACCCTCAGTTCATAAAATTACTTGTTGTGGGAGCCAGCCTCTTAAGTCATCCGGACTCAATAGTGCTACTCACTGGGAAATCTTGAAAGAGTAAGGTTGAATTAATTAGGCAATGGAAAACCTTGCTGGGAATAATGGGGTTCCTGTGTGCATTTGGTTAGCTTTGATAGGCAGCCTTTACAAGAGAACAGGAGATCCAATGTAAGCTAAAGGGGCCTGGGAGTTCTGGCTGTATAAAGCAAGAATGATCATTGGTTTTCTAACCTGGGACTTTGTAACTTTTAATCAGATAGTGGTTTCATGAGTTCTGAGTACGTTTCTAGCACTGAGTTAGATGTTGATGCAGGTTACAAAAGAATTATAAGATATGGTTCTTGGTGTTAATAATCTTATGTGGTTAGAATAAACTACAAGAAATATAAGCATTTTAAACCATAAATATAAATATAAGGTCCTTCATTGCTGCCAAATGAGTGTTTAGAGTGTGTGATGGATTCTGATTGCTGAGTAAAAGTTGCTATCATTTAGATCGTCTTCCTAAGCTAGGAATACGATTGACCTCACTCTACTAAAGGTTTGGGGACCACTAGGAGGCACTTATTTTACTCTGTCCTCTTCAGACAAGAAAGTTCTCCCCAGACTGATGGCACGTTTATTGCTGGGTCATAAGGACCTACGGCTAGTTTTTAAAAGTGCTGCCAATGGATTGTTCCTCAAAGTAAGAAAAGTAAAATATGGACTAGTTTGCATACACAGGCATAATGTGAAGTTGTCTCTCAAGAAAGACAATACTTAATCAGTAGTTGGTGGATTTGTTAGAAGAGTTCTTGTTATCTATAAATCATTTTGACACATGTGATACCTGGAATTTGAAATTTTCAGGACTTTTATGCTAATTTTTTTAAATACTCTTGCCATTATGTTATCCTCTGGTTGTATCTTGGAAAATCTATATTTTGAAAACGTGAGAAGCATTTTATTCTTTGGAAACCCAGTATCACATGTAGTCCTTTTAGGTGAAGACTCTCCAGGAGCAGAGCATAGTATGTGTTGCTCATACTCTTCCTTACTCTTTTTCTCACTTCCAGAGCCAAGTGGCCAAGCTTATTAAATGAAAAAACTCCTCAACTGGCCTTTTTAGGGCCTTCAAACACTACCCACAGTGTTACTTCACACCCCTTTCATCCTCATCCCCCCTATGTGGAATTGATACTGCAGACAGAAAGAAACAATTTAGGCAGATAGTACAGGCAACGGAGTCCTCGGTGGAATTTCCCTTCTAAAAAAAATGCAGCCCAAGAAATTATTCTTTTCTAACAAAGAGTAGGCTGAAATATTGAGCTGCAAACATAGATAAACAAGCTGGAAGCTTGCTTGGGAGAATGCTGGCAACTGTGCCAATAGAAAAAGACTACCTTGGGGCCAGGCATGTCCAGCATGGAGGCTCTTATCTTCTTCCCATTTCTTTGTTACCACATGTACAGTGAAGAAACAGGCAACATGGCACCAACCAGGTGGAGAATCCATCTGCATCATAAATGATTGGGGGGTGGCCAGCTTTTCATGCTCTTTGCAAATGGTACACTTAGCCCTAACCAGTTTTTCATGCCTTATGCAAATGGCACACCCGGTCTGACCAATCTTTCCTGTTCCATGTAAATCAGACACTGCCTCCTCAAGCTCATCTATAAAAACCCCTTGCATTTTGCCACAGACCAGAAACCTGTTCAGGAGCCCTCTCTCTGCAGGAGAGAGCTCTTCTCTTTCTTTTGTATATTAAACCTCTGCTCTTAACCTCACTCCTTGTGTATCTGCATTCTTAATTTCCTCAGTGTGAGACAACAAACCTCAGGTATCATCCCAGACGAGCAACACCATTTCACAATGAAATTCCATGTCATATTTCCTTAAACAATATACTTTTATTACTGTATCCTCTTTCGAAAACCCTTTGCCTTTGAAGCCCAACAAGTCATTTGACTATATTCTCAATCTCCTTTTCCAATTTTCTCCCTCATTTGCAGTGTCTTTGTTACCACTCACATGCTTCTATCACCATGTGTGACTTCAATTTCCATATGCGTGACCCACCTATGATCCCCAGTTCTGCACACTGTACAGATCAGTTTTGCCAAACAGTCCTACAGTCACACCAGGCCTGTAACTGCTCCACAGTGAAACTTTACTTATGGTTTCTTTGTTTATTTGTCCCCTTAACTAACTTTCTTTGAGAATATTGAGATCTCCATCTAAAAAGTTCTTATTTCTTCCGAATCCTTTAGCCCTTCCCCTTTCTCCACTTCTTTCTTTTCCAGCTTAGAATCCAATAAGAATCCTTACTTAGCAAACTCTTTTCTAAACTTGAATTTTCTTGACTTTGTGGCTTTTGGTCACTCAAGTCTAATTGACAGTTGTACTTTTTGTAAATATAACTTTACAATTTCAGTCTACTGTGCATGATGGAAATTACCGAATTATAAGGCTTTGATTTAAATTTGTTGACACTATTCCACTTATGGATGCAAAAAATCAGTCAATATAATATTTCAAAATACTCTCTAGGTAAACTAAAGCATGTTGAACTGAAGAGATCATCAGACAAAAGTAACATTGAATTTAAAATGCAGATGCATGTTCTGTTCACTTATTTACTCAAAAATATTTATTCAGAGTGAGCTATGCCGTAGATACTTTGCTTAGTATAGGGATTCAGTGATGAATAAAAACACCATTCTTGCCTGTATGAAGCTTGCAATATGATAAGGATGGGCGTTTGCAGAGTAAACTTCCAAATAAATGTATTTTGTATGAAGATAAAGTAACTATCACTAGGAGAATATAGTTCACAAGGATAATCTTATCAAAGATTTCCTATGAGGAAATTATGTTTAAGCTTAGATCTGAAGGTCAAGTGAGAGGTCCATGAATGGGAAGGGTTATTGAGGAAAACTGCCATTTGTCACATACTTCCAATATCTCACTGATGGAGTTATACAATACTTCAACTTTTAGTTTAATAGAATTGTGAAAATATTATTTATGTCTGAAGACTATTATGAATAAAAGTTAGAGATGCATTGAGTATAAAATTAAAAGGTTGTGTAATCACCTGATGGGTTTGTCTCGCCCTCTGCACAGACATAACCAATTTACTGAGAATGTGGTATTGCAGTAGAAAAAGAGTTTAATTAATGTAAGGCTAGTCATGCAGAAGTGAAATTTATTACTCAAATCAGCCTTCCTAACTCAGAGGCTAGGGTTTTCATGAATAATTTGGTGGGTGAGGGCTGGGGAATGGGTGCTGCTGATTGGTTGGGGATGAAATCATAGGGGTGTGGAAAATGGTCTTCATGTGCTGAGTTCACCTCCAGTATGGGAGGGCACAGGACTGGTTGAGTCATGAGTCTAGGGTCTGGGTGGAGTCAGTCAGATGCCAGAATGCGAAAATCTCAAAAACATCTCAAAAGACCAATCTTAGGTTCTAGTATAGTGATAGTATCTATAGGAGCAACTGGGGAAGTCACAAATCTTGCGACCTCTGGCCATATGACTTCTGGGCAGTAGAGGATTATAGAAGAGTAACCTAAGGAACAATGGCTGGTTATCGTTTCATTACACCTACATCTTAATAGAACTCAGGCCCCTCCTATAATCCTAATCTTGTGGCCTTTCATTAGTTTTACAAAAGGGGTTTTTGATCCCTGAGCCAAGGGGGTTAGATTTAGGCAGAGACTACTATCATGCTTACTTCATAGTTAAATTCTTCTCCTGATTATCTTGGCCTAGGCGCAGGAATGAGTGAGGACAGCCAGCCTGTGAGGCTGGAAGCCAGATGAAGTCAGCCATGCTAGACTTCTTTCCCTGTCATAATCCTCACAAAGGCAGGTTCAGTTGTATTTGCTAAAATGAGTAGAAAAATAAAATTTTGCCCCATCTAAGTAAGCTTTCACAGTAGGCAAGAGCTTTTTGTACAGGCGAACTCTGACAATCTGTGTATTAGAACCTAAGATGATCCCATAGTTTCTATGATGTGGGCCGACGAGGCTTTTACTTTGAGGCAAATGCCTGGAAGCTGGGCCGAGAGCCAGCTGTCAGGATCCCTTTAGCTCAGCTCAAGTGTCACCACAAATAGACAGCATTCCAGGGTAAATCCTTAAAATAATGGCTAGGAAGTAGAACAAGTATTTAGGATGGGCCTGTGAAAGGATAGCCATAGGTGTGGTTCCCAAAGTAAGTCTAGGACACTGCCCCCTGTTTCCTGGCTAGTTCAGTTGGCTTCCCTCAGGGGTGGTTTTCTCACCATTGTCACCACACCACGATTGGTGGCTGCATTCCTTCTCCAGCTTTCCTGTCCCCATAGCTGTTAGCATCAGGGGTGGGATGGGTGCTAAACACTATTTTTCATTGCCTACCTCCATCTTTGTTTTCTGCTTGCTTACAACCTAAAAGAGGGTAGTGTCTGAATCCATTAAGTAGAAAAATCTAAGGTAGCAGCATACAAACTTCCCTTCTCTGAAAGATAATTTATTTCATGACTGGGTATAGACAGGAGAGTTTGAGCCAGAGGAAATAATCTATGCAACAGCCCTGAGGCAGAATGTATCATAGAATATTCCTGAAATCAAAAGAATCAGAGAACAAAAAGAAAAGTTCCAGAATAGACTTGATAGATAAGCAGGGAATATATTATGCAAGGCTGATTAACAATGGTAAAATCTGGGTTGTATTCCTGAGAGCCATGGGCAGCCACAGGCAAAGGTGTGAGGATATAAGCAAATATCAGAATCAAACTAAACTAAGCATGAACCCTGTTTGGGGATCTCCATTTAGTGTGGCTTTTGTCCTGCCGTTATGCTGCCCTTCTGTGTAAAACGTAGAAGACATATCACCAACAGAAAACGAGGCCTACACTGGCTTCTCTCCTGCAGGAGGCAGGAAGTTTCATGCAGTACAACCTGTGGTGGGTAGAATTCTTTTTCTTTTTCTTTTGTTTTTATGTCACCCAGGCTGGAGTGGAGTGGCGCAGTCTCAGATCACTGCAACCTGGACCCCCACAGCACAAGTGATCCTCCTGCCTCAGCCCCTGAAGTAGCTGTGACTACATGTGCCCATGCCTGGCTAACTTTTTTCATTATTATTTTTATTTTTTAACATTTGTAGTAAAGATGAGCTCTCACTGTGTTGCCTAGGCTAGTCTTGAACTCCAGGGCTCAAGTCATCCTCCTGCCTCAGCTTCTCAAAGTGCTGGAATTACAGATGTGAGCTACCTTGCCCAGCCCTGAAATACTAAGAAGGCCCCCTGATTTCCAACCCCTAGTTATTGAATCAAACTCTAATCTAGGTACTGCTGTGGATGGATTTTTCAGATGTCATTAAAATCTCAAAGACCTAAAGACACAGAGATAATCAAGGTGGGCCTGACCTAATCACCCGAGCTCTTTAAAAGCAGAGAGTTTTCTCCCGATGGTCAAAGAAAGGGAAGCGAGAGAAATTCAAAGTATGATGGGGATGTGATATGAAAATTTTTCTGTTGCTGAGATGGTGGGGCCACCTGGCAAGGACCTGAGAGTGACCTCTAAAAGCTGGAAGTGGTGCCTGGTGGATAGCTAGCAAGACCACAGGGGCCTCAGCCCTACAACCCCAGTGAAATGAATTCTGCTAGCAACCAATGATCTTGGGAGCGATTCTGTTCCCAGAGCCTCCAGATAGGAACATAATCTCACCAACACCCTAGGGCAGCCTGCGAGTCCCTCAGCAGAGAACTCAGCCTAGCCACACGGAACTGTGATCTGATAAAAGGGTGTTGTTCAAATCAGTAAGTTTTTCATAATTTGTTTACATAGCAATATCACACACACATCCTCAGCTGAAGTCTCTTGCTAGATGTATGACCTTAGGCAACTTACTCTCCTCCTCTGAGTCACATTCCTGTTCTGTAAAATGGAGATAATGATACCTGTTCTCATAGGGCTGTAGTGAAGATTGGATGAGATAATCTGTTCTTGGTATAGTAACTGATGTGGTAAGCACTCAATTTTATTATAAGCAGCAAATTTGTCCATGGCCCAGAAATGCAATATAAGCAACTGAAATCCATTTCTTCATTTGGAACAAATATATTTATGACTATTATATGAAGATACTCAGTAGATATATGACATACCTGTACTATAATTAAGTAGAAGTTCTTTGCTTTTGTCAGTTGCTATTAGGGCCCTTATTCAGTGAATGCTTTGAAGCAAAGGATGTCACTGAATACCTAAGACTAAAATTTTAATTTCATGATCATGGTTTACTTTCCTTCAGAAATACAATTACAGTGGCCAAGTGCCCTTGTAGTATTTTGCATACCACACTTCAATTTTTGTTTTATTTGTTGCTGTTGTCTTTCGGGGAAAGGAGCACCAAATGTGCAGAGGGGAAAAGAGACACTATGGCAGGAGAGAGCTTTCGGATGCCATCGCAAGGGCTGGAACTCTTAGACAGTCGTGCAGAAGGACCAATTTGCTATCATTATAATAGGATTATGGGTGTATCTGTATTCTGTTAAGGCCTTCAGCTGTATATAAGTTTGTCTAAATTGATACACGATCTTGGATCTTAACACACACCCTGTATGTATCCTGATGTGACTACACAATGAATTAGTTTTTCTTGTCCTCCAAATATTCTATCCTGGAAAGCAGAAATACTATTCTTTGAGAGTAGTTTGATATTCCCACAAAGCCAAGTATAGTGCTTTGCTCATTAAACATTTGTTGAATGAAATGGGCCACCACCAGCAAACAGAAATCTGCATCAGTCTGTTCCCAGAATTCTTCTTCTAAATGACTAACTCAGGAGGTTTTACACTTTGATGCCATGAACCCCTTTGGCACTTTGGTGAAAACTACAAGCCCCTTTTCAAAATAAGTTCCTAAATTGACAAAGTGAAATACCCAAGACTACAAAAGAAAACCAACTACATTGAAATACAGTTATCAAAATAATAAAAAAAAACTCATTTGTAATGTGGTAAAATATGTGCTTTCATCAACATTAAATAAAAAAAGTCAGTGACGGGTCAAATAATTTCTAACTATATGGCAATAGATCTACAACACTGTAATGATATAATAATAATAATTCCAATAATAACAAACTATCGCTTATAATATCGTTGTTTGTTGCCTGCATTCAAGTTCATGAAATTTCTAAATCCTGTCCACGGACTTGTCAGATCTCC
This sequence comes from Homo sapiens, assembly GCF_000001405.40. Classification (NCBI taxonomy): domain Eukaryota; kingdom Metazoa; phylum Chordata; class Mammalia; order Primates; family Hominidae; genus Homo; species Homo sapiens. Next base: position 68,874,165 of record NC_000008.11, read on the forward strand.
AAGTGAGAAACACTTCAGACCCAGGTTAAGAGCCACTGCCCTTAAGTTTGACACTTCAGACCTGTATCAGATCATAATGACCACAGTCCAGAAATAGAGGAAGAAAAGCACAGGTTTGGAAAATCAGCTCATGAAGAGTCACAAAGTACCCATGTCTATTGGACTGATGTTGAGAAGTTAATGTACACTTTTTTCCCACACAGGAAACACATGGTAAGTGAGTAGTGGGAGGGAATAGATGTTGCTCATATGCTCTGTAAGGAGTTCAGAAATCAAACCTGGAAGACTTAGTAAAGTTGGTAGCCCAGAAAAAAATCTTCTGCTCTGAAAATACTCATTTGAAATTAATATGCTCTGTGCTTCAGATAATGAGCCTACTACCTGAAACTTAATAACACCTTGACAAATGTTTATAAAATGTCAGGAAGCTAACAGTGAAACATCAATAGGATAACTTAAGAGGAAAATTAATAAACAAGTAGCCTTATGGGAAAGAGAATGAAAACTGACTTCGTTTGATTTGACCCAGCCATCTCATTTTTCAATAGCTTGAAAATAATATACATAGAAAGTATAGATAACCAGTAGACTACAAAATTTTCTACCATTATAATCTCAGGGATTTTTAAAGCAGTTCTCTGGTGACAGTTATATTTTCATGACACAAGAAACAAGTTTAAAAATTATGTGCTTGCATGTAGAATGTTTCATATGAGGACTATTTCAAAGTTGTATTAAAAACTGGTTGTGATATTTCAAATAACTGGAGACTATCCAGGGAATCTTTTAGTTAGTCTTTCAGCCCATGAAAAGGTTTTTGAAGTAAACATATGTTATGAAGTTATTCAGCTGATTGGCAAACAGGTAAAGTACTTTTACATTTACTTCTATCTCAAGGGGAATAAAAGAAATATTTCAAAGTCTAGATACTTTCATTGAAATTTGAAGGCTGTATACAATAACTTAATTCCAAAATCTTTTGCTTCTGATATTTTATACTAAAATCTTCTGCTTCTGATATTTTATGCTGAAGTCATTTGTAATTGCTTCAAAGACAGATAACATAAACATGTTTAATTTCTACATTACGGATACTGCTTTAATGGGAAAAAAATGGGTTGACTTATTAACAGCCACTTCCCTTTTAGTAACAGGACACCGAGTACCACTCCTGAGTTTTCAAGTCCAAATTCTTGCTTGAGCAATACTTGCCTTTGGTCAAAGAAAACAAAAAGTTGCCAGTTCTTTTCCATATCATATCTGCATCTATTCATTTATTAAATAACATTTTTTAACCAACTCCAAATGAAAAATATCCAGGATTACAGCTATTTCTCTCACATACTTCTCCCCAGTAATCAATATTATGAGACACACTGTCCCTTTGCTGGCATAGATCTTAATCAAGAACACCACCAAGCGGGTGTAAATAAAAGATAAAACAGACTAATATTTCATTTGTAAAACATGTTCTATATTAGTCACAGGTAAAAGTCAAATGATATATTTCCCAGTAGGTAAGAAAAATGCACAAATTTGTATATGTGGGGTAAGTTGTCGTTGTTTTACAAAATAATCATTTTCTAATGTAATAAATGCTCTATGTCTTCCCAAAGCTCCTCTGTGAAGGAAGGCATTGTCTACCTCACAACCTGATGTGAATTCACAACTTAGAAAATCAAATGGCTTATTTTATTGATTAAATGTCACTAAATTTAATGCATTTTCTTTTGGAAGATTTAGTTGGAAAGCAATGTGACCTATACCCAACACACGAATGTTCTCGTTAGTCTCTGAGCACAGTTTGTATCATTTGTTGTGTATCATTCTGGATGCTTTCAGAGCAGCATGACACATGGCCCCTCAGTTCTTGTCTCTACGTGGTACATTTTCTCAAGTTCTGCAGTACAATTTGGAGCATTAAAACAGACTGGCAATTCTGAATGGTTTGTATTTATTTTTTTTGAGTCAGAGTCTTGCTCTGTCACCCACGCTGGAGTACAGTGGGGCGATCTCGGCTCAATGCAACCTCCGCCTCCTGGGTCCAAGCAATTCTCCTGCCTCAGCCTCCCGAGTACCTGGGACTACAGGCGTGTGCCAGCACGTCTGGCTAATTTTTGTACTTTTAGTAGAGATGGGGTTTCACCGTGTTGGCCAGGCTGATCACGAACTCCTGACCTCAAATGATCCATCCGCCTCGGCCTCCCAAAGTGCTGGGATTACAGGTGTGAACCACCGCACCCGGTCTCTTTTTGAAAATATATGAAGTATTACAAAGAAATAGATACGTACAAACTATACATACACATGGAAATATATGTACACTGTGTTTTCAATGACTGTGCTTATTATAAAACTTTGTTAAAAATGTTTTCTAGAAAACAAAAAGGAAAAACAATGGAATTTTAGTTTGTAGGCTGTCTACAAATGCTATAAAGAAATGCCTATCTTACTTATGTATTTATTTTTATTTGAAAATATGGTGCATGCAAAAGTATCTGGATCGGCTTATGCAGAATGGAAAACAAATGAAACAAGAAAAGTAACATGTGGTGGTAAATGTTGCCAAGTGTAAATTAATTTTCTAAACACATAATTTGGTGGGTTTCTTCTTTTTCAACAAGCAAGCTTACAAGGATTAAGCTTAATTCCTGTGGAAATTTGGCACATTCAGCAGTTGGTTCATTGTACTTTGCCTTCCAATATTTGAGTAGATATGAACTCTTGGACTCAGATTTCTATTATATGAATGTCCACTCAAAGGTAATGGAAGCTAATGGCGGTTGCTGATGAAACCTGGGTGCAGACAAGAAAGTGTTGGGTTTTCAGTATTTTTTTAAAAAGCCCTCATTTGGAGTTCCTGTTAACAATTTGTTCTCATTTTCTTTTGTACATAACTATGCCTCTTAATTTATTTCATAGAGATATCCAACATGTCTAGTTTTTGTTTTGTGGATCATATTTTGAATTAATAGCTCTCTATGCATTAGGAATACAATGGAATAATTCAGGCTGACATTTTTCTTGGCGGACAATGGCACTCTCTACTGATTTATTTAATAGGCAAGCATGATTCCAGGTCTAATATAAATACAAATCATCAAAGGGCAAGATGACCTACTGAATAACTTTACTCATGAAACTTCTTTGATATGAATTCTTAAGGACTTGAAAGTTTGCAGCTTCAACTGCTGTGCAACAAGAAGGAAAATGTAACTTTTCTATTAATAGTTCTTCAAAATTTAGGTTAAGGGATTTTATCAGAACTTTGTAAATGTCTATTAACTAGGTTATCTATGCCACTTTTGTTTTATTTGGAGAAAATAAAGTATGCAAAACCTAGACTCTCCCACAGGAAATAAACTACAGTCCCCCCAACAGTGTCCCTGGGGAAATTAGGTCCAGGAACCTTCTCAGATACCAAAATCTGTGGATGCTCAAATCCCTTATATAAAATGGTAGTAAGCCAGGCAAAAATGGCTTGCTGTAGTTCCACAATGGGACTATTTGTAGTCCCATTATTCTGGAGGCAGGGGCAGGAAGGATCACTTGAGCCCAGGAGTGAGAGGCCAGCCTGGGTAACAGCAAAGCTGCATCTTTAAAAAAAAAAAAAAAAAGTGAAAAGTGGTGTAATATTTGCATATCACCTATACATGCCCTCCTGTGTACTTTAAATCATCTCTAAGTTACTTATAGTACCTAATTCGATGTAAATGTCATGTAAATTGTTGTCATTGTATTGCTTTTTTATTTGTATATTTTTAAATTGTTGTATTGCTATTTTTTTTCAAATATTTTTCATCTGTGGTTGGTTGAATCTATGAATCTTTCACCTGCAGATATGGAGGGCCAACTGCACTCTCTTTATTGTCTGACAAAAAGTCCCAGAGCCCCATTCTACTGATTTGGTGAAAACAGTCAATTGGACCGCTGGATAGAAGATTCTGTGTTTATAAGTTTTGTCACTCATAGACACTTATGATTCCTTCATTCTGTTCTGTGGTTTCAGACTGTCCCATAACTCAGGCAACTTGTATAACAGATATGTCAGAAGAGCAGGCTAAACATTTTAGATCTTTCAGTTGGATTATATCACCATGACCAGAAGAAATAAATGGAGTAGCCAGTGAATGATAGTTCAGTAAATAACTTTTGCTTCACTTACATAGGCTGGTATGAAGCACTTTATACTAAAGTCACAGATATAATAAATTTCAATATATAAAAGGACAAAGCTTAATTAATCTTTCCTTCTTCTCATTAACAGAAAAAATTATGTTGAGTAAACTATTGCCATTATTTACAAAATTTAATTGTAAACTTCCTCCAATTGAGACAAAACATGAAACACATAATATTGCATGAATTTCATTACATAACAAAGGTTAAGAATGAATTTAATTAATCTTTCTTTATTTGGTATCATGAACTCACTCAAAGTTTGAAGAAATTTTAGGCAGAAAAGCTTAATATGTATAAAAGTATGTCCATAAATGAAATAACATTTCTCATTTTGGTGTTTTTTTTTTCATGATTAAAAAACTTCACTCTATAAAGTCATCCCAAAAGATGTTGTGCAAAGGAGCACAGATCTTTCTTAAGAGTATCTAATTTGGGATATAATCTTAGAATAATCTTGCAATCTACTGCCAAAACCCTTTTACAAGAGCTGTGTTAAATTCAGAGATAAATAAATTAATTGACTGGTCATAATGGCATAAGAATTTTTTTTTTAATTTCGAGATGGAGTCACTCTGTTGCCCAGGCTGGAGTACAGTGGCATGATCTGGGCTCACTGCAACCTCCGCCTCCCGGATTCAAGCGATTCTCCTGCCTCAGCCTCCTGAGTAGCTGAGATTACATGCTCCCGCCACCACACCCAGGTAATTTTTGTATTTTTAGTAGAGACGGGATTTTACCATATTGGCCAGGCTGGTCTCGAACTCCTGACCTTGTGATCCACCCGTCTCGGCCTCTCAAAGTGGTGAGATTACAGGTGAGAGCCACCACGCCTGGCAACTATCAGAAATTTTTATACCATGTCACTTGAATGCTTCACTTGTTTCCATACTGTCTTTCAAAAAGCATAGATTGCTATAATAAATAAGTACTTATGCTTGTATATGTATACATATATGTATATGTGTATATTTTATATACAGATTTCATAATATCTGACAAACCTGACTTTTTGTGTACGTGACATATTTTATATAGAATATTGGAATAACAGTTGCTATTTAAAATATTGTGTATTTTGATTGTTAAAAAAAGTTTCTTGAAAAGGAGTTGCTAAAAAAATAAAGTAAATATTGCATAGTTCAAAAATATAATGCATTGCTGATTATAAACAAAATAAATGATAATTTTAATAAAATGAAAGCAGATACAATAATATTTATACTTTATAAAGATAATTATATAATAACTCAATATAATAATTGTACTTTAGTGTAACTAATGATATATCAGTCATATATTTACTGATTCAATCCTCACAATCATGCTATGCAGTTTTACTATTTTTTCAAATTTTGTATTTATTTTTAATTTTTTAATAGGTATAATAACCAAAGTTCAGAATAACTAGATAATTTATTCTGGGTTACATACTAGTGGATCGAGAATTTGAACTCAACTTTATTTGATACTAAAACCTAAGTACTTCCCGCTATGCATTTCTATCCCTCACTATTCTTTCAGTGCAGTAGATTGAAAATAATGTAACAACACTTTCACACATGACTGCTTAACCTGTGTTGAAAGTTCACCTGGCATTAATCACTTTTTCTTACCTATTAATGCATTTGATTCAAATCTATAAGCTGCCTATCTGACTGTCTAACTTCCTCAGCTCTTTCTGATTTTGTTATAAAAGGAAACTAATGGGGCGTCATGTTCCCTGAAGAAGAGTTGCCATCACCAGAGAAATATAATTTTAATAAACTTTCTGAAGTGGAAAATTCCAAGATGCTTTAACTTTTACTAAAATTATTTATTTATTTATTTGCCTTAAAATGTAGCTCCAACCCAATGACTGAATAGGGAAGTAAAGGAGAACATAGGCGACGTCACGAACAATAGATTCTTTCCAGACACTCCCCAATAAATGAGCAGGCAAAAAGCACGTATCCCCTGAGAGTTAGACCAGGCACTCTTGTGATGACATTGAAAAGACGTGTGGCACCGCTTCTCAGAAAGCCTTCTTCTATAACTGCTTTCAGGCTAGACGGAGTGCCAACATCCAACTATGTCTTGCCTAATTCTTACTCTTTGAGATGTACTTTCTGGCCGAATACAATCATCCCTTGATATCTGTGGGGAATTGTTTCCAGGAATCCCTGTGGATATAAAAATCCATGGATGCTCAAGTTCCTGATATAAAATGGTGTAGTATTTGCATATAATCCACACACATCCTCCCATACGTATACTTTAATCATCTCTAGACTATTTCCAATGCATAACACCATGTAAATGCTATGTACACAGTTGTTATGCTGTATTGTTTAGAGAATAAAGACAAGAAGTCTGTACATGTTCGGTACAGACACAATATTTTTCCACATATTTTTGGTTGCCATTTAGTTGAATCCACGGATGCAGAACCCATAAATACAGAGGGCCAACTGTGATGTCCTTGCTATATGTCTTTAATATTTAGATATCTTAATTTTATGTGAGGTTTCTCAAAGTCCAGCCCAAATCAACTAGGAGGAACTTAAATAGGCATCACAGAATCAGTGCTTTAATTATTCTGCATCTGTTGCTCCATTCAATGTTACAGTGGGTGACTCACAGACCCCTTAGCTGTCCACGTACTCTAAACATGCTATAGTTTTAATCACAGGCACAAGTGGTCAACACTACACCCAAAATCAAACTCAGCCGTGAAATTTCACAGTATATATTGAATTGTGATGAAATGCAACATATTAGTTTTTGTCTATTTTATTATAGCGATTCTGTCTAACTACAAATGATACTTGAACTAATATGTTAGGAAAAATGGTGTGATGTTTAACAGAACCTTGTTAATGGTTATTAATTTTTTTCCGTTAAACTATAATAGATTATAATAAAATAGTTGATTATTATTAATTATGGAGTCATCTTTTTAGTCTTGACATTTCTAAATATTTTCTAATATCTCTTGAAATAATGTCCAAGTCTACCTTTATCAGCTGTGGAATCTAGGCAAGATTCCAGTTGTCTTTATGGTCTTTCTTGTTAAAAAAATATTGAAAGTAGATTTTAACAACTAACTTGAAGAGGATTATCTATAGTCCCGAGAAGATCGAGAATATAGAAATCTCATTAAATGGTTCTGTTTCTACTTAGTCTATATTACATATGAATGCAGTTTAATAGAGCAGTCAGTCTTTCCTTGTGGAATATAGACTTTGTTCTGCGTATTAGGGCTGAAGTGTTACAAACATAAACCAGCATTCTACCGGACTGCTTTTGCTCAATTGTGACATTATTCTAAGATTTGCCAAAGAAAAAAACTTTAGTAATCATAGTAAAATTGAGAATGTTTGTCTGGTTTCCAGCTATCTAGGTTAAATCTCAGGATGTCTGTGAGACAGCATCTGTATCAAAACATGTTTCTGCCTGGGCAGCCAGTAACATCCAATAGGGAGGAGAGACCCAATTATCTTGTATGTCCAGATGGCTATATTTGGGATTGGTTTCTGCCTCAAAGGTGTTTTTCCAGCCTATAAGACTGTTTTGGGGAAACCTTAAACTCATTTTCAGAATTGTAATGTAATTTGAATGGGACATTGCTCTTACCTGTGCCTAGATCAGGAACCTTATGATGGCAGGAGTCCATCTTCATCTTGTTAGCCCCAACACGTCACACAAAGTTTTTCATTTCTGTGAAGTTGGTAAACTATGTGTTGCATAAATATGAAAGGTTATTTTGAATGGAGAAAGAGTCCAGTCAGCCCAATCAATCTTTCACTTAAAATCATTTCTTGCCTGCTTACTGTGGGACAGGCTCCATGCCAGGCACAGGGCACACGATGGATAAAACAGACGTCGTGGTGTCTCACATGTTGCTTGCAGTGCCCAGCACTTTCTCAAAAGGATCCTGAAAAGTCGTGTCCAAAATCAAGAGGTCCCTCTGATTTTCAAGGCTGGCTCTCAATGTGGCTGTGGGTTGCTCCCTACTCATTGCTCAGATTGAAATATAAACCAGACATGATATTGGGCTGTGAATTTTGAAGGGGAAAGAAATATTAGCAGAGTCTCCAGGGCCATTAGTGCCATAGGATAGAATGCTCAGGGAGAGCTATGCTGTCAAATGAAGACCTTTGAAAGATGCTGTTTAGGTGCTGCTTTATCTTACCTCCAGCACCAAGGGCAGGGCATGGTAGTTTCGCATACTTTCAAGCAAGGGTTCACAGAGCCTATTTTTCAGGCACCCTAGCTATGAGCAATCACTCCTTTGCATTTAGTATTTGTCTCTGACCTATTGACTTCTGAATATCCTCCCCTGATTCAATTGTTCCATTTGGCTTATGAACTAAAAATCAAAAAGGCTATCAGAAATTTGCTAACATTTCTCTCTTTCTTTTACTTTCTGTCTCTATTTTTTTTTTTGCAACTGGAGAATGCTGTAAGTACTGTTGGCATTTGATCAGTTAGAAAAGTCTGCTGATTTGGTTAAGTGAGTTAAGCTGCTGCAATTTCGCCTTCGTTCCCTCTCTTTAGCTTCATTTGCTCTAACTGTGGCTTTACCATGAGCATGCACAACCTGAACAGACGTTGCCAATTTCCTGACACCACTTTAATATAAATGAATCCTATACTGTTATATGGTGTTAAATGCTCAGCTTAGACCAAATAAAAAATACAAAATCATAGGGGTAAATAAATTCCTATGGTATATTTCAGAATACTTAAAAATAATTACATAAATATAAAAATACAAATGATAACATTAGCAGGGTGCGGTAGCCAACGCTTCTAGTCCTAGCTAGTTGTGAGGCTGAGGCAGGAAGATTGCTTGAGCCCAGGAGTTTGAGGCTGCAGTGGGCTATTATCAAGCCACTGCACTCCAGCCTGGGTCACAGAGCGAGACAGTTTTTAAATAAAAATAGTTTCTAAATAAATAAAGTATTTTGAAGTAAGTATTTTTATGTAAAAATTCTAAATTGACAGAAGGGAAAACTAAAAACCAATGATAACAAGAAAGTGACTGAGGCAGGTCTCAATTAGCAGAGGTTTATTTAGCCAGGGGAGAGAAGAAAAACACAAGTCACAGGATCATCTGTGACCTGTGCATTTTTCAAAGGGGCTTTTGGGAACTTTGTTATTTAAAAGGGAAAGAGCAAGCAGGAGGGAAAAAAGGGATGGAGGGTAGGTAGTGAGGAAAGTGGTTGCATTGTTGTGAGGTTCTGATGAGCCTCAGTAAATCTACATTTTACATGTGAAAAGAGGGAGTAGAGGAAAAAAATCTAGTATGTATTCGTCTTAGGGTAGGTGGAGGGATGATTTCTGGTCTTGACTTTAACCTGTACCTGGGAAGATAAGCTGATAATTGACATTGTCAGGGTGAGATTCAATGGAACTCACTAGTTTATGGGGGGTGAAATATGTTTCCTGAAAAATTTAGGGGCTATGCCGCAGGGTTGTCAAATTACATCTCTCTGTTAGGGAACAAAAGGGAGGCAGCATTGCATGACTCAGTTCCCAAGCTTAATTTTCCTTTTAGCATAGTGAGTTTGGGGTCTCAAGATTCTATTTTCTTTTACACAAACTAGACCTTATAACTGAGAAATAATAAAGATTTATAGGTGCTAAAATTATTGAGAAAAGTTATTTTAAAAATTTGAACAAAAATAGCCTCCTGGGATACTACGTTTTGGGATTGCTATAGGTGAAATACAATGAAGATTTTACATATTTGGAACAATCTTATAAGAAAATAACAAAGAATGTGGGGATTAAATTGAAAGCCAAAGTAATTGAGTCAAAATCTTATTTCCAGATGTGACAGTGTCTTTTCCTGTTGAGCAAAAAGCCTTAGGTCCCATGTTGGCATTATTAGTCATTTAAGAACACACAAACGGATCATGTAAAAGCGATGTTAGTCAGTGAAAATTTGCTAATAGTGAAGCAGGATATTTCCCTGACCCCTTCATGGGATGACAGGGGTGCCTTGTTTACTCAGCCCGCAGTCTCAACTCCTTGTGGGAGAGAGTGCTCAAGCAAACAAGTATGGGAACTGGGGTGAAGGAGCGCTGGAACCAGCTGGCTGCTTTGGCGGAGCGGGATCAAACTCCACTGACTTGGACCCGCTGCATTCTACCCCTCGTGGGAGAGAGAATGCAGGTGAGCAGGTGCAGGAACTGGCCAGATGCTTTAGCACCGGCAGGAGAACTCCATGCAGGCCCTGTGGCAGTGTCCTGGCAGGGGTGCCTGGGATTCCCAAAGCCCCAGAGGGTGTGTTACAGTGCTCTTTTAGCTCTGCTGTCTGAGGATAGCATAAGTGTGACCAGCTCAGTGAGCCCTTTGCCTTTTGTGTGGGCAGCTGCCCTCTGCCAGTAAGGACAAAGGGCCAGTGTGACAGCCTTTTGTATCTGCACTCTTGGCAACCAAGCTCTTATCAAGCATCCAGGAAAAACGAGGTTGCATGAATGAATTGAAGGATGGTAAATGCAGGAGATTTTATTGCCAATGAAAGTGGCTCTCAGCACTGAGGAGCTGAAGGAGAGCTGAAAAGGTGATGGGGCAGGTAGGTAATCTTCCCCTGAAGTACGGTCATCTCTGGTTGGATTCTACTCTGAAACTATGCCCTCAAGCTGTCCTTCTAATGTCAAGCCACCTCTCTCTGATGTCCAGCCCTAGTTCTGTCTACTGGCTGAGTCTGGGGTTTCTATATATACAGGATGGGGTAGGGCAGGGCCATGGGTGCTTTATGAAAAGGCAACATTCAAGCAGGTAAGCAGGGATATAAGTTCTCACTTCGGGCTGCAGTTTCAGGCTTTTTGGCCTGAGGGTGGAGTTTCACCGGGAACCTGCCCTCTTCTGCCTAGAATTTCTCTGCCCCCTGTTTCTATCAATAAGGCAGGACTCCGAGGCAATGGTCTGTACTGTGAGGTTCCAGGCTATTTTGGAATCTAGATTTCTAAAGGCTCTTGGCTTTGCTGACTCATGCCCTTCCTTTCTCTGAAAACTGATTTACTAGCTCACTCTTAACCTATTGCGATGTTTCTCAGCAATGAAGAATTGAGATTAAATAAAGTAGGTAGTTAAAAAACAAAAAGCAAAGTTGGTAGCAAAGTAGAAGAAAAACCCAAAGGCATCTTAAGAGAAAAGGAAATTTATATGAGCAGAGGTAACGTTGTAATTTGAAAACTATCTATAATTTAGCACCAATGACCAATTCACCATGTTTATGTGTCCCTTTCTATGTGTACCAAATGCTTTGGAACTTTTCTTATTAAAAGTAGGTGGAAATAGAAAATGTAGAAATAAGCCCCTTACATTTACTGATTTTTTTTTGACAAGAGTACATAGACAATTCCATAACAATAGAGCAGTCTTTTAAATAAAGACTGCTGGGGCTATTGAATATCCATGTATAAAAGAAAAGTTACCTAGACCCTTACCCTACACTGTACACAGATATTAATTCAAAATGGACTACAAACCTAAATGTAAGGGCTGAAACTGTAAAACTTCCTAGAAGAAAACATAAAAGAAAGTATTGTAACCATAGGTTGGGTTAAGATATTTTAGTTATAACACCCAAAACAAATTACTTAAAAGAAAACGATTGCGGCCGGGCGCGGTGGCTCACGCCTGTAGTCCCAGCACTTTGGGAGGCCGAGGCGGGCGGATCACGAGGTCAGGAGATCGAGACCATCCCGGCTAAAACGGTGAAACCCCGTCTCTACTAAAAATACAAAAAATTAGCCGGGCGTAGTGGCGGGCGCCTGTAGTCCCAGCTACTTGGGAGGCTGAGGCAGGAGAATGGCGTTAACCCGGGAGGCGGAGCTTGCAGTGAGCCGAGATCCCGCCACTGCACTCCAGCCTGGGCGACAGAGCGAGACTCCGTCTCAAAAAAAAAAAAAAAAAAAAAAAGAAAACGATTGCTCAATTAGACTTTATCTAAATTAAAACTTTTGCTCTTCCAAAAATATAATTAAAAATTAAAAGGCAAAACATACACTTGGATATCATATTTATAAATCATATATTTGAGGACTTATATTCAGAATATAAAAGAACTCTTATAATTCAATAACAAGAAAATAATTTAAAAATGATCAAAATATTTTCATAGACATTTTACTAAAAAGATATCAAAAGGCCACCAAGGATCTGAGAAGATGTTTAATATTATTAGTCACTTAAAAATGCAAATTAAAATCACAAGATACCACTTCACACATCCACTAGAATGATTATAATCCAAAATATTGAAAACATCAAATGTTGGTAAGAATATGGAGAAATTTGAACCCTCATACATTCCCTCTGTTGGGAATGGAAAACACTCTAATCACTTTGGAAAATACTTTTGACAGTTTCTTAAAAATTAAGCATGTACTTAATCATATGATGCAGCCTGCCTACCCAAGAGAATTGAAAACATAAGACCACACAAAGACATGTATGTGGATGTTCCTAGCAACATAATTGATAATGGCACTAATCTGGAACCAATTCTGATGTCTATTAACTGGTGAATAAATACACAAAATATTATGTATCCATAAAATGCAATATTATTTAGCAACGAAGAGAAATGAACTACTGATTCATACAACAACATGGATGAACCTCAAGAACACTATGCTGAGTGAAATAAGCCAGATCTAAAAGGAAACATATTGTGTGTATTTGTTTATATAAAATTTTTAGGAAAGGTAAATTTATAGAGACAGCACATCAGCAGTTACCTGAGGACGGCAGAGGGAGCAGGATTGACTTCCAATTGGCATAAGGGAACCCTTGGGGATGCTACAAATGTTCTAAAATTATATTGTGGTAGTGGTTGCACATTTGTATAAATTTCATAAAAATCACCAACTGTTATACTTACAATTGGTGAAGTTTATGGTGCATAAATTATACCCTAATAAAAATATTAAATTTGTTTAAAGTATGTGGAAGGCAAGTCTATAATAACATATTTTTTCATACTCTGAAGAATAAGCAAACATTGATGCCTGTTAGGAACATAATGTTTATAGAGAAGGGTGTGTGATTTACTTCTGCCTGTAAAAATGATTTCAGTCTAATGTTGTCACTGTTTCCTAACAGACAGCAAGTGAACCTCAGGGAACTATTTTCACATAAGCTAATTCAAGGAACATTGTCCATACTCTGGTTTCTTTGTAAATTTCCACAGTAAATCAAGCAATTTATACAATTAATGAGGTTTTTTTTTCTTCTTAGTGTCCTGTACCAATAATTATTTTTATCTTTCAAAAACTGTTATTGAAGTGCTATATGAAAATAACCTCCACATAAATTGCTGAAGAATTTTGAATGAAGACTAGAGAGGATCAGTCTAAATCCCAGTTTTATAAAAAAGTATAAAGATCAAGCTCAGAAAGAAATAATGTTTTTTTCTTGTCAGATTCTACATTATCTATTCAACTCATTCTAGTAAAGGATATATCAACGCAGATGTCAGGAAAGGAAGCAGAGAGAGAAGGATAGTTTGCATAATAGTCAACAATAAGGAATGCAACTTATTTTGTTTTAGGATGTTTCATTATTGATTTATTGCCCTGTTGCTTTATTTACCTATCTTAATTGAGTAAAACAAACTAGATCCATTTTAAAGTATCAGGTTCTCATTTTGTCATATCTTTTATCAAATGATCATTTCACTTTCTTTATTTGATTTTAATTAATCAAAGTTTCTTGAAATTCAGTTCAACTTAGTGTTCATGGAAACTCAAAGACAGTGTAGTATAGGTTACTCTGTGTTTAATTATATCATACTCTGGTTGAGAAAAAGTGAACTAGTGCCAAGAAAGCTTTGGTCAGCAAAGAATCCATAGAAGAGAATGAAATAATTGTCTTATGAAAATGTTTCAGTTTTGGGATATAACCTGGTGGAACTGCTAGGGATGGGAATATTGAGTTGAGGAAGCATGAGTTCCAAAGTCTGTGGCTGAAGTTCACAGTAGGGAACGCTCACCTCTGAACACTGTATTTTAAGGGAGCAAGGATGGCTGCAAAATAGGGGCCTTGCAACAGACTCGGTCTTCTGGAAGAAACTGGGTATTGTTTCAGTGGGAATGTCTGTAAATTGGGGATGGAGTCTAGTAAATACAATTTCATGGAGTCTTAATGTTACTTTTGGTGTTTCCATAATCATGTTTCAAAATGTGCAAAATTCCATTGTAAAATGACTCTGTATTGCTTGAGAGAAATCTATTGAGGATAAATGATGAGTACACTTATGTAAATCATTTTGCTTTTGATTACCTTTTCAATGAAAATTTAAGAGTTACGTTGGGACATAATTTGTTGAAGTTGCCTGTTGGGAACAGGCCCCAAATCTGGCCATAAACTGGCCCCCAAACTGGCCATAAACAAAATCTCTGCAGCACTGTAACATGTTCATTGGCCATGATGCCCATGCTGAAGGTTGTGGGTTTACCAGAATGAGGGCAAGGAACACCTGGCCCATCCAGGGCAGAAAAACTGCTTAAGGCATTCTTAAACCACAAACAATAGCATGAGCGATCTGTGCCTTAAGGACATGTTCCTGCTGCAGGTAACTAGCCAGACCCATCCCTTTATTTCACCCCATCCCTTTGTTTCCCATAAGAAATACTTTTACTCTATAATCTATAGAAACAATGGTTATCACTGGCTTGCTGTGAATAAATATGTGGGTGAATCTCTGTTCGAGGCTCTTGGCTCTGAAAGCTGTGAGACCCCTGATTTCCCACTCCACACCCTATATTTCTGTGTGTGTGTCTTTAATTCCTCTAGCGCTGCTGGGTTAGGGTCTCCACGACTGAGCTGGAGGCTCGAACCCAGGTTGAAGGGCTTCTGGAGCGATGGTTGGAGAACGTGGAACTAAGCTGGAGGACACCCGAGTACTCTTAAGCAGTCCCTGTGGTGAGTAAGAAGGGGAGCTTGGAAGCATCAGAGTAACAATGAGACAAGTGTGGGCTCTGGTTCATTCCACCTTGGAGACTTTTCACACTGATGATGAGGAGGAAGGAAAGTATAATGAAGTAACAGAAGAGGTGACAGAGCAGTTTTGTTTGCCAGCTAAAACTAAAGCAGCAAAGGAGGAAGAGGTTCATCCCTACTCTTCTGCACCCCCTCCTTATTTTGAAGAAAAAGAGTGGCCTGAGCCTCCAGATCTTTCTTTTCTGGAGACACTGGGCAAAAAGTAGTTGCCCCAGTGACTGTTTGAGCAGCGCCTCGAGCGGCCACTCTCAGTTCTATCAGGCAGGAATTCAGCAAGCTAGATGAGAGGGTGATTTAGAGACTTGGCAGTTCCCTGTTAGAATACACCCCCCAGATCAACAGGGAAATATTATAGCTACATTTGAGCCTTTTCCTTTTAAATTACTTAAAGAGTTTAAATAGGCTATTAATCAATATGGACCAGGTTCTCCTTTTGTAATGGGAGTTAAAGAATGTTGCTGTTTCCAGTCGGATGATTCCTACTGACTGAGATGCTCTTACTCGAGCTTGTCTAACTCCTGCTCAGCTATTATAATTTAAAACTTGGTGGGCAGATGAAGCTTCCATTCACGCTGCTTGCAATACCCAGGCCCAACCTCAAATTAATATAACTGCAGACCAACTTTTGGGGGCTGGCAGCTGGGCTGGTTTAGATGCACAAGTGGTCATGCAGGATGAAGCCATAGAACAGCTTAGAGGAGTGTGCATTAGAGCACGGGAAAAAATCACTTCAGGAGGACAGCAATACCCTTCCTTTAGTGCTGTAAGGCAGTGACCAAAAGAACCGTACGCAGATTTTATAGCTCGGTTACAGGAGTCTCTTAATAAGGTGATTGCAGATTCAGCTGCTCAGGATATCGTGTTGCCATTATTAGCTTTCAACAATGCTAATCCCAATTGCCAGGCTGCTCTGCGACCTATTAGAAGGAAAGCACATTTAGTTGATTATATCAAGGCCTGTGACAGTATCAGAGGCAATCTGCATAAAGCTACTTTGTTGGCACAGGCTATAGCAGGACTGAAAGTGAGTAAAGGAAATACTCGGTTTCCTGGAGCTTGTTTTAACTATGGGAAGCATGGTCATACTAAAAAAGAATGTAGAAAAAATCAGCGAGTCAGGCCACCAGGTAGGGGAAAAAAGAAAACTGCTAAGCCTGAAATATGTCCAAAATGTAAAAAAGGAAAACACTGGGCTAATCAGTGTCACTCTAAGTCTGATAAAGATGGGAACCTCATTTCGGGAAACGCCATGAGGGGCCCGTCCTGGGACCCATTCCAAACTGGGGCATTTCCAGATCAGGCCATTCCCTCACCCCTGTACAATGTCTGTCCCCTGCCACAGCTGGTAGTGCTGCAGTAGATTTATGCTGCACAAAAGCTGTGAGCCTTCTGCCTGGGGAACCCCCACAAAAAAGTCCAACAGGAGTCTGTGGACCCTTGCCAATGAGGACGATAGGACTACTTCTAGGCAGGTCTAGTTTAAATTTAAAAGGGTTACAAGTAGAAACAGGAGTCATCGATTCAGATTACAATGAGGAAATTCAAATTGTTATACCTACTGTTCCCTGGAAAGCAGAGCCAGGAGAGTGTATAGCACAGCTCCTGATTGTGCCGTATGTGGAAATGGGGAAAAGTGAAATTAAATGAACAGGAGGATTTGGAAGCACAAATAAACAAGGCAAAGTAGCTTATTGGGTGAATCAAATTACTGATAAACCCCTACCTGGGAAATAACTATTCAGGGAAAGAAATTTAAAGGTTTCGTAGATACTGGAGTGGACATTCAATCATTTCTCTACAGCACTGGCCGTCCATGTGGCCAATGCAACCCACTCAATTTAATATAGTTGGAGTTGGTAAAGCCCCTGAAGTATATCAAAGTAGTTATATTTTGCATTGTGAAGGGCCTGATGGGCAATCTGGGACTATTCAACCAATTATAACTTCTGTACCTATAAATTTATGAGGAAGAGATTTATTACAACAATGGGGAGCACAAGTTCTAATTCCAGAGCAGTTATATAGCCCTCAAAGTCAACATATGATGCATGAAATGGGTATGTCCCTGGTATGAGACTAGGAAAACATTTGCAAGGTTTGAAGGAACAGCTTCAAGCAGAAAGACAAAGTTCCCACCAAGGTTTAGGATATTATTTTTGATGGCGGCCATTGTTAAGCCTCCAGAACCTATACCTTTAAAATGGTTAACAGATAAGCCAATTGGGATAGAACAATGGCTGCTGAGTAAAGAGAAACTGGAGGCTTTAGAGGAATTAGTTACTGAACAATTAGAAAACGGACACATAGCTCCAACATTTCCCACTTGGAATTCTCCAGTTTTTGTAATTAAGAAAAAATCAGGTAAATGGAGAATGTTGATTTAAGAGCCATTAATTCTGTTATACAACCTATGGGAGTATTACAGCCAGGATTACCTTCTCCTGCTATGATTCTAAAAAATTGGACTTTAATAGTCATAGATTTAAAAGACTGTTTCTTTACTATCCCCTTAGCTGAGCAAGACTGTGAACGGTTTCCATTTACAATTCCTGCAGTAAACAACCTGCAGCCTGGTAAGTGCTTTCACTGGAAAGTGTTGCCACAGGGCATGTTAAACTGTCCAACAATTTGCCAGACATATGTAGGGCAAGCAATTGAACCTACTCATAAAAAAATTTTCGGTGTTACATTATTCATTATATGGACGATATATTTGTGCTGCCCCTACTTGAGAAATATTACTCCAATGTTATGATCACTTGCAAAATTCGATTTCTCATGCTGGTTTAATTATAGCTTCTGACAAAATTCAGACTACTACTCTTTACTCCTACTCGGGGACCTTAGTAAATGACATTACCATTGTGCCACAGAAAGTAACCATACATAAGGATCAATTGAAAACATTAAATGACTTTCAAAAATTACTAGCAGATATTAATTGGATATGGCCTGCTCTAGGCATTTCTACCTATGCCATGAGTGATCTACTTTCTATTCTTAGAGGAGATGCTAGTCTCACTAGCCCTGGGCAATTAACAAAAGAAGCTAAGACAAAGCTGCAGCTAATAGAAATGCAAGTCCATAAAGCTCAAATAAATAGAATAGATCCAGAGAAGACTCTAGATTTGCTAATTTTTCCAACTCAGCATTCACCTACTGGTATTATTGTTCAAGAGCAAGATCTTGTAGAGCAGCTTTTTCTTCCACATACTAATTCACAAATTCTAACTCCTTATTTGGATCAAGTTACTACTATGATAGGTAATGGGAGAACTCAGATTGTTAAATTAGATGGATATGATCCTGGAAAAATTATTGTCCCTCCCACAAAAGCACAAATACAGCAAGCTTTTATAAATAGTCTTACTTAGCAAACCCATTTGGCTGACTTTGTGGGTATTCTCAATAATCATTTTCCTAAAATGAAACTGTTTCAATTTTTGAAATTAACTAATTGGATCCTCCCTAGAATAACTAAATTTAAACCAATTGAAGGTGCTGAGAATGTTTTTACAGATGGGTCTAGTAATGGTAAAGCTTCTTATTCTGCTTCAAAAAGTAAAGTTTTCTAGGCGCCCTATACTTCAGCTCAAAAAGCAGAGCTTGTAGCTGTAATTGAGGTATTGACTGCTTTTAATATGCCTATTAATGTGATTTCTGATTCTTCATATGTGGTTCATTCCAAACAATTAATGAAAATGTGCAGTTCATCACTCACATTAGGGCTCATACACATCTTCCAGGACCTTTGACTGCAGGGAATCAAATGGCTATTTGCCTAGTTGCTAATGCAATATCTAATGACAGACACTTTCACAATTTAACCCATATTAATGCCTCTGGTCTCAAACGCAGATACAGCATTACCTGGAAAGAAGCTAAAGCTATTATCCAGCAATGCCCAACTTGCCAAATGGTGCATTCCTCGTCTTTTACAGGAGGAGTTAATCCTCGAGGATTGGAACCTAATTCTCTTTGGCAAATGTATGTCAAACATATTCCCTCATTTGGGAGACTAATTATGTAAGTGTACTGTGGACAACTTTTCTCAATTTGTCTGGGCTACATGCCAATCAGGAGAGTCTTCTGCTATGTTAAACGTCAACTTTTGCAGTGTTTTGTTGTGATGGGCATTCCAGCTTCTATTAAAACAGACAATGCCCCAGGCTATACTAGCCAAGCTCTAGCTACATTTTTCTCCATATGGAATATTTAACACATTACTGGTATCCCATATAATTCTCAAGGACAAGCCATAGTGGAAAGAATGAAACTCTCCCTGAAACAGCAGTTGCAAAAACAAAAAAGGGGGAGAAATAGGGACTATGGGACACCCCATATGCAACTGAATCTAGCATTATTAACTTTAAATTTTTTTAGCCTACCTAAAGGCCAGATGTTATCAGCAGCTGAACAGCATCTACAGAAACCAGCTGCAAAGACAGAAGCAGAACAACTTGTTTGATAGAGAGATCCGATAACAAAAAGTTGGGAAATAGGTAAAATAATAACTTGGGTTAGAGGTTATGCTTGTGTTTCTGCAGGACTGAATCAACAGCCGATTTGGATACTATCAAAACATCTGAAACCTTATCATGAGCCAGATGCTGAGGAAGAGATTCCAGGAGGATCCCGAGGACAACCCGGTTGCAGCCATGTCAAGACTGATGCTGAGGAGGACCCCAACTGTCACAAGCAACACTTGTCAAAAACAGCCACCCACCTGGGGACAGATCAAGAAGCTGTCACAGATGGTGGAAGAAAACCTGAGGAAAGCAGGACAACTGGTTGTCCTGGAATGAGTTTACTGGAATGAGTTTACTGGAATGTGATATAATTATTCATTATATCACAATGAATAATTTAATGATAGCTATGATGGTGATGATCACCATTCCATGTGTATTCCTTCAACAAGGGCTGACACAGAGAACAATTATACTTACTGGGCATATTTATCAATCTTGGCTGGCAATAATGCCTGGATGTAATCACTCTATGACACAGTTACACATGCTTTCTGATCTCAGTATTTACCATAATGAATCTGCTCCTATAATTGAGGCATACTGCCATCAAAAACCTATTTGTAAACAAAATTGAACCTGGCCAGAAAAAATGAGTGTACTTGTTTGGGAAGCTTGCATTGTAGAACAGGCAGAGGTGCTGCATACGATTCCTGTGGAATCACTGTTAATTGGTCCCCTAAGGGGATGTTTGGCTTGAATTGCACCTCTCAGTCTGCATGCCATGGCCACACTATGTTCAGCTGGTCTGAACAAAACGGTCAGATGGTAGAAATTGTAAGAAGTATGGCAAGAGTTCCTATTATCTGGAACCATGGTGGTATAGTGGCATCTGAACCTCAAATGATATGGCCTGCTCTAGGAGCTAAACATATGGAAGCTATTAATAGCTCTTAATGAGAGCAAAATTTAAGAAAGAATAAAAAGGCATCTAGAAGGACACTTTACAAACTTGTATTTGGACATTGCAAAATTAAAAGAACAAATATTTAAAGCATCCCAGGCACACCTGACCTTCATGCCAGGAACTGGAGTGCCTGAAGGAGCTGCAGACAGATTAGCAGCTAGTAACCCATTAAAATGGATAAAAACACTTGGAGGCTCTGTGATTTCAATGATGATTGTGCTTTCAATCTGTGTTGTTTGTCTTTGTATAGTCTGTAGATGCGGATCCTGACTCCTGTGAGAAGTAGCTCACGTGACAAAACTGCCTTTGCTTTTATCGCTTTGCAAAACAAAGAAGGGGGACATGCAGGGTACAGGCCCCCAAACCTGGCCATAAATTGGCCCCCAAACTGGCCATAAACAAAATCTCTGCAGCAGTGACATGTTCATGATGGCCATGATGCCCATGCTGAAGGTTGTGAGTTTACTGGAATGAGGGCAAGGAACACCTCGCCCACCCAGGGTGAAAAACCGCTTAAGGTGTTCTTAAACCACAAACAACAACTTGAGTGATCTGTGCCTTAAGGACGTTCCTGCTACAGGTAACTAGCCAGACCCATGCCTTTATTTCAGCCCATCCCTTTGTTTCCCATAAGAAATACTTTTAGTTAATCTATAATCTACAGAAACAATGCTTATCACTGGCTTGCTGTCAGTAAATATGTGGGTAAATCTCTGTTCGAGGCTCTCAGCTCTGAAGTCTGTGAGACCCCTGATTTCCCACTCCACACCCTATACTTTTGTGTGTGTGTCTTTAATTCCTCTAGCGCTGCTGGGTTAGGGTCTCCACGACTGAGCTGGTCTTGGCAGTTGCCATCACAATTATGTTTTTATCATGTAGTTAGAAAAACATGCCTTACATAGACTCTTGAGTAATTAGATCGATTAACGGTTAATAACAACTTGAACATATCAGTTCCATCTTTCTTATGGGCCTTTGCCAATTCCTCAGGTGACCTTCCTGTGACCTTAATTTCTATGTAGCTAAAAAGCAGAAAGCAGAAACCTAATGGTTTCCATGTTCTCCAAGACTCATCTATGCCTCCCCTCTTCATTTTTTACCAAGTCAAATAAATAGACTTTTACCCTCTTAATATACAAGGACTTATATTAAGCATACAAGTTGAGAAAAACTTTGCCTGGTATTCATAATCTTAATTAATTAATCTGCTTTGGATTTTTTCTATTGCATTATTCTATTTGATTTTATAAATCAGGCTGCAAGAAGAACATACTACAGTATTTACTTACTTGAACAGTAAGAAACTCAAAATTGCAAGTAGGGAAGTCCATGTTGCAGAGAAACACGTTTTAATACAGTTAAAGAAAAACATTTTAATTCCTGCCAACACTGCTCCCAATCATCCAATCATTGGATTCAAATGTGCCTTCTAGTCTTAGAAATGAATCTATTGGTGTTTAGGGTTCAAAATATCAAAAGAAGGTAAAAGAAGACTTGCGGAAACATGAGTACAATTTCAGGAAATTTATTTCTAGGAAAATATTGTTCCTTATATTTTCAAATTATATAGTGTGTATTGTATTTTCAAATCATGTAGTCTAGTCTGTAGAGGATTCTGTGACTTACTTACTTATCTGTGACTAAGATGCAATCATTAGGATCAAAGCATACATTTTTATTGGAATTAATTAAATTCTTAAAGATGGCTTATGAATAATAAACATTTTCTTACATGAAACACTGAAAGGATTCAGAAAATTTCAAAACTTAATTTTACTTCACAGCATTTGGGAAGTCATTTGGTGAAAGACAAATGGTGAGGTAACATAGGATATTATACAGGTTTTTGGCTCCATCTAAGCTTTTTCTTAGGTCTTTAAAATGTTAACTAACAGAACAGACTGCAGCTATGTTGGGTATTCTCCTTCAATGTTTTATTACTTTCTCTAAGCTTACAGCAAAATATTTTGGCAAGTTTAATCAACATTAGACTCTAGCTGTCTTAAGTCTAGGGGAAGTTAGTAATTGCTTTGCAAATACTGAAGATATAAATGACATTTTTAAAATCTAGGATTTATTCTTCTGGTTTGTTATATATTTTGCCCAGAGGTAGACTTTTAAGAATTACAGGAGTTTAATTTTGCCAGGAATGTATTCATGCACATAAATTGAATGAGATAGGATGATAAGACATTGTTTGTTAAGTATTTTAGAAGAGAACGAAATGAAAGTATATTGTATCTATTTTCTTCAGGGTACAATACTTCATCTAGTGAACTGTTTTTAAATATGTGTTGCACTCTATCATTCTCATTCTCCTAGAAGATAATACTGGAGTTGGCTGTATCCTGATGATTCTTTAAATTCATAAATTCACAAAGGATATTATGTCTTCATGGATGTGACCTAACAGATGTTATTAATGAAAAGGAATTAGAATAAAAGAAAGGGAGAAACAGGTGCTAGAATTGAAAGGAGGATGCTCTATCTAGGTGTTGTATTAGTCAGAATGGATTAGATTTTGCTGTCTTAAGAAAAAAAAAACAACAAATTTTAGCGGATTAACACAACAAAAAGTTTGGTTCTCATGCACATTACCCATCCAATGTAGGTCTATGGGGGATTCCACTCATCTTGGTTACTCAGTGACCCAGGATGACAAAGGCTTCTTCCTGATGTAACTATACTGCAACAGTGGGGAGGAAGGTGTGGCAAATTTCAACTGGGTTCTTAACAACTTCTGCTTAGATTTCATTGGCCAAAGCAACTCTCTTGGCCATGCCTAACTTCAAAGAAGGTGGGGAAGTATGGATCTACCCTGTGCCCAAAGTGAGAGAACCAGAAATAAATGGTAAAAGGGCCAGAAAAGAGTGAAGATAAACATCACCAATAACTTAAATAGCATTATAAATTATAGTCAAGGAATGATTTGTTGGAGAGCTAATTGATCACCTTTTAAAGAGACAATCAGTTTTACTCTCAATGATTTACTTCAGTTTCTTCAATGAGGCCGTTTATTAGAAAAGAAACACTATTATAAATTGCAATGTCCTCTGTGGTATATATCATTTGCAGTTAGTCTTGTCATCAGGAGTTACTATGATTTCTAATTGAAAAGAAGAAAGTGGTTCTCAAAGCAATTGGTATTGGGCAATTGGTATTGGTTAGGGCAATTGGTATTGCCCTAACAAATATTTTTATAAAATTTTCTGAAATTGGTTTGAGGCGTGTATTTCAGTAGAGAGGAGAAAGCCCTTAGACATTTTGCCTTGCACAAATCACTCTTATGAGAATAAATTATTCTCATTGTGTTAGGAGTGGTAATTGTAGCCAGGTCTAAGTGATTAAAGCTAAACTAAATTACAACTAACATAACAACTATATAGTCATTTTCATTATCTTCAGGGGATTGGTTCCAGGACTCCCTGAGATACTGAAATCCACAGATGCTCGAATCTCTTATATAAAATGAAAATTATATATACCACAGTGGCTGCACCATTTTACATTCTCACTGGCAGTGTGTGAGATTTCCAATTTCTCCACATCCTCATCAACACCTACAGGCATCCATCAGTATCCACAAGGGATTGGTTCCAGGAGCCCTGCAGATACCAACATTCATGGATGCTCAAGTCCCTTATATAAAATGATGTAGTATTTGCATATAACCTACACACATCCTCCCTTATACTTTAAATCCTCTCTAGGTTTCTTATAGTACTTAACACAATGTAAATGCTGTGTAAATAGTTGCTATATTGTCATGTTTAGGGAATAATGATGAGAAAAAATTCTGTACATGTTAATACAGGCATAACCATCCATTTTTTACCCAATATTTCCCATCCAAGTTTGGTTAAATTCACAGAGGTGAAACCCACAGATAAGGAGGGCCAACAGCACTCTATTCGTTGAGTCTGCTTATTAAACATCACATCATATTATTATCTCCATTATAAGCCATTGAACATTACCTATAGGAAGTATTGCTCCACAGCCACACACTTACTCTGAGCCCAAAAATAGGGTCACAACAGGTCCGGCTAGTAACAGAATGGATATTTAATATTAACTAAAGTTACCACATTTTCACCCCAATTGTTAAAATTCTTAGTATGACAGACGATTTTGTGCCACTACTATGCAAAAGAGGTGGTCTGCAATACATAGTGTGGATGCTAAGAACACAATAGGTCCTCAATGGAGATTTGAGAATGAATGAAAGAAGAGCCAATTTTCTGAAACATTTTCTTTCCTGGAGCAATGCAGTACTCAAAAGTATTATCCTTGAAAGTACATAACCAATACATGTTATATAACATTAACCTGTTAACATTACGAGCAAAGGAAAATGTAAAGAGCACATTCTCTTACTAATACGTAAGCACCACAAGAAAATTTGAGGTCATTTCTTCCATACCCTCTCATAACAGTGTTGTATCCTCAAGGTAGAAGAACACGCCAATTTACTGCTCTTACTTTTGTGTAGAAAATAGTTTTTAAAAAGCCACAGAAATTGAAGAGAAAAAATGCATTCAAGTTTTTTAAAAAACCATAGATCTGAACAAGAATGAATAGAACATCATCTAGTGATGTGGGATGGCTGGGTAATTCAATGTTTTTATAGGAGGTTTGTTATTTTTAATCACAAGGCCTCATATATTGAAATGAAAACTGAACAGGAAACATATTTTCTTTTGACTTGGGTCAAAGGATCCTGAGGCAGAGATTTAAAACTCCCCAATAGATGTTGCATTTTACAGTGGTTGGCAAAGTTATTTGCATACAACCATTTAATTAATGGGTGTTTGACTTGAAAAATAGAGAAAAACAAATGTAATAGAAAGTATAAATCACTCATAGCCCTTTAAAATTTATGTGGGCTCTGAAGTAAAAGTCTCTTTGTCCTCTTTAATTCTAATATTTTTTCTCTGTGCTTATGCAAACATACACACACAAATGTATATATCTTTTAAAAAAGGGAAGGGGCATGCCAAACACATTGATTTGCAAGTTTTTTTTAAGGTAATATGTACACCTTTTAAGTCCACACATCTAAAGTTATATCACTGAGGTAACTACTTAGTATATTACTGTATTAATGTTCTCTAATTTACCTAGTTAATGTCCCCTATTGACAGACTTCTTTTGTTTCTAATTTTATATCATTATAAATAAAGCTGAAGCTTTATTTATAAACCTGTAATCTCCTTTTAAATGTGAATACTTTAAAACTGTCTTAATTATAAGAATCAAAACATCTCAAGTGTAATAAAAGGCAATAATTATAAAATTCATGGGATCAATAGGAAGAAAACAGACAGATGAGAGATACACAACAAAAAGAAACTTTGTCGATCAATAATCAGCCGAGAACTTGGTACATATTACTTTTCTATGGAGCTGTCAAAGCACCCTTCATGTGATATCATAGAGGCATAGGGTGAGACATTCAAGCCTCATGCCATGGGCCCTCTAAGATCCTAAACGTGACATCTCATTCAGGTCTCAGGTCTCAGTGTACACTTCCTAGTATCACATGGCTTGGGAATGGTTATAACAGTGAGAGATGTTCATTAGGTAGACTATACCTAATGCCAGATAGTTAAACCTACAAGTTCCCAAGACAAGATTTCTGTTTGGTTTTGAAAGCAATGAAGAAAAAGTTCTCATATCCCCCATGCTACTCAGGGAAATATAAGCTTTAAATGTTAGTTTCGAAAATATAAAAATAGATGATATACTCTTTATTATCAATGGAACAAGGTTTATCTTGAAGATTCCATTAACTAACATGGTGTAATGATTTTTCATTTTTTTCTGTTTTATTGCTATCATTCCAACCTAGAATGTTTTCTATATTTTATATCACGTTTTTCTCCAGTAATTTTCAAAACAAAACAAAAGACCAAAACTCCAAATAGAAACTTACTGCAGAATAGAGATAACTCTTTATAAATTTAGATGGATTTCAGAAAAAAATCTGGAAAAGACAAATTTATTTTTTAAAAACTGCATGTGGAGTTAGGCTTTGCCAAAATTCACATTTATTTTAAATGAATTCTGGAACATTTTAAATCTACGTAAACTTCACCTAACCTTATTCATGGTGACTGTGATAGGTATGAGCCCTCTAACTTTTCAGCTGATTTTTTAGTTTTATATGTTTCTTCTACCTTTGATTTTATTGTTTATGTCAGATTACAGATGGCTGTGATTTTTCTCAAAATACTTAGTAAATTTATATTATGGAATTGAAGCATTTGTTTATTAGCCTGCTTTCAGGTTCATAGTTGAATTATCTGTATATTATCATCAGATAGAGACCATAGGATATAACAAGCATTTATTAGCTTCTTATCCGTTGGCTTCATAGACAAGGAAACACAGAAGAGCCGCACTTGAGAATATCAAATATTAGATTATGGAAACATCTGGATTATATTGATCTTTTAATTTTTATAATTTTGGTTTCAACTTTATGGCTAGAGAATGCCATATGCAAACTCATAGCTAACTTATAAATTTTCAATAACTCTATATTCTAGTTATATTTTTATTTCTTCCTGAAAGAATCCAAGTCCATAGGGGTCCATTCAGTGTAGGTCTTCCTAGTTCAGGGGCATAAATGAATGAATGCAAACAGTCACAATAAGTCACGTTGGCTGATATTTACAACTCTTCTATTTAAGTGTATTAGTGTAGACATATTAATAAAAATTCAAATCCATAAGCCTCCACAAATTATGTCATTTAGTTCTTACACATTACAGACTTATACTTCAAATTCTGTGTTTCAAAGAATTGATTCCCTCAGAAGAAATTACATAGCAATATTGTGCAAAATAATTTATACACTGGGGAAAGGTCACCCTTTTCAATAAGTGGTGCTGGGAAAACTGAATTGCCACATGCAGAGGAATTAAAAACTGGACCTCTATCTCTCACCATACACAAAAATCGACTCAAGATTGATTAAAGACTTAAATGTCACACCTTAAATTACAACAATATTAGAAGAAAACCTAGGGAAAACTCTTCCAGACATTGTTCTAAGCAAGGAATTTATGACTAAGACCTCAAAAGCATAAGTAAAATTAAAAAATAGGCAAATAGGACTTAATTAAGCCAAAAAGCTTCTGTAAAGCAAAACAAATAATCAACAGAATGAATAGGCAACCTACAGAATGGGATAGAATACTTACAAACTTTGCATCTGACAAGGGACTGATACTCAGATACAAGGAACTCAAAAAACTCAACAACAACAAACAACCTCATTAAAAAGTGGGCAAAGAACATGGATAGATGAATAAACATTTTTTTCAAAAGAAGAAATACAAATGGCCAATAAGCCTATGAAAAAAATGCTTATTATCACTAATTGTCAGAGAAATGCAAATTAAAACCACAATGAGATATCATCTTACACCAGTCAGAATGGCTATTATTAAAAAGATGAAAAATAACAGATATTGGTGAGGATGTGGAGAAAAAAGAATGCCTTCACATTGTTGGTGGGGGTTTAAATTAGTACAACCTCTATGGAAAACTTATGGCGATTACTCAAATAAATAAAAATAGAGCTACTATTTGATCCAGCAATCCCACTACAGGGTGTATACTTAAAAGAAAAGAAACCAGTGTATAAAAAAGATACCTGTACCTGTATATTTATCACAACTCTATTCACAATGGCAAAGATATAGAATCAATCTAATTGTCCTTTGACAGATGATTGGATAAAGAAAATGTGGTATATATACACAGTGGAATACTATTCAACCATAAAAAAGGATGAAATCATGCCTTGCAGCAACATAGATGAAACTGGAGGCCTTTAAGTGAAACAACTCAGAAAGAGATAGACAAATACTGCATGTTTTCACTCATAAGTGGGAGCTACATAATGTGTACATGTGGACATCGAGTATGAACTGATATATATTGGAGACTCAGAAGGGTGGGAGGGTGGAAGTGGGGTGGATGATGAGAAATTACTTAATGGATACAATGTACATTATTTGGGTGATGGACGCCACTAAAAGCCCAGGATTCACCTCTGCAAAATACATCCATGTAGCAAAAATTGCACTTGTAGCCTTTACATTTATATAAGTTTTTAAAAAAATAACAATTGCCACTAGTTGTCTTTAATCTGGTCTTAATGGTCTCCTGTTTGCCAGTGTCATCAGCACTCTCAATTTTAATTTTTAACCTGTTCTATCTCATTACTCTATCTTACCTGTCTGGCTCTTATAAATCTTTTGAGTCGTTACTCATTTTTTAAATAATTCTAATTTGTTTCATGTAATACCATTCAATGATAAATGTTTACTAATTGACTCAATGCTATAGTATTTCCAGTTGGTTTCAAGTGAGTATTATAGTTAAAGCCGTTAATTTAGGCCATCCAATATTTGAATACCTTCTTTGTGGAATGCCCCATCTTATGATCTTCATGGAAGGCAGGAGTAGAAAGTGCTAGATACTATTGCTCAGGGATTCCCTGCAGCTGATGTACAAGCAAATGAACTAAATTTCCTCAGTCCTGCCTCAGAGATTCACTGACAACAGCAGTAGTCAGGGATGGACTGAATCCTGGGACAGAAGGAGTGATGTTAAGTGTGGGGTCCAGCAACCAGTGTTAATGGTATTGGAGGTACAAGCCACAGCATTTAATGTTTAGCAGTGGTATTGTCACTGGGCCAGTTCCACAACCTAACTGTAGACATTGTTCCTGGTGTGAGTACCTCACATCAGTTCTCTAACCCTCCTGATGAGTCTGTAAGCTACTCGGTAGCCATTAATAAACTTCTTTTCTGCTTAGTACTGTTAGAAACTTGGCTAACTGGTCTCAGTCTTTATAAAACATTTGGAGTGACTATTCTCTACTCCAGGGCTCAGCGAACATTTCCTGTAAAGGGCCAGATAGTAAATATGTTGGCATTTTCAGGTAATATGGCCTTTATTGCAACTACTCAACTCTGCCATTGCACTGCAAAAACAGTTTACAATAATAAACAAATGAGCACAGTATGTTCTAATAAAACTTTATGTAAAAAAAAAAGGCAATGAACTAGATTTGGCCTGCAGGTTGTAGCTTGTGAATGTCAACTTTGCTATGTTTATAAGATATCTTATAGTAGACAGGACTCATTGAATCTGTTGATTGAAATTATGCCATCCAACTGCATCCATCCCTGCCTTCTCTTTGATCAACATTTGGTAACCCTAACAATGTTGTAACCTTTCTAAGACTTAGTCCCATGTTGAGATTATTAATTATGCTACTCTACTTCTAACTCTTAAAATAAGTGTTTAGCTTATGAGTTTATAAAAGGCAGTCTCTCTTTTATAGCAGAAATACAATTTCTAAAATTCTTTTAAAAATATAATTTATCTTTGAATGGGGAAACATAGATGCCAGTACATTCTTATATAAAAAGATTACTTTGAATTTTTAAAATAACGACATAATAATTAGATGACAATTTCAATTTTATGGGTATGCTATCTCTATAAGTATACTAGTAGCATGCTATATAAACAAGGATTATGAGAACCATTGAGGATATGGTACTGTAAGTTTAAGAAACAAGATTGTTACGTAATTTTAAAAGAATCAAGTTTTTGAAACAAAGATTGGGGTTTCTATTGCAAGTCTGTAATGCTTAATTACGTCATATGATTACAGTATCTTAAGACTTATCTTAACATGATTTAATAATTAAATTAAATATTTATTAATGTGTCTGCACTAACATAACATACTAAGTGCTATAAATAAAAAGTAGCATCATTCCTACCTTCAGATAAATGAAAGTTTAGTGGAGAGATAGACGTTTAAGTGAGCACATAAATATGAATTTCTTAGTATTATAATAAGGGTATGTAATAAGAACTATTGGACAATTGAACGTCTAATTCTGCCTAGGAGAAAGAGCGTTTACAGAGGACTCCTCTTAGATAATGGAGTATGGAAATACTTTTCTAGAAAGATAAGAGCAAGAAGAGATTTCAGGCATTGAAAACATCACACTGGCAGAATTTATTTAATAGAGCTCAAGCTATGCCACCCAGGGAAGAAGCTGAACTAAATTACAGGGCCCTGATTACTGGCCACTACACTTAACAATGATAATTAACCATCATAGACAGTTTATTGGGTTTTTTTTTTAATGTTTGGTCACTTAAATCATTTAGCAAGAGTGGCAATAGAGTCCTTCAGAAAACTCTCCTGAAAGATGTTTGATATGGTTTGGCTCTGTGTCCCCACCCAAATCTTATCTTGTAGCTCCCATAATCCCCACATATTGTGGGAGGGACCCAGTGTGAGATAACTGAATCATGGGGTCAGGTCTTTCCCATGTTGTTCTTGTGATAATGAATAAGTCTCATGAGATTTGATGGCTTTAAAAATGGGAGTTTTTGCACAAGCTCTCTCTGTACCTGCCGCCATCTATGTAAGATGTGACTTGCTCCTCCTTGCCTTCTGCCATGATTGTGAGGCCTCCCCAGCCATGTGGAACTCTAAGTCCATTACAAATCTTTCTTTTGTAAATTTCCCAGTCTCAGGTATGTCTTTATTAGCAGCACGAAAATAGATGAGCGTCTTTGCTTTGAAAAGAACAGGCTCTGTTCTGATTTGTAAAGAAGGCAACTTAGGATAACATCGTAGGAAGTTCTCTTCTGAAGCCATTTATCTATGTCAGTATTCCTGTCTACCTACCTTAATTAATAACATTTTTAAATAACCTAATCAACAAGCGAAGTTATTTACTATTGGTGTGAGACAATTCTTCATTGGTCTCTCACACTCCTGCGCTTCTTGTGAGCACCTGGAGAGTAGTATTTTATACCTTTTTCTCAATGATATTTCCAAGGATGTTTGTACAGCAAACAGCCTTGGAAGATGCAGCAAAAGGCAGGTTTGTTTACTCTTTAGTGTAATAAAGATAATGTCTTCCTTCAAGGCAAAAGTCAGGCAAGCTTGCTTACTGCCCATTATAAAAGATTAGGACTTCTTAAACTCAGGGTTTTCCTTCTGTAATGTGACCCACCTCATGCACAGGCATCACCTGCCCTTTTGCATCACCTTTGTATCTGTCCCAAGAGTCTCCTGCTTTTCTCCAGCATCCAAAACATTGTGGCAGGTTTGTAAGTAGAATAATAAAATCAGAGATTCTACATTATATTTCATGACAGATGGGAATAGATTGAACATCATGAGATATAATATATATCTGTATGATCTGAAATTTTTTTACCCCATCTGAAAACTAACAATATGTATATCCATATCTGGATATCTATCTATCTCTAAAGACAGATAGATATCTATCTATATCTAAAGATAGATATCTATCTATATCTAAAGATAGATATCTATCTATATCTAAAGATAGATATCTATCTATATCTAAAGATAGATAGATATCTATCTATATCTAAAGATAGATAGATATCTATCTATATCTAAAGATAGATAGATATCTATCTATATCTAAAGATAGATAGATATCTATCTATATCTAAAGATAGATATCTATCTATATCTAAAGATAGATATCTATCTATATCTAAAGATAGATAGATATCTATCTATATCTAAAGATAGATAGATATCTATCTATATCTAAAGATAGATAGATATCTATCTATATCTAAAGATAGATAGATATCTATATCTAAAGATAGATAGATATCTATCTATATCTAAAGATAGATAGATATCTATCTATATCTAAAGATAGATAGATATCTATATCTAAAGATAGATAGATATCTATCTATATCTAAAGATAGATAGATATCTATCTATATCTAAAGATAGATATCTATCTATATCTAAAGATAGATAGATAGATATCCATCTATATCTAAAGATAGACAGATATCCATCTATATCTAAAGATAGACAGATATCCATCTATATCTAAAGATAGACAGATATCCATCTATATCTAAAGATAGACAGATATCCATCTATATCTAAAGATAGACAGATATCCATCTATATCTAAAGATAGACAGATATCCATCTATATCTAAAGATAGATAGATATCTATCTATATCTAAAGATAGATAGATATCTATCTATATCTAAAGATAGATAGATATCTATCTATATCTAAAGATAGATAGATATCTATCTATATCTAAAGATAGATAGATATCAATCTATATCTAAAGATAGATAGATATCTATCTATATCTAAAGATAGATAGATATCTATCTATATCTAAAGATAGATAGATAGATATCTATCTATATCTAAAGATAGATAGATAAAGATCTATATCTGTTCTCAAATGACAGATGTATTTTATATCTATTCCCAAATAGGATGAAATATATGCTGTAATTTTTGGGTTTACAAAAAGACAATAGGATTTTTAAATTACTTTTTGGACAATAAAACTAACATTTGATTTTTTAACATGTGATTTATGCTTTATTCAAAAATTCTTTTGTCTTTTAATTAAAGCATATTAGTATAATCACAAGATGAGGGTAAAACAAAAAAATAAAAAATAAAGCATATTAGGTGCAAAGTTCTCTAGTAAGTGCTATGAATAAAAAGTAGCATCATTCCTGCCTTCAGATAAATGAAAGTTTAGTGGAGAGATAGACATTTAAGTGAGCATATAAATATGAATTCCTAAGTATTATAATAAGGATATACAACAAGAGCTATTGGACAATTGAACATCTAATTCTGCCTAGGAGAAAGAGCTTTTACAGAGGATTCCTCTTAGTTATGGAGTATGGAAATACTTTTCTAGAAAGATAAGAGCAAGAAGAGATTTCAGGCATTGAAAACAGCACATTGGCAGAATTTATTTAATGTAGCTCAAGCTATGCCACCCAGGGAAGAAGCTGAATAGGTCTGCTAATGTTGTATGCCAAGGAAAGAACACTTAATTTTTTCTGGAGGGCAACAAGGAGTAATTAAAGGATTTTGAGAAGCAGAGTCACATGCTATGTATTCTTCTATTGCGGACCAAAGTGCATCCCCCTAAAATTTACATTTTGATTTGACTTCATTTGGAGACAGAGCCTTTATATAAAGAAGCAATTAAAGTTAAATGAGGTCATAGGAGTGGCCCTCTAATCCATTAGGACTTATGTCCTTTTCAGAAGAGAG
Organism: Homo sapiens; assembly: GCF_000001405.40. Taxonomy (NCBI): domain Eukaryota; kingdom Metazoa; phylum Chordata; class Mammalia; order Primates; family Hominidae; genus Homo; species Homo sapiens. The sequence goes on from NC_000008.11 coordinate 68,907,936, forward strand.
ACACCAGGAAGGGGATGTCCACAGAAAAAGGGCCTGTGGGGACACAGCAAGAAGCAGCTATCTGCAGGCCAAGGAGAAAGGCCTTAGAAAGAACTAGCCTTGCTGGCATCCTGATCTTAGGGGCTCCAGAACTGTGAGAAAATAACTTTCTATTGTTTAAACCAGTCTGTGGTACTTAGTTATGCTAGTGCTAACAAACTAATATACTCTCTTTATTATTTTTCACAGGACTTGTCAGAATGTGACATATTCTATATGCATTTTATTGTCTACCATCTTAAAATACACATTTCATCAGAGAAGGGGCTTTTTGTTGTTATAACTCACGGAGGCATCCACAATGCCTAAAATATTGCCCAGCACATAGCTGGTGTTCTTTTAGTATTTCTTGAGTAAATGAAGAGAAGCCACATGGAATATGAATTACAGTCAAAACAGTTCAAGATGGGAGGCAGGATACTCACTAGTGGCAATCACAATTCTCAAATGTGAGATTATAATGCCTGATTAGACATTCTTTGAGACAGGAATATAGAAATAGGTTTGGAGAAGATAGGGAATTCATTTCAGAGCATTTCAAGTTTGAGATGCCAGTAAGACATCCACATGGAGCTGTCTAGTTAGCAGTTGGATATTTGGCTCTGGTGTTCTGATGGGAGAGCTTGGCTAGATGTAAACATTAGAGTCATGCGCAAATAAGTGTTAGATAAAGCCATGGCCAAAACTGAGATTTCCCACAGGGAAGTTAACTGCAAAGGCTGAGAATGCATCCCTTTAAAATTCCATCTACAGGGAAGGCAGAAAAAGAACCTGAGATTAAGGAACCAGAGAGGTAGAGAACAAGGAGGAAGAATAACCAGGGTTTTAACGAGTGATCATTCCTTTTTCAGGAAAATGTATGTATAGTTTATATAAAGCAGAGGATATCTAATTAGTCAATCTTTCAATTGTAAAGAAAATCTTCTGGGAAAATTTCTGTAACATGTTTTAGTCTGACTTGAAAGTAAAAAGTAAGAAGTTACTTTTTATTGGATCTTGAGAGACTATGTGATCTCCTCATGTTGGGTTAGCTATAAAGGAAGCACATTTAGAAGATTTAACTACAGTCCAAATGACCAAATCCTCACTTCAGAAAACTTGAATTCCTTTAAGCCAAATGGACAGTGGATAAATCACTTCATGTATCGATTTAAAATCAGAATTATTCTTTCAATGTGTTTATAAAATTGTATCATAGGACTAACTGTGAAATTCTTAAGTACCAAACCTCATAAAAGCCATTTTCTTAGATTGATGTTCACAGCATATAATCTGGAGAAGGCCAGCTCTGTCAAACAGAAGGACTAAGCAAATGAAAATAAACTCAGTGAGGAAAGAGAAGAAATGTTTTGAGTAAGTTAGTCAAGCTTGGAGACACAAAAATCAAAGTAGTTTCATGAAGAATATCTCATGAGGTCTGTCTAATATCAGGAACTCTAGACAAGATCCTTCTTTGAAGACCCAACAAGAATTTGCTCCAACTGAGACGGATATTTGGATACTGTCCTTTTGGAACTCCTATGCAAGTTGCCTTGTGAAGGCACGAAATGTCCTAATTGTAAGATCCTTTCTTTCCAAAGTTGACCCATCTGTTTTCCTGCCAGCTTTGCCCTGCATTTTCCCATTTTATTAATACACTATTTACTGATGACATTTGGCCAGAATTTTGTTAAAATTCAATTACTTTTGTTTTCCTGGTCCTTTTCTGCCCCTGACGTCAAACCTGTCATTTCTACAGAATTTTACTATTTTTACATTCCTGGAACCCATAATCTTGACTTTGTTCCTAATTCTTGCCCCTATATTAACTTATCTTAGTATTTTTAGTCTTTCTACCTCTCTCACATTTTGTTCACAATATCTGTTCATTGTTAGCCATCTAAGATTAGACTTCCATTGAGGTTATTTTGGTAAGTGTTTTTCAAAGACACCACTATATAAAATGTGGTAGACAAGTAAAATTATTCTTGGCTCTTTGCCATGAGAAAAATATACAGAGTTTTCCACAAATACCAACTCAGACCTCATAATGTTTCTGTCAAATGAGGTGTGAAACAATCACAGATATACATCAACCAACAGATTGAGTATGGGTGTTTTATTTTACCAGAAACATGGTAATACCTATGCTTTAAATCAGAAACTCTGAATGTTTGAGTCCATGGATTAATAAAGTATTTTTCAAATAAATTCCAGGCAAAGTTTCCAGGGTATTAATGGACCTGTGTTACTAATAAAGTATTAGCAACATCATAATATTTTTATAATTGGAATATAATGCTTATAATTTTAGTGTTTCTGAAGCCAGGGCTATTGAAACTTGTCCCAAAAATACCCCAACAAAATAGGCTATTTTGAATTGGAAAATATTGTGTAATCTCTGAAGTGTATCATCAGATTTTTTAGATTGCTGCAGTACTCCTGTTTTCTCTTCCAAATGTTTCCACACTTAACTATAAAAGATTCTTTGTTAGTATTATTTATAGGAATTTATATTGAAATGTTTGCCCTTTTTAAAATCAGAGATTCTTCAATAGAAAAATTTGTGTTTACTCTATGTTATCACATCACACCTGGCCCTTTATCACAGGCCTAATTCATTTGTAGTTACTATATCAACTTCTGGTATTTATAAAATATGGGATTGCTATGTAATACTTCTTAAATTGCTTATTTTTATCACCTGATGACACTAATTTTTAATGACACTTGGATGTCTACTCTGGATCAAGATGTTTTTCTTGGATTAATTTAAGAAAAAATTGAGCATGAGGCCGTGTGTGGTGGCTCACACCTATAATCCAAGCACTTTGGAAGACCGAGGCGGACAGATCATCTGAGGCCAGGAGTTCAAGACCAACCTGGCCAACATGGTGAGACCCTGACTTTACTCAAAATGCAAAAATTAGCTGGGCATGGTGCCACATGCCTGTAGTCCCAGCTACTCGGGTGGCTGAGGCAGGAGAATCACTTGAATCCGAGAGGCAGAGGTTGCAGTGAGCTGAGATTGTGCCACTGCACTCCAGCCTGGGTGACAGCAAGACTCCATCTGAAACAAAAAAAAAAAAAGAAAAAAAAAAAAGAAAGAACTGGGCATGAGGATTCTTAGAAGGGTCTTCGAGACTGGGCCAGTTATTGAAGGTTTTTTAACAGCCTCTACGTAAAGGTCAGGTAGGTGGGACAAAGCTCACAGTCTCTAAGAAGCCAGTGTAGTGCTTTCAGTTCTGAAGGAAGCCCATATAGTGTTATGCCAAACTAGGGAGTGAAGACTTTGAGGCCCCGCTAGGAGTGCCCCGATGAGTCGTGGTGATGGCTAGATAATCAAAAACTCAGACTTAGGGTGGTTTGCTCTATCTAGACTGCCCAGAAAACTGTGGTTCCTCGTCTCAAATCTCTCAACTGCCTTCTTCTTTTTTACAGAATTCTACTTTCAGATGATTTTAAAAGCCATTTTAAATGTCATTTTCCTAAGAAACATGAATAAAAGGGATTTATCCATATTGTCAAAGTTTTAGTTAATTTATACTTGAAGTTTACTACCCACAGTTTCAGAAGATCGTATGTAGTGTTCTAATGAAACGGAATTAAATTAGAAAGCTCTATTTGAGATAAACAGGTGCAATGAATACAAGTTTCCTTTGTAGCTTCTGATCCTACTTGATATATTTCACAATATCTGTCACATGTTGGCTTCTGTTTATATTTGTTGAATGAATAAAATGTTGATCGCTTAACTAAATAAAGCAATGCACAAGTTATTCAAATGTGATAGTAGGCAAAACTTTGACCTTTTTTTAATTTTAAAATTTTAAGTTAATTTATTTTTTTCAGCTTTATTAAGGTATAATTGAAAAATTTTAAAGTCTATATATTTATGATGTACATGTTGTTTTGATATTTTTATACATTGTGAAATGATTAAATCAAACTAATCATAATATCTATCACCTCACATATGAATCTTTTTGTGTCGAGAACATTTAGGATCTACCTGAAAATTGCTAAGAGAACAGAACTTTTTTTTCTAAATGCAATTAATTTTATGCTATATATAGGCAGTTGAAATTTTGAGCAATATATTTAAGACTTCATTGTTTCTGACATGTCACTGAGTCAGTGGCAAGAGTGACAATACCTGTCTCAGTCTCATGCACTAATGAAATGGAGAGAAATTTTAAAGTATTTTATTTTTTTATCTAAGGATTGCTTCTTTCCGAAGGCAATATAGATTAAGATATTGAGGAACCCTTAAACCTAATATGCCATACTGCTTTTCTTTCATTCAAAATGCCCAATAACAATAGGCTTAATTTTTTACTGCTTATTATTTATTAAATGATAGAGTTGATGTTATCAAAATTAAATCTGAACTCTGAGGAGCAATCCCAGGCAAATGTGAATTAGCAGGCAGCATCTCACCTAACGGAAATGTCGGCTGAATGTGAATAATTTCAGCTTCGTCTGAGTGCTACAAATGAGCAGCTATTTTAGGGCCAACATTCAGCTAAGGTGTTATCCCTATACTTCTGCTATGCTCTGAAAGAAGAAATACATGGAACATAAATATCCAATTACAGAATCTACAGGGCAAATCTACTGAGCCCTGGGACTGCTAAAGTTGAATTCAGGCTACTGGCCTTAGGTAAATCAAAATTTAGCAAAGAGACTTGAAGTCTTTCTGGATATGAAACAAATGACCCTAAAAATTCACACATGAGCTAAGTTAAGTAAAGGTTTGTTTGTTTTGTGTTTAGAGGCAGGAATCTGAGAAGAGAGGAAATTTCAGGTCAAATGGTGGCAACACTTGGGAGTTTTGAAACTCCAGGATATTGACAAATACACAATGCTTCTCTGAGAGTTCTATTTGGGGCTCAGGAAGTGTAGGTGACCATTGATGTGGTAGTGATAACAAATGCACAAAACAATCTGCTTTATTTTTTGAACTTGAGATGTTTGGTTAGAAAGAAATGCAAGCTAAATGTTGAACTCTAAATTTTACCCATTGGGTATGATTGTTGAATGACATCTCAAGGTGTTTGAAGAATTATCATTATTTTTCTTGAGTGAATTACATTTTTGCAGTGAATTTTAGTTTGGGGATAGACTAATACTATTTCCTAGTAGAAATGTTGGATACAAAATGCGTTAAATTAATTGCAAATGAAGTTAAACACAATCTGCAGTGTTGTATACTTATGTGCACTGAGGCAGATGAGGATATACTTTAACAGGTGGTAAAACAAAGATGCATTTTGTCTGAGGTTTTGAGAATTCCTGAAAGTTATAGCTCTGAGTTCTCCGTCTCTCTGCCGTACTGAGAGTTGAGGTTGAGTTGGGGTTGAGTATGGTGGGCTGAGTGTCCTGACTGCCCACACTTGAACCACTTCAGTAATTTCTGCAGAACTCAAATGCTTCTACTGCTAGGATTTGGAAGACAAAGGAAAAAACCGCTTTTAATCCTGGAAATGGAGTCCTTGACTTTCTTCTTGTCCTCTTATCAACTCATTTAAAGCTAAGAAAAATTCTCTTTATATATATTATGTGATGGAAGGTAAAGATGACACCCCTAAAAAATCGGAAAAAAAGGAATAAATGCTGTGTAAGAAAGAAATCACCAATAATCACCCAACTTAGAGAAAATAGTCTCACTTCAGCTTCAAAATCTGTAATGGTACCCTGGAACCTAATGCATAGGCAATAAGAAAATAAGGAAAATCAAGTAGAAAGGGATGTTTTGTGGGTTTGTTATCTTTAGTATATAATACACTTTATATAATGAATATATAATTCATTTTACTTTTAGTAAATAATTTATACTACATAATTCATTTACTTTTTAGTATGTGATTCATTTACTTTTATGTTTTTAAAATTCAAATTTTGAAATGGCTGTCTTTAAGAGCCAGCTTACAAAATTTCTGTAAGTTGAGCAATTAGCTCTCTCTTCAGCAATCTGGAGTAGACCATTTACACATATACCACCCCCAGCCCCGGTCCCCACCCAACCCCAAGTGCAGATAAGGAAGGAGAGATAAGATAAGAGCTGGAGAGATACAGCTCCCAGATTGTGTGGAAAGAACCAATATGTTGTCTGGAGAGAAAGAAAATCTCCAAAGGGAGAAGTAAGGTGTTTAGCCATGTGAGCCTCAACTTTGAGGTGGAACTAAACATCTTCTTTGCTTCTGATTATTATGACTTCTCCCAGAACCACAAGTGAGAGGCCATTCATGAACCACCTTGAAGGAGTCATGTTTTATAAGGTTATGTGAATTGTGAAAACAATACCCATGGTTCTCTAAGTTGATTTGAATTCAATAGAACAAATTTTGAAATGGATAAAAAGGGCTTTTATTTGTGGTAGAAATTATGTTTTAAAATGACAAGTCCCTGACTGCTACCAGACCCCACTCTTCAGCCTGAAAATGAGCTCCTATAAATAACTGAAATCTGAGAGAATAGAACCAATTTCAGAGTGTTTGTGTATCTGCCATACTTATCTTTGTATGTTTCCTTAAAATCTTTCAGTGTCTAGACATATTTATTTCAGTAAATTAGAATATGAGTTGACTTCTACTTGTGAAACATATGAAATGATGTGAATGGGATGAAAAATGTGTTATCAATTAAAATTTCATTCATGAAATTCTATACAACATGTTCATAACATAAATAGCTGCTTGTTTTAATTTTCTCAAGTTAACCTAAATTAAAATGAATCCCAGTAAAACTGAGGCTGTAAAATATTTTATCATGTATTTTATGCTGATAGTAAATGCAGCAAAATATGTGTAGAATAGCACACCAGGTTCGGACTCTAATTATTTCTCAAGCAGCATCTGTTACGCAGACATTTAAAAAGATTCTGTGTCAATATTGTATACAATCTAACTTAGGAGGAAGTTCTCTGATGTTGTCATTGTTGATTATTGTAATCCCAATTATCCTTCTCTGGCCTTGTTTATTTCTAGTTAATAGTGTTCCCTCTTCTTTTTTTGTTTAGTTTACTTGCTGAATTTTTCATAATATCCTGTACATTCAGAGTTAAAAAAAAATCAGCAAAAATGTCAGATTTCTTTTTCAATATTATATATGTTTTTTTGTTTTTTGCAATAAACTTAAAATGTATTTACTTTTAGAAATAATTGTGATTAATAATGGGTGATTCTTTGGCCCAAATTGTTAGAAGTGTAAAGACTTTGTGTGTACAGGAAGTGCTAGCTTTATGAGGCAAGTTATGTTTGCCTTTGAGCTAATATCCCACTTCAAGCTGAGAATTCCCAGAAGTCATTCACATTTAAAGGGGGAGACTACTTCTAAGATGAATACATCTTGAAGCTCCAAAAGAATCAGCTTTAATGGTGGAATGATAGGCCATGGAGCTGCTATTTTGATAATGGGGCCCTAGTGATAGCCACTTAATTGAACAATGTTGATGGTTCCCTATTACAAATGAGATCTCACTTGTCTGAGACCCAATTCTGTGACCACCAAGCTGAACTGGCTAGAATCCAATGAGGAGTGAGGTGGGGAAAGGTGTAAGAGCACATTAGGAGAGGTTAGCCTGTTCGTCCTTCTACATAATCACATTAAATTGCACTTTCCAGGTCATAAAATGAGTATTTCCTAATAATTTTTTTAGTTATCAATATACTTTTTAAATGATCTATGTTGCAGTGACTATGGCTACAGCTGATTGCTATTATGTTCCCATGGCTGGCATCAAAATAGAGCTCTGGGTTCAAGACCAGCCTGGCCAACATAGTGAGACCCCGTCTCTACTGAAGTGGAAAAAAAAAAAGCCCCAGGCACTCAGGAGGCTGAGACAGGAGTACTGCTTGAGCCCTGGAGTTCAAGCCTGCAGTAAGCTACTATGGTCTGATGGCACTGCATTCCAGCCTGGGTGACAGAGCAAGAGCTTCTCTCCTAAAAAAAAATACAACTCTGGGAGGCTAACTGAAGAAAGCGATTGCTGATTTGTTGAATACGTATGTGGTTCCCTTTTTCTAGACAATAACAGCAGTACCCATGCACAAGAATGTAGTTTGTGATGACTGCTCTTGCAATAAAGTATTTTGTGTGTGTACATAAAGTATTTTATATAGCACGTAAGCATTTATTTGTTCTAGGCAATTATCTGAGGCTGTGAAGTTCAAAGAATTGTGCAGATGTATCCCAAAATAGCATCTTCCCACAAAGACCAAAAGGTGATGACGAAGGATCCTCTTAGTGTGCAACAGTTAACTATTTCTTATTCTCCCATGTAGCCGGGGAGGGTTTTTACAGACATTAATTCATAAATGAAAGACAGTTATGATGCCATGTGGTGCAAAGCTAATTGCTCTTCTGAAATAAGTGAAGTTGAGATGTTTGATCCAATCCTAGAGCAGAGGTTCTCAAAGTGTCATCCCTTAACCAGGGGCATCATAATTACCTAATAGCTTGTTAGAAATACAAATTCCCTGGGCCCCACTCCAGACCTACTAAATCAAAGGCTCTGGGGCCAAGCCTCTGCCATCTGTATTTTATTAATAACAAGACTTACATGGTAAGATTTGAGAGCCACTGCTCTAGAGCACTCCTTGCCATCAGGAAAAGGATAGAAGTTAGTTAATTGGCAGCCAAAGTATGTTAGGTATGAAAATGATCAGAGAGCATTGACCTAAGACAGGCTCAGACATTTAGCTTTTCAGGCCACCTTATCTTGGATAGCTCAGACCTGGTGTTCTTTCTCTTTCCCCGTGGTTGTCTCCTATTTGAGAATTCACTCTGGCTTAAGCCTCATCCTGGCCTTGAGGAGTCCAAACCTTGATTTGATTCCCAGTTCCTGTCATCTTATCCAGCTCTGATTCTGATTTACAGACATTCTGGCCTTATATCAGCTCTGCCCAAATCCCAGAGAGCAAAGCTTTAGACTCAATCTCTCTGTAGTTTCTTCCTGCTATATTGCCACAAATTCACCACTGTCTCTGAAGACACTCTTTGCAAAGTTAAAGAGGCAACACCTGGCCGTAGGATGGAAGAAGGCAGAAACCTTTTTCACTCACCTCTCTATCCAGTGAGATGCTAATAAATGTTTAACAACTGATTATTTAAAAAAGCCCTGATTTGTAGTAGTTGATTTCTGTGGTGTAAGTACTCCCAACATAGCTGATTCAAGTTACCAGTCGATGACCCTGGTAGCTGCGATGACACTGAACACAGCTAGAGTTGGGAAGAGATGTGCACAGTTGGCTCTGCAAGCCTGTGGGAGCTGGCTCCAGGACAGCACAGCCTCCATTCCCACCCTCTACCCAAATCCCTGGAAAGAGAGGGTGCTGGTAAATAAATATTTAGTAAATGAATAAAAATGGAGAGATCAGTGCAAACCTTTAACCACCACCGGGAAAGCAACTCAAGGTGTGTGTGTCATTGGTGAGGAAACATGGCATCTATATATGCGGGTAGTACATTTTGCTTTACATTCTTATTCAGGCTTGAAGAATAAACAGTTGACATCAAATTGCATAAACATTTGTCACATAATAAAAAACAGCTATGCTCTTGTAAATAGCTATTCTAACTCATCCCAAAATGATTCAGTACATGTAATTTAATAGTTGTATATCATTTCAAGGCAGACATGGTCTATATTTTAACTTGTGTAAGTGTTTGAACTTGTAATTGAAGTGAGATAATTAAATTGGTGAGGCTGGCATTTGTAGACATAACTTTTTCCCTCTTTTTGGCTCTTCCTAAGGACATGCAATGTGATACAGAACTCACTATTTAATAGAGGCCTAGTCCATTTCATTTAAAATTAGCAAGGGCTCATGTGCAAAGAGTCATATTTAAAATTTTTAAATATTTATCAATAAAGATTTCTCCCTGAACTGCAAAGGCAAATAGTATTTATTTGCCAAATGTTTTCAGAATAAATGCTTATTCTTTAATAGAATTTTAAAACATGATTTGAGAAGAAAGTTATGCTTTTTTTTCCCTCTTAAGAGTAGGAGCTGATTTTTTATGACTTCAAAACATGTATTTTGACTAGGAAACTTTTGTTAACTTCTCTGCAATTAGATAATAGAAATCACCGCTGTTCCTCATTCCTCTGCTCAGTGCTTCCACTTTTTAAATGCTCCCCGTAGGTGTTCATGTTCACTGGTATTTTCTTTCAACAATTCCTGTAAGTTACCCTTTCTTTGTGGATAAGTAAGAGTTTGCAAAACTTTACACCCTTATTCTTCAATTAAATACCGACATGGAATGGTGGTGTCGAGCATGCTAATCAGCAGGACCTCCCTGTGGGAATCTGTGCTAGAAGACTGGTTCACATTGAAGGCAGACAGTACTGTTGACACTGGCTGTCAAAAAGGTTTCACGTCTTTGAAAGGAAATCTTAATCTTCTTTATTCATGTGTGAACAGGTCCAGGCCCCCATCCCGGGACTCATATGCATTGGCTGTTTAAACTACAGGTTGCTAGGCTTTGGGCTAGAGTCTGTTTGCCTGTGTCTAGTTCCTCCAAATGGATGAGGACTGAAAATTAAAATCTGTCTGACACAGACCATGGCTTTTCAGTCTCTGTTTGAAGAGACATGGCAACCTAGGGCGAAATGAAAAGGAATTTTATTGAGCGCAAAACCACTCGATGTTTAAATGTTGGAGGCAGGAACTGAATGGTGATTTGGGGTAACTCGTAGATTGTTTATAGACAGTGGGATGGCTGTCAATCAAGGCACAAAGGCAAAATTTGTGTCAGAAAAAAAAGTGCTTTTCTAGTGGCTGAAGTCTTGTTTCCTGTTAACAGTCTCAACCCCAGAAATAAAAAGCTTTTTTTTTTTTCTTGAAGTTTCCAAGCACACAAATTTCAGAATAACAGAGATGCCTTACTGATCTGGGTGGCACAGTTTAAGGCTAAGTTATGCCCAAAAGACCTCCTATGGAGTTTCTCTGCTGCATTTGAAATTTCTTCGTTTTGGTCATAACTTGTTTCTGCAGTTTTCACAAATAGAAACAGAAGAAGCAAAGATGTAATCACCAATTGGAAATCATCAAAGATATTTGGGGCCATATATACTGTACCACTTTAATAACCTAATTCAAAAAGATCTTAGGCATACATTTGATTTTATTTTTAGAACCCATTTCTTCCTAGAAATTAGGCATTTTCTTGAGTGCTCTTTTATATCATTAAATAAACATTTTCATTGTTAACACTGGTAGTGTTAACAAAATATATATATCTTTTGAAAAATTAGCAATACAAATTAGAATTTTCAAAATAAGTTTTTACTTTATGCTCCTAGAGAAATTTCAGGGCATGCAAGTAATATATATTACATTAACCTGGTGGGTAGTTAAATGTGTTTCTTCATCTAATGTAAAAAAATCTAGATTTGAGATTTTATTCAATAATGATAGATTCCAATGGAATCTTGAATTCTGTCAGTATTTCTTAGACTTCTGTGCATCTATAGCAAGCTTTTCCTACATATATAAAGATAACAGGGCTGGCTCACCAGTACGGAAAGACATGTCTGTTGGTGCACTTTTAAGATGGTGGTAGATTTGCTCTGTTGGGTACACGCTTCAACCCAACTCTGTTTTCAGCTGACACCATGCATTTGTCAAAGGACTGTTCACGGATTTCATCCGTGGCAAGAGGAGCACAAGAGGAAAGAACATTAGCAAAAATCTTCTCTTGTTATTTTTGGTTTTAAGGAGTGCTCATTAATCATATTTGTTGTTTCCTACCAACTCTGACCAATTTGAGAAATAGCCAAAGGATCAGGTTGGAATAAAAAGTTAGGCAAAGCCAGATTGGAGAACAAAGTTTATTTCCGAGAAAGCTCAATCAAGTTTATGACTACTTCCCTTGACAGAATTTTCTTCTCTAGTACCTCCCTGAGTAAATCAAAATGTTGGTGAAATTTCTTGCTTTATGGCTGTGAGTAGGTTTGCCAGATGGGTAAAATAAGAGGTCTCTGATAACTGGAGAAATTTCACAGAAAGCGGCCTGGCATGGGGCTGGGGTGAGGAGGCAGAGGAGATGTATCAAATATCCTAGAGGTACTTTGGTTGGCTTGAGCAACCATCAGAATTACTGGAAAATTGAATGGATATTTAATCCATCCCATCCTTTTTATCCAATTTGGTCATTTTCACCCATAATAAGAATGACAGGGGAAGAATTGGAATCATATGGCTGGGATTCTTCTCCTAGCCCCCACATGAAGAGCACTAACACCCAGATTCCCTGACTCCTGTCTGTTTTTTTTCCCACAGGCAAAGTCTTTCTCCTTAACCAAAGTTTAGTCAGTTCCTCTGAGCCCTCTTCTCAACTAGGCCTGGACCTTGGGCTTCAGTATCAATCCCATTGGGCCTGCTGGGCCTACATCACTCAGTTTTAGCAAGAATTCTGCTAAGTCAGTTTAGAGAGTATCTCCTACCCTTGATATCTGCTACACCCTCAGTATCAAATTCTTCATTTCTCACCATCCCCCAATGACATCTGATCACTCTGACCTGCCTTCAGCAAAAATTCTGTTAACTAAGTTTAGCAAGAATTCCCTCTGCCCTTGATGTCACCTCTTAGTAATTTTCTTATCCACTGAACATCCTCCCCTCACAACCTGTTCTTCGGTTATAAATCTCCAGTGGTCCTTGTTATCTTTGTAATATTGAGCCTAGTTTTATACTAAGGTCTATTTTCCTCTATTGCAGTTGTTCCTGAATAAAATCTATTTTTACCTTTTTAACTACTGACCAGCTCTAGTTTTCTGTAACACCAGCACCTCAAGCATCTCTATCAGCTATCCAGTGGGAAGAGATAAGAACATTCCTCGTCTATCCATGAAGCAGAGAATTACTGGCTTCATTCCTCTGAGGAAGTCCCTAAGACTCTGGAAGTGAAGATAGGTTTCTATGCAAAGTCTCAATGCTGATTAAAAAAAAACTGCAGGATGGGGGCTACAGATATTGCTAGAACCAGAACTGCAAAGAATTGCAAAATCCTTGCAATTTTCCATAGCCCCTTCAAACCTCCATAGTAAAGGAAATTTAATGGCCCATGCATATATATTTCCTCAGGAACTTGGAACAGCAGAGTTACCATGTCTTCATGTTGGCATTTTGGATTATTAGTTTTGGCTAATTTAAGGTTATTAAATCCCCCTTGAGCTTCAAGGAGGGCAAAAAAAAAATCATGAATGTAAACAATGTTAATACAGTAATAATAATGTGGACTCCCTGGGGATTAGGAGGAAATATTTAACATTCCAGAAACAAAAAGTTTCTTGAAACAGATTCTTCTTTATGGTATGTGTGTGTATGGTGGGGGGGGGGGCAGTGTTGTAACAAAACTGTCTGCTGCCTTTCAATTTTCTTGTTCCAATGCTATTACTACACCCTTCAGGAGTTTTCTGTGCTACCACTCATTCATTGCTCCCTAAAAACCATAATTTACTATGTTATCACAAAAGACTGGGAGAGGTTTGCATCCTTGGACAGGAAAACCACTCTTGTCTCATTTCTTGTCTCATTACATCTGCTGTCTCTGGACCCACACATATCATCTTTCCTCATTCTTAAGAAAATGGAAAGTGTTTGAGTGATGTAAAGACCCTGATTTCCTGGGTTTCTCTAGATTTTTATTTCTGGTTATAAATCAACCTTAAAAAATTAATCCAGCATTTGAAATTATCTATGACATTACTATTGATTCCATCCCATCTTATAAAGGTTACTTTTTCCCCAGCCTAGACAACCTAAAGACCTTCTGAATAGCTACAATGCAGACAGAAATGAAAATCAAAGTAAACTATCCCAAACTACAGATGCTAGAAAAGAAAAAAATTATATTAGGTTTTTCATGTTTCAAATCAAAGGCAAGTTTTTTTTCTTAAAAACAAAACTGAATATGAACTTCTGTATATTTCAAATTTATAGACTGTAATAGATAATTTTTGAACCAAAATGATAATATCACTGAATATGCATCTGTGGAAAATGATCCTGACCCGTCCCCACACATTTCCCCATATCCACCCCTGGCCCCATCCCCAGCCAGAATCCTCTGAACAACAGGAAAGGGGACCAGAGCACAAGCATCTTATCTTTGGCCAACCATCACATTTATTCCCTTAGTTGGTTACATTTTTAGAATTTTTGACCCTCGGTATCTGTTTCTTATCATGGCTTCCATCAGTACTTTCCCCAGTGCCTTGGGCATCTTTTGATTTCCACTGTCTCTACTCTCACTCAGGAATTTCCTTAAAGCTTTGTTAAATAATACACTGGGCTAAACATCAGGACCTAATATGGTTGGGTTTTCCTTGCTTTGTGAGACAATAGCATCATTTCTCAGATTCTACATCTATCTAGTTGATCCTTACAGAAGTCCTGTTGAATACTGAAAAGAGAACAAACATTCTTCCTCTATGTGCAATGGAAAAAGGTGTGAATAAATAACTCTGGTCTAAGACCTAACAACCTAATGATCCAACTCTCCCATAGATGAAACTTCAGACAGGGCCTTGACCTTTCTGGTTCCTTTCAGTCACAAGAACAGACTCATTTAAATGATTAAGAAGTCTGATCTTAATATTATCATTTCAGTTTTTATCCAATGGAATACTCCTTCATTTCCCCAGCTTGGGGTCACTTTAGGCTTAAAAGCTTTGCCCACTCTAGTCCCTGAAGCTGGTATTGGTTTGGAGTTTGTGTGGATGGGTGAGTGAGGGGTTAGTTGAAATTTGGGGTGTTGGCTCTTACTTCATGTGTCGGTTCATAGGTGCACTGGAGATCCAAGTGGGAAACTCTGACCACAGTTCCCTTAGTCTGGCAGCACTTCTTCAGGCTGGCCGTCCAAAGTCCTTTAGTATCTGGACTTCCAGATGTTCACACCTATCAGACCCAAGGGTTCAGAACCTCTAGAGGTACTGCATGGGCTTGGATGTATTTTATAAGCTCCCAAGTGATTCTAGTTGAGACAGAACAGGAACCCCTCTTAGGGGCCTGTGGGATCCCCCCAGGCATGGAAATAAAGGAAAATCTTGGGTTCCTCCGAGTGAAATTTCAGGTACCTAGCTAGACGTGAGAAGTAAATGAGCAAGTTGATAAGCAAGAAGGTTATATAGCTTAAAACAATAGCCAAGGAAGTTAAGGTCACAAGACATTTGGTTCTCCTGTAGAAACTAAAGGTAACATCTTAACATATGTCCCTGAATTGTCTTTGAAAACCTGGATTCCCCACTGAAGAGACCCACTGGCACATAGACCTCAGATGCGGGGGAAACTGAGGACTGAACTCTGACCGCCGTTCTTGGTTCTAAATTTCTTTCTAAGGGGCCTGGAGGAGGTCATGCTCACCAGCCAGAGCTAACATTCTTTTCTGTTGACCCCCAATTTTTAGACAACACTTCACTTCCTTATCCAATTGCAAATCAGAAAATCTTGAATCTACTTCTGGCCTGTGGGCCCCTGCTTCGAGAGGTCAAATCAACGTACAGCCTCCATGTGTTGATGTATGACTTTGCCTGTAACCTCTACCTCCACTCCCTTTAAAAACCCTTACCTGTAAGCCATTGAGGAGATCAGGTCTTAAGAATGAACTGCCTAATTCTCCTTGCTTGGTGCCCTGCAATAAATGCCTTGCCTTCTCTCATGGCAGTCCTGATGTCAGGGTTTAGCTTTGCTATGCCAGGCAGGCTGACCCCAGTTCACTTTGGTAACACAGTCTGCAGTCATACCTGAGATCTATGGGTTTAAACCCAATTCAGGAAACATTTTTTATCCCCAAACTTTACCCTCCACCCTTGTACTTCAAAAAGCAAAATCACTTCTATGATCTATGATATGGTGGTCTCTAAACCGCCTACTATATATATATATATACATTTTTTTTTTTTCTGAGACAGGGTCTTGCTCTGTCTCCCAGGCTGGAATGCAGTGGTGCAATTGTAGTTCACTACAGCTTTGAACTCCTGGGCTCAAGGGATCCTTCTCCCTCAGTCTCCTGAGTAGCTGGGACTGTGGGTGCATGCCACCATGCCCAGTTTATTTTTTCTTTTCTTTTTTCTTTCCTTTTCTTCTTCTTCTTTTTTTTTTTTTTTTTGTAGATACCAGGTCTCACTGTGTTTCCCAAGCTTACCTACAAAAACTTTTATTACTAAAGAGAGCACCAAACGTCTCATTCTAAAATATCTGCATTCAGGTTAATAAGGATCTCTCCACCTTCCCATAAAAAGGTGCATGTTTGAAGTCTGTGTTTGAATATTTAAAGTGCTGGTTAGGGTAGCTTGTTCAAAAACAAATGAGCAGTCATGTTTAGAGGAAGTAAATTGCTTGCAACTTTGAACCCCCCGCCCTTACTCTGACTTTCATTGCTTCAATTCCCCTTAACTTAGTAATATTTTTTAAAAGTTATGAGACCTGGCATCAGTGAAGGTACTCCAAAACCAATAATTTTATCTCTGGGTGCAGCAAAAACAGTGTAGTCTTCTGTCCATTAAGGAGATGTGAAGCTGCATTATTTTGGCTCCTATAAAGCAAAGGAAGACAAAGAGAAATCATCAGTTTAATTGTAAGTCATAAGGACACCATATTTGACCAAGAAGCAATATCTACATCTTTTACCCAATAACAATGAACACCAGAGGAGCTGTGACTCATTTAAATAAAATGTCCTTACAGATGATATTCTTAACTGGTAAAGGTAATTAAGATTAATTTTCTAGGAATACCAAGGGAACTTCACTTGCTGTGATAGCCTTTCTGCAAATGTCAAATGAGTGTAAGCCTTGTTTCATTTAATAGAGTGTCCTCTAAAAGATATTTCGAATGTGGGAGTAAGTGCTCTGTTAAAGGGCAGCATCTGTGCTGTTTATTTTCCCAAATATGGGTTTACACAGAGCATTTAAATTACCTCAAATAAAGGCAAAGGATAAAATATTCTCATATACAGACAGACATGGTTCTTTCCATATGGTACTAGGCTACATATGATTTCAAAAAGCATATAAATTGCTGGCAAGTTTGAAAATTGATTGATCATAACTTTGTAGACAGATGAACTGAAATGTTCAAACACTCTTTTTGGTGAAAACCTCAAATGAGAATTCATGATTTGTCATATTGGGATAGTCCTAGAAAAGAAAATACAATAAGAGATCCACCGAGTTCAAAAACAAAATGGAAACTGTGGTTCCTGGCAGAAACAACTCAAGCCGGATACATTTTATAGAGCAAATCAAGATCTGGCTTCTGGTTAAGATGACATCAACATAAAAAGAATGAATCTAGGTCATGGGATGTCTGAGCAGGCCTCGTCAAAGGAATGCAGGCCACAGAACACCCGGCCATTTATTGCATTAAGACAGCTCATAATATGTCATCTCTTTCCCAAGCTTTCCTTCCGTTCTGTCTTCTTATTATAACCCCTCTTTTGCCTGTAGACATTTGCTTTTTTGCAAGAATAAAATCTGACGTTTTTGGAGATGGTTGGGTTTAAGCCTAAAGTCATGCCAAACCCAACCCAGAATGCACTTCCTCATCACGAAGTGATGCTTTTTTCTGTGGGAGCCAGACTACTCATTGATCCACAAAGAAACCAGCCTAGTATTTCATAACATTTTTGAAAAATGCTGTACATTACCAGGTGCTTTTGTGACAACAAGAGACCTAAACAATGAACTAATCTTTCTGAATCCATGAGCCTGTGGAGCCAACTCAATCTGCAGTGGCAACCTGTAGATTTCAGACAAAGGCTAATTGTTCTTCTTTTGTGATCATTGTGCATCTTGCTATTTGATATGGAGATGTTATTTGACAGCTGTCTTTTATTTCTCCAACTGTACAATGAAACAGCTTATTTCTGAAAATGAGGAGAGTTGAATGGTCTCAGATGGCCCACCTCAATTTCAAGAATGAGGAAGGATTGGATGAATTCCTCTGTAAAGGCTCAAGGTGACCATGCCCTCCAGGCCCTCCTTTTCAGGTTGTTGTATGGTTGAGCATAATTATTTTTGTTTTTCCTGATCTAGTCAATGCTGAGAGCGTAATTCTCTGTGGTTTTTCATAAGTATAGTATTCAGCCCTTCCAGCCACACACAAGGCATTGATGAGTAAGGAATCCTCTCCTGGCTAAGTAATCAAAAAGGGGAAAAAACTACCATAAGGAAAAATGGAAAGTTGTTTTCAGTTGGGAAAATGTGGATATTAAATAGAGAGTAATTCCACATATTGGCATTTACTTTGTGCCCATGCCAGGAACAGACTTTTAAGTGTTTTATATGCATTATTTATTTTAGTTCATAAAACACTGATGAGGTAGGCACTTTCTTTCCATATTTTATAGATGAGAAAAATGAAGTATAGAGGATTATGCTCTCTAGCATGACGTCCAAGGTCATGCTAGTGAGGAACAGAGCCAAAAATTTTTTTTTTTAAGAGACAAGATCTCGCTTTGTCACCCAGGCTGGAGTGTAGTGGCATGACCATAGCTCACTGCAGCCTTGAAGTCTTGGGCTAAAGCGATCTTCCCAACTCAGCCTCTTGAGTAGCTAGGACTACAGGTGCATGCCTTCACGGCTGGCTAACATTTTACTTTTTGTAGAGATGGGGTCTCTCTGTGTTGCCCCAGCTGGTCTCAAACTCACAGCCTCAAGTGATCCTGCCACAGCCTCCCAAAGCACTGGAATACAGGAATGATCCATTGTGCCTGGCCAATTATTACTTGAATCCAGAAATGAAGCTTTTGAAAATGATGCCCAATCTGATTATTAATTATAGAATATCTAATTCAGAGAGTTCTATAATTGGTAGCTTTGGTTTATTAGTAAAATTTTCAAAATATTACATCTGTCACATAGGTTGGTTGTGAGGACAAAATAAGATAAAGCAAAATTTCTGGCTTAATAAAAAGTAGCTATCAGCATTTTAGAAGAAATAACACAATTGTCTCTGAAAGGGGAAGAGTGACAGTATCATTGTCGAGATTATTGTTACTGAAAGCTTAGATTCTTCATTCATTCCTTTAAAGACACATGACTCCGGCTGGGCGCAGTGGCTCACACCTGTAATCCTAGCACTTTGGGATGCTAAGGTGGATGGATCATGAGGTCAGGAGATCAAGACCATCCTGGCCAACATGGTGAAACACCGTCTCTACTAAAAATACAAAAATAAGCTGGGCATGGTGGCACGTGCCTGTAGTCCCAGCTACTCAGGAGGCTGAGGCAGGATAATCACTTGAAACTGGTAGGTGGAGGTTGCAGTAAGCTGAGATTGCACTACTGCACTCCAGCCTGGTGACAGAGTGAGACTTTGTCAAAAAAAAAAAAAAAAAAAGAAACAAACAAACAAAAAACAGACACATGACTCCATAGAGAGTATTACCTTTGCAAAGATGAATGAAACACCACTGTAAGCAGAGGGACAGATAAGGAAAAACTAACAAAAGTGTGCATTTAATTACAATTTACAAAGTGCTAGGAAAGACAAGAATTGAACGATGCAAGCATCCTAGTGCTTCTGTGAAAGAGAGTGCAGGGCACCTTCTACAGGCCCAGCGAGTGTAACCTGGCACTATTTATCTTCATGGACCCTACTTGTGTACTTGCTCTGTAGAAGTGATTGGATCTGTTTGCCTTCACAACAAAAGACCAATCATATTATATTTTCCTTGTTGCTTAGAATAGTTAGGGTCCTCGTCATTTGATCTTTCTGTGCAAACTAGAGTAAACTTATGAACCTGATTTAATCTTCTCCTTTTGACAGTTATACACTTTAGCTTCTTTTTCTCCCTTTAATTGTCATTGACAGCTCAGAGATCTCAATCTCTATTAGAATTTGGAAATTGATATTTTGAAGCAAGGGTGTGTTCCTGCTGTCCATTAAAATGTAAAGGTTTTGAAACCATTTATTCTGCTGATGATTTGTACAGGGTTGCTTTTAGGTTTTCTGATGAATCCTGCCTGAACTGGAAAATCATGTGTAGTAATATATACACTGATACTCTAGGCTGTTATATTATTCTTATCATAAAACAAAGAAATGAAATGCAATAATAGATGATTCACAGATTCTAACAAATATAACAGCATGTAAGCCCCTGCACCAGACTTCCTATTGAAAGAAAAATAAATGGTGCATCTATGGTTTGAATATAGTTGCTTCAAAATTCAGGTGTTGCCAAAATAATATTATTAGAAGGTGAAGCATTTCAGAGGTAATTAAGCCAAGAGGTCTGCCTCCTCATTTGGGGATTAATGCCCTTTTAAAAGAGGCTTCAACAACATTTGGCTAGATTGCCCTTCTGCCTTCTTCCATGTGAGGAGGTAGCAAGAAGGCCCTCACTAGACCAAATTCTGGTGCCTTGATTTCGGACTTTCCAACTTCCAGAATGGTGAGAAATCCATTTCTGTTCTTTGTAAATTACCCAGTCTCAGGTACTTTTGTTGTAGTAGCACAAAATAGACTAAGACAGATGTCTTCTGAAAAATTATTTCTCTGTTATTTTTTTCTAAACTCCCATCCTTGAGTATGAACAAGAAGTTGATCCGATGCTATAGTAATAAGTTTTAAAATAGCCAATATCAGTATTCACTAGAAGATCCAATGTTATCTTGTAGCAGAATGTCTTACTCCCTAAATATAGGCTCAGTACCACATCAAGGACCAATGGATATTCAGAAATTCTATGATGGCTGAAAGGGGCTGCTTAGGAACTACAATTGGATGGCAGGGGATCTTGAGACTTTTCTTGAAGCCATGTTCATAATCACACCCTTTTATTTAAGTATGTTTGTTGGGATAGATGGGGTGGCAGAGACTATGATTACTGAATTTACTGCCCAGCCTAAATGGCTTCATAATAACATAACTCTCAGGCGTTCAATATGTGGCAGAAGCTATAAATGAGAGGTTGCAGAGAATGTTATCACACCACTCTGACACGATATTCTCAGGTGATGTGTGCTTTCGTGTGGAATAGCACCAGAGTTATATGAAGAAAAATGCTGCAAACTGTAACAAGTTTGTGCAGACAGAATAAGGAAATTGGGACAGAGTTGAAGACTTGCCAGAAGCATATGATCTGATTTTCCTTGGCTTTGCTGGACCCTGCCAAGCGTAATATATCAAGAATGTTCAGCAATATATTTTTATTTCTTTTTTGAGATAAGTTATTGTGAGTTCTTCTTTTCTTTTCTTTTTTTCTTTTCCTTTTTTTTTTTTTTTTGAGATGGAGTCTCACTCTGTCACCCAGACTGGAGTGTAATGGCACAATCGTGGCTCACTGCAACCTCTGCCTCTCCTGGGTTCAAGTGATTCTCCTGCCTTAGCCTTCTGCGTAGCTGGGATTACAGGTGCCCGCCACCACGCCCAGCTAATTTTTGTATTTTAAGTAGAGATGGGGTTTCACCCATGTTGGTCAGGCTGGTCTCAAACTCCTGACCTCGTCATCTACCCGCCTTGGCCTCCCAAAGTGCTGAGTTTACAGGCGTGAGCCACCGCGCCTGGCCGAGATAAGTTATTGTGACTTTTTCTATATATGTATTAGATAGGAAAGCAAAACGTACTGTGCCCATGATGATGCAACTGTGTTTGTGGTGAAAATGATGCTGCTGACAATAAGACCGCACAGACACTCTGCACAAACTTTCATGGTTGTCACAGGCTCTGGGTGAATCTGCGATCTCGCAGTATCTCTACGGTCAGTTGTTTTAGTTTTTCACTGGGCTGTCACCTTTGACACTGATGCTCTTGGGCAAGTTATTTCATCATGACAAATTTAGTTTACTTATCAATTAAATCGAGAAAGTTAATGCTATCCTGTGGTATGATGGGGCAGTTTGCACTGACCAATGAGAATAAGTGTTAAATTTGTGGGGAATTTTATGAGCTACTTGATATCACTAAGGCCGTGCTCAACGTGTCATGTTGGGAACAGTTACACCACAGAAACTAGAAAATGCTCAACTAGGGATCTCCCTGAGCCCTCCAAAGTGTCCATTGTTAAAGTTTACCTGCACACCCCTTGTAATATCAGTCCACTGAACTGTTGGGCAAATTGAAGGCTATAATGTATGAAAGCAGTTCCTGATCATACAATGACAACTGGAGTGTCCTCCAACAATGAAAGTTATTTTATTGCTAGGCGCAGTGGCTCATGCCTGTAATCCCAACACTTTGGGAGGCTGAGGTGGGCGGATCATGAGGTAAGGAGTTCGAGATCAGCCTGGTCAGCAAGGTGAATCGAGATCAGCCTGGTCGCCATGGTGAAACCCCGTCTCTACTAAAAATACAAAAAATTAGCTAGGCATGGTGGTATGCACCTGTAATCGCAACTACTCGGGAGGCTGAGGCAAGCAAATTGCTTGAACCTGGGAGGTGCAAGTTGTAGTGAGCTGAGATCGCTCCACTCCACTCCAGCCTGGGTGACAAGAGTGTGACTCCATCTCAAAAAGAAAAAAAAAGAGAGAGAGAGAGAAAGTTATCTTATTAGTATTAACATTGTTATTAAATACAAGGCTGGGTGCGGTAGCTCATGACTGTAATCCCAGCACTTTGGGAGGCTGAGGCGGACGGATCACTTGAGGCCAGGAGTTTGAGACCATCCTGGCCAACATGGTGAGATCTGGTCTCTAGTAAAAATACAAAAATTAGCCGGGCGTAATGGTGTGTGCCTGTAGTCCCAGCTACTCAGGAGGCTGAGGCAGGAGAATGGCTTGAACCCGGGAGGCAGAGGTTGCGGTGAGCTAAGATCACACCACTGCACTCCAGCCTGGGCAACAGAGAGCAAGACTCCGTCTCAAAAATAAATACATAAAGTAAAAGATAAAAAAAATTATACACACACACACACACACACACACACACACACATATATATAATCTGTGTTACAGACCGTTTTTGTTTTTCTACTTTCTTTTGTTTTCCTAATTACCCATCTCTCCTGGATGACTTTCCTTGGGCTGCCATAACAAAGTACCACAAACTGAGTGGCCCCAAATAACCAAAATGTATTGTCTCATATTCTGGAGACTAGAAGTGTAAAATGAAGGTATTGGCAGGCCAGGCTCCTCGGGTTTCTTCCTTGCCTCTTCCTAGCTTCTAGTGGTTTGCTGGAAATTTTCAACATTCCCATACTTTCAGCTGTATAACCCCCACCTGTCCCTTTGTCATCACATGGCATGGCATTCTCCTTATGTGTCTCTGTCTTCACATGGCCATCTTCTCATAGGGATGCCAGTCACACTAGATTAAAGACATGCCCTATGCCCGTCAGACCTCATCTTAACTATATCTATAATGAACTTTTTTTCCAAATAAGGTCACATTCTGAGGTACTGGAGACTGGAACTTCAACATACTTCTCTTGAGGGGAGACAATTCAAAACCTGTAACATGCACCTAGCATCTTTTGAAATTGTCCTTCAGCCTGCCTTTATAGCATTGCTCAGCCCATCTCTGCTTGCAGACAATGTTTCAATTTCCTTTGAGTGTTTATCTGCAACCTGATAAGATTAACTTGTTATAAGACATTTTCTAATGCTGAAAAAATTACATTGTTTCAGGTCAGTACTGGGTTGGTTGACACTGAAGAAAAGAACAACACACTTATAGAGCTAAATGTTTACATGACAGCCCAGTCTAGTCCACAGGATTTCTGTCACACCTAGCCAATGCTGCTGTTGGAGCAAGAAAGCAGCCATAGAAAATATGTAAATAGAACTTGTCTGTGTTCTGCAAAAACTTTATGTGCAATGAAATTTGAATATAATTTTATGTATCATGAAATATTATTTGTCTTTTTTCAATTATTTAAAAATGAGAAAATTTTCTTACCCATCATTTACCAAGAAATGACCTATATCATCATGGAACTACCCTAGGATCTACAGATGCCATGTTTGTATGATCAGGCATGATCATGGCTACTTACTCTGGGGTTTGTGTATCATATTCCTGGAGTATTCCCCATGTTCTCGATCCTGTGATAATACCTAATACCCACATTATGTCATTTAGCTTTCCCAAGAACACTAGGAAGTAGACATTCCTTCCTCTCAGCTGAGGAATAAACTAAGGTTGTAATGGCAAAGTGAATATTTATTCTATGCTTATCATATTCCAGGAAATTCTCTCTAGGGTGGAAGAGTTGTCCGTATAAACAAGGTTACATTCCTCAAAGAACTTCCATTCTGGGGAGGACAGATATATAATAAACAAATGAAAAATCAAGCCCACAGGATTTTAACAAGTTGTGACAAACGCTATGAAGAAAATAGGAAGGTAGATATAACAGAGAAAAAGAAACCATCCAGATAAATAATTTGGACAGAGTGTTCAAGGAAGGCCTCTGAAGTGGTAATGGTGGAGCAGAGATTCAAAGACTAAATGAACCAGCTAAGGGTAGAGTCAGGGCTTGCCTGTTGTGAGCTTACAAACAAAACAGGCCAGGCGTGGTGGCTCACACCTGTAATCCTAGCACTTTGGGAGGCTGAGGTGGGTGGATCACCTGAGGTCAGGAGTTTGAGACCAACCTGGCCAACATGGTGAAACCCTGTCTCTACTAAAAAAATACAAAAATTAGCTGGGCACGGTTGCAGGCACCTGCAATCCCAGCTACTTGGTAGGCTGAGGCAGGAGAATTGCTTGAACCTGGGAGGTGGGGTTGTGGTAAGCTGAGATTATGCCATTGCACTCCAGCCTGGGAGAGAGAACAAGACTCCGTCTCAAACAAAACAAAACAAAACAAAACAAAACAAAACAAAACCAGGTCAATACAACTAGAATGAGATACAGAAAGTGAGTAGGGGCAGATAAAGGGGGAGAGCTATACAGGACAATTTATGCGGAACCAATGAGCCAAACCAATTGATTTACTTTGTATCATCGATGCAACGGGAAGCCATTGAAGCGATTTTAGAAAGGGAGTGGCCACTGAGTGGTGAATCATTTGCACATGGTCAAATTCTGGAATCAGGAGCCCAGTGAGAAGGCTACTGTAGTAGTCCAGGAGGGAAAAATGACAGCTGGGACAAAGTGGTAACGGTGAAAGGAGAGAGGACCAGAAGGATTTAAGGTAGAACTTGGACGTAGAATTGATAGAATTTGCTGACAGTGAATTTTGGGAAATGAGGAAAGGAAGGAATCAAGAATGAGCTGCTGGCTTCCGGTTTACAGGGGTTGTATAATAGTATGATATGCTGATGTGTTGAGAGGGTGCAAATTTGGGATGGAAAATTATGACTTTTATTTTGATAGTGGCACAAAACTGAGAATTATATATTCATGTGGATATTCCAAGACAGCAGTTGATTATATGATTCTAGAATTAATGGCGAGGTTAAAATTAGAGATATAAATTTGGAATTCCTCAGCTGATGGATAATAGGCAGAGCCTCGGAACCATATGATATCACTTAGGGAAAATCTATATTTAGATTTAGATTTTCTATAAATATATAAATATATATTTATATTTTCCCTAAATGATACCATGTGGAAAAACCTCTTCACATTTCAAACTAAGTGTTTGAGTTGGGTGACAAGAACTGAGGATTAGCCAATGTGGTAAAAGCACCTGGTGTCCCAGAATCCACATACAGAAAGAGGTTCAAAGAGAAACAACATGTGAGTGAGTGTGTGAGTGAGTGAGATCTGAAGAGAAATAAACCCATTGTATGTAGTTGTGAGTGGAAAAAGTAGGGCTTAAAATCATGCCCTCTCCTCTACATCTCAAAAATCTTTCTACAATGTCATGTTTCTGGAGTCCCTCATGGATTTCCCAACTCACTGTATGTTCGGTTTCTTTAATTCAAATTCTGATGCTTCTCTTAATGTCCACAGTAGCCTCTCAATGGATATTGAAGATGATTTATTTTAAGCAACGATTCTAAGTTAATCATGCTGATGTTAATTTTAGGTCATTTCTTGCATTTTCATTTGGAGCTGATTTATTCATGCTAAAATATTAATGGATTATCTAAAATCATTTACACTCAACTACTCCTCTTTTTAAAAAATATTTCAAGATACAACAAAAATGTTTTATGTGCCCTTTTCAACTTAATAGTGTTATTCTACTTGGATGCTTAAAACAAGAAATGTGGAATTATTTATTTTTTGTTCTTTGGCTATAAAGGAATAAAATCAAAAGTAATTATAATTACTCTAGGAGCATGAGTAGAACAAAAAACTGTGGCATTGTATTGAAGAATAAAAGGTATATTTTACAGTACTTGCCCATAATTAAGAATTGTGTATCTTGGTTTTTTATGAATTTAATTGGCACTATAAAATATTACTTGTTATTATGTGAGTTAAATACTGCAATATAAAGGTTATACACTCATAAAATAGATTCACAGTTGGAAAGTAAGAGTAATTGTATATAAGATGACTGGGAGAGAAGAAAATTATGAGACAGTGTAATACTGACTTCATGGGCTCTTGTAAATTTAGAGGGATAACAATGTACCACAATGCTGCAGACTTCAATGACATTAAAGGATTCTAGTGATCTAATATGTGAGCAACATAGATTTAAGTGATCAGTAAATTACTGTTTAGTTTAAAATTAACTAGAATATTTATTACAATATTAACAGTTAAGAATTTAGAAACTTCACAATAAATGCATGACACAACTCATCTGGGTTAAAAATATAGTTTTTTTTAAAAAGGATATGTAAAAATTATTCATACATGCATACGTGCATGTTTATACAAATATATGCACTTCACACTCCAAAGTCCTCTAATACAAGTTTACTATTTGTTTAAATCACTGAAACTGACCAACTAGGGAAAAAAATATGGACTCTTACCTACCACAGTGTGTGCATGTGTGTGTGTGTGTGTTGTGTATCTTTGCATATCATTTATGAAGATGTTTATTTCATTATACATTTAAATTGTCCTTCAAAAAAGCTTTCTAGTTAATTATTTATACCTTTATTATTTATACCTCAGTTGTTTGTGTCTCTATTTTCTATTTCTGTATTTGATCTTTTATATAAGGTTTACCTTTTAAATATTTATCAAGCTGTTAAAGTTTTATGACTTCCAAAAACATTTTTTTCCAAACTATGATTTTTCTTTCAGGCTTTCAAAATAATCTGAGAGACTAGTAGGGCTTTATAGCACTAAATTCCAGTAATAAATAGAATTCACATCATTTAATTTCTGTACTTTAAATACATTTGCAAAAACCGTAAACTTAAGCCTGCTGAAATTTATTTAAGGTCAGTCAACATTTATTGATTCTCAGCTGTGTATGTAGATGTCTTAATGTTGGCATCAAGTTTACACAATCCTGACATATCTCTGAGACACGTGAAACAGCCGAAGGGCATATATTCTGAGCAATAAATTGAAAATGTAAGCTAATATTGTAGCTGAGAAACTGAGCCCTTATGTGCTGAGGAGCATACAGCAGAAAAATGATGAGACAGCTAATGAAGTCACCTTTGAAATGTTTGATGAAGGTAATGAATGCAGCTTTGAAATTTTTTTGGATCATATTTCTCTGTACATGAAATTAATAAACAGTGGGAATTTTCTGTTTATCAAGTACGTTTAACATCAAGATAATATGTCCTTGCTGGTAACGGCAGATTTACTATAAAATTTGTTACATCTTAATTTATATAAAACAAAGATTTATTATTAATCTGTTTAGCTTTACCCCTAAATGTTGGTGGAAAGTTTAAAAAGTTTCATCAAAAAGTTTGTTTTTAAGGTGAATTTTGCATATGTTTTAAGTACTTTTTATTTTTAAATTTTTTTTTTTTTTTTGAGACTGTCATCCAGGCAGCATGCAGTGGTGCAATCTTGGTTAACTGCAACCTCTATCTCCCATGCTCAAGCTGTCCTAGCACCTCGGCCTCCTGAGTAACTGGGACTACAAGCATGCACCACCACACCTGGCTAATTTTTGTATTTTTTTTGGATTCAAGGGTCTCACCATGTTGCACAGGATGGTCTTGAACTCCTGGACTCAAGTGAATCTCCTGCCTCGGCCTCCCAAAGTGTTGGGATTACAGGTGTGAGCCACCATGCCCACCAAGCAGTTTTTATTTTTAAAAAATTAAGAGAAATTGTTTGGGGTTTAACATGTAGTATTTGTGGATGAATTCTTGATAGATATAAAGTAATACCTAAGGAATATACTGCTGAACAGACACTTCTCAAAAGAAGACATTTATGCAGCCAAAAAACACATGAAAAAATGCTCATCATCACTGGCCATCAGAGAAATGCAAATCAAAACCACAATGAGATACCATTTCACACCAGTTAGAATGGTGATCATTAAAAAGTCAGGAAACAAAAGGTGCTGGAGAGGATGTGGAGAAATAGGAACACTTTTACACTGTTGGTGGGACTGTCAACTAGTTCAGCCATTGTGGAAGTCAGTGTGGCGATTCCTCAGGGATCTAGAACAGGAAATACCATTTGACCCAGCCATCCCATTACTGGGTATATACCCAAAGGATTATAAATCATGCTGCTATAAAGACACATGAACACATATGTTTATTGCAGCACTATTCACAATAGCAAAGACTTGGAACCAACCCAAATGTCCAACAATGATAGACTGGATTAAGAAACTGTGGCACATATACACCATGGAATACTATGCAGCCATAAAAAAAATGATGAGTTCATGTCCTTTGTAGGGACATGGATGAAGCTGGAAACCATCATTCTCAGTAAACTATCGCAAGGAAAAAAAGCCAAACACTGCATCTTCTCACTCATAGGTGGGAATTGAACAATGAGAACACATGGACACAGGAAGGGGAACATCACACACTGGGGACTGTTGTGGAGTTGGGGGAGGGGGGAGAGATAGCATTAGGAGATATACCTAATGCTAAATGACGAGTTAATGGGTGCAGCACACCAACATGGCACATGCATACATATGTACCAAACCTGCACATTGTGCACATGTACCCTAAAACTTAAAGTATAATAATAATATTTAAAAAAAGAAAACAACAACAACAACAAAAAAAAAACAAAAAAAGAAATATACTGCAGTGAGGAGTCCTAGAGAAAAGAGCCGAGCAGATGTTGATTTTTTTTTTTTTTTTTTTTTTTTTTTTGAGATGGAGTGTTGCTCTGTCACCCAGGCTGGAGTGCACCGGCGCGATCTCGCTCACTGCAAGCTCCGCCTCCCAGGTTAATGCCACTCTCCTGCCTCAGCCTCCCGAGTAGCTGGGACTACAGGCGCCCGCCACCATGCCCGGCTAATTTTTTGTATTTTTAGTAGAGACAGGGTTTCACCGTGTTAGCTGGGATGGTCTCCATCTCCTGACCTCGTGATCCACCTGCCTCGGCCTCCCAAAGTGCTAGGATTACAGGCGTGAGGATATTTTAAGGTAGTACAGAATCACAGGGTTGAGAAGAATCTTAGAGATTATAAAGTGTGACTTTTTTTACTTGAAAAGTAAAACAACAACAACAACAACAAAAACACACACACAAAAAAACAAAACAAAAAAACCCCGAGGCACTCAGAAGTAAGTTGTGTTTCAGAACGGGGATAAAAACTGAGACCTCCTGACTTTCAGTTGGAAGTTATGTTTTAGTTACCTTTTTTTCACCACATTATGTGATCAACAATAAATCTCTGGTGAAAGTTATTAGTCAAAATAATGAATGTTTATATAGTTTTTCATTCCCTAAAGGTTGTAATTGAAAGATGAAGAATGGCCGACTGTGCTATCCCAAAATACATCACTTGGCATAAGGATTATTTTGAACTAAAAGCACTTGAAAAACAGCAAGTGCAAGAGAAAGACAGGAGACGAAACACTCGTGGAAAAGAATTCCTCCGCATTCCAGGAGAAAAGAAATATTCTTATGATCGGAGATGGGGAGCTGAGACCAAGAGAAATCCACACAAATAGACTTTGGTAAAAAACACACAACAACCACAAAAAACCACAACAACCTCTTATTTTCCTGCAGACTCCGATAGATTTTAATTATTATTATTATTATTATTATTATTATTATTATTATTTTTACAATTGCCTCTCTTTGCTCAACCTAGTATATTAACGCTGTATTTTGCCACTTCTTTGGGTCTTCATTTTCCTATGGGAGCTTCCATGTACATGTAAAAATCTGCATGCTTTTCTCCTGTTAATCTGTCTTACGTCAGTTGAATTCTCCGGCCCAGCTGGAGACTCTTCAGGGGTAGAGGTAAAATTTTGCCTCCACTCCAGAGATTTTTTTTTCATTTCATATTATTTTATCAAGTTCACAAAGTGCACTTCTATTCTAAAATGCACATCGATGTTCCCTTAAATTCTCTATACATGAGACAAAATTTTGTGACTGTTAATCATTAAACTTGCCATTCTACTTTATGAAGAGCCTCATCAGCTTGGATAAACAGGGCATAATCACAAAGTTGGAAGTCATTTTCTCAAAATATTTCACTACGTTTGTAAAAAACACTTTTCAGAGTTCTGATATAATTTGATGTCATAATTTTGTATTTTTGGTTTCCTCATGCTTGCCAGAGAGATTTAGAAGCGTACATCCAAAGTAATTTTGCAACGCCAACAAATTACCATATTTCACTGAAAACCCTGCACTCTTCACTTTTTAATGTCTATGGACACAACACTTCTGGAGCTGAAGGTGCATTCTCCTTTAAACAAATGACAAAATGTCAAGAAGTAAATTCACTCTTGTATGTCCACGAGGAAGAATTGATAATGACTTCTTATCCTATTTCCACTGAGGTATTTTAGGGTGATACACTTTCTCCATGTTTAAAAGAAAAGACCAAAAATTATTAAAGGGATTCTATTCAGAAAAATGATTTACATCTAATGTTTTTTGGAGGAGAGGGCTCTAAAACCACAACAGCATCTCTGTTTCTCCTGCCACATTCTGAAACTTCTGGTGCCGAGCTTGCCATCATTTCGTTATCTAAAGACTTAAGTTCTCTTGACAAGGGCACTTTGATGTATCTCAGAGCTGCTCTGAGGTATCATGGCCTTTATTTTAAGGATTTCTTAGATAACATTTTGCAAGATCCTTTGTGTAGGGGAGACTATTTTTACATTTTAGTTGAAAAAAAAGTAGACATTTTTAAAAGACCAAGAAATTATCATAGGAAATAAGACTGCATTTGTAAACATTTTAGAATTTTCAAGAAGCAGTTGCTAATATAAATGCTGTCCATAATATGCAAGTACTAGTCCATAGAGTCAATAGGACATATCCTAGGCATTCACTTAATTAGACACCAGGGAAATAGTAAGATACAGTGCTTAGAGCTTAGGCTCTGGGCTAGATAGTCAATAGCAATATAATCTCAACTTGTATCTCCAACTCTTTAAGCTTCTTATTCAGTTGTAGAATGGGAATATTACTCATTACTCACTTAAAGTATTGTGAGGTTTAGAATATATTTTTTAATTGGTTAGCACAATGCCTGAAACTAAATACTCAATAAAAGTTTGAGTTTTATTATTATCAATTTGTAGATACAAATTATATGTGTCCAGATTCAAGAATGGTTATTACAGATTAAGCAGAAAAAATTATTTAAAAAAGAATTTTAAAAAATCTGAGTTTGGAAATGATTTTATCATTTAGCATGAGGTAATCTAGTTTACTGCTATAAATTCCAGACTTGCATAGTGTCCAGAAAGCTCAGGACAAGCTACCTATTTTTGGAATATTGCATTCTAGGCAAGAGAACTTAAAGTTTGAAATACAAAAAAGTTTTAAACGTAGGGTGGAATGATTATTGCATAACACTAATCAGCAAATATGCCTCTGATAATTTCTCAAGTGTGGAGGCCATGATACATTCTTCCAGATTATAAGGAAAATTTAATTCATGCTGCCTCATCCCAGTGTTAACTGGCCAGACACTCATGCATATGTCAATGAACTTCCTAAGTGACTGCTGGAAGGAAGCATCTCTAAAATTGAATTTCCTGGTTGGTTTTCTAATGCACAAAGCAGGGAAGGTCATATTCTATCTGGGACACGTCTACTGCCTGAGACTTCTCCAGCATTTAATGTGGTAGTTTGGAGACGTCATACCCACCACAACCTGGGTCTCAGGTTAGGAGAATCCAGCTGTGGTTAGAGGGAAAAAAGAGACAGATACAGCACAGGAGGTAAATGTCAGCAAGAGAAAGATTTGCTGTGCTTCATTCTGATGAGGGACCTGGAGGGTCAGCATATTTTCATCCCACCCACATGAGATCAAAAGCCACAATTCTCTCCCTCATCCTGCCACTTTCCTGAGGCCTATGCTCCCACAAGTTGCCTCAGGCAAAAGCTGGTTGGACTTAATTAACCGACAGCCTAAGCAGGAGACCTAAAGAAGGAGGAAGCAAAGAGGACTCCTAGGGAAGGTTAAGCAGTAGAAAGATAGGCAGAACTTTTGGGGAAGAAAAAGAAAATGGCAGATGGCAGGTGTCAGGTTCACAACTATGCCAATTGCCATGTTGAGGTCTGAAGGAAGTGGGTGGATGAGCAGAAAGAACACTCGGGGGGCCGTAGGCAGGTGAAAGATGATTTTATTCAGCAGCTGCTCTCATCAACGGCTTTCTCACACTGTCTGCCCTGTCTCGGCTGCTTAATCCACTGGCTCCCACACACAGCTGCATGGCCAGCTCTCCCTTGCCTTCAGGGTCAGCAGCTTAACTCTTTCCCTCACTGGGCATGAGTAAGCTGAGCCATGTCCAGGCTCTTACCTTGCATCTGCAAAGATGGACAACTCTGACTCTTTCTCTCCTTCTCTGGGTGTAAGCATGCCTCCACAGTCAACAGGGCAATTATACCTTTTACAGACAATAGTGGCTTAGGGACAAGGGATGGCCTTCCCATGTTATGGCTACATAGCTGTGTTTACATTAGACATGGAATTGTGCACCTGCGTTCCAAACTCGCTGAGTCACTCTGGCCTGGATGTCTGCCTCAGCCTATTCCTTGACCAAAGCACAGCCATGTTCTTTAAAGTGGGAGAGCAGAGGGCAAGGACTTTTTGGTATCAGCCTGAGAAAGATACAATATGGGCTGAGAGGTAAGTGGAGGGAAGACATAATTTTTTTTTACCTTATTGGGATCACTTGCATATACTTAGTTTTTTTTTTTTTTTTTTTTTTTTGTGTGTGTGTGTGTGTGTGTGTGTGTGTGTGTGTGTGTATTTTTAATGGACATAAGTTGTACTTTCTTGTTGAATGATTAAGAACATAACTAAGTCAATTAGCTTAATTCAAACATTTCACATTTTATATATATGCTATAACATCATTTCATGCCCCATAAATATATGTAATTATAATTTGTCAATATTCAATTAAAAATACTGAATAAGCAATTTAAAAAAAAAATAACTAATGATTTTACCTCCATAACTGGCCCAGAAA
This sequence comes from Homo sapiens, assembly GCF_000001405.40. NCBI lineage: Eukaryota > Metazoa > Chordata > Mammalia > Primates > Hominidae > Homo > Homo sapiens. Next base: position 68,941,384 of record NC_000008.11, read on the forward strand.
ACTGAGAGCTGAAGGGCGGAGGCCTGGTTTGACACCAGGGTGCTGTAGATCAATGTTCAGAGGGTTGACTTTTTTACTCCCCATCTTTGGTTTCCAGCTATTTTACTGTTTTTCTATAGTGATGTCATGTAGTGCATAGAGAGAACTACTTTATGAATGTCTCACCTTTTTTTCCTGTTTTTCATATACAACATACTAATTGTGTTGTCACATTTTCAAAGATCATTAGTATACCTTTTTCTTTCCATTTCAGAAACAGAGTCACCTCAGAAGCATTGTGTAGGCTGGGCGATGGAGTTTTCAAGAGTGTAGACACATCCAGGTTTAAATCACAGGTCTGTGTCTTACTAGTTGATTTGACCTCAGGCAGGTTAAATAAATTTTCTCTGGATCATTTTTTTCTCATTTGTAAAATTAGGGTAATTACAGAAGCAAAAAAATTAGAAGAATTTAGCACAGAGCTTGGTGCATATGTGTGAATTAAATAGAAGCCAATAAATTCTTACTGATAGTTATGTTAGTACTTATTTCCTTATATCTGAAAACATCTGGTAAATAAAGATTATGTCATTGTAATAACAGCCCAAACCATGTATTTACTGCACTGAGATTAAAGTAGCTTAAGTTGAAAAAATTTATGACCTCATATACTTTGAAACCTTCTCTTTAAATCATCATATATTTATAAAAAATAGATATTTCCATACAGACTCTATAATGATGATTTTGGGGAAAAAAGAAGCTTAAAAAGCACACAAATTCATATCAAAACATGGGAACACAGCAATCATGACCTCTAAGTGTAAAGCCTACTTCTGCACAGTTGAGATGCTTTTGATCCATTCTGCGAAGTCCACTTCTGAATTCTTTCTTATCTTGTTGAATGTTGCTATATTTTCTGGAATCATCTCCTCTCCCTCTCTTTCCCTTACCCTTTCACAACAAGTCATCAAGATCTTTTAATTCTATCCTCCAATTATGTTGGGAACCTATGCTCCTTTCTCTATACCCACTGCCATTGTTTCATTTCTTGTCTGGGTTACTGCAATAGCCTCTTAACCAGTTTTTCTCCCTACTTGCCACTCTCTAATCCATCCTTTGCACCTCGATAAATCTGATTGTTCTACTCCTGCCGTGCCCACCCCCCCTCCTTTTTTTTTGAGACAGAGTCTCGCTTTGTCATCCAAACTGGAGTACAGTGGCACAATCTCGGCTCACTGCAACCTCTGTTTCCCGAGTTCAAGCGATTCTCCCTGCCTCAGCCTCCTGAGTAGCTGGAATTACAGGTGCCCACCACCACACTGGGCTAATTTTTGTATCTTTAGTAGAGATGGGGTTTCACCACGCTGGCCAGGTTACCCCCTCTTAAAGCCTGCAGTGGTTCTCTATGCCTTATGAGATTTATTATAAGATTCCTAGGATGGCCTTCCAGGGACTGCTAGTTGATTTCTAATATCCATTTTCCCTTTCTCTTTCATAATAGGACCACTTGCCTGCTGCCATCTTTAGAAGACACATAACTGAAGGTTAAATCCCCAGCTTCCCTTTAGCTCATTGTGAATATATTCCTCAGTTCTGGTCAATAGCATGTAAGCAAGAGTGCTATGTAGCACTTCTGCTAAATGTCCTTAAAGACAGTGCTATAGATTAAATGTCTGTGTCCCCCTAAAGTTTTTATGTTAAAATCCTAAGCCCCAATATGAGGATATTATGAGGTTGGGCCGTTGGTAAGTGATTTGGTAGGCAGAGCCCTCATGAATGGGATTCAGGACCTGTAAAAGAGACCTCAGAGAGCTTTTTTACTCTTTCTACTACGTGAAGATACACACAGCAAGAAGATGGCTGTTTATAAACAAGGAAGCAAGCCTCACCAGATACTGGAATATACGGATACCTTGATTTTGGACTTCCCAGCCTCTGGAACTAAGAGAAATACATTTTCGTTATTTACAAGCTACCCAGTCTATGATATTTTATATAGCAGCCAGAACAGACTGACAGAGAAGTAGCGTGTCTTTCTTTATCCTTTTCTCTTTCCTAATAACTGAATTGTAGATATGAGGGTTAGGGTTACAACAGCTCTTTGAACTTGTGAGGTGAGATACAAAAAATGGTGGAGTAGCAAGCAAAAGAGAACCTGAATCTATTAGCATCACTGAGCTTCCAAACTTGTCATAGACTGGCTTCCTCAAGCAATAACATGGGTGGGAGAAATAAACTGCTGTCTTCTATGAGCCAATATTATTTTGAATTTCTGACACCTTTAGTCAGACTAAATCCTAATATGTATGCAATCCACTGTCTTCCAAAGTATTGTCCTTCTGTTAAATTTCATATTACATTTCTTTTCCATTGGACTTTTCTCTACAACAATCCTGAACTACATGTTGGCCCAAGACCGTAGAATGATGTCAAATCTTACTGCTTTGGTTCAGGTTGTTCCCTTTGCCTAACATCACATACCCCACAGCTCTAATAGTCTTCATTTGAATTTTAGAATTATTACTTATTTTTCAATACCCTGCTCACACATCATCTCCCATAAGAAGCAATCACTGACAATTCACTTCATGCCTCCCAAAGGTGATTTTGCCCTCCCTCTCACAACCTCTGGAGCTGTACAGGTTTAAAATTTCACCACTCACATACACTGACAGTTACTTATTTGTGTGTGTTCTTTTCCTATTAATCCTTGAGGGTGGTGATTCTGTCCTATATATTTGCCATGTCTAGCAGTCTCTGGCAATTTGTAGGTGATCAATCAAAATACAGTTCTGATTTCATAGGTCATAATCATATTTCTGGAGTTTTCCAATAAAAGTAATATTTCATATATACTATTTCTCAATTCAAAGGAAGAAAATGACATTCTCTCATTGCATTTCGGACTGATCAAAAACTTAAATTTTAAGTTGTGTGTTATTCAAAAGATTGAGTGATTTTATTTGAGAGACTACATTCTATTCTGAAATGCTTCATAATAAAAGTTGTTGCCTCAGAAAAATGTTAGAACATTAAAATGGCATTTAGTTTAAATGTAATACAATTTATGAAAAATCGTAAAAGCATACTTTTAGATATCTCTATTATCTTTTAAAAATATGGCTTCCTTTCTAATACCAGTTTTTCCTTCCAAAAAAGATATACCCTATTTTTTCTCCCTAAATGTTTTCTGAGCATTTTCCTATGTCTTTAAATTGTCCTCAAAACAAATATTTTAAAAAAATTTTTTAGACACATCTCACTTTGTCACCCAGGCTGGAGTGCAGTGACGCCAACATACAGCTCACTGCAGCCTCTATCTCCCAGGCTCAGGTGATTCTCTCACCTCAGCCACCCAAGGAGCTGGGATTACAGGTGCATGTCATCATACCCAGATAATTTTTTTGTAGAGACAGGGTCTTGCCACATTGCCAAGGCTGGTTTTGAACTTCTGGGTTCAACTGATCTGCCTGCCTCAGCCTCCCAAAGTGCTGGGATTACTGCATAATATTCCCCTTTAGGTTACTATATTAAACTAATCTACTTTCTGTCCTTATGTATTTGCCTTTGTTGGATGCTTTATATAAATGGAATCATACAATATGTGGTCTTTTGTGACTGGCTTCTTTCATTAAGCATAACGTTTTCGAGATTGTTGTAGCATGTATCAATGTCTCATTCCTTTTTATTGCCTAATAATATTCCTTTGTATGGCTATGTCTCACTGTGCTTGTCAATTTATCAGTTGATGGATATTTGGATTATTTCTACTTTTTGGCTATTATGAATAATAATGGTATAAATATTAATGTACAGGTTTTTGTGTAGACATATGCTTTCATTTTTCTTAAGAATATACATAGCTTACCTCCCATATATCAGTGAGAACATAACGATGTTTGGTTTTCCATTCCTCAGTTATTTTACTTACAATAATAGTCTCCAATCTCATCCAGGTCACTGCAAATGCTGTTAATTCATTCCTTTTTATGACTGGGTGGTATTCCATCCTATATCTATATACTACAGTTTCTTTATTCACTCGTTGATTGATGGGCATTTGGGTTGGTTCCACAATTTTGCAATTGCAAATTGCAAAGCACACTTTTGATAAGTTCAAAATTTATCACTAGAGGAAAGACATCTAGTGCATCCCTTGCTGGATTAGGATCAAGATATTAAATTCTTGGATTCCTGATTCACTGAACTGGTCATTTTTTAGCTAAACCCTCATGCTGCACTCTCTACTTGGGCCTTCCCGGGGAACAGAGCTGTCTGCAGTCCCTGATACAATTACTTTGGGAGTTGCTCATTTCTAGAAAAATCATACTCAGGAAATGTTAAAAGAATAAAAATTTGGCAGGCTTCGTATAATATGCTGTCTGCATAAAGTTGTACAGACTATACAGAATCTTGAGATACAAATCTTTAGAGTTTTTCCCTGTCTTTTCATTTCCCAAATGTTATTATTCATGAATTTGTAAACATAAGACACATCTGAGGTGCACTGATGAGCAATGGGACATATGGTATTGGGTTTATCAAAGCCATTTTACAGCAAAGAGACATGCAGTCAGATGGTGAAGTAACACAACAAAAATATAAATAGTTTTCTTAATTACAAAAATTGAACATAAGTTACATTTATCAAAGGAGGCTAGATTTTACTTTAATGGCTGAAAAAAATAACTGTAAAGATGGTAACACATGTCATGTTTGGTTCTTCATTAATGTTGCCATTCAAATACAGCAGTTGTGTAATAAAAAATTCAATTAGTTAAAATAAGTAATTTTTGTTCAGAGGAACTGAAGCTAATGTGGTTAAAAATGCATTTTTTTTCCAACAAAACACTTTTTGTTCCTTTTGGTGTTGCAGAGTTGTAGAATAAACCCATAAACACTTGCTTCTTTCCTCCTCTTGCCCACCACAAAATGAAAGCACATGGTTATTGCTACCATACATTCAGTCTTGCTTCTTATGCTAGAAGAATAATTAAATGTAGGGATCCAGTTATCGTTCAAAAGAGTAGGTCTAAAAATTGGAAATATGACACTTATTTTTGAAATATCAATGAAAATGTGCCTAGCTGAGATAGTGTTCAAAATGAATTCATTCAGACAGTGTCTGTGAAAGCTTCTATTCCTCTCAGAGATTCCCTATCAAGCTTTGCAAAAGGATGTTGTATTTCACTGTCTCCTAAAAATGTGTACAACCAGGGCAGGACCATGCCCTTATGAGGCAGACATTTCCCCCAGTAAACACAAAGCTGAGTTTGGGACGCTATAAACAATTCTGTGGACTTTCACAGTAAGATCAGATCGGAGCATGGATTACATTATTTTGTATGCTTGCCTTTCATAGTCTTAATGGATTTTCAAAAATGTGCAGTGATGCTTTGTGTAGTACAAGGCTGCAGAGATAACACAACACTTCAGCACAACCTGTGACCTGCCCAGCTACACAAGTAAATGATGACTCCTATTTCCAGTGCTGGAATTATTTGTCCGATAGATAGAACATGCAGGATAAAAACTTTTGAATACAATTTTGCAACAGTGAACTCTCGATGGCTAGACCAAAGATGCAGGCTAATTGTTTCTATTCTACACCATGGGCAGTTCCATGTCTTTCATAGAAGTCTTATGCTTCCCTCTGTCATTCTGTTTCCTGGTCAATAAATTACAAACTATACTTTTAGTTTTCTATATAGAGATTTATACTAAAAACTTAAGAAGTGATGATGGAGAAGAAAAGAGTAGAGAAAAAAGAGGTCCCTGTCCTTTCTCAAATACATGAAAACATGTTTTTAGAAACCTACTTTGTAGTTTTAACCTAAGCTTTATTTCAAATCAGTCACATAGAGCAGTAATAATCATGTTTCCTTAGATCTGATGACCATGCTATGAATTATTTTCCTACATAAATTCACTTAATAGTAATTAATTTAATGTATTTTAGATGCAACTAAATGAGACTATCCAATTTCTCAAACGTACACATGTTGTACTGTGTAAATTTGTAACACATATTTGATAATATTACATATGGCATTAGTGGGGAAATATTAACTCTTTGAATATACTACTATCTGTTTTCTCTGACCACTTTGAAGAAAAACTCTGGTGCCCTTAGAAGATGTATTAGTGGAAAATATCTAGTCTGTCACATTTGCACCATTACATAGAGAAGAGAAAACTAAAACAATTGATGTGACTTCAGAGAGATTATTCTCACTACTTTAACTTTCTTATTTCTAAAATGAGGGGCTTCAACAGACGAACGTTTGGATTCTTGTGGCTTTAATATCTGTTGGTTCAGTGAGTGACACTGGCTTGGGATTCTTGTCATTATTCATCAGAAGAGCACTTAGGAACTACATGCTTTAATAAGTAAAGTAACCAGGGATTTTTGTCTTTGATTCATGATAGCTAGTAACAGAGAAAATGTCTCAGTAATTATACTTGATGTTAGAAAACTACAACATTTTCAATATTTGCATTTGTTCTATATTCTAGAGATCAAGCATAAAATATTAGATCACAGTGAATATCAATTTTTTAGGGAAGTAAAGTTCATAATTTAATTATATTATTACACCATTTTCTTGGGAGGTAATATTTTCTGTATTTTTAAATTATTAATAGTTTATCTTTTTATTTTTCTCAACAGAATCATTTGAATATCAAAGCATAGGACTCTAATTGTCAAAGACATTTGAACAATTTTATTTTTCTTTGAAATTTTTAAACTATTATCTTATTTGTGGATCTTTCATATTATTCAAATTAAACTAGTCATACCAGAAATTCTTCTAAATAAACACCTTTTAAAATCTCTCTTAATTTGGTTCTGCTTGTAGGCCTGCTTTCTCTTGTGTGTGTTGTGAAAATGTGGAAGGGATCTCTATTCCATACTCTGTGCTTTCCCTTATGAACATTTTAAATCTTAAAATCCTTGAAATTCAGAAATTAGAGTTTTTAATTTTTTTAATATTCTGAATCTAACACTAATAAGTAGAAAAAAAAACCCAAGCTTACATCTACTATTCAGAGTAACAAGTGAAATACAGTTCCCAATATTATTATGCATGAAATCTGTTATAATCAAAAGCCACTCTTAAGATTTTACCTTAGGTGGTAACTGACAGCCTCTTATAGGCCTTGCAAAATCCAGCTTTTCTTTTTGAAGGAAAAATTCTATTACAAATTTCTTTATACCTGAAACTAAATTATAAACATTTTTAAATATTTAAGAGTTTATATCTCATAATTTTTTGACTCTTGTTTCTTTCTATACTTAATTTTACTTAGGTATATTGAGAGACAATACCAGTTTAAGCTTTTTTGTTTGTTCAGTTTTTATTCTTCCATCTATTCAGCAAATATTTATTGGCCATTTACAGTAAGCAATCTGTGAAAGACAGAATTAAATAACAAATTGACCCTGCTTACAATCTAGTACAGTAACTAACTCACATATCAGTTGAGTAAAAGGAAATGATTTTATTTTTCTTTTACCCATCATCTGTGGGCCTTGAAATAGGCAAATTATAAATGAGAAAGATATTGTTGTTGGCTAAAAAGAGAACTAAAATTAATCTATTTTCATGATAAATTCTATATTATGTCTTGAGACAGAGTCTTACTCTGTCACCCAGACTGAAGTGCAGTGGCGCGATCTTGGCTCGCTGCAATATCCACCTCCCAAGTTCGAGCGATTCTCCTGCCTCAGCCTCTGAATAGCTGGGATTACAGGCACACGCCACCATGCCTGGCTATTTTTTGTATTTTTAGTAGAGATGGGGTTTCACCATGTTGGCCGGGCTGGTCTCAAACTCCTGACCTCAGGTGATCCTCCCGCCTCAGCCTCCCAAAGTGTTGGGATTACAGGCGTGAGCCACCACACCCGGCCAGTCCTTCTTTTAAGTGTTTGCAGTCCTGTTGAGGAGTCAGGTCAATAAACAGCTGTTTGCTACACAATTTGACAAGTATAATAATAGTGAAAAATCCAGAGTAATCAAAGAACAAACAGTAGGGACACTGTAGTGGCTTGGAAGTGTAGAGCAGAGGAAAGGACGATAAGAGTGGTTCTGAGGTTCAACAGGGCTATCCAGCAGATAGAGAATGGGCTGGGGGTAAGAAGAACAAGTGAGAAGGGTAACAGTCATGGTAGGTTTACACCCTTATCTGGATTGAGATGACTCTAAAACTCATAAAAAATGTAAAATCACTAATTTTTGTTGTTTCTAGAAATAGCATAACAGACATCCTATCCTTTTATCTTTTTCTTCTTATTTTATTTATTTTTTGGGGAAAAGGGTCTCCGTCTGTCACCCAGGCTAGAGTGCAGTGGTGCAATCTTGACTCACTGCAGCCTCTACCTCCCCAGATTCAGGTGATCCTCTCACCTCAGCTTCCTGAGTAGCTGGGACTACAGGCTCTCAATATCATGCACAGCTAATTTTTGTATTTTTTGTAGAAATGGGGTTTCACCAGGTTGCCCAGGCTGGTCTCAAACTCCTGGACTCAAGTGATCCTCTCACCTGAGGCTCCCAAAGTGCTAGCATTACAGGCACGTGCCACTTTGCCCGGCTGACATCCTAACTTCAACCCTTGTATTAGTGTTCTTTTATTTGTATATTGTGTAAAGTTTTATATGTATTTTTTCTTTATATTAAGGTAACAGTTTTGTTTTTTCCTCCCCTAATTTGTTAGGACTTTGTTACCTCTAAAGCAAGGGTGTCCAATCTTTTGGCTTCCCTGGGCCGTGTTGGAAGAAGAATTGTCTTGGGCCACACTTAAAATACACTAACGCTAATGATAGCTGATGAGCTTAAAAAATTGCAAAAGAGTCTCATAATGTTTTAAGAAAGTTTGCAAACTTGTGTTGGGCCTCATTCAAAGTTGTCCTGTGGGCTGCGGGCTGGACAAATTTGCTCTAAAGGAATATCATCTCCTAACAGAGGAGTTCTACTATTAAACTAAACCAATGCATGCTTCTGGGAGAACTGTAGAAAACTGAGGATTGTCATAGGTCTAGACTAAGAAGAAAGGAACATATGGTGATAAAAATACTTCATCTGATACATGCCTAATCAAATAAAGTTGCAAAATAAAGAAGCCTGCAAACAGTAGGAGTGTTTATAAAGCACCCACCCTCATTTTATTAAGTAAAAATAAATGACTATGACCATAAAACTATAAGAGTGAGCCTTCTTCTTTCAACTGAAATAGCTGGTATAGAACTTGTCCTCTAACTATAAATAGCAAAAGAACTGGAATATATATATTTTACAATTGTTTTCAAGAATTGGAGAATAGACAGATTAGAATTATGATCCCTGAAAGAAAGGTGGCTAAGGAGGTAGGTCATAAAATTGTCAAGCTTTTGTTTTGGAGGCAATTTTTAGACTATAATTCAGGGAAAGAACCCAAAATAGAGCAGGATGGTATAAATTGATGAAAGGAGAATGAAATTTGGGGAGGCTGAGGCTGCTAGAATTTTCAGGGCAGAGTACTGGGAGGTGTGACCTACACAGAGAAACAATTTCAGAATCTTTAATTCATTGGTTAAATACTAACTTAGGCATGCTTAGGGTAAAATTTCATAAGGACAGCAAAAGAACAACTACCAGAGAGCTTTAAGCTGAAAAAAAAAATCCCAGAGGCCAATGATGGGAGGTGTTTGAATTCTAACCAGGCAGTAAAAAGTATCATCGAACATTGAGGGCATTCAGTAGAGATCACAGAAAGTCATGTCTTAGTAGTAAGGCTAAACTAGGATTACAGAAAGACTACTCTAGGCCCATCTTAACAATGTTTCTAAACAATTGTGAAAAATATTATGCAAAGGTAGAAGTAATATATCTGCTTGCCAAAATAAACTTCAACACTAAAGGAAGAAAACAAAATGCAAGTGCTCAACAATGTAACATATGCTGTGTGTAGTATCCACTCACAAATTGCAAAACAAAATGGAAGTACTCAACAATGTAACATATGCTGTGTCTAGCACCCACTCACAAATTGCTAACTAACTATGCAAAAAGCATCAATTTATGATCCATACCTAGGAGAAAATTTATCAATAAGAAAATTGTTTATCAATAAGATGAAATTAGAAAAAACAACCTTAGAGTAGCTATTTAAAAATCAAAAATAGGGCAAAGGATTTAAAAGAAAATATGAACATCTTGAGAACAGAAACAGAAGACAAAAAAGTAAACAAATGGAACTACTAGGACTAAAATATACAATAAAATGAAAAAAATCCCTGTCAGACTTAAAGCAGATTAGTAGCTGTGGAAGAAAAGAACTATGAACTTGAAAACAAACCAGTAAGTGGCTCACACCTGTAATCTCAGCACTTTGGGAGGCCAAGGTGGGCGAATCACTTGAGGCCAGGAGTTCTAGACCAGCCTGGGCAACATGGTGAAACCCCATTTCTACTAGGAATACAAAAATTAGCCAGGCATGGTGTTGCATGCTTGCGGTCCCAGCTACTTGGGAGGCTGAGGTGGGAGGATCACCTGAGCCTCAGGAGGCTGAGGCTGCAATGAGCCAAGATCACACCACTGCACTCCTGCCTGGGCAGCAGAGAGAGGGCCTGTCTCAAAAAAACAAACAAACAAAAGCAAATAAACAAAAAAACAATAAAAACTATTCAAACTCTATTCAAACTGAAGGTTAGGTAAAGTAAAACCTAAAGAAACAAAAATGAACAGAGTGTCTGTGATCTATGAAAAGATATCAAGCATTGTAACAGATACATAACTGGAGTCTCAGAAAGAGAAAAAAGAGATAGGGATGGGGAAAAAAAAGCATTTTGGAAAAGAACGGCCAAAACTTTTTCATTGACTCTTACTCCACATCATTCATGAAAATTAACTCAAAATTAAGTATAGACTTGTATGTATGTGCAAATCTGTACAACTTTTGGAAGCAAACATAGGAAAAAATGTTTTTGTCTATTCACAGCCAAATATTTTGACAGAAGAAGCACAAGCCATGAAATAAAAAAAAATGTATATATAAAATTAGACTTTGGAAACAACTAAAAACATGTGCCCTTTAAAGAAAACTGTTAAAATCAAACCACTAAGTATAAGGAAATACTTTTGATATATATAAATCTGTTAAAAGACCTGTGTCCAGGAAAGACAGACACTTCACAAAGGAAGATATAAAATGGCCAATAATGACATAAAAGATGTTCAACATCTGTAGCCATCAAGGAAATTCAAATTAAAACTACAATAATATCTTACTACACACCAGGGGTGTCTAATTTTTTGGCTTTCTTGGGCCACATTGGAAGAAGAAGAATTGTCTTGGGCCACACATAAAATACACTAACACTAATGATAGCTGATGAGCTAAAAAAATTTGCAAAGAAATCTCATAATATTTTAAGAAAGTGTATGAACTTGTGTTGGGCTGCATTCAAATGCATCCTGGGTCGCGGGCTGGACAAGCTTGCTATAACTGTCAGAATGGCTAAAATTAAGAAGTCTAATGGTACCAAAAGTTGGTTAAGATATGGAGGAACTGGAACGCCCTCATATTGCCAGTGGGAACAAAATGCTACAACCATTTTGGAAAACAATTTGCTGTTTTTGTTATGTTTTGTTTTACAGTTAAACACACACTTACCATGTGATCCAACAATTTCCCTCCTAGGTATTTACCCAAGATAAACTGAAACACACACCCACACAAGAATTTGTATATGAATGTTCATAGCAGCTTTATTCATAATTGCCAAAAACTGGGAACAATCAAAATGTCTATCAACAGGTGAATTAATAAAGAAATGATGGTTTATTCATATAATGGGATACTGTTTAGTTAAAAGGAACAAACCACTGATACAGGTAAAAATGTGGATGAATCTCAAAATCATACTAAAGGGAAAAAAGACAAAGACACAAAAGAGTGTCTGTCTGATTTCCTTTAAGATCAATGGTTGCCTGGGACAAGACTGCAAAGAAGCAGGAGAAAACATTTTGGCATAATGGAGATATTTTATTTCATGATTGAGGGGGTGGTTACATGAGTCCATATATATGTAAAAACTCATTGAACTGTACACTTAAAATGCATGCACTTGTGGTACAGTTATGTGTTGTTTAATGGGGGGTATGCATTCTGAGAAATGCATCAGTATGCAATTTACTGACTGTACCAAGAACATAGAGTGTACTTACACAAATCTAGATGGTCAGCCTACTACACACACACCTAGGCTATATGGCATAGCTTATCGCTCTTAGGCTACAAACCTGCACAGCATGTTACTGTACTGAATACTGTAGGCAATAGTAACACAGTAGTTTTTGCGTACCAAAACACAGAAAAAACAGCTAAACAACAGGAAAGGTATACTAAAAATGCAGTATAATCTTATGGGACTACCTTGGAATGTGCGGTCCATCCTTGACTGAAACATCACTATGGGGCAAGAGACTGTATATAAAATAAGCCTCAATAAAGTTGTTTTAAAATAAGATTAAAAAGTTCATAAGAGAGGAAACATATAACCAAGATCGAGAACTTTCATGATAGAATATGAATTCTCATTAAATGAGCAGACACTGTTTTGAAGAATTGATGCTCAACAATCCACAAGCAAGTGTGGTATTTAACTCAAGGTTATATGTATGATTTGTCTGTCTGATGATGTTAAAACTTACCTCACTCTTCAATCCAAACTTTATCTTTATTTCCCTGTCTTAGGTTGTCCAGTACACTAGGGAAAGACAGCATCAATATTAGGCATACAGATGGTTTGTTAACGGCTGTGTGAAAATAAGAAAAATTATAATGTTCTTCATTATGCAGATTATTATAAAGAGATAATTTGCATATTGATTTAAGTATGTTTTGTTCCTAGGGATGTCAGACTCATAATTATTCCTACATGGTTTTAATACTCAGGTTGTAAGGCTTTATTTCAAAACATTTAGCATTTATATCCCACTCAAATATAAAATTACAATTCTAGACAAGTTCTAGGAAACAGCATAAAAATGGTAATAGAATATATTTTAAGTGATTCAGGTGGAGTGTATTGTTTATAGAAGATATTATACATAAATAAAAGCTTTTAAAGGTTAATGCTTTTCGTATCTGTTTGGTAATTCCAAACACCCTCTCTACTCCCACTATTAACCTAGCACATTTATATGTGGCATTTAAAAATTGCTCACCATAGTGCCCTTAGTAGATAAAAAGAACCCTGAATAATGAAACTGAGATAGCCAAGTGTAAAGGGGTCCCCAGAAAAACTCCAACTGGCCTGTGCATTGGGAGGAGTGTGCACCGGGTTGGAGCCTCAAGAAGTTTGTGCAGTTTGCATGGAGGGAGAAGCCTGGCCTCTCCTGTTCCAGGGTGGAACCTGGAATTCAATCTGCTAGGTGGGAAGCCTATCCCAGCAGTACTCTATCCTGCTGAGAGTCCCTGTTTCCCTTTTTTTCCTTTTTGCCCAATAAATTCCATTTCTCTCACCCTTCAAAGTGTCTGTGAGCCTAATCTCTCATGGCCGTGTGACAAGAACCTGGCTTTCAGCTGAACTAAGGAGAAAGTCCTACAACAAAATATTGATAATAAATAAGGGATGCATACCTAAATTCCTCCTTTTGGTTGTAAGGTTACCACTCTTATCACTTACCAAGACTATCCAATTATATAAAAAATGTTCATTAAAGATGATGGTAATAAACAATTGCACAAATTATTAGGAGATTAAATATGGTGGACAAAGCAGTTTTTTATTGATAGTAGTTTTTGTACACATTTATGGAGTATATGTACATTTTGTTATATGTATACACTGTATAATGATCAAGTTAGGGTATTTGGGGTGTATTGGGAACATTTCAAGTCCTCTCTTCTAGAAACTTTGAAATATACAATATGCTGTTAACTATGATCATGCTACTCTGCTATTGAACATTAGAACATATTCCTTCTCACTAACTGTATGTTTATACCCATTAACCAACCCCTCCCACCCACAGGCACACCCTAACCAGCTGCCAGTATCTATTATTGTTCTACTCTCTATCTCCATGAGATTCACTTTTTTAGTTCCTTCATGTGAGTAAGAACATGCAATGTTTGTCTTTCTGTATCTGGCTTCACTTAGCACTTTCACTTAACACAATGGCCTCCAGTTCCATTCATGTTGCTGTAAATGACACTCTCAGTTTAAAAAAATATTAAAATTAGAGGAAACATTATGAGTTAATTGAAAAATCAACCAATATGTATTTCCGGAAAAGAGAAGAAAACCATTATTATACAGATATTCAGAATTTATTTAGTTTGTAAACCTACCTCCCGTCTACCTTAATCTGAAAGAAGTTATATAACATGTAATAATTATGATAGGGTAGGATAAAGGCCATTATCTCCATTTTGTAGTATCTATTAATTTCTCCAAGGAAGTACTGAACAAAGTGTACTTAAATTAAAACCATGTATGGGCTCGGCGCGGTGGCTTATGCCTGTAATCCCAGTACTTTGGGAGGCCAAGGCAGGCGAATCACCTGAGGTCAGAAGTTCAAGACCAGCCTGGCCAACATGGCAAAACCCCGTCTCTACTAAAAATACAAAAATTGGCTGGGCGTGGAGGCACACACCAGTAGTCCCAGCTACTCAGGAGGCTGAGGCAGGAGAATCACTTGAATCTGGGAAGTTTGGGCAACAGACAGAGACTCCATCTTAAGAAAATAAAACAAAACAAAACATATATGTACATAATTTTGATACTTCATTAACCTTCTGGGCTTTCATAACTAAGTCATGAATCAGATATGATAATTCAGATGTTTTAGGTTCAATAAGCTCCATATTAGAACTGGATTTCGATGGAAATATTTATAAGACACTTTTGTTTATAGAATGGAATATGTGGTTACCACTGAGATCTTGGTTACCACTGAGATCTTCTTTTCTTTAAACAAGAACGTTCATCCACACTCTCATGGTAAACACCAGTTGTTGGCATTAAAATTGCTCATACAATACTGGAGCAAATATACAACCTTAGAACACATGAAGACCATCCAAAGATGTTTATATTAAGAAACCATGGCTTATAAAGAAGAGTATAACTCTGTAATATTAAAAAGCATTCTTCAGAAGTAAAAAGCCTTCCCAGATAGCCAAAGAAGCAATGCACGAAGTGTATGAAGAAGAAGCTATTTACTCTTCTGAGTCACTCAAACACCGTTTTATTCATCAAAAAAAGAGTTTCACTGGGAAATGCAACTTTTTCTTCCTTTTTTTGAGACGGATTCTCGTTCTGTCACCCAGGCTGGAGTGCAGTGACATGATCTTGGCTCACTGCAACCTCTGCCTCCCAGGTTCAAGCAATTCTCCTGCCTTGGCCTCCCAATCCCAAGTAGCTGGGATTATAGGTGTGTGCCACCACCCCTGGCTAATTTTTTGTATTTTTAGAAAAGATGGGGTTTTACCATGTTGGCCAGGCTGGTCTCAAATTCCTGACCTCAGGTGGTTCATCCCCCTCGGCCTCCCAAGGGCTGGGATTACAGGCGTTGGTTTTTTATTTTTTATTTTTTGGAGACAGAGTCTTGCTCTATCGCCCAGGCTGGAGTGCAGTGGCATGATCACAGCTCTCTGCAACCTCCGCCTCCCAAGTTCAAGCAATTCTCTGACTCAGCCTCCTCGGTAGCTGGGATTACAGGTGCCCACCACCATACCTGGCTAATTTTTTTTGTATTTTTAGTGGAGACGGGTTTCACCATCTTGGCCAGGCTGGTCTTGAACTCTTGACCTGGTGATCCATCCATACAAGCGTTGCTTTACATATTGCTTCATCACCCAGGTATTAAGCCCAGTACCCAATAGTTATCTTTTCTGCTCCTCTCCCTCCTCTCACCCTCCATCCTCAAGTAGGCCCCAGCATCTGTTGTTCCTCCTCTGTGTGTCCATGTGTTCTTATCATTTAGCTCCCACTTATAAGTGAGAACATGTGGTATTTAGTTTTCTGTTCCTGCATTAGTTTGCTAAGGATAATAGCCTCCAGTTCCATCCATGTTCCTACAAAAGACATGATCACGTGTTTTTTATGACTGCATAGTATTCCAAAGTGTATATGTACCACATTTTCTTCATCCGACCTGTCATTGATAGGCATTTAGGTTGATTCCACGTCTTTGCTATTGTGAATAGTGCTGCAATGAACATTTGCATCATGTGTCTTTATGGTAGAATGATTTATATTCCTCTGGGTATATACCAAGTAATGGAATTGCTGATTCAAATGATAGTTCTGCTTTTAGCTCTCTGAGGAATTGCCATACTGCTTTCCTTATGGTTAAGCTAAATTACACTCCCACCAACAGTGTATAAGTGTTTTTATCCCTCCACAACCTCACCAGCATCTGTTATTTTTTGACTTTTTAATAATCATTCTGACTGGTGTGAGATGGTATCTCATTGTAGTTTTTATTTGCATTTCTCTAATGATCAGTGATATTGAACTTTTTTCATATTCTAGTTAGCTGCATGTATGTCTTCTTTTGAGAAGTGTCCATGTTCTTTGCCTACTTTTTAATGGGGTTGTTTTTCTCTTCTAAATTTAAGTTCCTCACAGATACTTTGTCAGGTGCATACTTTGCAAAAATTTTCTCCCATTTTAAATATTGTCTGTTTACTCTGTTGATAGTTTCGTTTGCTGTGCAGAGCTCTTAGGTTTAATTAGATCTCATATGTCAATTTTGGCTTTTGTTGTGATTGCTTTTGGCATCTTTGTCATGAAACGTCGTTTGTTCCCATATCCAGGATGGTATTGCCTAGGTTGTCTTCCAGGGTTTTTATAATTTTGGGTTTTACATTTAAATCTTTAATCCATCTTGGGTTGATTTTTGTGTATGGTTTAAGAAAGGAGTCTAGCTTCAATCTTCTGCATATGACTAGCCAGTTATCTCAGCGTCATTTATTGAATAGGGAGTTATTTACCCATTGCTCATTTTTGTCAGCTTTGTTGAAGATCAGGTGGTCATAGATGTGTGGCCTTATTTCTGGGCTTTCTATTCTGTTCCATTGATCTCCAGCTGATAAACAACTTCAGCAAAGTTGCAGGATACAAAATCAATGAACAAAAATCATTAACATTCCTATACACCAACAACAGCCAAACCAAGAGCCAAATCTACAAAGGCAATCCCACTCACAATTGTCACAAAAAGAATAAAAAACCTAGGAAAACAGCTAACCAGGGGAGAGGTGAAAGATCTCTACAGTGAGAATTACAAAACACTGCTCAAAGAAATCAGGGAACAGACAAACAAATTAAAAAAACATTCAATGTTCATGGATAGGAAGAATCAATATCATTAAAATGGCCATACTGCTCAAAGCAATTTACAGATTCAGTGCTATTTCTATCAAACTACCAATGACATTTTTCACAGAACTAGAAAAAAAAAACTATTTTAAAATTAATATGAAACAAAAAGAGCCCAAATAGTCAAGGCAACCTAAGCAAAAAGAATAAAACTGGAGGCATCACTTTTCCTGACTTCAAACGGTACTACAAGGCTACAGTAACCTAACCAGCATGGTGCTGGTACAAACACAGGCAGAGAAATGGACCATTTTTAAGAGCCTTTGACAACATCTACAAACAGCAAACTTCAGCTAATAATCATAATTTGTACTTTTATCATTAAGGAATGCACTGAATCAATGGTATTAGTTTTGTGAAACAAGGAGCTCAGAGCTAAGCTGCTTAGAACTGGTATCGGGGACTCTGTAATACCATCAGTGATGCAGGCAGACTCCCTCCAACTTTCTGTTCAGAGGTCCATGGTGCAGCACTCATATGCATGGCTGTTGCCTTATGGTCACAAGTTGGATTCTCTAAAACCAGCATATTAAGTAGGAAGAAGTAGAAGAACAAAAGTTGTTTACCAATGGAATTGAGTCTCTTTTAAAGAGTTTTCCTTGAAGTCTCTCCCAGAAACTTCCACTTTTGTTTCATTGGCCAGAATGATCACATGGCCACTTCTACCTGCAAAGGAGGTTAGGAAATGCAATTTGCAGCTGGCTACGTACAGCCTCACTGAAAATCAGGTTATATTACAAAAACTGAATGGGAAATAGACGTTGAGTAGGTAAGCAGAAACGTCTGCCATGGTGATCAGAAATTTGTGTGAACAATAGAAATGCTGCATTTGTTGAGCATGATGGGATTATTTTAACTTTCTCTAAGAAACAAAAGTCTTTTATACTGAAATTTTAATCTGAATTATTTGCTGTGAGGGCCAATGCTGTGCTTCACTGTTAACCTTTATTAATCAAATGAATGTGTTTGGAAACAGTTTGTAATACTAGATTTTAAATAAAAAATGCTTTCTTTTGGCAACAAGTATACCTGGACAAATCCTATTTGTAATATAGATTAGCACTTTCGCCAAATAATCTCACAGTATATTTTATACTTAGTGGGTATTTTTTCAAAAATTAGATTTCTATATCATATTCCATATGGTTTGTGTTCATTTAAAAAAAAAAAAGAAGCGTAAGTGGCTCTGGTGCCCTGCTATGATGAGGTATTTCCAAAAGTCCTTCTAACTAAAATATGGCACTTATAACTAATCCCTTTAAAATGAATTGTACATATGTGAGCATTTGCATTAACTATAATTAGCTAACCACAGCCTATGCTTATATCTATATGGTATGTGTAATCTGTTTATAGAACAGGGCAAATGACATAATGTAGATCTTGGCAAATAATCACATTCTCCTTCCACAAATAACATTTGAAATGATAAAAACAACATACAGATGAATAGCTCCCAATAGGTAAAATCATTATAACCCACATTTGCCAACATAATTTTAATCCCATTTGTTGGTCACATATTTTGAGAGGGAGATGTACAATTCCAGTTTATGGCTCAATATTTCACTTTGACAGAAAGCCACTCTCGGGCATCAAGGATTTGAGACCAGGCAACACTGCAGTTGGAAAGGATGAGGGGTGCATGAGAAAGCTGAGGTCTGGGCTGAGCCACATGCTCCAGGTTAGCCTTGCTAAAAATGCCAACACCAGGATCCGATGCACAGTCTCAACCTCATTGTGCCCACCTCCAAATCCTTTGAAACAGATTCCAATGATAGATCCCCTCTCCTTTCTCCCTAAAAGAGAATGTCATCTTCCTCCCTTCTCTGCTTCCTGCCACATGACAGTGTGGAAGCTCCTAGCACATCCCTAATGTGGAAGGACATGTCTCCTCCCTAGTTTTATTCAAACGGATGGATTGCAATTATCACTAATTGGTGTTGCCATTAATCACTGATTTTCTTCAATATATCCTCCTAGGATCCCAACTACTGCTAACTGAATTCCCAGTTACTTTCTCATAAGTAGTTTCCCATTCCTTGAAGAGATTCTTTAAATGAACACACATGTCTTCCTGATTATGAAATATTTCCTATTCATTCTAAGTAATTGTGAATATTTAGAAAGGTAAAGAGAAAGAAATTTTAAATTATCTAAAATTTAGAGATAACAGTTGTTAGCATTTTTTAATGTATTTTTTTTCTATGTATATACATTTAAAAATTCAGGCTCATACTTATGGACAATTGGCAATTGAGATACAAATAATATTATAACTTGTTTTCCAATGCCACTAAATATTCTTTGTAATATTCTAGGTATCTTTAGGGTCCTTGTCATGCCAGAATTGAGCTAATTGGATTGCTATTGTTTTCATTGTTGATATTATAATTAATAGCAATCTTTATACAAAAATAGTATCTGTGTTTTTGATGATTTCCTGAAGCTTGATATATCATTTGTCATGTTTTCAATGCCTAGTAAAAGATGAGCAAACTCTGTATGTTGTTTAAAAAGATATTTAGTAACTTACTTAACAAAAACTCTTACTATTATGGGGTAGCATATAAAAAATTGATTTAAATTCTGACTTCAGGCAATTTCTCTTTCCAAAAAGAATGTACAGTGACATATACTCTTAACTTTGGCCAGTGGATCGGATTCCAGTTCTCGTCAATCGTTTCTTGCAACCACTCCAGAGAATGGTTATAATGCCAGCAAGTCCGCTTCCTGCAGGTGTCTGCAGGTTTCCATGCTCTAGCACTTCTATTGCCTGTCAAAAAGATGTTGAGATCCTACTGTGAACAACATTTGGGTAGAAGGGGAACATTATGTAAGCAGTTTGCTTGTACAACCTATTTGATTGGATGAGATTGCCCTTTTGTTTAAAAAGGAGATTTTGTCAAACTACCTTACAGAATTGTTGAGGTTTTAGCTGTAAAATCATCTGGTACACAGTGAAAATTCAAGTCACATTAAATGTTTTAACCTTAAAGATCCTGAAAGATGGCCTGAGAGACATAAAAAATCATTCCTTTATATTCAAGAGGCCATGGGATGCTTAGGAAACTTAAAGTAATTAGAATAGGGAATACAACATAATTAACTAACTACAAAATGTACTTTCATAAGAGGATGAAAGAATCAGAGACTATAGTGAGGATACTAACAACATATTCTCCAACAAATTCCTTTCCAGAACATACACTCCAGCATATTCTCCACTGTTGTCCAGGTTGGTTAAGCCACTTTTCCAGGTGTCATATTTAGTTCATGGTGAAAACTGGATAAGAATTCACTTTTCCTCATTCTCTACGTGGTTTTCTTCCCCTACACCAGGTTGCCATTGCAATATCACCATGTGCTAATATTTTGTGCTTTTATTTTCATGAGGCTTCAGCAGATTTGGGGTGGTGGCCCAGAAATATGTAGTTTTAACAACCTCTTAAATGTTTCCTTCCTGTGGACCACCCTTTAAGGAACACTGTTTTGAATGATGTGGCTACTTTATTTCTGAAAGTTTTTATTTCCGTGTGCTGGCAAAATAGATATAAATGGAGCAAAATCTTTTTAAAAGCATGTTGATGTCTTCAGTTTACAAATTGGTCTATGCCTAATTCCAGAGCTACAGAGAGAATTAATGTTTCTTCTTTGGTTCAGATCAGGTCTGTTTCTTATCTTGCATGAGATTGTGAGAATTAAGTTATTATCAATATGGAAGAAAGGTGATAAACACAAATTGACATGTATGCCCAATTGGAAAATACATTTAAAGACTTTCCTTTGTATCTATCACCTGTATCGATTTCTACTTGACACAACACCGGTGGAGATGATACTTCCCAGAATACAGTTCACCACCAGACTCCTCCATGATTCTTCCTACCTGGAACATCTTCTGGGGTTGGAGTCTCTAAATTGATGCTGAGAGAAAAGCTTAAGGAAGTAATCACCAGCACTCTGGCGACCTCCAAAATCAGCTCTGTTGCAAAAGCAAAATAACTGCCTGATTTTCTACAAAGTCTGAGGCCTTGAGGTGGAGGAAAGATGGGAGAAAGAAGAGAAGTTTTCATGATCAAGACAGTTTTCTGGACCCATGGCTGTGCTGGGCCTTTGGACAATGTCAAAAAACAAGTTAAGAGCCTTCCTGGGCACTAAAAATATAGAGTTAAATTAAATATTTTCTTTGTCTCTAAGGACTAACAGGCAACCAAATGAATGATGACAGTCCAGAGTAATGAGGACTGCCATAGATAATGCATGGTACTAAGGAGACACAGAAGAGAAGTAAATAACCCCATTGCTTAGATAGTATACGCTTTGGGGAAAAAAACAAAAAGCAAAACATGGGTCACTGGGAGGTGACTGGCATGACAACATGGCATTCATGCAAGATGTAAGCCACATCCATAGGCATGGATATGATCCAAAGGAAATAGACACTATGATACCCGAGCATAAAATCCTTTGTGGAGAGCTAAAGAAGAATGACCTTCGGCAATTCATGCAGAAGGGAAATGGGAAAGCAAATTTTAGCTGAAGCACATAAAAATGTGAACATACAGTTGTAAAGAAAATGATTTGAAATCATGTCCTGGTTCTCTCACTACTGAGCTGTGTATGTCAAGCTATATTCCGTCTCTGGATCTCATTCCTCAGGCATAAGGCAAGATGGGTGGACAGGATGGATTCTGAAGTCCACTCCAGCTCTAATATTCTCTAGTTCTGTCTTAGTCATGGAAAGCAGAAACAATACACAGCTTCAGTTAAATAGTTTCCATCAAAGAAGGTGGAGCAGCTCTCACCTCTATAGTGAGGGAAGAAAGGAAGCAGCCACTGAACAATGGCAGGTCCCCAAGGGAAGCATAGTTGGTGGGTATATTACAGATGTTGGAAATTTAAAAATAATATATGCCGTATATATTAAGATGTGAAGTTTCAGGCTAATATAATAGCAAAAATGAATAAAGTTAATTTTTCCTGATTTAAAAAATGGTAATAATAAGGAAAAATTCTTTTTCAGAAAGGAAAAGCATGCATTTACAAGTAAAATGAAGCTAAAAGGAATAAAATGAACAGGGCTGATGGTTCTTAGCAGTCAAATGTTTGCAAGTCTGCTGTTTATAATAAACTTAGACTTTAAATTGAGTAATTATTTTATTGAGCTGGCTTTTCTTTTGAAAATAGTTACATCAAATAGTGTGAAAATAGATCCAGATGTAGTTGCTTCTTTGAGATTATTGGGACTATATGAGCAAATGGAAGATAGGTCATTTGATTATAAAAATAATTAAGGATTCATTTTATGTTTAGAAATATCTGAAACAGTTTTAGCACTAAAGGCACAATATGTAAATTTAAAAAGACAATTAGCTTATTTGTAATATTGGATTGGTATTATCACTAACATTGGTATTATGATTAATTATTGAAGATTGATATATTCATGTGGTAATTCATTTTGCAGAGTTAATTAGTATTTCTTCCCTCTAAAATATAGTAAAAAATGTGTGGCATTATCATCAGTAGCTAAACTTCATAAGGATGTTAAAATAGGCCTTTGTTTACAGAGGCAAAAAGATTATAAGACTTCTCAGTAACTGAAGAGAGCATTTATTTAATTATAGATATTTTCACTATAATTTTAGAGGAAATACACAATTACATAAACACTGAATATAATATCTTTTTAATTTGCATACTGTGGGCTTAAACATATACTCTAAAGTAAACCAGAGCCATAATTATACAGACTTTTGAAGTTAATGCCTAATCTTTTCACCAAATATAATAATCTATTATTTTGTTTGTAAATATGTTAGCATATCAACACTTTTAGCCACTAATGTATGTTGAATTCTTGAGAATAACTATTTATACTTTCCTATCCTTTTGAAATATCTACATAATTTCACCTGGTTAATATTTTGGAAGAACATAATTGGCAACTTAAAAAAAAATCCTTATTAGTAAATTGTATTTGAAGTTCTACGTAGAATACACTGCTTAGTTTGGAATTTATAAGGCTGTATTTCAAGAATCTGTCCTTTTACTTTGAACCATAATTGATATGTGTATGCTATTTAACAATTCTATGCACACTGGAGTGGTTTGTTCAGTACATATTGCTAACATTTTGTACAGTTTTCTATAATCCATACTTTCATAACTACCGAATAAAATAATTGGTTTACTTATTTGAATTTTCTATAATATACAGTGGATCTTCAAGCGTATGAGGATTTTAAAATCTTAAAAGAGTTTTTGGGGATTATTCTGCATTTCATTTTTTAAAGACTTGATTCTCTTAATAAGTCTTCATTGTCTGCTATGATTAAGGCATGAGAATTCACACCCGAACTTGTATGAACTCTGCCTTCAGAGAACTTACAAATTAAGGGGAAATAGAACACATATACCATCAAACAAGATGGAAAGACAATAGAAAGTCATATGTTTTATAACAGAGGAATAAACAAATTCAGAAAAGATGAAACTCCAGATAAGAAATAAAGGGACTTGAGTCTCTTCCACTTCCTCATTAATCCTCACTCTCAGCAAAGTGCTACCTTGCTTCCTCCTTCACTGGGAAAACAAAAGTGATCAAAAGAGAACTTCTGTTAAATACCACCACCGCTTCTACTCACCTCCTTGTTCCTGTACCATCAACTTCACATTATCACCAGTTACTATGGATGACCTCTCCGTATCCCTATCCAAGGTCAATCCCTTCATTTGCTCTCAAAATTCCATTCCCTCCAGGGACATTTCTCCAGCAATTATCCCCTCTGTGTCTTGCATCATTCAGTTTTCTCTCTCTTTGAATTATACTGAGCAGCATTCAAACATTGTTATTTCTCCCATATATTTTACTTAAAAAATTGTCTTTTAACCTCATTTTCATCTCCAGCTGACACTATATTCCTTGTCTTCACTTTATAAAACCCCTTGTAAGAATTTTCTCAACTTGCTATTTCTAAAAGAATTTGGAACATATTCTGGGTGAGGATCCCTCATTCATCTACCAAAAATTCTTTTGTCAAAACCATTATGGATATCTTCTTTGACAGATCCCTTCTTAGTTCTCATCTTCATTATCTGTCACCTATTTTCAGCATTGGACGCCATCGATGGCTTCCACTTGAAACCATTTCTCCACTTGGCTTTCGGGTTGGCACACACACATGATTTTCCTCTAACTTTCGATCCTCTCCTTCTTAGTATCCTTTACTGTTTCTCCTCATTATCTAACCTCTTCACTGAATCCCAGGACTCAATCCTTAGATCACTTTACATTGCTGTCCATTCTCACTCCCGTGATGCTCTCACCCAGTCTCCTCGCTTTAAAGATCATCTTTACGTTGATGGCTCCAGCCTGCAACACCATCCCATTATCCTACAGCCTAGCTGATAAAGTTGCCAGATTTAACAAATAAAATACAAGATACCTAGTAAAATGGGAATTTTGGACAACCAATGAATAATTTTTGGTATAAGTATGTACCATTATATATCTAGGATATACTTACACTGAACAATTTTTAAATATGAAATTTTAACTTCACTGATCATCCTGTATTTTATCTGATCAGACTACCTGACATCTCCAATTTGATGTCCAAAAAATGTCTCAAATGTAAAATATCCTAAATTGTGCTCCACACATTTCAACAAACACCACTTTATCTTGTAGTCTTCCTTGTCTCAGTTAAAGGCAACTCCTTTCTCCCAACTTCTCAGACCCAAATCGGTTATCTTGACTTCTGTCTTATACTCACATACAAAGTGGATCCATCATCACATCTCATTATGTCTAACCTCAAATACCACATGTTCAGAATTTGGCCTTTTCTCATGGCCCCTCTGCAGCTACCTTGGCCCCAGCTATCACAATCTCATCTCCTAATTGTCTCTCTGCTTCAGCCTCTGGCTCCTTTCGTTGTGTGTTTTCAAAACAGCAACTAAAATACATAAATGGATTGGTAAGGACAGGAGCCAATATAAAGGATGCAACTGCTTCAAAAGATAGCGCCAACCTTAGATACAAAACTTTAGAAATAAAAACATGTGGATTTGAATCTTGTCCAGGTTATTTTCAATAACTTTTTTAACAAGTAAAACTTTGCCACCCATTAAAGGTTTTTCTTTCAAGATCGATGCTAGGAAGATAAGCCATCACTACACAGCCCTCATTTGCATCCCTGAAGTCATGTCACACGGCAGGAAATGTTCCCAAAAGTCCTGGCTGCATAATCTAAGCTGAACTCTTTCAAAGTTTGAGAAATTTAAAAAGGTCAACAATTAAAGTAGCTATTAAATAGCGACTTTTCTGCTGTTTTCCTATGTAATAACAATAGATAACACTTATTTAGAATATACGGTGTGCCAGACTCTGCTTTAAGAATTTTATATAGATTTTGTACTACTGTATCACTATTTGCCCATGAGGAATAGAAAGATAAAGTGACTTGTCCAGGTAACACAGCTAGGGCCAGGGATCCAGATCAGCAGTATAACCTTGGAGGCCACACTCTTAACCATCACACCACACACACACAGCTCCAGCAGGTAAGGGGCTCCTTCACCTGAGCTGTTTAGAGTCTTCTGGTTTGTTTTTTTTTCCTTTTAGTTATTTGGAATTCTTATTTTCCTTGACATTCCCATAGCAACAGTTTTCTCTGTCATCAGAAAAAAAAAGATGTAAATAAACTTGAGAATATAAATTGACTATTGAAATTCATACACCCAAGCACACACACATACACATTCCCAGAATATGAAAAGGCTATTATGTTGACATCTACAGCCCAACCTGCAGAGATATGTTTGAAAGATTAGAACTTAGTAATTATGCTTTTCTGAGACTCCTTGAAATCATGTTGGTTAAACAATGTAAGTGTATTCTGAACCCAACGGTTATTACTGATGAATTAAATATCATGGCTTAGTATTATAAGGGAGTCTCTCCTGTGACGCTTAAGAGGATTATGCAGCTGTTCTGTGGCTCTTTCTGAATCCCACAACCCCAAGAAGGCTGACAAAGCCCCCTGATGGAAGCCATCCACAGAAGAATATGGCATTCCTCACAGCCTTTATTAGTCACGCAGGAGAGACTTTTCCAACATGAACAGGCAAAGTGAAAATTCTCATCAGCAAAGATGAGTCAGAAATTCTGGAGTTCAATTCTGACTGTGCTCATCATCTGGCCATAGGAAAGTTAATCATCACTTAAGGCCCTGAGATTTCTCAGCAAGATTAGCTTACAGCATTATTCATAGATCTGTTACACAGTGACAACACAGTACCATGGAAGTGGCCATGTGGGTACGTGGCCTCACTTTCAGATAGGCTTAGTGCAATCAAATTAGAACTCAGGATTAAAAAACTCACTCAAAACTGCACAACTACATGGAAACTGAACAACCTGCTCCTAAATAACTACTGGGTAAATAACAAAATTAAGGCAGAAATAAACAAGTTCTTTAAAATCAATGAGAACAAAGACACAATGTACCAGAATCTCTGAGACACATTCAAAGCAGTGTTTAGAGGGAAATGTATAGCACTACATGCCCACAGGAGAAAGCAGGAAAGATCTAAAATCGAAACCCTAATATCACAATTAAAAGAACTAGAGAAGCAAGAGCAAACAAATTCTAAAGCTAGCAGAAGACAAGAAATAACTAAGATCAGAGGAGAACTGAAGGAGACAGAGACACGAAAAACCCTTCAAAAAAGAGCTGGATTTTTGAAAAGATTAACAAAATAGATAGACGGTTAGCCTGAATAATAAAGAAGACAAGAGAGAAGCATCAAATAGACACACAAAAAAATGATAAAGGGGATATCACCACTGATCCCAGAGAAATACAAACTACTATCAGAGAATACTATAAAAATCTAGAAGAAATGGATAAATTCCTAGAGACATACACCCTCTCAAGTCTAAACCAGGAAGAACTCGAATCCCTGAATAAACCAATAACAAGTTCTGAAATTGAGGCAGTAATTAATACCAACCAAAGAAAGCCCAGGACCAGATGGATTCACAGACCAATTCTACCAGAGTTACAAAGAAGAGCTGCTACCATTCCTTCTGAAACTATTCCAAACAATAGAAAAAGAGGGAATCCTCCATAACTCATTTTATGAGGACAGCATCATCCTGATACCAAAACCTGGCAGAGACACAACAAAAAAGAGAAAATTTTAGGCCAATATCCCTGATGAACATTGATGTGAAAATCCTCAATAAAATACTGACAAACTGAATCCAGCAGCACATCAAAAAGCTTATCCACCACGATCAAGTCTGCTTCATCCTGGGATATGAGACTGGTTCAACATATGCAAATAATAAACGTAATCCATCACATAAACAGAACCAATGACAAAAACCACATGATTATCTCCATAGATGCAGAAAAGACTTTTGATAAAATTCTACACCCCTTCATGCTAAAAACTCTCAGTAAACTAGGTGTTGATGGAATGTGTCTCCAAATAATAAGAGCTACTTAGGACAAACCCACAGCCAATATCATACTGAATGGGCAAAAGCTGGAAGCATTCCCTTTGAAAACCGGCACAAAACAAGGATGCCCTCTCTCAGCACTCCTATTCAACGTAATATTGGAAGTTCTGGTCAGGGCAATCAGGCAAGAGAAAGAAAGGGTATTCAAATAGGAAGAGAGTAAGTCAAATTGTCTGTTTGTAGATGACATGATTGTATATTTAGAAAACTCCATTGTCTCAGCCCAAAATCTCCTTAAGCTGACAAGCAACTTCAGCAAAGTCTCAGGATACAAAATCAATGTGCAAAAAATCACAAGCACTCCTATACACCAATAATGGAACTAGATTTGAAAAATCCAGTTCTTTTAAATGTAATTTCATCCCAGAGGGCTAAGAGAGAAAATGTTTTATATTTCATGTCAAAACATCGAGTTAATTCACTTAAAAAACAGAAATAGTCAAGTTAATATTTTGGGGGCTTAATAATAGCAAAACAACTAATTAGTAGACTGGTTTTTATTCACTTTTCAATTCATTTAGTAACATATTCTTCGGGAAAATAAAGGGATGATGATTATCACATTGGATAGACTGAAATAGTTGTCTTTGATTTTTTTAACTAAACTGAACACATACCCTAATTTTATTTTTTACCTTAAAGCAAAATCAGGAGTTGATAAATGAAATCATTAAGCAATTGTGAAAGTTGTCTCGAACATTTGTTTCTAACACAAGAAGCTTTGTCAACATCCAAGAGGAGATTAAAAATCAAAACAAATACTAAACAAATAAGCAAAATTAGAAAAACATCATTGCCACATAAAACATGACCTATGGTTACTGCACTAGACATTTGCTTATCACTCAACATTGTTGGTATTTAGTGAGAAATGTTTGCTGCCCTGACAAAACTCTCTAAAGAACGCATAAAGCAAAGTCTTTGCAAAGAGTCTATGCAATATTTATTGAATGTCACCTACAGCAAAATGAACCCCACTTTCGACCAAAGCAAATTATCTATTCAATTCAGTATTTACATTGATAGCTATTGCTATAAGTGTTTATACTCAGTTGTAAAAAAAAAATTGTTTCTATGTAATGAGATGAAAAACGCGTCTTAGTATGAGAATTTATTTTAAGTGTGATTGTATTAAAATATATTTACAAGTTCTTTGATACTTCTTTCTTTAAGCAGTGGAAGTCAATTTCCTTCCTTTTGAGATTGGGCTATATAGATACTTGCTTCTAATAAGTAGAATACAGCAGAAATAATGGTGTGAAGCATCCAAGAGTAAGACCTAGAGGGCACTGTAGCTTCCTCCTTGGTTTTTCTGTATTACACACAAGGGAAGAATCAGTTGCCATGCTGTGAGAACACTCACCCAACACTATGTAGTTATTTCTATTGGAAGAACTGAAATCTCATTCCAAAGCCAACAAACAAGTGAGGGCTTCTGAAAATGGCTACATGAGGGTACCATCTTGAAAGTGAATAGTTCAGCCCCCACCAAGCTATTGGATGAGCATAGCCTTAGAAATCATCTGTGGGCAGCCTCATGACCTATCTGAACCAGACTACCCTGCTACACTGCACTGAATTCCTGCCCACAGAAAATGTCAGTTAATAAGTGCTTATTGTTTTAAGCTGCTAGTTTTGGGGATGCTAGATAGCTAATATAAGTAGGACAGTCTTTTAAAAAAATCCTAAAAAGCTACTTACAACAGAAGATGAAATCCTGAAGGCATGAATGTTAGTCAGGGCCCAGGAAGCCAATAGTGACTGCTTGCTAATTTATTCTGCATGAAAAAAGGAAAGGAATTTGCTTTTGCTTCCAAGAGAAGCATGAGAGAGGAGAAAGGAAGAAAATAAAAAGGGGATAGCCAGTAAAATAACTACAGACCATTCAATCTATATAGAAGGAATGGGAAACCTCAGGAGTTAGAAAGTTGTAAACAATATTTAAAGAAGTAGAATGCATGCTGTGATTGTAAGTTTTGTTGTGTGTGTGTGTCGGAACATCAAGAAAAATCAAGATTAGGAGTAAAGATGAGCAAAGATAAACATGAAAATATACGTCTCTCATTTTTCTATTTAAACCTCAGGGAGCTTGTTGGGCTTCCATAGAATATCTTGTTTAAATCTGAAAGGTCGCAGTGGTCCACGTTATATAAAAATCCAAAACAGTATTAATAACTCTGCCCTAGCCCTAGACGTACCAACTGAAAACATGAAAAATATGGTATGTCATAATATTTTAAAATTTGATATTTTACTTATTGATGTCTTTCCACAATGCCACAGGAGTAAAATCCAAATTGACAAGTCATTTGACTGGACTAAGTCTACATCTTTCTACTATCTAGCTCCCCTTTCATTTACTCTCTCTCTCTCTCTAACCTTTGTTATCTTCAAATAACTTCTTCCCAAACTGTCTATTCTGCAGTGCATTGAAGTAGAACACTGTGGTATCATTCTAGAAATGCCATGGACTTTGAAGGGAGACAAACCTGGGTTCAAATATTAATTTAAAATTGTAATGGGAAGCTGCTGTGACATCTTAAATTATGTATGAGTCTGTTCTCACTCTGCTATAAAGAAATACCTGAGACTGGGTTATTCATAGAGAAAAGAAGCTTAATTGCCTCATGGTTCCACAGATTGTACAGAAAGCATGGTTGAAGAGGCCTCAGGAAACTTTCAAACATGACAGAAGGTGAAGGCACGTTTTACATGGCCAGAGAAGGAGGAAAAGAGTGAAAGGGAAGCTCAACACACTTTTAAACAAACACATTTTATGAGAACTCACTCATTACCACGAGAACAAGTGGGAAGTCCACCCCATGATCTAATTGCCTCCTATTAGGCCCCTCCTCCAACACTGGGGATTACAATTTGACATGAGATTTGGGCGGGGACACCGATCCAAATCATGTCAGTGTCTTTAATGTCTTTCAGCCTCAGTTTTCTTTCATGTAGTATGAGGTTAATAATATTTATCTCCTATTGTTTCTATAAGATTAAGTGAATAATATGCCTAAAACCTTAGCTCAGGGCTTAGTCACATTGGCAACTTATATTGGTGAAAATAGTTATACTTGTTATTATAATTTAAATCTTCCTCTTGACCATCTG
The DNA here is from genome assembly GCF_000001405.40 of Homo sapiens. Lineage (NCBI taxonomy): Eukaryota > Metazoa > Chordata > Mammalia > Primates > Hominidae > Homo > Homo sapiens. The sequence goes on from NC_000008.11 coordinate 68,972,391, forward strand.
CCCCTCCTAAAATGTGAGCTGATGAAAGTGTAAGGTATTAACTTTTTACATTGTACTTGAGGAGAGACAAGTAGGATTGCCTGCTGAATTACCCTAAGAATCTCAGGTTGTCTGGCAGTAAACCCCACAGAATTTGGGGCTTTATCTCCCTAAGTGAAGGGACAGTGGTTTCCATTCCACTTCCTTAGTGAGAGAGGCTGCCCCTGAACTCAACCAGTGAACTCAACTTTCCATAGGAAATATAGAATAAGGCCTCCCTCCCTCTTCAGCCTGAAGGCCTCTTCCCATAAGACTGCCTGGTGCTATTGGACAGTTCCCTATACTGAGGCTGCTGGTGCCGTAGCCCTGAATGTTGACTACTATACCCATACAAAACTGTCCCTGGTCTTGCACTTAAAAGACAATGTCAAATGACCAAACATCTCACCATAGAGGATATTCAGATAGAAACGTGCTCAACATCATTAATTATTTTAAAAAATGCAAATGAAAACTATGAGATACGACTAACCACTAGATACCTATTAGAATGTCTAAAATTAAAAGGACTGACTGTCGGGCCTCTGAGCCCAAGCCAAGCCATTGCATCCTCTGTGACTTGCACGTATATATATATATACACGCCAAGAACGTATATATATATACGCCCAGATGGTCTGAAGTAACTGAAGAATCACAAAAGAAGTGAATGTGCCCTGCCCCACCTTAACTGATGACATTCCACCACAAAAGAAGTGTAAATGGCTGGTCCTTGCCTTAAGTGATGACATTACCTTGTGAAAGTCCTTTTCCTGGCTCATCCTGGCTCAAAAAGCACCCCCACTGAGCACCTTGTGACCCCCACTCCTGCCCGCCAGAGAACAAACCCCCTTTGACTGTAATTTTCCTTTACCTACCCAAATCCTATAAAACGGCCCCACCCTTATCTCCCTTCGCTGACTCTCTTTTTGGACTCAGCCTGCCTGCACCCAGGTGAAATCAACAGCCATGGTGCTCACACAAAGCCTGTTTGGTGGTCTCTTCACACGGACGCGCATGAAATTTGGTGCTGTGTCTCGGATTGGGGGACCTCCCTTGGGAGATCAATCCCCTGTACTCCTGTTCTTTGCTCCGTAAGAAAGTTCCACCTATGACCTCAGGTCCTCAGACCGACCAGCCCAAGGAACATCTCACCAATTTTAAATCAAGTAAGCGGCCTCTTCTTACTCTCTTCTCCAACCTCTCTCACTGTCCCTCAACAACTTTCTCCTTTCCACTCTTCAATCTCTCCCTTCTCTTAATTTCAATTCCTTTCATTTTCTGGGAGAGACAAAGGAGACAAGTTTTATCCGTGGACCCAAAACTCCAGCGCCAGTCACGGACTGGGAAGGCAGCCTTCCCTTGGTGTTTAATCATTGCAGGGATGCCTCTCTGATTATACACCCCTGTTTCAAGGGTGTCAGACCACGCAGGGACACCTGCCTTGGTCCTTCACCCTTAGCGGCAAGTCCCGCTTTTCTAGGGAAGGGGCAAGTACCCCAACCCCTTCTCTCCTTGTCTCTACCTCTTCTCTGCTTTTCTGGGAGAGGGGCAAGTACCCCTCAACCCCTTCTCCTTCACCCTTAGTGGCAAGTCCCACTTTTCTACAGGGCAAGAACCCCCAATCCCTTATTTCCACGCCCCAACCTCTTAACTCTGCACCCCAATCCCTTATTTCCATGCCCCAACCTCTTATCTCTGTGCCCCAATCCCTTATTTCTGCACCCTGATCTCTTATCTCTGTGCCCAATCCCTTATTTCTGCACCTCGACCTCTTATCTCTGTGCCCCAATCCCTTATTTCTGTGCCCCAGCCTCGTATCTCTGTGCCCCAATCCCTTATTTCTGAACCCCAACCTCTTATATCTCTGTGCCCCAATCCCTTATTTCCACACCCCGACCTCTTATCTCTGCACCCCAACCCCTTTTCCCACTTTTCTGGAAGGTAAGAACCCCCGAACCCCTTCCCCCCATTTCTCTACTCTCTCTTTTCTCTAGGCTTGCTTCCTTCACTATAGGCAAGCTTCCACCTTCCATTCCTCCTCCTCCTCCCTTAGCCTGTGTTCTCAAAAACTTAAAAACCTCTTCAACTCACACCTGACCTAAAACCTAAATGCCTTATTTTCTTCTGCAATGCCGCTTGACCCCAATACAAACTTGACAGCAGTTCCAAATAGCCAGAAAATGGCACTTTGAATTTTTCCATCCTGCAAAATCTAAATAATTCTTGTCGTAAAATAGGCAAACGGTCTGAGGTGCCTGATGTCCAGGCATTCTTTTACACATCAGTCCCTTCCTAGTCTCTGTGCCCAGTGCAACTCATCCCAAATCTTCCTTCTTTCCCTCCTGCCTGTCCCCTCAGTCCCAACCCCAAGCATCGCTGAGTCTTTCTAATCTTCCTTTTCTACAGACCCATCTGACCTCTCCCTTCCTCCCCAGGCTGCTCCTCACCAGGCCGAGCTAGGTCCCAATTCTTCCTCAGCCTCTGCTCCTCCACCCTATAATCTTTTTATCACCTCCCCTCCCCACACCTGGTCCAGCTTACAGTTTCGTTCCGTGACTAGCCCTCCCCCACCTGCCCAGCAATTTACTCTTAAAAAGGTGGCTGGAGCCAAAGGCATAGCAAGGTTAATGCTCCTTTTTCTTTATCCCAAATCAGAAGCATTTAGGCTCTTTTTCATCAAATATAAAAATCCAGCCCAGTTCATGGCTCGTTCGGCAGCAACCCTGAGATGCTTTACAGCCCTAGACCCTAAAAGGTCAAAAGGTCATCCTTATTCTCAATATACATTTTATTACCCAATCTGCTCCCGACATTAAATAAAACTCCAAAAATTGGAATCTGGCCCTCAAACCCCACAACAGGACTTAATTAACCTCACCTTCAAGGTGTACAATAACAGAAAAAAGTTGCAATTCCTTGCCTCCACTGTGAGACAAACCCCAGCCACATCTCCAGCACACAAGAACTTCCAAACGCCTGAACCACAGCAGCCAGGAGTTCCTCCAGAACCTCCTCCCCCAGGAGCTTGCTACACGTGCCGGAAATCTGGCCACTGGGCCAAGGAATGCCCGCAGCCCGGGATTCCTCCTAAGCTGCGTCCCATCTGTGTGGGACCCACTGAAAATCGGACTGTTCAACTCACCTGGCAGCCACTCCCAGAGCCCCTGGAACTCTGGCCCAAGGCTCTCTGACTGACTCCTTCCCAGATCTTCTCGGCTTAGCGGCTGAAGACTGACACTGCCCAATCCCCTCGGAAGCCCCCTAGACCATCACGGACGCCGAGCTTCAGGTAATTCTCACAGTGAAAGGTAAGCCCGTCCCCTTCTTAATCAATACGGAGGCTACCCACTCCACATTACCTTCTTTTCAAGGGCCCGTTTCCCTTGCCTCCATAACTGTTGTGGGTATTGACGGCCAGGCTTCTAAACCTCTTAAAACTCCCCAACTCTGGTGCCAACTTAGACAATACTCTTTTAAGCACTCCTTTTTAGTTATCCCCACCTGCCCAGTTCCCTTATTCGGCTGAGACACTTTAACTAAATTATCTGCTTCCCTGACTATTCCTGGACTACAGCTATATCTCATTGCCGCCCTTCGTCCCAATCCAAAGCCTCCTTTGCGTCCTCCTCTTGTATCCCCCCACCTTAACCCACAAGTATAAGATACCTCTACTCCCTCCTTGGCAACCGATTATGCACCCCTTACCATCTCATTAAAACCTAATCACCCTTATCCCACTCAACGCCAATATCCCATCCCACAGCACGCTTTAAAAAGATTAAAGCCTGTTATTACTGGCCTGCTACAGCATGGCCTTCTAAAACCTATAAACGCTCTTTACCATTTCCCCATTTTACTTGTCCTAAAACCAGACAAGCCTTACAAGTTAGTTCAGAATCTGCGCCTTATCAACCAAATTGTTTTGCCTATCCACCCCGTGGTGCCAAACCCATATACTCTCCTATCCTCAATACCTCCCTCTACTACCCATTATTCTGTTCTGGATCTCAAACGTGCTTTCTTTACTATTCCTTTGCACCCTTCATCCCAGCCTCTCTTTGCCTTCACTTAGACTGACCCTGACACCCATTAGGCTCAGTAAATTACTTGGGCTGTACTGCCACAAGGCTTCACAGACAGCCCCCATTACTTCAGTCAAGCCCAAATTTCATCCTCATCTGTTACCTATCTCGGCATAATTCTCATAAAAACACACGTGCTCTCCCTGCTGATCGTGTCCGATTAATCTCCCAAACCTCAATCCCTTACAAAAGAACAACTCCTTTCCTTCCTAGGCATGGTTAGTGCGGTCAGAATTCTTACACAAGAGCCAGGACCACACTGTGTAGCCTTTCTGTCCAAACAACTTGACCTTACTGTTTTAGCCTAGCCCTCATGTCTGCGTGCAGCGGCTGCCGCTGCTTTAATACTGTTAGAGGCCCTAAAAATCACAAACTATGCTCAACTCACTCTCTACATTTCTCATAACTTCCAAAATCTATTTTCTTCCTCATACCTGATGCATATACTTTCTGCTCCCCAGCTCCTTCAGCTGTACTCACTCTTTAAGTCCCACAATTACCATTGTTCCTGGTCCGGACTTCAATCCGGCCTCCCACATTATTCCTGATACCACACCTGACCCCCATGACTGTAACTCTCTGATCCACCTGACATTCATCCCATTTCCCCAAATTTCCTTCTTTCCTGTTCCTCACCCTGATCACGCTTGATTTATTGATGGCGGTTCCACCAGGCCTAATCGCCAGACACCAGCAAAGGCAGGTTATGCTATAGTACAAGCCACTAGCCCGCCTTTTAGAACCTCTCATTTCCTTTCCATCGTGGAAATCTATCCTCAAGGAAATAACTTCTCAGTGTTCCATCTGCTATTCTACTACTCCTCAGGGATTATTCAGGCCCCCTCCCTTCCCTACACATCAAGCTCGAGGATTTGCCCCCACCCAGGACTGGCAAATTAGCTTTACTCAACATGCCTGAGTCAGGAAACTAAAATACCTCTTAGTCTAAATAGACACTTTCTCAGGGTCTGAGAAGGCCACCGCAGTCATTTCTTCCCTTCTGTCAGACATAATTCCTCAGTTTAGCCTTCCCACCTGTACACAGTCTGATAACAGACCAGCCTTTATTAGTCAAATCAGCCAAGCAGTTTTTCAGGCTCTTAGTATTCAGTGAAACCTTTATATCCCTTATGGTCCTCCATCTTCAAGAAAAGTAGAACGGACTAAAGGTCTTTTAAAAACACACCACACCAAGCTCAGCCACCAACTTAAAAAGGACTGGACAATACTTTCACCACTTTTGCTTCTCAGAATTCAGGCCTGTCCTCAGAATGCTACAAGGTACAGCCCATTTAAGCTCCTGTATAGATGCTCCTTTTTATTAGGCCCCAGTCTCATTTGACACCAGACCAACTTAGACTGTGCCCCAAAAAAACTTGTCATCCCTACTATCTTTTGTCTAGTCATACTCCTATTCACTGTTCTCAACTACTCATACATGCCCTGCTCTTGTTTACACTGCCGGTTTACACTGTTTCTCCAAGCCATCACAGCTGATATCTACCCTTTATACCTGTTTTTCTCCTTCTGTTATTCCACTTAGTTTTTCAATTCATACAAAACCGTATCCAGGCCATCACCAATCATTCTATACGACAAATGTTTCTTCTAACAACCCCACAATATCACCCCTTACCACAAGATCTCCCTTCAGCTTAATCTCTCCCACTCTAGGTTCCCACAGCACCCCTAATCCCGCTTGAAGCAGCCCTGAGAAACATCGCCCATTCCCTCTCCATACCACCCCCCAAAAATTTTCGCCGCCCCAACATTTCAACACTATTTTGTTTTATTTTTCTTATTAATATAAGAAGGCAGGAATGCCAGGCCTCTGAGCCCAAGCCAAGCCATCGCATCCTCTGTGACTTGCACGTATATATATGCCCAGATGGCCTGAAGTAACTGAAGAATCACAAAAGAAGAGAATATGCCCTACCCCACCTTAACTGATGACATTCCACCACAAAAGAGGTGTAAATGGCTGGTCCTTGCCTTAAGTGATGACATTACCTTGTGAAAGTCCTTTTCCTGGCTCATCCTGGCTCAAAAAGCACCCCCACTGAGCACTTTCCAACCCCCACTCCTGCCTGCCAGAGAACAAACCCCCTTTGACTGTAATTTTCCTTTACCTACCCAAATCCTATAAAATGGCCCCACCCTTATCTCCCTTCGCTGACTCTCTTTTTGGACTCAGCCCGCCTGCACCCAGGTGAAATCAACAGCCATGGTGCTCACACAAAGCCTGTTTGGTGGTCTCTTCACACGGACGCGAATGAAACTGACCATAACAAGTATTAGCAAGAATATGGAGCAACTGGAACTCTCATACCAGATAAAATTGTACAACCACTTTAAGAAAAAGAGGCAGTATGACAAGGAACCAAAGTCAGTCCTCTGGAGCGTAGTGCCACTGTGTGTAGAGCAGGGTCCTGAATGCCTTTCTGTGAAGGGATGAGAGAATTGGGGGTTGTATGCTTCCTCTTGCTGATGCTGGGCTTTTATATTTTCCCAGTAAAATCTGTCTTTTCTATCCAGGCTGCATGATGCTGTCATGTTTGCCATCATCCATCATGCCTCGCATTGAACAAAATAGACAAAAAGTCCTTGCCTCTAGAGTGCACATTGCATTGAGGAAAAAAAAAGTAAGGTAAATATATAAAATATTATATATGCAAAATATGAACATTTAAAAGAGATATGAATGTGTAAAAAATGTAAGATGAAGATAAATGCTGTGAAGAAAAATTATGCAGACAACAGGGTGTGCCAGGAAGATGTACATATTTGATGAGTCAATAATTTACTTATAGCTGTGTATAGCCTGCATAAAACTCTCAGCATGTGCTCAAGACGACATACACAGCATGCTTGTTCAGTAATATTTGAAGTAGCAAAAATAAAAAAATAAAATGGAAAGATTTAAATGTCCATCAGAGAGGTCACCTGGCTGTTATCCTTCTATAGAAAGATTACCATAGTCAATTACAGGTGATGGATGGACGAAGAATAAGACTGGCACCAGGGAGTCTTAATACAAGATCATTGAGGTAGTTTAGACAAAAATAATATGACAGCTAACATTTCTGGGTGCTTACCAGAAGCACTGGGTGATGTTCTAAAACGTTAACATAACTCATTCAATCCCCTCAACAACTCTATGTAGTAGATATTATTGTCGCCTTTACAGATGAAACAACAGAGAAAGAAAGAGGTTAAGGGATGTCCCCAAGATCACACCTCAGTAGCAAGGACAGGCACCAAACCAGAAAATCTGAGTTCAGAATCACTGTTTTAACTATGATTAGCTATGTTCTGAGAACATCCATGTGTTCTCAGTAACCATAAGAATGGAGAAAGCATGAAGAATTTCTAGGAAAAATTGTACTTCCTTCTACCTAGTTACCATCATCTTTGTTCTATGATTCCTGTGGAGAATGATTTACATAAAAGAAATTTCAATAATTATGTCTCAGAAATCAGGATTTTACTCTTACACATTCAGTTGACAGAACAAAGTTCCATCTTCATCAATAACTGCCTAGAGCAATTTGTCTTATCTTCTAATTAGATTCAGAACAATTTGAAGAAAGAGAACAGGACTTTTATATATTTTATACAAATCTAATTGTCTTTCATCTGTTCTACGAAAGAAGTTTCATTAAGTGCTAAATTACGAAGCCTAAAGCTATAAAGTGACATTTTTTCTTTTGTGTTTTCTCATGCATATTTTTTCATGTTACTGTTATTTGCTTTTGATTTAATGTCAAATTATAATACTGTTTTAGTTATTGCATTATCATTTCAGGTGTGCATCACAAATTTAACATTTTAATGAGATGGCAATGACTTAAAATCAAGCACTAAATGTTACAAATTGTAATGGTCCTGGATTTTTTAATTGCAATCATCCTTTCCTCCTCACTTGTAAAATTAAGTGTGTGCTAGCTAGCAGGATTCTCAGTTCCAAGACTTAAAAAATTTCCACCCTTACACCAAAAATAACAAATTATTTTGTAAATGTCTACAGAAAGACCATTGAGACTTATGAACATGATGAACCTCTTTTAGTTTCTTTTTTAAAATGCTGTTATCTCCTTTTAACATATTTATTTTTAGATAGAGATTATTTTATTGCTTAGGTGTAAGGGGAAAATTAAAGAGCCTTTTAGATAGATTATTGGATTTATTAGGCTAAGCAAATCCACTTTGGAATAATAAAAACCTTATTAGGTCATTAAAGACTGAAATATGGTAGATTTGTTTTTCCACTTTACCTCATGTGCTTTTGTGTTACACTGAAATTTTTAGAACTTCATAAACTTTTTTTAACCTGGTAATAACTAAGCTATTAGGCTATAAAATGTTTTGATTCTTTCCAGAGTGTCTCAAGCATGTCCATAACCTTAAAATCCTGTGACTTTGCTCTTTTTGTAGGCAGGAAATAATCATAATTCAAATGTATTCACCATCAAACCTAGTCATTGAGAACATTGAGAAACTTACTCTTTCTATGTAAAATCAATGTCAAATTCCTCAGAAACTGTGGGAAACTATTATGACTCATTTCTTTTGCTTCAGTATAATCACTTGGAAGGAAAGACAGACCTTGGTGACAGAAAGACCTGGGTTCAAGGCTTACCTCTGTACCTTATTCTGTGACCTTGGAAAAGTTTTGTTGTTCTCCTTAAAACTTTTTAAGCTCTTGTTTCTAAACTCTCTTTAGGCTCAATTTTCTGGTCTGCATTTGTAAATGTGGTATAAAAGTTGTACCACCTGAGAATCATATTGAGGATTAAATAAAGTATTTAGTGTGCTGCCTAGAATATACTAAAAGCTCCATCAATGGCAGACATTATCATTATTTCCACTTTATTATTTCATCTTATTCTTCATGATATCCTGGGGTTCAGTCTTTCATGCATCTGTGATGAGATGAAGAGAAATATTGTTTTGCTCCATGGAAACACTTTACTTAAATGTCCCAGGAAACCGGAGGCTAAGCAAAAAATGCGTAAGCTCTTGATTATCAGGCACTCCCATTCTGAGGCAGGATTTCCAATATATCAGTATAACACGTTATTCTATATGCAGTCATTGCACACAGTGGATTTCAATATAATTCACTTCATAAATTAAGCCTGCTTGCAGAAATAAAGACTGTTTTAAGGGTATATGAGTAAAATTTGTATGACAATCAGATAACCTAAGTGAAGTGGGAAAATGTCTGGAGGAACAAAATTACCAAAACTGACTCAAGAAGAAATAGAAAATCTAAAGATAACAAGTAATAAGATCAAATCAGTAATAATAAAAAAAAACCATCCTACCAAAAAAACAATCCAGAGACAGATGGATTCACTGGTGAATTACACCAAACATTTAAATAATTAATACCAACCTGTCTCAAGTCCTACCGAAAAGAAGAGAATGGAATAATTTTTAACTTATTCGATGAGGCCAGATTCAGTAATATAATCAGTCATATATTCAGTAATATAATAATTTTATTCAGTATTACCCTGATATCAACTAAGACAAAGAACAAGAAAAAAAAATCCAAAACTACAGGCCAATATCTCTTATAAATATAGGTGAAAAATTCTTAAGGACATAATAGGAAATCAAATTCAACAGCATATTAAAAGGATTATACAACATGACCAAGTGAGATTTATTCTGTAAATTCAAGACGGGGTTCAAAAATACCAAAATTAATCAATGTAATATACCATATTGTAATACATCAATAGAATAAGGGGGGAAAGTACATGCTTATCTCCATTGATGCAGAATTGCATTTGATAAAATTCAACGATAAAATCACTCAGCAAACCTTAGAATGCAAGGGAACTTTGTCAACATGATAAAGGACATTAATAAACATCCCACAGCTAATATTATACTTGTAATAGACTAAATTGTGTACCTCCAAAATTCATATATGGAAGCCCTAAACCCCAGTTTTCTAGAATGTTACTCTATTCGAGATAGGTCCTTTAATGAGGCAATTAAGGTAAAATGAAGCCATTAAGTGTGGGGCCCTAATCTCATAGAACTGGTGTCTGTGTAGGAAGAGGAAGAGACAGCAGAGATGCGTACCCACAGGGAAAATGCCACGTGAGGACAGTAAGAAGTTGTCATCTCTGAGCCAAGGACAGAAACCTCAAGAGATACCAAATCTGCTGATACCTTGATCTTGGATTTTCAACCTCTAGAATTGTGAGAAAATAAGTTTTGGTTGCTTAAGCCACCTGGTCTGTGGTATTTTATTATGACAGCCCTAATGAACTAACACAATACTCAGTTATGAAAGGCAGCAAGCTTTCTTTCTAACATTATGAAAAACAGAAGTAGGCTACTTTCAGCACTGCTATTCAACAGTGTACTGAAAGTTCTAGCCAAAGATATTAGGCAAGAAAATAATTTGAAAAGAAGTAAAACTATTTGAAGATAACATGATCCTATATATAGCAAATCCCCAAAAATTCACCAAAAAAGCTGCTAGAGCTAATAAGACAATTCATCAAAGTTGCAGAGTCCAAGATCAACACAAAATTCAGTTGTGTTTCTACACACCAGCAATGAACAATTTGAAAAAGAAAATTAAGAAAATAATTTCATTTATAATACCATCTGTATTAGTTCATTCTCACACTACTATAAGGAACGACCTGAAAGTGGGTAATTTATAAAGAAAGGAGGTTTAATTCACTCACAGTTCCACCAGCTGTACAGGACACATGGCTAGGGAGGCCTCAGGAAACTTACAATCATGGCGGAAGGGCAAAGGAGGAGCAAGCGTGTCTTCACATTGGCAGCAGGAGAGAGAAAGAGAAGGCGGAAGCTCTACACACTTTCAAACAACCAGATTACGTGAGATCTCATTCACTATCACAAGGAAAGCAAGGGGGAAGTCCACCCCCATGATTTAATCACCTCCCACCAGGCTCCTCCTCCAACACTGGGGGATTAAAATTCAACACAAGATTTGAGTGGGGACACAGAGCCAAACTATATCACTATTCAAAAGAATAAAATACCTAGGAATAAATTTAACCAGGGAGGTAAAATGTTTGTCTGTTATAAACTACAAAACATTGCAGAAAGAAATTGAAGAGGACCAAAATAATGGAAAGATATTCCACATTCATGAATTGTAAGATTTAATGTTGTTAAGATGGCAATACTGCCTAAAGCTATTTACACATTTAATGCAATCCCTATGAAAATTCCAAAAACCTTACTTGAAGAATTGTAAAGGCTGATCCTTAAATTCATACAGAATTGCAAGGGACTCCAAACAGTCAATATATATACAAATGGAAGAAGGGGAATGAAGTCGGAAGACTCATGCTTCCCAATTTCAAAACTTACTACCAAGCTGCAGTAATCAAATCTTTGTGGTACTAGATCAAACAAAAACTGGTACCCAAATGTTCACAGCAGCACTATTCTCAATAGCTAAAATATGGAAACCCTCCAAATATCCATCTGTGGATGAATGGATAAAAAAATTATTACATACACATACAATGAAATATGAACATCAGTCACAAAAAAAGAATAAAATACTGATATATACTATATATGCATGAATCTTGAAAACATTATGTTAAATAAAAGAAGCCAGACCCAAAAGGTCACATGTTATATGATTCCATTTATATTGAATATTCAGAATAGGCAGATTCATAGAGATAGGAAACAGATTGGTGATTGCCAGGGAGAGGGGTACGGGGAATCCAGAGTGACTGCATAATGGCTATGGAATTTTCTTTGGGGATAATAAAAATGTTTTGGGATTAGGTGGAAGTAGTGACTGTAGAACATTGTGAATGCACTATGTGTCACCAAACTGTACCCTTTAAAATGTTTAATTTTATATTATATAAATTTTGCCTTAATTTTTTTAAGTTAGAACAATTTTACCCTTGCCCCTGGAATATCACATGATGTGATGGCAGTTTGTATAAGCAAAAAACCTGTAAGAATCAGTACCCTCTCTATATTCAAAGGCAAACTCTAGTACAGGATTACTTCTAGACTTGTCCTTGAGGTTTCTGGGCTCCTGAATGAGCCAGAATAGCCCTAAACTACCTTGAGATAACTCTCCCAGACTCCCAGTTTTGTTCCCTTGCACAAGTTTTCCTAATCCTGAGCCACCAACAGTCTCTACCACAAAAATGTGCAGTGATCTATCAAACTACATCATCCTGGCTTCTCAATCTAAGCCTCCTATCTCAAAACATAAGTCCAAATGAAAATCAGCCTTTCTAGGTCACCTTCACAAACATCCATTACAGGTCCCCTACTGCCCAGGATTCCTCCACTGTCTCGCCAGGACAAGATTGGACGTCCTTTTATTCCTAAAGCCAAACTTACTCAACTAGATTATGCGGCTTTCCAGCTCTGCTCCCGAACGTTAATTCTTTTTGAGACTGAATACATTTATTAGTATTATTTAAAGTCTGCTTGGCTTAAGTTAATTTCTGATACTTTTCTATGTGTTTCTAAGTCTTGGGATTTCATTAATCTATGCTGAGAATATTTAACCCCATCCTTGCCATTCTTCCTTTCATGGCAGTTTTTAATAAGCTTAAAACTGCTAACACACATTCAGCCAGTTCAAACCATAGCATTGCGTCTGTCTAAATATTTGGTTTGTAAAAAAGTACAGGAGAAAGGAAGGGAATGAGTTTTGAATTTCATTAAGGAAATTACTCAAATATAACACTGGGAGTTGCTCTGAAGATGTCAAATTTTTGGTCCAGAAATATCGGACCAATATTTTGCAAAATGAGTGAGCAGAAAGGTCTAAGCATCCTTCAGTCACCAATTAGTAAACATCACCACCCTTTCAGAGGCCTTTGATTTGAAGACATTTGGCAGGAATGAAAAATGGGCAGTCTCACCATTTAATAGATCCTTTTTACCTTTCCATTTTTAATTTTAAGGACTTTGTTTACTATTAAGGCCCATTAAATGTTCAACTTTAGGATTCATAAACTTCCAAAAATCACTTACTTTTATAGTGATAACTAGCATTTATGTGATTGCAGAGCAATTTTATATGCATTGTCACATTGTCTCATTTGATAGAGAATATATATATATGTTATCATGTTCATTTTAGAGACAAGAAGCCTTAAAGTCAGAGTTTAAATGACAAACTGATAAGCCACAGATCTGAAAGCCAAACCCAGATCCTCTGATTCTCTTGCTCTTCAAACTCACTATGCTCCTTCTCAAATGTTATACCCGACTATCTAGAATATGTTTGTTTTTATTATTCATGCCTATTTTTTGTTGTATAATTTTAAATATATACAAAATGGATATTCAATATATGATAACTTTGAATTGGAGCAGGCTTTTTTTGTTATCTAATGGATGAAAAACATTGCTCATGACATGTTGGAAAATTAAAAACCAAATAAATCAATAAGATTGAAATGATTCTTTTTTTTTGAGATAGAGTTTTGCTCTTCAGCCTAGGCTGGAGTGAAGTGGTGTGATCTTGGCTCACTGCAACCTCTGCCCTCTGGGTTCAATCGATTCTCCTGCCTCAGCCTCCCGAGTAGCTGGAATTACAGGCACCCGCCACCACACCTGGCTAATTTTTGTATTTTTAGTAGAGACGGTTTTGCCATGTTGGCCAGGCTGGTCTCAAACTACTGAGCTCAGGTGATGAACCCGCCTTGGCCACCTAAAGTGCTAGGATTACAGGTGTGAACCACCGCATACAGCCGAGATTGAAATGATTCTGAGTGATAAACTTTACGAAAATGGCTAAATTACACATTAGCAGTGTTTTTCAAATGTTCCCTACCATAAAACTCACCTGGGAATGTCTCAAAGAGTTTATCTCCAGCTGCAGAAACCAAGAAAGACTACATGGAAGAAGTGATATTTTATTTAAGTCTTTCAGGAATTCTATAGCAGAATAATGTCAAGAGCAGAGACAAAATATCCTCAGTACATATATAGTATAATATATATTTCAGAACAGAAATTATTTTAGCATAATGCCTACAATATGTGTAAGGAAAAAATAGGCCATGGTCGGGTGCAGTGGCTCACTCCTGTAATCCTAGCACTTTGGGAGGCTAAGGTGGGCAGATGGCCTGAGCTCAGGAGTTTGAGACCAGCCTGGGCAACATAGTGAGACCCTGTCTCTACTGAAAGTACAAAAAATTACCCGGATGTGGTGACACATGCGTGTAATCCCAGCTACTTGGGAGGCTGAGGCACAAGAATCCCTTGAACCCGGGAGGCAGAGGTTGCTGTGAGCCGAAATTGCACCACTGCACTCCAGTCAGTCTGGGTGACAGAGTGAGACTCTTTCTCCAAAAATAAAAGAAAAATAAAAATAATTTTTAAAAATAGGCCATATTGGAGGGTGTCTTTGGAGACTCACGCTAGAGAATTTAGAGTTAATTCAACGTGTAATGGGGAACAATGATAAGCCTTTTTTTTTTTTAGAAGCTGAACCAATTAAGTTTAGTTTTTCTTTGTACTGATTCCCAATTGAGCTAAAAAATCATCATTAATTTTTATCACCTTTAAAGCCAAAACAATGAATTTTTTTTAAAGAAAAGAAAAACCGCTTATGTACTTTGTTATGCATGTGAACAAATCATTTGTATAAATGCAAGGTTTGTGTATAGATATAAAATAGATAATTGTGATACATTATATATGTATATTTATATAAATTTACAGATATCTATAAGTTTTCCCTGGCCAACTTAAGTTAAATTTGTCACATGCATCTTCGTATACCACTTTATTTATTATGTATCTATTTTATTGAACTTTAATGTTCTAGTGCAGTTATTTCTTTAGCATCCAGCTGAAAAGTCTTATTAAAGTATTTTAATTAAGTCAAATACTTAGGATTTCATGTTTATTTTTCCCATATGATTGGTTCTAAGGAGACCTAGTAGTGCAGAAAGAAATCCTAACATGCAAATTATTTTAGTTATCCAAATATGTCTATTTATTGCCTGTTCTAGAGTACGTACTAAGTTTAGCAAGGCACACATCCTACCAATGAGGAACTTGCCTTTCAGTAGAGGGAGACATAAATACTAATAAAAGCAACCAGTGACTTGCTTCAGTGCTATTACAGAGGAAGGGATGGTAAAGAGATAAAGATGTGTTCAGTTTTACATGATGTGGGAGTTTGGAAATGAAAATAAATGGGTAGAGTGAACAGACTAGAAATAAGTAAAGCTTCAAGAAGCAAAGTGATACTTGAGCTGACTCTCCTTATTACTCAACCTTAACTGAAACTTCAACTTTTGTTTTCCTCTATCATGGAGAGTCTGTGGCCCCAAGTTTCCTGCTCAGTAAACAATATCTGAAACATCGAAAGTAATGGTAGGTTGGTATCAAGACAGATCATACTGAAGAAGATAAATTCTATGTTAAAACTCTCAGAACTGTTCCTTCCTTCCATGTTTCATTCTTTCATTAATTTATTTATCTGAAATTATTTTTGAACATATAGTATGCAAATCACCAAAGGCATAAAACAACATGACAGACCCTACCTGTGTCCTTATAGAGCTTTCTGTTTAGTCAGGGAGGAAGACAAGAAAAGAGAAAATCTTACTCACGTGTTTGTGAGATTTATCTTTGTCAAAATATGTAACACCAACTTTATTCATTTTACCTGGTGTATTTCTTTAAAAAGAGAGACAAATAACTAAGATGTGAAAATAGCTAATGGGTGTTATTTTGTGTAGGTTTCAGTATACTTGGAATATTTCATAATTTCAATAAAGAGGCAACTATAATATTACAGCCTGACAAATACAATAACAAGGAAAGTGGAAGATAACATAAAATAACCAAATACCCAGAAGTTTTACTTGAGACTTGAATGATAAGGAAAAAGCTGGGTAGATGAAAGCTGATGTTGAAATGGGAGTGGTGGTGGGGACGATTTCTTAAGCAGAGAGACTGGAAAGAATTCAGTATGCTAAAGTGGCAAGTAGCCATAGATAATGCTGGAGAGATAAGATGGGCTCAGACCCCAGACCCCATAGCTTCAGGTAGTATCTTCTAAGAAGGCTGGACCTTGACCTCAGAGCAATGTTCATGGAAGACATAGAAGCTGTGGATTATTAATAGGATGATAAAAGTCATCTGGCAACTTGGGCTTTTCAATTTCCCAGAGAAGAAAAATCAGCGATAGAGAACCGTGGGAGCCAAGTCTTTTCCTAGCCCTTCACTTTACTCTCCAGGTAGACACCACGTAGAGGAGTGTAGAAATTAACTTTGGACTGGCAGAGGTTCTCTTGGAGAAGCTGTTACCTATCTGTGATCTGTCTCCAAACAGTTCCGCCACTGACTCCGATGGAGCATCAGAGGAGGGCTCCGCTCAGTTAAGTGACACAATCAGATATGTTGTTTAGAAAGACCATTATGGCTGCAGTGTAGAGAAGGAATTGGAATGGGACAAAACTGAAAGAAGGAAGTCAGAAGGTTCAGAAAACTTACCTGAATGGGGTAACAAAGTGTTAATAAGCTTCGAGAAAAGCTAGGAAATTAAATAGTATTTGGAAAAAGTACTAGGAGTGAAACCCAGTTTTCTGGCCCAGGAAAATGTTGACACATATACATATATATGTGTATATATATATATATATATATATATATATATTTTTTTTTTTTTTTTTTAACTAAATACTAACGCTGACAAGGCGAACAGGAAGAGGAAGGTCTGGGGGGATGTGTGATTCATAGGGAAATAATGTGCTGTGACACAGACACAAAGGACTTTAAGACGTCAATGTAACTTCCAAATTGGGGAGTTAGTGACTGGAGTGGCAGCCATGGGAGTGGATAAAGGCGAAAAAGAACCTGCAGGAGGCATGCAAGTGGCTGAGAGGCACACTTACTGCCCCTTCATGATTCACCTCTGCACTCATGTCATGGGCACGCTCTTAAGAGCTGCTGGCGCCCCACAACTGACCAGGGTGGTGTACTGGAGCCAGGCCCTTTCTGCCTAAGCAGGACACTCAAAGAGGCAGTCTTTGCCCTGCAGCCCTCCACTGGCCCAGCCAACACTCTCTCAGAGCTTAGACATCTGCTTCTCAGAGCACCCAAACTGACAGGGTGTATCCAGTATATTTGATTCTGAAGCTAGAGAGACCCAGCTGGCCATACACATTGGGGAATCATTGACAGATGGCAGCTGAGATCTGAGAGCGGTTGACCTCACTTCACAAGGTTGAGTGGAATTAGGAGGGACAAACTTCTGTGACAGGAGCCTGAGGAGCACCAAACAGTAAGTGGAGGAAGAAGAACTCCACGTGGAAATTGATGTGTGGGTGGAGAGGTCAAAAGAAAACTTGGAGGCTCAGCATTATGTAAGCCAATGGGAAAGCGTATTTTAAGAACTGTCTATTGGATTCAGCAGGAAGGAGATCACATATGCATTTGGCAAGAGCAGATTTATTGGCATAGTGACCGGGGAAGCTAAGTTTCAAGGAGTTGAGGGAGTAAATTGGAGGATAAAATGGAGACGATAAGTGAGGAAAATGATTTCCGTTTGGTTGTGAATGGAAGAAGAAAGAGATCCAGGGAAGTAGTTGAAGGATGACTTTGGTTGAGGAAGAGGGAGGGAGTGTGTGTATGTGCGTGTAAGATGGGAAATCTGAACATGTCATATCACCATGTCCATTTGCCTAAGTTATTTGAATATCCTATTTAATAGTGTTTTGCTCTGATTCTTTCCCCTTATTTAATTTTATTTCAGACAAATCTTCCTGAAGCACAGGCAGCCTCTCTCTCTGCAAATCCCTCGGATGCTTCCCTTTTTTAATAGAACCAACTCTAAGCTTCTTAGCATGGCATTTGAGACCCTCCTTCTTCGCTTTCAAATGAGCTTACTCTTTTTCATTAATCATGAAACCTCTCTTTGCATCAAATCAGCTGCCTCCCAAGCTTTTCACAGGCCTCGAATGTTTCCTGCCTCAGCTGTGCAATCTACCTGAAATCCCATTTTCTGACTGCTGCCTTTTTCAGGAGTTGCATCTCAAATAAATCTGAAATGACACCTGTCCTCAATGACCCCATCTGGAAGCATCCTTCTCTCCACTCTGTTCCCCCTCATACACTGAGTCTCTATTACAAGTACAAATGACCATTCTTTATTCTGCATTTGTTCTGTAGATGTCTTACCTCTCTTATTAGATTCTAAGCTCTGGGGAAAAGAACAATTTCTTAAGCTTTGAATGATCCACCACACTCTGTATTGTGTCTCATCTATAGCAAGTGTTTAATAAGTGTTCATTGAATGGAATTGAATTAAAACTAAAAGTCAATAAATATTTAGTGAATCTGCTTACGATCTAAAAGGCATTAGGTTAGGCTTGGATGAATAAACATATGTGAAATGGTCCTAAGATGTACTGAGGACAAAAGAAAAAAAGAAAAATACCAATAATAGGCATTATAAAGCAAGTGATTTCTTTTCATTATGAATTTATTTCCAATGGGTCCAAGCCCTAAATATTAAAGCATTCAAAGACCGACTTAATAATATTACAGAAACAGACAAAGCAATCACTGGGAAAAATTATATTAAAGCATCATAATTTTACATAGCACCATAACTAGTGAATTTAATTTTTCATTTTTTTAATCTGTAACAATATATTTTTAGGTCTACTTAACAAATGTTTAAGGATTGTTTTAAAGGTCTAATCTGGGAAAAGATATATTTGAAGAATCCCTGAAATCTGCTATTTTTTGGAACAAGTCTATACATATATTAAAATAAGGAATTCATTGCAGGACTCAGTTTTTTTTCTTTTGTCATGACGATGTGCTTTTGAAAATTCATGTTTTCCTATTTGCTCCATTCATAAGTATGATTTATATCTCATTCACAGGAATGTTGGAATATTAAAGGGCTTAAAATGAAAGGCGTGCAATGTTGAAAAGCCCTTTTAGTCATTGCCTGTGTGGCCTCTGTCAACACTGTTAAGCATGTCTAGAATGTTTATGTGTGTGGCCTAGACTCTCTGACTCTGTTGTGATGTTTCTGTAGAAAGCAAAGCATCACCAAAATGCCATAACCCACAACAAGAACTAAAGAATGCAAAGCATGTTCTGGGTATTATCCATCGAAGAGTTAATTCTCAAATGGATCATCACATTTGCACTTAGCACAAAACAAGTGGGTACAAAATGCTTGGGAGAAATGCTGTAGCTTTTTCTGGTTGCTTCATGGATGCCGCTCCTGTGCTAATGAGGTCTGAAAGCAGTGGTCTGATATTTTAGATTATCAAAAATATAAACCCTTTCAGGGTCACACTAAGCTGATGCTTAATCTGTTGGAAATAGGTCCAGGAAAACATCAGATTGTTTCATGAAAAATTGGAAAACAACTTAAATATTGAAATAGTTAAAATTAAGGATTCTACAAAAGGAACTCTTACTCTTAGAGTAAGTAAAAATAAAATACACTTCCTCTTCACACGAATGCAAATCCACTCTGTAGAAATGCTATAAAGACTAAGAGTTGATGCTTATTTAAAAAGAAGTGATAGCATTTTCAATAAAGGATAGTCCGAACCATGGAAATAAAGGAGAGTATATCTTTTTGTAGGGTGCGGAAGTAGCTCATAGATATTCTAATCCTATGACTTGTCTCTGACACTCAGAATAGCAGCTTCTTGGTCAGCCACATTGCATTTATATGGGTATAAAAATGTGTTGTCTTCTTATTCCAAGTTTCCAAACAGTGGACTGAATCACACATTGAAATGTTTCCCCTCTCACCAAACATACTGAAGAAATCTTAATAGGTTCCCAATGAAGAAGTCAAAGAGAAGGTTTTTGTGGTAAGAGAACAAGGTAGTTATTTTAAAGAATTACAAAATAGGGCACAAAAAGTTCTCAGTGATTTTTGGATGCGAAATTCTGTTCCACCCATTCTGTCACATAAAAATATCTTTACCACAGTATTATAATACACTGAGGAGGAGAAAATCATGCATATCCTTTTAGAACACATTCATGTGCTCTTAGGATATAATTTTCCACTTTTCTTGAAGTCAAATAAGGGAAAACAGACTATTGCTAACTTCTTTATTTTTTAGTGTTGGCCAGATACTGAGCTTGACAAGAACTGGGGTTATCAATATAGTCTTTCTTTATTATTCTGAACTGGATCTTACATATTAAAATGAAACTTTTCCTGATAATGTCTTTCCTTTTCCCTTTAAAGCCCAGGACACTTTTCCCCCCTGATTTTTACATGTCTTATTTCTACATAAGCAAATGTCTATTAAAATTTGTTTTTTGGGATCCATATTCTGAAATGGTATTCACAGGATCATCTTATCCTGATATTTTTAATTTCACAAGTCGTCTTTGCATTTACCTTTAAAATGAAATCAAAATGATGACCATTGTTGAGATATAATAGTACGAGAAGTTTGGTACTTTATAAACTGAAGACAGAAGGCAGAAAACAGCCTAGATTACAGATTTTTCTTTAAATGAATGCATAAGAGAAATCGAAAGTACTTTATAAACCAAAGACAAAGTTTACTTTTTGGTTCTCATATTTTGTTTTAGTAATGGGATAAACATGGAATGTCATTGCCAACAGTGCAAAAGATTTTTTCTTGTTTCACTGGAATTAAAAAAAGAGAGAAAGATTTCTCCAAGTTACAAAGCTCTCTTCTAAAATCTATAATTCCTTATGGATAGCCTTTTATTTTTGGATGATAAAAACATGGAGGAGAAAGTGGGGATGTCAAGCATGAATTATTAATATTAAACACATTTTTAAAAAATCTGTGGGAGTTTTAGAAGAATGTGGTAAAAGAAATGTCCTAGAAATTCAGCTTCATGAGAAATTGAATATACGTGTTGAAATTTTTCTGAAAGGTCAGTTTTTAAATGATATAAAGGAGGAATGACTGGAAAATTTTGTTTATGGACTGTTTCTTATTTTGAGAACAACTGTGTTGTTTCTGTCTCTGGAGTTCTACTGTGAAATGTCGCTCACCCTTCTCAGCTTTAGCAACTTAAAAGCTCTTTTTGTAGTCAATTCCAAGAATTTCTGATCAGGTTCCAGAAAGACTTACAGCTCTTTCACGAAATGAAATTGTATGGACCAGTAAGAATCCACAAAATTAACAGCATTTGAAAAGTTATCCAATGTTAACTAATAACCAGTCATCACCTAACTCTGAAAATAAAACTTTTTTTTTCTTTAAGAGAAACAAGAAATGAAGATGCCGGGATAATAAACTGTTATGATTTATCAACCCACTACACTGCTGCATTCCTAGCTTTGAACTGTGGTCCTTCCTTTCTTCATTCCTTTCTTTCTTCCTCCTTTCTTTTCTTTCTTTCTCTTTCCTTTAAAAATTTCATTACCAGTGGACTAGTTTTTTTCTTAAAAGCATTCCAATATGGAAGATGTAAAACAGTGATTAGCTTGGAATGAAGTCCAGGTACAGGCCCAGAGTCCAGGCTTCCATCTCCCCTTCTGCATCCCTACAAACAACTGCCAGTTGAAAAAATCTCTCAAAGTTCCAGCCCTCAGAGCCGTACAATTTAGTTGAAGAAGTAAAACTAACTCATATGAAGCAATTAAATTTAACCAACATACGAAGCGCTACATTAGATTATGCAGGCCATGCCATTTGTAGAATGCTGCATTGCTGCCTCTTGCCTGTATTTGTATTTTACCTCATTCTCTGTGATAAATTTGTTTAACGTCTTGCCTTCTATTGGGACAAGAAATATGTTTTTAAAAATTTAAGGGGGCAAATTCATAGTAGCTTTTGAAATATTAGAGAACTAAGATAAGGTAGAAATAAGACCATCCTGGAGATCAAAGAGACAAACCATTAATTTCACTGGGCAGATAAATAATCAACTGAACATTCTAGCCAAAGAGAAATCTCTGCAGCCTGGAGTTCCCAGGGATAAACTGGGATGAAAGATATTTTATATTTTGAAAGTTATTTGATGCACATTAATTTATCTTTTGCTTTATTTCTAAGAATGTTCGATTCCACAGGACTTGTTCAACAAAAGAAAATACATTTCACTTACATGATTACTTAAATCATTCTTAGATTTCTGGGCACTGATAGAAGACATCTATCAATTCATTAGGACTTTTTAATCTACTATGAGCATAAATATTTATATGTTTTTAGAGAGCCAAAGAATAAAAATTATTTCTGTTTTGTGTTATTTCACTTTATAAGAATTTACTCTTTCTAATATGCACATATGTGCCATCACTGGCTTTGACCACATGTCTAGAAAAACAGATATAGAAGTAGAAATTTCATGAAGCTAATAGAAACAGTTCTTCATATACCTTTATGTTGAGTTTGATTGTATTCCATTAATATGATAAATAATCCATTTCTTCAGTAATTTGTTCTTAGGTTGATCATGAAATTATTTAGGGGAGCTGCATAGTACCCCTAGGTACTATGCATAGGCATCGGTACTATAGATACAGATAGTTATTTTTCTCCATTCTTTACTTGCAAGAAAAAATAATGAAGGCACTTCTTCCCCTTCTCCTGCCAAGACAGCAAACATAAACTTAAAAAATTTTAGTACTAACTTGAAACTAATTGGCAGCATTTTGGAGTTTGGTATCCTAGTACAGCTTAAAAAATATCCCAGCCGGGCGCATTGACTCATGCCTGTAATCCCAGCACTTTGGGAGGCCAAGGCAGGCGGATCACAAGGTCAGGAGTTTGAGACCAGCCTGGCCAATACGGTGAAACCCTGTCTCTGCTAAA
The DNA here is from genome assembly GCF_000001405.40 of Homo sapiens. Classification (NCBI taxonomy): domain Eukaryota; kingdom Metazoa; phylum Chordata; class Mammalia; order Primates; family Hominidae; genus Homo; species Homo sapiens. The sequence goes on from NC_000008.11 coordinate 68,995,297, forward strand.
AATACAAAATTTAGCCCAGTGTGTGGTGGCGGGCGCCTGCAGTCCCAGCTACTCAGGAGGCTGAGGCAGAGAATTGCTTGAACTGGGGAGGCAGAGGTTGCAGTGAGCCAGGATTGCACCACTGCATTCCAGCCTGGGTGACAGAGCAAGACTCTGTCTCAAAAAATAAAATAAATAAATAAATAAATAAACAAACAAATAAAATCCCAGATTTCTAGATTGACCAGTCCTGTGAGAATACTTAACTCAGTGATGTCAACTAGCTATCTCACTGCAGCATTGAAAACATTCTACCTTCAAGGAGGAACCTTATATCAACACAAAGCTTTCTTCTGTTCTAAACAGATTACCATTGTACAGAAACAAATGAAATATTTTTGAATCCTATAAAACAGCAAATGGCTAACCCCCCCCAAAGAAAACTGCTAAAGTAATCTTATCCAAAGTAATCAAACCAAAGCACTTGCAATATCCCAGAGATGCCATATTCTTTTCTTAGTACTTTGTAATTCTTTTCATTCTCTCATACTCTTTTATACTTTACCATATTTATAATTCTTTTCCCTCTACTCTTCTACTTCTTTGTCAGGATGTCTACTACTCACTTTTAAAGATAGTGGCAAGGCAAAAACACTCCTAGGGAGACTTCTCTTGCTCCAACCCCATCATCTGCATTTCACTTTAATGAATCTCTATATTTTCATAAAACTTTGATTTACTTCCATGTAAACCCTTACCAATTTGCTCTGCAATTCTATGTATATTTGTCTGTATTCCTAACATGACATGAGGTTCTAGATGGCAGAACCATACTTTCTTCTGTGTATAATCAGTATTTAATACAGTGGCTGCAGTATTACACAGTATCTACAAATGGAATTCCAAACAAGTCATTAAATGAGACAGTGAGTATCACATACTTTTTAAGGATAATGAAAATAGAATAAGCATGATTTTTTGTTGAATAACATTATTCAAGCATACAGAGTAAACCTGTTAGAAACATGCAGGAGATTGCCAGAAATATAAATGTAAGGGAGGCTTTGAAATGTCACTGTTAGTCTTTGAAAGACTGATGACAACGAAGATGTTATAAATAATATCTGACATTAATTGCCCAACACAGTGCTAAGCTCTTTCCATGATTATCTTATTTAAGCCTTAAAACAACCTGGGAGGAGATGTGATTATTAACCTCATTTTCCAAATGAGAGATCTGAGATTTAGCGAGGTTAAATAAGGTGCCCAAACAGCTAATAAATGGTGGAGCTGGAATTCAAGCATCTGCAAAATGACTCCATAACTAGCACATAATTCAAACCTTCTAAATCCAAGGGAATGGGTCATTTTTATAAACTGGTTTTGTTCTTCTGACTTCTTGTTTCAGATTGAAAAATTATACATTTTAGAAATATATTTTACCTAAGTTTTCAAAATTACTATCATGAAATTATTCACAATCTCCATTTAGATCCTTTAAAGGTCTATAGCATTTCTGGTCATATTTTCTTTGCCCTTCTGATATTTGTTAATTGTGCTTTCTCTTGTTCAATTGTCTCACCACGGATTTGTCATTTTAGTTTGTCTTTTGAAGGAAACCACTGTTGGCTTTGTTCATTCTCTTCGTTCTTTACTCCATGAATGTCTTTTCTACCCTGTATTATTTTCTTCCATGTATATTCTTTGAGTATATTTTACTATTCTTTATTAGCTTCTTAGGGTGGATGCATACCTTACTGAGTTTGAGTCTTTCATGTTTTCTAATATGTGCATTTAAGGCTGGCCTTTTTTCTCCCTGACTGCTTTAGTTGTTCCTACAAATTTTAATCTGTCATTGTTAAATACCATTTTGTTAAAAATATGTTTTCTTTTCATTGTGATTTCTTAATAGATGATATGTTATTAAAAAGTATTTCTGGCCAGATGTGATGGCTCAGGCCTATAATCCCAGCATTTTGGAAGGCCATGGCGGATGGACTGCATTAGCCCAGGAGTTTGAGACCAGCCTGGGCAACATGGTGACACCCCACCTCTACAAAAAAATACAAAGAATCAGCTGGGTGTGGTGGCACATGCCTGTAGCGCCAGCTACCTGGGAGGCTGAGTTGGGAGGAATGCTTGAGTCAAGGAGGATCTCTCGAGCCCAGGAGGATGAGGCTGTAGTGAGCCAAGATAACCACTGTACTCTGGCCTGGGTAATAGAGTGAGAGCCTGTCTCAAAAAAAATAATAAAATAAATGTTGACAAGTTTTAAAATATTTTTTCTAATTATGTAGTTCATAATTCTTGGCTTAATTGCTTTATAATTTGAGGGTATGCTCTATTGTTTTCATTCTTTTAACATTTGTTGTAGTTTTTTTTTGAGACAAAGTATGTAATTTTTTAGCAATATTATGATTTGCTTAGAAAGAAAGTTAATTAGCATAAGGACCTACGTTCATCAGATCTAGGTTGCTGATCACATTGTTCAAATCTTCCCAGCTGATGCTAAGCCTTTTTTAAAAAATAGGTTTGCCTATTCCCCCAAGTAGTTCCATCATTTTTTCCGTGATATACTTGGAAACTGTGTTACCAAAGCCATAAAATATAAAATAATTTTTACTTGTATATATAAGTCTTATGAAGTGACTTTTTTCTTTAGCAATGATTTCACCTTAATGCTTTCTCAGTTTAATACTAATATTGCTCTACTAATACCCTTCCAATTTGTATTTACGTGGTATATTCTTCCAACATTTTTTTAGCCTCTGTATATGACTTTGAATAAGATGCATCTCTTATTAACAGAATATGGTTAGACTTTTAAAGAATATTTAATCTTTGCATTCTTTTATATTTATTAACTGTACCATTTATATGTATTTTATAATAATCTTCAGTTAAATCTAACTGTTGTATTACATTTTACATATTTTTCCCCCTGAGGCCGTCATTCATTAAAGTTTCCCAGTAAACAAAATTAATGCAATTTTCAGAAGTAAAAAGTGTTTTGCTAGTTTAGACTTACATGATGATGAGTAAATATGGTTTCTTCTCTGCTCCTAGGCTGAAGGTATGAAAGTGAGTAACACAGAACTGATTAAATTCAATGTAATAATGCAATACAGCAATGTAACCATTTCACAGTTGCATAAAGGGATAGTTTTTCTGTTTTCAATTTCATTGGCTTCTGCTTTCTTATTATTTAATTTTATTTTTATTTTTTTCTTTTTGAGACAAAGTCTCACTCTTTCACCCAGGGCTGGAGTGAATTGTTTCCTATAAGCAATCCTATAAGCAATCTTGGCTCACTGCAACCTCTGCCTTCTTGGGTTCAAGAGATTCTCCTGCCTCAGCCTCCCAAGTAGCTGGGATTACAGGTGCCCACCACCAGGCCTGGCTAATTTTTGTATTTGTTGTAGAGATGGGTTTTCACCGTGTTGGACCAGCTAGTCTTGACCCCCTGACCTCAAGTGATCTGCTCGCCTCGGCCTCCCAAAGTGCTAGGATTACAGGTGTGAACCACCACGCCCAGCCTGCTTTATTATTATTATTTCATTCATTCTGCTTCTTTTGGTTTTGTTATGCTCTTCATTTGCAAAGTTCTTGAGGTGGAAACTTTGCTTATTGATTTTGACTTTTTTCTAGTATATATATTTAGTGCTATCAATCTGTTAGCACTGCCCTATCTGCACCCTATACATTTTGAAATGTGTGTTCATTTCTTTCAGTACAATGTATTTTCTAATTTTTCTTGATACTTTATTTTTGATAATGCTCTTTTTTAGAATCTTTTTCTTGGTCTGCATTTTTTGGTATTTTAGGGTTGCCAGTTTCATCAGCATAAAGTCTGAGATATTTCAGGCACAAAGAAAACCCAGGGCCAGGTGTGGTGGCTCATGCCTGTAATCCCAACATTTTGGGAGCCCTAGGTGGAAGGATCACTTGAAGCCAGGAGTTCAAGACCAACCTGGGCAACAAAGTGAGACCATCCCTCTACAAAAAAAAAAAAAAAAAAAAAAGAAGCCAGGACTGGTGCGTGAACCTATAATCTCAGCTACTTGGGCTGCTGAGGAATGATGATCACCTGAGCCTGGGAGCTCAAGGCTGCAGTGAGCGGCATTCATGCCACTGCACTCCAACCTGGATGACAAAACAATACACTGACACTGTCTCAAAAAAAAATTACACAAAACTCATCAGCATGTCATTTCTTGAGTCCTAGGGCTGTTAGCTGGACTGCCTTCTTCTCTCTACCTTTCAGAGTTTTCTTACCTTTGGTTTATGTACAATGTGCATAGTTTTTTATTTTTTATTTTTATTTTTTATTTTTTGAGACAGAGTCTCTCGCTCTGTCACCCAGGCTGGTGTGCAGTGGTGCGATCTTGGCTCACTGCAAGCTCCATCTCCTGGGTTCACGCCATTCTCCTGCCTCAGCCTCCTGAGTAGCTGGGACTACAGGTGACTGCCACCAGGCCTGGCTAATTTTTTGTATTTTTAGTAGAGACGGGGTTTCACCGTGTAAACTAGGATGGTTTCGATCTGCTGACCTTGTGATCCACCTGCTTTGGCCTCCCAAAGTGCTGGGATTACAGGTGTGAAAGAACGAACAACTCCAGACTTGCTGCCTTTAAGAGCTGTAACACTCACTGCGAAGGTCTGCAGCTTCACTCCTGAAGCCAGCGAGACCACGAACCCACCAGAAGGAAGAAACTCCGGACAAGTCTGAACATTAGAAGGAATAAACTCCCGACACACCATCTTTAAGAACTGTAACACTCACCGTGAGGGTCCGCGGCTTCATTCTTGAAGTCAGCGAGACCAAGAACCTACCAATTCCGGACACACTAGGAATACATATAACAAGAATTACATGAGACCTCTGTAATAGAAACAGTAAAATTTGGCTGGGCATGGTGGCTCATGCCTGTAATCTCAGCACTTTGGGAAGGCGAGGCGAAGGGATCACAAGGTAAAGAGATCGAGACAATCGTGGCCAACATGGTGAAACCTTGTCTTTACTAAAAATGCAAAAATTTTTAGTAAATTTTTCCTGAAGTGGCAGGCTGGGTGTGGTGGCACGTGCCTGTAGTCCCAGCTACTCGGGAGGCTGAGGCAGGAGAATGGCTTGAACCCGTGAGGCGGAAGTTGTAGTGAGCCGAGATTCTGCCACTGCACTCCAGCCTGGCGACAGAGTGAGATGCTGTCTCAAACAAAAAAAAAAGAAAAGAAACAGTAAAATTTTACTAAAGAATGTGAAGAAGGTGTGAATAATATGGAAGACATACTGTGTTTCCAAATGGGAAGACTTAAAATGGTGAAGGTAACATTACTCTTCTAACGACATATGTATTTAGTTGAATCAAAAAAAAAAAAAAAATCCCGTGGTAGTTACTGTAAGATCATGACCATATGATTAAATTTTCATCTGAAAAAAATTTAATTGTAAAAATAGAATAATTTTGGATAAACAAGGTGTGTGAGTATGGCAGTGGCCCCTGGAAAAGACTCTGTTCCCTCCCTTGGTGTCATAATATTCTATGACATTTCAAGGATCAAAAGAATATGATTGTGATGCTAACATCAATACAGGTCAATGGACACAAAGTTACCAAAGTATGAAAAATACAATATGTAAGAAATTAGCACTTTGCATTGGTAGCAAGATTAATCGTTTAATCATGCTGGAATAATTAATGAACTTTTAGCCAAAAAATACAATCTGTTTTTACCGTGTATCACACAGCAAAATGAATTATACATGCAGAAAGATTTAAGTCTAACTTAAATTTAAATGTTCAAGATAAAATCACAATAGCACTAGAAAACAATGAATATTGATACTATCTTGGAACTTGAGAAAACTTTCTAAGCATAAATCCAAAGGTAAAGACCTTGAAGAAAAACATTAATAGATTTGATTACTTTAAAAGTTTGAAGAAATTATCATAACAAAATTGAAATACCATGAGTAAGCTAGAAAAAAATGGATTGCAATACAGTAATGGATAATATATTACTCTATTAGTCTGTTAGAGCTAGACACATAACACTGCAGTCTATGTATCTTAAATAATAGAGAAAAAGAATAGAAATGTATTTTCTCACAGTTCTGGAGGCTGGATGTCCAAGATCATAGTGTCAATAGGGTTGGGTTCTTCTGAGGCCTGTCTTTTGCGCTTGCAGATGACCACTTTCTTGCTGTGTCCTCACGTGGCCTTTTCTTTATGCACTCACATCCCTAATGTCTCTTCCTCTTCTTTAAAGGACATGAGTCCTATTGGATTAGGGACTCACCATTATGACCTCACTTAACCCTAATAAACTCTTTACAGGCTTTATCCCAAATACAGTCACATTAGGGGTTAAGGCTTCCATATAGGAATTTGGGGGGAACACATGTAATCCATAACAGTTATATCTGTATAAATGATAAGATTCTTCCCATCAATAAAGAAAATGTGAACACCACAATAAATAAGTGGACAAATGGAAAAATAAAAAAATTCACTGAGAGAAGTATAGATGCCCAATTAAATGAGGAAAGTGATTCAGCTCACCTGTAATCAAAGCATGGCTTACTCAACTGGAAGAGATATAACATGTTTTTGCTTATCAGACAGGTAAAAATCAAAATTAAAATAATAATTAGTAAAATTAGAGAAAAAATTATTTCTTGCATTTCATGACTGACCTTAATTCTCTTTTATTAGCTCAGAGCTAAAACTCTATTTACATTTTGGGAAAAAAAAGTCTAAATGTTTTCTCTGAGGCATTTGAACCAGAGGGATTCCATCTTGAATAGGGGCTGGGTAAAATGAGACTGAGACCTACTGGGCTGCTTTCCCAAGAGGTTAGGCATTCCAAGTCACAGGGTAAGACAGGAGGTTGGCACAAGGTCACAAAGACCTTGCTGATAAAACAGCATGTGATAAAGAAGCCAGCTAAGTCCCACCAAAACCAACATGGCAATGAAAGTGACCTCTGATCATCCTCACTGCTCATTATATGCTAAGTGTAGCATTAGCATGCTAAAACACACTCCCACCAGTGCTATGACAGTTTACAAATGCCATGACAACATCAGGAAGTTAACCTATATGGTTTAAAAATGGGAGAAACCTTCAGTTCTGGGAACTGCCCACCCCTTTTCCAGAAAACTCATGAATAATCCATCCCTTGCTTAGCATAAAATCAAGAAGTAACAATAAGTATAAGCAGCTGAGCAGCCCATGCTCTTGCTCTGCCTATGGAGTAACCATTCTTTATTCCTTTACTTTCTTAATAAACTTGCTTTCACTTTATGGATTCACCTCAAATTCTTTCTTGTGCAAGATCCAAGAACCCTCTCTTGGGGCCTGGATCAGGACCACTTTCTGGTAATAGTTTGACAGAAATTTTTACTTTGTAGCTAATCATTAAGTGTTAAATAGGTTAGTACATTATCTAGGTGGTAAGCAAATTTGGAATTTAAAATATCAAGGTTTGTATTAGAGCTTAGAAAAATCTATGAATTGAATATTAAAATTCTGACTAAAAAGAAAGCCAAGAAAATTGCTTTTTAAAGGAATCTGCTTAGAAGGTTATGACTGCCACTTGCACTAATAGGGACAACATATTTAGTTAAAGAACAGGACACAGAAATTTAGAAGTGCCATCATAACATGGTATGCAGGAATTTTATTAAGCATATCTGTAGTGGAAAGAACAAAATATTACAACAAACAAGCTTATAATTCTGATAGTGGTAAAATGATGGAACATTTAAAATAGCATATTTTAAGATGTGTAAACTCTTAAAGTGTACACTTGACAGACCTTTTCTCAGAAAGCTACCTAAGGATGTGTAATAGTCAGTGAAAAAGTGAATCAACATAGAGTAATGAAGAAGGCAGAGAACATATAACAAACAGTGGTGATCACATAAACCTGTAAAATAAATAGCAAGTTTAAAACCCATAATGAAAGAGCCTATTACACTTCTAATTTAAAGACCATAGTGAAGCAAGAAGTACTATGCTGAGTTAAAAGCTGTTTAGTTGAGTGTCAGTGGAACTACAAAAGATATGTGGCTCCACAGGCACCCGAAACATCCATAAGAAGGAAGACTCCCTGGACATGAGGTTGTTCAATGAGGTTAGAGACCTACATTCTCTTGGGAAGCTGCTGATCTAACCCCAGATAACCTTTGATCCACTCTGATATTTGATTGCTAGAAAACCATGTAATAGCTTCCAATTGTAAATTTTTACATAGAAAACATCATGAAGTGCTCATTCTAGTTCTTACCATATTTTGAGATTAGTTTATTCAAAGTTCACACTGTGAATGATACATTCATATTTTTGTCATAAAAACCATAGCAGTTGCAAATTTAAGATAAATTTACTTTAAAAGTTAAGCTATTGAGGTTAAATATTTGATTTATAATTTTGTCATCATGTGTCTTAAAAAATCATAACCCAGGTAATTTAGATTAATCTTTAAGAAATGTTCACCCAAAGTGAAATGGTATATAGCAACTGGCAGAATTTTTTTAAAAAAACCAGTTGGAAATATTGAAATTAGAATATAATAAGTTAGACCATCAACTGACTGTACCCAAGAAAACTTCCTGGGATTCTCAAAGACTAACACCTACATTTTAAAGGTTTTGTCTGGAATAATGTTTCTTTTGATATCAACATTTGTTACATTGTTAATTTATTCAAAAGTATATCTGTGATATTTCATATGAGCCTATTACATATTCAAATACTTAAACTCTCAACATGGATTAATGTCCATGAAAGTAATTGTCCTTAATCAATTCCTTAATGTAGATAATACCACTTGTCAGTATAAATAATGTTTTAAGCTCAAGAAGCAGGCTCCTTAGTTTACGATAATCATTTTATGTAGGAGATAATTACCCAGAATTTCACAAACATGTTCAAAATTCACATAGTTTTATTCTCCAGCAGGAACCTGCCTTAGTTAATAGTTTTAGGGAAACAGAATTCTGAAGCTGATGGAGTATTTAATTTGAGGTAATAAGTGATAAATTTCACAATAGAACTACAACTAGAACCCAATCGATGAATTTGATAATGACTGGCTCTTTGCTATTGAGGACATGAGCAGCCACATTGATAAAATAGCTGATTAACAGAGAGCTATCAGTTAAGGACAGAGGAGAGCCACTAACATACATTCATCAGGATGTCATTTGCAGTCTTTTTATACAGGAATGTTAGTGGTTGGCTTCAGATCCTCTGTCTTAATTCAAACTGTCATTATGTAAATCAGTGTGTGAAGCCGGGTCTCTGCCAAAAAATATATCTTGTGAAATCTGCACATCCTTATAGAAATTCAAGTGAATTTGCCTAACTTACAAATGTGTGTAATTGGATAAACTAAAGTTTACTAGTTCAAAGGAAAACAAAATGTTTATAGTGGACACTAGACTTATTATATAAATTAGTTATTTTTTTCTCAAAGTGCTTTGATTTAAGTATATATATTTGTATTATACCCACTATTGGGTTTGTCTTACAGACTTTACTAGTGTCTGCATAAATGGCCTGAATAGAGATGATGATCAGGCCCTCAGCCTAAAGAACATTCCATTCACCCTCACCATTAGGTATTCATTACTTTGAATTGAATTTGTAGTCCCTATTGAAATGCAAACATGTCTGAAGGGGGTTACATATATATGATGCAAATCTCAGTAACATTTCATTATTCATCCTTTATTAGAGTGCATCAAGTTCACTGAAAATAGGTTTTGGTGTGTCTGAGAGGGGAAGAAAAGGTCTGGAATCTGAGACAGTCTAAGATGAGTCTTGGTTGGAGAGGCTTATATAGCAGGAAGACTTCAAAAGATCAAAAAAAGGAAGAGAAGAATGTCAAGGCAGAACAAAATAGGATGATATTGAATTTCAGTAACAAACCATGTCTAATTCATATTCTTAGCTTTTCTCACGGTGAGCTCTACCTGCCAGAATCAAGTGTTCAGTAAGTCCTGGGCAAATTTTGATATAGACTGTGCCAAACCTACAAATAAATTATCCAAAACTGATTTATATGCTAGTTATTTAGAATCTAGAAAACATATTCACAGAGAAACAACGCTTTATCACAGAGATAGGATTCTGATCCACCCCTGAAATTTTGTGTAAATGATGATAGACATATAATACTGATTGACTAGTTGTCTGTTCCTACATAACAAGCCACCACAAAATTTAAAGAGTTAGAACAACGTTTTTATTATTTCTCACAATTCTATGAGTGACTGGTTTTTCAGCTTCATGTGACGCTGTCTTGGGTTGCAGTGATCTGGGAGCTGGATGGCTGAGAATGTCCAAAATGGCACACTCACATGGTTGGCAGTTGAAGCCGGCTCTTGGCTGAGAGCTCAGCTGGCTAACAACCAAAGCACTTACACATGGCTTCTCATTAGAGTTGGCTTCTTAGAGCATGGCTGTTGGTTCCAAGAGAGAGCATCCCAAAAGCACGAGTGCCAAGAGGCAGAAAAAAGAAGCTGTTTAGCCGTTAAGAGTTACACTCAGAACTGGCAAGGCATCACTTCAGCCATATTCTGTCAGTCAAAGCAGTCACAGAGCCCACCAAGATTTAAGGGAATGGAGAAATAAACTCTATCTCTGGATGGAAGAAGAGTGAAGTCACATTTCATAAGAAGATGTGAGATTGGAAGCACCTGTCTGACTGTCTTTGGAAAATACAATCTGTAACTGTTACCATCTCCTACTACAATGTAAATGAGTTTACCATTATGTAAGGAGATAGTTGGGATGCACTGTACTAAGACTGAGAAATTTTAGGCTTCACAGTCAGGTCTACTTAACCTCTGAATTTTAGTAACCTCCTCTAAAACATGGAATGTTATAACAATAATGATTTAAACCTCTTGTTCAGTGCCTATACAATATACCAGATTATTTTTAAATGACTTATGCATATTTAATCCTAATAAGAGCTCTATGAAGTAAGTTATATCATCATTCCTATTTTAGAGACAGGTAACTGAAATAAAAAGGAGTAGAAACTCTCCCAAACTTACATAAACAACAAATGACAAAACTGAGATTTCTCATAAGGATTAGATCAGGTAATACATCTAAATGTAAAATGAATGGCCATATTATCATCATGATATTTAACTATCTAATTCATAATATTTTAAAATTAAATGCAGTTTAAGTATAGATATTTCAAACATGCAGAAGAGTTTAGAGAATAATATAGGAAAGATACATAATGAACTAATACATATTATTCAGTAATTATCTGACAAATATCAGGCAGGCACTCAGGCTCTAGCTGTCATTGTTATTATTGTAGCCAGTCTCCTGTTTATATAAAAATATAGTCCTTAATACACTACGCAGCCTGAAGTAATCATGGTGGAATTACAAACGAAAATTCCCTCGCAATGTTAGTACCCTTCCCTAACTCATTCCCTGCCAATTCACAGCCCAGGAGCATGTAGAGTGTAGTGAACTGTCCAATTTTAACCTTTACTGAGAGCTGTACTTTTCCCATAATTATACAGATGTCTACCTTGTAAATGTTCAATGTTAGGGATAATTTGAGGAGTAAGGTAAAGAAAACAATTCTTTGGTAGCCCCAAGAAACAAGGAACTTAAGAGGAATCCAGACCTAAGTAGGATATGTGGGGCAGAGAAGGAAATTAAGCTGAAGAAATAAAATATCCTCAATTCCAGCACACCAGGTGTTTTTAAATGTGCTGCCTTGCCAAGTGAAAGTAAGCAGACTTTTATACAACAATAGGGCTTGTTCTAGTATCTCTATATTTAGGAGAAGCCAGAACATGCGTTCCATTTTGACAGGAATAGTCCTTAAATAACAGAAATCCTTAAATAATTTTAATAGCTTTTTACACAAAAGTGCCCCAATTTGGACAGTAAATTATATGGTCATCCTACCTAGCTTCAGTCAATAAAATTACTATTCCTCTGGTCACCCAACAGAAACTTGAGTTTTATCTTATGTTTTCTTGGCTTTTTTTTCTTATTGACTTAATTAATTATTTATTTATTTATTCAGCAAGCATCTACTCACCATCTAGGATGTGCCATTCATTGTGTTTGAGAGTAAGGATTCAAAGACAAATAGAAGGTAGTTTGTGTTCCCAAGGAGTTTATAGACTTGCAGGAGAGACAGTCATATGAATATTACTAAAAAATTTATCATAAGTGAAATGATAAAATACACATATTGTAGGACAAGAGGTGGGAATACATCAAGGATATTTTGGAGGAAGTGGATCTGAAGTCTTAATGGAAAATTGAGATAGCTGAGTAGAGGAGGTGAACAGGGATATCAGTGGAGGTGATATTCATTTTCTATTGTTTCCTAACAAACTACCACACACCTAGTGGCTTTAAACAACACACATTAATTATCTCTCAGTGTCTGTAAGTCAGAAGTCTGGGCATAGCACTGCTGGATTCTCCTCTCAGGGGCTGAAATCAAGGTGCTGGCAGGGCCCCAGTTCTCTGTGAGGTTTGGGGGTCTTCCTCCAAGAGCACTGGTTGTTAGCAGAACTCATGTCTTTGCAGCTGGAAAACTGAGGTCTCCATTTTCCTTCTAGCTGTTGGCCAGGAATCACTCTCAGCAACTAGAGGCTACCCTCAGATTTTTTGCCAAATGGAGGTTCACAGCACAGATGGTTGCTTTCTTCCAGGCTAGACAAGTGAGTCTTTGTGAGAATTAATTATTTGTGATTTCTCCTACAAACATGTCATGCTGCTTATCACCTCCGTGGTAGCTGAATTCTAACTCCCCTGCTCCCCACCTGATTCCTGGTCTCTGATGTACACAAACCTTCTTCTAGGTGTTCAATCAAACACTGATCTAGCTCCTGCTATGAAGGGATTTTGTGGATGTAATTAAATTTCCATGTTTTTTGGCCTTAAAATAGGGAGCTTATCTAGGGAGTCTGACCAAATCCATACCCAAAGAGCTCAGCATCATGGGGCCTAGCATTTCAGACTTCATCCTACAGTTCAGTGTTTGCCAAAGGGTGGCCTGTAGCCCTCTTGTTTATGAATCATCTGTTGTGCTTACTAAAAATACAGGCTAAAAGTTTTTACGTAGTTATGTATATAATAGAGATCTCAGGTTCACAGAAATAAGTTGATTATAATCCTCAATCCATGGCATGCAATCATTATTTGTCACTTTCAAGGTCTCTCTTCTGTTTTATATTAGTTTTTCCTCCTCACCCCCATTTTCATTTCTACTCCCAATTCTTACATACACAACCACTCTAGTGTACCTAACATTGTCCTGCTAATCCACCTTCTATGTGTTAATGAAATATATGCACATCTTTGAATAATATATGTTATTTTGTTTGTATGTATTTTATTAGTTTTTTCATATATGATATTGTGCTATAAATCTAATGTGGTTTTGTTTGTCTGTTTCTTTCTTTCTTTCTTTTTAATCCACTGGTCACTTTTACTTAGTGACTGCCGTAAAGTGTTTTGTCCTAAACAGAACCACATTTTGCTCATTGACTCCTCTGGGGATGGAAATCTGAATTCTTTCCAACTTCTTGTAATCACATCTTGTATTCCCTTATCTGTGAGAGTTTCTGGTCATACTACTAAATGAAGTAAGTCACTCAATTGTTACCTATCTCAGCTGTAAAAGAGAAACAGCCATTGCTTTTTCTTTGGTAATCTAGTAACATTGTTGATGTCCCATATTTTTATTGTAACAATTCATGTGTTCAGCAGGGCAATTTGGGAAAATTCCAGAAAATAAACATGTAAGGAAAGTGGTTACACAATGACCCAAATAAGATATGCCTTTGATAGAAACAATTCTGGTCAAACTTGCTACACAAATATCATTTTTTCAATATAATTATTTTAGATAACATGATAAAATAAATGTAATGCATTGCTATAACACAAGATTCTATAACTTTTTTTTACTTTTATACAATTACTTTTTACAAATTGGGTAATATCATACATATGGCTGCTTTTTCAATTATGAACATTTTCACTTCATTGACTTTTTAATAAAAATATGATTTATATGTATTTAAACATTTTCTTTTTACTTTTGCACTTTATAGCATATAACATACAGGTAGAACAGTGAACAAGTCATTGATAATGACTTGATAAATAATGTTTGATAATGATAATGTTTGATAAATGTTCATGAAGAAAAAAGATTGGTATTAATTTGAATGTGAAGTTGTTTCCAACTTCCCAATCCATAAAACTTTATTTACAGTTCTGATTTTATTTTCCTTGGAAAGATTCCTAGAAATTGAGTTACTAGTTAAATAACATAAGAATTTTAAAAATACTTTGTATATATTGGCAAATACCTTTTGGGAAAGATTGAATCATTTCATAGATTCAATAAAAGAGCCTATGGGAGAGCATTTGTACCATTCATTGGAGAGTACTAGTGCTCTGTTAATATTTTCTAATTGGATAGGTAAAAAAAAAAAAAAAATCTCATTATTGTTTCAGTTTTTATTACTAAAAAGATTGTGCTTTTTGACATCTGTTACCCTGTAAATTATCTCTCCTCTGGTCATTTTTTTTCCCTACTTGAGGGTTAGTGATTTTAAAAATTAATTTTAAAAATAGTTTATATACTAAAGATATTGGCCTTGAGTAATACTTGTTACAAGTTGTTATCCACTTCTATTGCTTTACAATTTCTAGACATTTTACATGTAGTTTTAATTTTTTCAAATATATTGATACAAATAATACAAGGTTAAAAAATTCTAGAAAGTTTATTCTATTTATATATATCATCTATCTGTATCTTTCTATCTCTTTATCTCAGTCTCTCATGACAAATGTCTCCTTTAAGAGAGATATTTTTATTAGCTCTTTTAGCATTTATATTCATATATCTAAATAGCATATTTATGCTATTTGTTGATTTTTTAATATCTTTATTAGAAAAACCTTTATCAAATCTCGACAAAAATATATCAAAAAGTATCTATTTTTTTGGCTCCCTATGATGAAGATTTAGCTCTTGTTTTGCTGCCCCACCACCCTCCACTCCCATCCTCATACTACTCAGCCACCCATATAAATACAATAATAATATTGCTCAGGTAAATATTTAGCGCCTATATTATCAAGACTGTGCAATGGTATTCATAGCTGAACCGTATACAGAGTCTATAATTACTATTCTCCTTCATTACAACTTTTTGTTTCTCCTGAAGAAACAAATCTCTTGCTTTTTGTTTGCTTACATTTCTATATTTTATGTCTTTCCCTGAGTTGTGTAACTTGCTTCCTAATACCTTAAAAAATAACAGATATCCTATCAATTTCATCTGCCAAAAGATATCTCTCCCAGAGCCTCTGAGCAGCTGTAGTCTGTGCATCTGCTCCCTAGGCCTGCTGTAAAGATATTGTCCTCACAGGCCTTTCTTTTGTCATCTTCTGGGGGAGTTCTCCACCTCCAGTGTGTATCTGAACCATGGTTTTCTGGAATCTGTGCTTTATCTTTTCTTTGTTTAATCCCTTGCTTTGATTGAAAACTGCCTTAAAATGATGCATATCTGAGATGGTCCTTATCATTCCCTCACACTTAATCAATAGTCTGGCTATATGAAGGTATTTCAGGACTGAATGGTGAGATATCTCTCGCACACTCATTTCCTGGACTCAGTTCACAGAATTCTGGCTACCAGGAAATACCCTCCAGGCAGGAGATTGGAAAATTATTTTCTGTGGAATCTTGACCAGCTCAAGAGTAAAACTAAAGATGATACTAACATCCTGAGGTCCCTAATGAGGTGAAATAAGCTGCCCAGACCATTATCCTGCAGGTGACAAATTCCATTTACGATTTTCCTCAGAACTTTGAAGGCATTGTTTTCTTTTCTTCTAGTTACAATGGTTACTGTTGATAGCTTCTCTTCATTACAATTATTTTATACTTTGAATATAATCTGAATTTCCCCCCTTTTTTGGAGGCCTATAGGATTTTCTTTTAGTCCACAGTGCTTGAAATTTAATAATGTTGTACCTTGGTGTGTTTTCATATTTATCCATTTGTAATAAACAATCAATGTGCTTTTTCAATATGGAAACTCTTGTCCTAGAAAAAAAAACACTGAAATATTTTGCTTATTTTTCTCCTCTTCTTTTTCCTTGTTCTGTCTTTTTTCTCTCTTTAATATCTATTTTTTTTTCTGGGATCAAGCATCCCAGAATAATACTCCGATTTTCTTATATTTTCCCTCTTATGTTTCATCTCCTTATCTTTCTTGTCTACATTCTGGAAGATTTTTATCATCTTTATTGTTCTTTTTTAAAATTTTTGCTATTATACTTACACTTTTTTTTCTTGGTGTGGTCCTGTTTTCCAAGTAGAATTTAAAAATACAATCCCATTGACATTTTTTGGAGACCATACTTCTTTTATTCCTCTGAGAACTATATAATTGTTTAAGTTTATATGTCCTCGTATATCCTCTCTGTTGTCTGTGAGTAGCTTTTTTCTTTTTCTGTTTCATGTTGGAGTTTTCTCTGGATATCTAGTTTTCTTCGGTTGCCTGTTAAAATGTTGCAGGTGCGAAAGCACTGATGGAAGTTTTTCTGTGCATATGGTGGTCGATTGTAGTCTTCTCGGTAGAGTAATGGACTGAGCTAATTTTGTTGCTGCTGATGGTGTTGCTGTATTGAGGAGCCCACAACGTAAGCACTTTTAGCTTTTCTCTTCAGTTGTTCAATGTTCCACTGAAAAGAATCTACTGTCCCGCCTGCCAAAATTCTGTGAGTTGATTCCAAGCAAGAGGTGAAGGAGAAATTTCTTAGCATTCAACGTGTATACTTTCCTTAATCTGCCTCTTTTCCGCATGATAATTCTGCCTACAATTGTGCCTGGTGTCCTCCAATCTAGAAAACACCTTTTCTTGCTCTCCAGAGAATATACCCCCAGCTTTCTACCAGATAGAAAAGGAATGGTTTCTCAGATCTTTTCCTAGTGGCAGTGGTTGGGGGTAAAGACAACTACTTATTAAGCACAGTTTCAACCCATCCCTTTCTTTTTAGCTTTAACCTCACTCCCACTTTCAGGGGTACCTGGTACCATCAATTACTGAACTTTGGGGGGTCTGTAGTACAAATCAAGTTGCCTCTCAGCTTTCTCTACTGCTGAAAGAATTCCATTTTCTCATTTTACTAAAGCAGTTATTCATAATCCTTTTGCATCCAAAATTTGCATCCAAATTTTGTTATTGTCATCTTCACTCCTCTTTGTCCTTGTGGGTTTGCAGTTTCTTTACCTTTAGCAATCTGTCATTTTAGTGGATCTTGGCAAGAAACAGAGGCAAACATTTCCATTCAATCTCTCCTTCTTACAATTTAATGTTAGCTTTTGATATAGAAATATTTCATTTTGATAAAGTTGCATTTAGTAATATTTTCCTAGAAAATTCTTTTCTTTGTTTTTAATACTTCTTATGTCTGTCTGTGCTCTGAAATCAATTACATATTCACTCCCACTTTCTTCTACATTTTATGATTTCATTTATAATCAATTTTTAAATCCACCTGGATGTTTTCTATGTATATATTCTTTAAATATTTACTTAATGTTCCTGCATCGTTTGTTGAATAATTCATTTTTCTCCTATTATTTCATAATACTTTATTTATTATCATTCAATTTTTATAAATTCTGAAATCTGTTTTAGGAATGCTTTTTCTAACTTATGGATACATTGATTTATTATCATGACTGTATCATAGTGCCACATCATACAGTGATTTGAGGGTTCTCATTAAAAAGGAACAAAAACAAAACCTCCTAATTATTTTTCCTTGGAGATGAGTAAGATAATCAGGTGCCAAGTGTGCATAGATTCTTTGTTTCGAACACAAAAGAAATCTTTTAGTTTTTAATCTAGCTAATCTGGAATTAGCTAAATTTGAAAGTGCAATTTTTAAATTTAAATTCAGTGAATACATTTGCAGATATTTTACTGAGCGGAAGAACAATGAGTTTAAGATAATCAAAAGTAACCTTGGTGTTTAATTCTCTTAAAATTTATTAAATCTGCAATTGTTACATTTTATTTAGTTAATTCAGGTTCATTGGTTTTAATTCAATTCACGGTTTTTGTTTAATTTCTTCCTATACTAACCCAGAGACAAATGTTTTTCTGTTCTGTGGCAGAGACACTGGGGGTGCTGGCATTTACTGTAAAAGCTGTGTGTGTGTGTGTGTGTGTGTGTGTGTGTGTGTTGGGGGTGGGGCAGTGGGTGTTAGGTGAGAACAGGTAGGGTGGTATGATGGACTGAATTGTGTCCCTCTCCCCAAATTCACATGTCGAAGCCCTAATCCCCAGTATAACTGTCTTTGGAGATACACCCCTTAAAGAAGTAGTTAAGGTGAAAAGAGTTGGTAAGTGTGAGGCTCTAATCCAACATAACTGGTGTTTTTCTAAGAAGAGCAAGAGACATCGGGGATGCCCACACACAGAGGAAAGGCCACGTGAGCACATGGCTAGAAGGTGAACAACTACAAGCCAAGGAGAGATGCCGCATGGGGAACTAAACCTCTTGACATCACGATCTTAAACCTCCATCCTCCAGAACTGTAAGAAAAGAAATCTGTGTTGTTTAAGCCACCCAGTCTGTGAGATTTTGTTACGGCAGCTGTAGCTAATACAGATAAATAGATTTAGAAGATCTGCTTGTTTGTCCCTTCCCATTCACTGGGCACAATTAGGAAAATTGACATTATTATATTTTTCTTCTTAAAAAAAAATCCTTACTGCAATCTACTAAACTGACATCATGACCCACTAATGGATCATAACACAAAGTGTTTTGTTCGGTTTGGTTTGGTTCAAGACACGGTCTTGCTCTCTCACCCAAGCTAGAATGAAATGGTGCAATCATAGCTCACTGCCACCTTAACCTCCTGGGCTCGAAAAATCCTCCCCCCTCAGCCTCCCCAGTAGCTGGGATTACCAGTGTGCACCAAATATTTAGATTTTTTGTGGAGGCAGGGTCTTGCTATGTTGCCTAGGCTGGTCTCAAACTCCTGGCCTCAAGCATCCTCCCACTTCAGACTCCCAAAGTGCTGGGATTATAGGCATGAGGCACCATTCCTGGCACAACACACAGTTTTTAAAATTCAGATTTATTCTACCATATCAACACCAGGGGTCCACAGGGCAGGCAGAAGGAATGAAAAACCACTCATGTGTGGCCATGGAGCACACTTCTAGAGACTACAGGATCCTTAGCTAGGTCACCAGCCCAGACAGAAGAAGCTGCTTGTGCAGAACTTCCTACTGCTCAGGACACCAGCCACTTCAGCACTCTGCCAACACTTGTGTCTGGTCATACTACTAAACGAAGTAAGTCACTCAATTGTTACCTATCTCAGTTGTAAAAGAGAAACAGCCCTCAGCTTAGTATCAGACATTGTTTGATTACAGTGACTTATGTGTAACAGTTCCCTGAAAAATAAAATTAAAAATATGTGCCAAATTAGAATATCTAATTGCTTATAATGTATCTTCCCTTAGTATTTTCTCTTCTCAAAATCTCTACAAGGAAGAGTCATAAATAAGATCATAATGGTTGTAAAATAAAACAAACGAATGAGTTGGGTAAATTTGGGAAATTTCTACCAATTAAGCATTCCACTCTTTGATATTAAATCTTTTAACAAACACAGACCAGTTGGATGCATCATGTGATTTTTGAAAAACAGAACCTTATTTGGTTATGGCCTATGAAGTCAGTTGAATCCAATTAATTTCATTTTTTTGAGTTGGATGCTTTACTCTTTTGATTTTTTATTATAAAATAATATGCACAGTATAAAAACTTAAAGAGCATAGTAAATTACTTTTTAGAAAGCTTTAGAAATCTTTACAATGTCACCTCTCAGAATAAAGACTGCGAAAATTAGTTTTGGCCCTAAGAGGGAGAGAAAGATGAAGGAAAGAAAGAGATGGGAGAAGCCTTCAATTCTGTGCCTTGGCCCCTAAACTACAACTCTTCAGATCTATAGTGAAACTCCTGACCTGTTGTCCTAGCAGCAATGCATGGATGTTTGTGGATGCTAGTGGATGGGTTGTGTTTCTCACAGGCACTGGGACAGGAGATGGAGAGCATGGGGGTTGATGGGCTACAAGGCTATTTCTCTCTTATATGCTATGAATATTGTCCCGTATTTTCACTGGACTCACATTATATCTATATATCTATATCTCTATCTATCTATCTATCTATCTATCTATCTATCTATCTATCTAATTTTTTTTTGAGATGAATTCTTGCTCTGTCGCCCAGGCTGGAGTGCAGTGGCATGATCTTGGCTCACTGCAACTTCCACCTCCCAGGTACAGGCGATTCTCCTGCCTCAGCCTCCAAGTAGCTAGGATTACAGGCGCCTGCCACCATGACCGGCTAATTTTTGTATTTTTAGTAGAGACAAGGTTTCACCATGTTGGCCAGGCTGGTCTGGAATTCCTGACCTCAGGTGATCCACCCACCTTGGCCTCCCAAAGTGCTGGGTTTACAGGTGTCAGCCACCAAGCCCAGCCCATCTTATGTATTTTTAAAATCTAAATCAGTTGATTTGCATTTGACCCTGATGTGACTTCACTTGCCCCTTGTGTCTCTTCCTTTGGAGGCCAGGATGACCATCAGTCTTGCCATCGTGGCCAGGTCTAGGCAAGTCATCTCCCCTTGGGCTTATGCTTTCTCAATTGTGAAATGAAGAGTTTGGACAAGAGAATCTCTAAGATTACCCTGTCTAGAAACCTCTGATTTCTGTGTGTAGTATCTCTAAACATACGTTTAATTCCTTGACGGTAGACTTTTACTTAATTTCTTCATCATCTCCATAGTGCTTAATACTTCAGTTCGGTTCCACAGACATTTACTAATCTTAAGTGTCTGCTATGAGCTCAACACAAAGTATAAGCTGAATAATGTTGCTGAAAAATAAGAGTCCTATTCTTCTGATCAAGTAATAACTTTAACTTTTAGAGTCTACATGTTGTAGTTGATTTAACTAGGTTTCAGCTTGTGTGTTCATTCATTTTTGTTTGCATAACAAAAATGTTACAAGTTTAAATCCTCCCAGGGATAGAATAAATTCTATCACAAATAACTTATGAATTGTAATTTTATTAGAATATAGTTGATTTGGTTATGGTAGCAAATAATTTAGCCAAAAAGCTTTATACAAAGCTATTTCTACACATATTTAACCTATTTTTCAGCAAAATCAGTATCGTTGCTTAAAATAACATAATGTCATACATAATGACCAATGTAAACTCAGTACACCTGTGCTTGGGGCCTATATAATGGGCAAACTTAACTAACACTTCAGCATGTGTTAAACTTTGACTATATTTTTTCAGAATTAATGAAAATGCAAACCTCACATGGAGCCAAATCTCCGGGTGTGACTTTGCCAAGAAAAATAGGTCTTTGAAGGGTAAAAGCAGGTGGGAAACAAATGTCTTTCTAACAATCATTCAATCATAACCTACTCATTGAAAGTAGTAGTGAAATTCACTTGCTCCAACTCAGCAATCACGTTTTTATACTAAGCATACAGCCTTGTCTAACAAGTGAAATTTTATCTCTGATATTCCCATAATATTCCACCTTACTTTACTGACCTGCATTTCAGTCATCTCGCAAATGTTTATATGATAAATGCTTTGCTGTAAGTGCTAAGTCAGTGGTAGCTTCAAAGAAGGTTGATTTTTCACTTGGGTCTTGAAGGTTATGTAGAAGTTTGCTGGTCAAGGCATCAGAAGGAGGTCATTCCAGCCAGAGAATAGGGTCTGTATTGACGGGCTCTCCTCATAGAGCCAGGCTTTTTGTGATCTGGCTTTACTTTCTTGTCTATCTTGAGCTGCCTCTTCCTTTTCTCAATTTGTAGCATATAATCTGATCATACTCATCTATTAGTTCTTTATCTCCATGATTTGCACATACAACTTACTCTGCTGTTTGCTTGAAAACCACACTCAACTTTTAAAAATGAATTCAAGCAGCATTCTTCATTGATTCTTTTCTTGTTTCTTTCTCTCAACTCCAGTATAAGACCTTTCTCTTCTTTGTGTCTTTAAATACTGTATGGCATCTACATGTGTACATGTGAGTTCCCCCTTCCATACCCTCTTACACAGGACTTCTCTCTTCAATTGTCATGGATCCCTGAAGCATAAAACAGTGATTGGCACAGCAGAAAATCAATAAATATGTATCTAATGAATAGAATTATTTATTTATGGAAAAACTATGGAAAGTGCTGGAAGGATCCTAATCCTTCCCTACATTTGAAATTTTTTTAAATAATTAAATATTAAATCACTTCTTTCAAGCTAGAGTAGGAGAAAAAGATTTTAGTGCCAGTAATACGGTTCCAGGGCCTCTTCTTTGCATAATCAACTTAAATAAATGTTTAAGTCTATAAGTCTATCCTTTCAGATTCAAAAAAGAATGGAACTCGGATTTTAAGTGACACTGTGGAGTCCATTGTCTATTCTTTGTCCCAAACTAAAACTAAAGGCAGCATCTATTAAAGTAAGTGAAGATGATATGATTTTGTTTTTTACTGCCTTGGGAATGTTTGAAAGACTTTGGACAGTAAGACAGTTACGTAATGCCAGATATCTCCATCATAGTATATCATCTCACATCATATTATATTTGGTGGTCAGGAATAATTTGACTTTACCTCCAAGTCTGTATCTAAAGTTGTATAATTCCACTTTGAAAGATTCTTAAAGAATTACTGCTTTTTCTAAGAAGATTTTATTAAATTAAGAATTATGTTTTCTGTAAAATCAAACACAAGTGATATCCAGAAAAGTACAAAAAAGAAAGTGACAATTTTTCAAAATACCTCCTGACACATATCAGAAATAATCTATCAATGTGTCACTGGACATCCTCTCTGATCTCTCGATTCATTCTCTCATTTTCTATATCTGTGTATGTATACACACACACATATAAAAGTACACACACATAGTTTAACAATATAGTAGAAAATAAGATAATATTTAAAATGGTAATCATAAAGGCATATCTTTTGGGTTACTATTTTAAACACCATCTTCTTCCTGTCTACATTGTTTACCACTGCCAATGTAATGAGTGTGGGTTTCTAGTTTTATCCCTGTCTTTAGCAGGAATGCAGCTGATGTTTCCACATTATGTATAAATGCTAGCTTGGGGACTGAGGTATAAATACTATAATATTAAAAATGGAGTATCCTAGAATGCTTTCTCAGTACCTGTAGATTTGATATGTAGTTTTTCTTCATAGAATTATTAATATGATGAATCAAACTGATAGATTTATTAATATTGAACCATACTTGCATTTTTTTTTTTTTTTTTTTTGTAGAGACAGAGTGTTATTATGTCACTCAGGCTGGAGTGCAGTGGCATGGTCATAGCTCACTGCAGCCTTGAACTCCTGGGCTCAAGTGATCCTCCTGCCTGAGTCTCCCAAGTAGCTGCGATTACAGGCATGCACCGTCATGCCTGGCTAATTTTTTTTGTTTAGTTTTTTTGTTTGCTTGTTTTTGGTAGAGACAGGGTTTCCCTATGGTGCCCAGGCTGGTCTCAAACTCCTGGCCTCAAGCGATCTTCCCACCTCCATCTTCCAAAGTGCTGGGATTATATGATTGAATCGGGGGAGGAGCCAAGATGGCCGAATAGGAACAGCTCTGGTCTATAGCTCCCAGCCTGAGCGACGCAGAAGACGGGTGATTTCTGCATTTCCATCTGAGGTACTGGGTTCATCTCACTACGGAGTGCCAGACAGTGGGCACAGTTCAGTGGGTGCACGCACCGTGCGCGAGCCGAAGCAGGGCGAGGCATTGCCTCACTCGGGAAGCGCAAGGGGTCAGGGAGTTCCTTTTCCTAATCAAAGAAAGGGGTGATGGACGGCACCTGGAAAATCGGGTCACTCCCACCCGAATACTGCGCTTTTCCGACGGGCTTAAAAAACGGCGCACCACGAGATTATATCCCGCACCTGGCTCAGAGAGTCCTACCCCACGGAGTCTCGCTGATTGCTAGCACAGCAGTCTGAGATCAAACTGCAAGGCAGCAGCGAGGCTGGGGGAGGGGCACCCACCATTGCCCAGGCTTGCTTAGGTAAACAAAGCAGCCAGGAAGCTCAAACTGGGTGGAGCCCACCACAGCTCAAGGAGGCCTGCCTACCTCTGTAGGCTCCACCTCTGGGGGCAGGGCACAGACAAACAAAAAGACAGCAGTAACCTCTGAAGACTTAAATGTCCCTGTCTGACAGCTTTGAAGAGAGCAGTGGTTCTCCCAGTACGCAGCTGGAGATCTGAGAACGGGCAGACTGCCTCCTCAATTGGGTCCCTGACCCCTGACCCCCCGAGCAGCCTAACTGGGAGGCACCCTCCAGCAGGGGCACATTGACACCTCACGCTGCAGGGTGCTCCAACAGACCTGCAGCTGAGGGTCCTGTCTGTTAGAAGGAAAACTAACAAACAGAAAGGACATCCACACCAAAAACCCATCTGTACATCACCATCATCAAAGACCAAAAGTAGATAAAACCACAAAGATGGGGAAAAAACAGAACAGAAAAACTGGAAACTCTAAAAAGCAGAGCGCCTCTCCTCCTCCAAAGGAACGCAGTTCCTCACCAGCAATGGAACAAAGCTGGATGGAGAATGACTTTGACGAGCTGAGAGAAGAAGGCTTCAGACGATCAAATTACTCTGAGCTATGGGAGGACATTCAAACCAAAGGCAAAGAAGTTGAAAACTTTGAAAAAAATTTAGAAGAATGAATAACTAGAATAACCAATACAGAGAAGTGCTTAAAGGAGCTGATGGAGCTGAAAACCAAGGCTCGAGAACTACATGAAGAATGCAGAAGCCTCAGGAGCCGATGCGATCAACTGAAAGAAAGGGTATCAGCAATGGAAGATGAAATGAATGAAATGAAGCGAGAAGGAAAGTTTAGAGAAAAAAGAATAAAAAGAAATTAGCAAAGCCTCCAAGAAATATGGGACTATGTGAAAAGACCAAATCTACGTCTGATTGGTGTACCTGAAAGTGATGAGGAGAATGGAACCAAGATGGAAAACACTCTGCAGGATATTATCCAGGAGAATTTTCCCAATCTAGCAAGGCAGGCCAACATTCAGATTCAGGAAATACAGAGAACGCCACAAAGATATTCCTCGAGAAGAGCAACTCCAAGACACATAATTGTCAGATTCACCAAAGTTGAAATGAAGGAAAAAATGTTAAGGGCAGCCAGAGAGAAAGGTCGGGTTACCCTCAAAGGGAAGCCCATCAGACTAACAGCGGATCTCTCGGCAGAAACCCTACAAGCCAGAAGAGAGTGGGGGCCAATATTCAACATTCTTAAAAAAAAGAATTTTCAACCCAGAATTTCATATCCAGCCAACCTAAGCTTCATAAGTGAAGGAGAAATAAAATACTTTACAGACAAGCAAATGCTGACAGATTTTGTCACCACCAGGCCTGCCCTAAAAGAGCTCCTGAAGCAAGCACTAAACATGGAAAGGAACAACCGGTACCAGCCGCTGCAAAATCATGCCAAAATGTAAAGACCATCGAGACTAGGAAGAAACTGCATCAACTAACGAGCAAAATAACCAGCTAACATCATAATGACAGGATCAAATTCACACATAACACTATTAACTTTAAATGTAAATGGACTAAATGCTCCAATTAAAAGACACAGACTGGCAAATTGGATAAAGAGTCAAGACCCATCAGTGTGCTGTATTCAGGAAACCCATCTCACGTGCAGAGACACACATAGGCTCAAAATAAAAGGATGGAGGAAGATCTACTAAGCCAACGGAAAACAAAAAAAGGCAGGGGTTGCAATCCTAGTCTCTGATAAAACAGACTTTAAACCAACAAAGATCAAAAGAGACAAAGAAGGCCATTACATAATGGTAAAGGGATCAATTCAACAAGAAGAGCTAACTATCCTAAATATATATGTACAAAACAGACTTTAAACCAACAAAGATCAAAAGAGACAAAGAAGGCCATTACATAATGGTAAAGGGATCAATTCAACAAGAAGAGCTAACTATCCTAAATATATATGTACCCAATACAGGAGCACCCAGATTCATAAAGCAAGTCCTGAGTGACCTACAAAGAGACTTAGACTCCCACACATTAATAATGGGAGACTTTAACACCCCACTGTCAACATTAGACAGATCAACGAGACAGAAAGTAAACAAGGATACCCAGGAATTGAACTCAGCTCTGCACCAAGCAGACCTAATAGACATCTACAGAACTCTCCACCCCAAATCAACAGAATATACATTTTTTTCAGCACCACACCACACCTATTCCAAAATTGACCACATACTTGGAAGCAAAGCTCTCCTCAGCAAATGTGAAAGAACAGAAATTATAACAAACTATCTCTCAGACCACAGTGCCATCAAACTAGAACTCAGGATTAAGAATCTCATTCAGAACCGCTCAACTACATGGAAACTGAACAACCTGCTCCTGAATGACTACTGGGTACATAACGAAATGAAGGCAGAAATAAAGATGTTCTTTGAAACCAACGAGAACAAAGACACAACATACCAGAATCTCTGGGACACATTCAAAGCAGTGTGTAGAGGGAAATTTATAGCACTAAATGCCCACCAGAGAAAGCAGGAAAGATCCAAAATTGACACCCTAACATCACAATTAAAAGAACTAGAAAAGCAAGAGCAAATACATTCAAAAGCTAGCAGAAGGCAAGAAATAACTAAAATCAGAGCAGAACTGAAGGAAATAGAGACACAAAAAACTCTTCAAAAAATTAGTGAATCCAGGAGCTGGTTTTTTGAAAGGATCAACAAAATTGATAGACCGCTAACAAGACTAATAAAGAAAAAAAGAGAGAAGAATCAAATAGATGCAATAAAAAATGATAAAGGGGATATCACCACCGATCCCACAGAAATACAAACTACCATCAGAGAATAATACAAACACCTCTACACAAATAAACTAGAAAATCTAGAAGAAATGGATAAATTCCTTGACACATACACTCTCCCAAGACTAAACCGGGAAGAATTTGAATCTCTGAATAGACCAATAACAGGATCGGAAATTGTGGCAATAATCAATAGCTTACCAACCAAAAAGAGTCCAGGACCAGATGGATTCACAGCCAAATTCTACCAGAGGTAAAAGGAGGAACTGGTACCATTCCTTCTGAAACTATTCCAATCAATAGAAAAAGGGGGAATCCTCCCTAACTCATTTTATGAGGCCAGCATCATCCTGATACCAAAGCTGGGCAGAGACACAGCCAAAAAAGAGAATTTTAGACCAATATCCTTGATGAACATTGATGCAAAAATCCTCAATAAAATACTGGCAAACCGAATCCAGCAGCACATCAAAAAGCTTATCCACCATGATCAAGTGGGCTTCATCCCTGGGATGCAAGGCTGGTTCAATATATGCAAATCAATAAATGTAATCCAGCATATAAACAGAACCAAAGACAAAAACCACATGATTATCTCAATAGATGCAGAAAAGGCCTTTGACAAAATTCAACAACCTTTCATGCTAAAAACTCTCAATAAATTAGGTATTGATGGGACATATTTCAAAATAATAAGAGCAATCTATGACAAACCCACAGCCAATATCATACTGAATGGGCAAAAACTGGAAGCATTCCCTTTGAAAACTGGCACAAGACAGGGATGCCCTCTCTCACCACTCCTATTCAACATAGTGTTGGAAGTTCTGGCCAGGGCAATTAGGCAGGAGAAGGAAATAAAGGGTATTCAATTAGGAAAAGAGGAAGTCAAATTGTCCCTGTTTGCAGATGACATGATTGTATATCTAGAAAACCCCATTGTCTCAGCCCAAAATCTCCTTAAGCTGATAAGCAACTTCAGCAAAGTCTCAGGATACAAAATCAATGTACAAAAATCACAAGCATTCCTATACACCAATGACAGACAAACAGAGAAACAAATCATGAGTGAACTCCCATTCACAATTGCTTCAAAGAGAATAAAATACCTAGGAATCCAACTTACAAGGGATGTGAAGGACCTCTTCAAGGAGAACTACAAACTGCTGCTCAAGGAAATAAAAGAGGATACAAACAAATGGAAGAACATTCCATGCTCATGGATAGGAAGAATCAGTATCGTGAAAATGGCCATACTGCCCAAGGTAATTTACAGACTCAATGCCATCCCCATCAAGCTACCAATGCCTTTCTTCACAGAATTGGAAAAAACTACTTGAAACTTCATATGGAACCAAAAAAGAGCCCGCATCGCCAAGTCAATCCTAAGCCAAAAGAACAAAGCTGGAGGCATCACACTACCTGACTTCAAACTATACTACAAGGCTACAGTAACCAAAACAGCATGGTACTGGTACCAAAACAGAGATATAGATCAATGGAACAGAACAGAGCCCTCAGAAATAACGCCGCATATCTACAACTACCTGATCTTTGACAAACCTGAAAAAAACAAGCAATGGGGAAAGGATTCTCTATTTAATAAATGGTGCTGGGAAAACTGGCTAGCCATATGTAGAAAGCTGAAACTGGATCCCTTCCTTACACCTTATACAAACATTAATTCAAGATGGATTAAAGACTTAAACGTTAGACCTAAAACCATAAAAACCCTAGAAGAAAACCTAGGCATTGCCATTCAGGACATAGGCATGGGCAAGGACTTCATGTCTAAAACACCAAAAGCAATGGCACCAAAAGCCAAAACTGACAAATGGGATCTAATTAAACTAAAGAGCTTCTGCACAGCACAAGAAACCACCATCAGAGTGAACAGGCAACCTACAGAATGGGAGAAAATTTTTGCAACCTACTCATCTGACAAAGGGCTAATATCCAGAATCTACAATGAACTCAAACAAATTTACAAGAAAAAAACAAACAACCCCATCAAAAAGTGGGCAAAGGACATGAACAGACACTTCTCAAAAGAAGACATTTATGCAGCCAAAAAACACATGAAAAAATGCTCACCATCACTGGCCATCAGAGAAATGCAAATCAAAACCACAATGAGATACCATCTCACACCAGTTAGAATGGTGATCATTAAAAAGTCAGGAAACAACAGGTGCTGGAGAGGATGTGGAGAAATAGGAACACTTTTACACTGTTGGTGGGACTGTAAACTAGTTCAACCATTGTGGAAGTCAGTGTGGCGATTCCTCAAGGATCTAGAACTAGAAATACCATTTGACCCAGCCATCGCATTACTCGGTATATACCCAAAGGGCTATAAATCATGCTGCTATAAAGACACATGCACATGTATGTTTATTGCGGCATTATTCACAATAGCAAAGACTTGGAACCAACCCAAATGTCCAACAATGATAGACTGGATTAAGAAAATGTGGCACATATACACCATGGAATACTATGCAGCCATAAAAATGATGAGTTCATGTCCTTTGTAGGGACATGGATGAAATTGGAAACCATCATTCTCAGTAAACTATCACAAGAACAAAAAACCAAACACCACAAATTCTCACTGATAGGTGGGAATTGAACAATGAGATCACATGGACACAGGAAGGGGAACATCACACTCTGGGGACTGTTGTGGGGTGGGGGGAGGGGGGAGGGATGGCATTGGGAGATATACCTAATGCTAGATGACGAGTTAGTGGGTGCAGCACACCAGCATGGTACATGTATACATATGTAACTAACCTGCAGAATGTGCACATGTACCCTAAAACTTAAAGTATAATAAATAAATAAATAAATAATGAAACGAGCAAAAAAAAAAAAAAGATTGAATCACCACACCCCACCTGGCCCATACTTGCAATCTTGAAATTAACACAACTTGTCATGATATACTACCCCTTTTCAGTGTGCTATTGGATTCCATTTGCTACTTTTTTTACCTTAGAATTTTTGCGTTGCTATTCAGAAGTAAGGCTATTATGGAGTAGTTCATTATGTGTACTTTTAAACCAATTTTAGTGCCAATAAATAAAAAATTAGTGGTTTAAATGGAAAATTGCCTGATATATGAAAATAAATCAGAATGGCCAAGAATAATAATATTCAATACTTGCAGAGATTACTGAATGAAATTGAGAGTACTTTTCTGAGGTTTATTCAAAAACAAGATATTCATCTGTCAAAAATAACATATATAGTCTGTTTCACAAAGAGTGAATTCTCATTGAGAATTCTTTCCATGGATTTCTTTATTTTATGTAAACTTCAACCTTTTGCGTATGACATGTTTTATTTCCATCATCTCTTAAGTTGTGTCCCGGATTACTTAAAGTAAGAAAATAAAGCTAAATCCAGTAATGATATAAGCACATTCAGAGGCCACAGAATTAGTAAAACAACCAAACAATTAAACACCTTATGATTCTGTTTGTTACTCATAAAGCTCAACATAAAAGTTGAGTTCTCATTTTACTTGGCTCTAATATTAACACTACCATTGTATTGAATTCCATTGTGTGTTGCAAAGCTGAACCTCAAGATGTAGGATTATATGGCCATAAATTAGAATTATTTGACATGTGTCAATAAAATAACATTGCCAAGTCCTAAAACACTTTGGCTGCATGTCAAGTCTGAGGTCAGGATTTGTAAGAATGACACAGTCCTTTTTCTTGCCTGCTTATTGCTGTGGCCCTGAGGCCATAGCAACCAGGTGTCTGGCACTTTACATTTAAGTCTCACAGTTTCAGCAGATAAAACCCCAATGTTTCCTTTTTTAACTCAAAGTTATACTGTTTCCAGTAAATTATTTACTCCTTTTTATTAATTTGTTTTTTCTTTTTCAATAATCTATAATTACCCAGTGAAAAAATTAAAAATTGTAGCTTATTGTTAATTTGAATTACTCTTCTTGAAGGGTCAAAAGAATAAATACACTTAATTTTTCTTCAATTGCTTATATTGTGTTGTGTAAATCTTGGACACTGTTTGACAATTTCTCCATGTAGCATAAGCAGTTTGAGGGTAGGTTCCTTATCTTATTCATCTTAGAATCTCCAGTGTCCTATACATACAAGAAGTATGCAGTAATTATGTTAAAATAATAAATAAATGAAAGACTCTAGAACTAACACCATTTGAAACCAAGATTTTCTTAAAACTACCTAGGTATTGTGATTAAAAACAAACAAACAAAATTGGCCTGTTCTAGTTTGTTGAAAGATTGTTGGTTGACTCCCTGTATGGGAGTTTACAGTTGGACCTACTGTCATAGCTTAAAAAAATGGAAATTCCTAGGTTTTCATCTGCACCCTTAGTGGTGTGTATGGAGAAATGAGGATCTAATCTGTTGCCGCAGGGAGCATAGCAATTTTATCATTCAGTTCTCTTTATTATATTTTAGAATTAAATTTTACTGTGGTTCTTGTGACCACTATCTGGGTTTTAGCTGATCAACTCAAAGACAGTTAAGTGCTCTGCCGCATCTGTAGAACTCAAGAAAAAAAGTAATTCAACAGAAAAAAATACATTTTTAGTATTTCAAGAGAAAAAATGTCCTTCGTAAAATATGGGAGAGGTTGAAAACACTATCTAATGGGCAGTTGAGTCCCAGTACAGTCCCATAAAAATGCAGTCAAAAGACAGGGGCCATAAAGGGACAAGGGCTTCTTAGAGACGTGGCTGATTGCAGGCCCAGCACAACAGATACCCAGGATGAAACTAGGGCATTTGTGGGGCCAGAAATCAAGAAATATATTAAAGATTACCTGTGGGTCTATCAAAAGGACTCAGGAATCAAGTTAAAGAGGCATTTTATGGATGCTCAGATTGTCCCATCTTTGGGGCAAAAAAAAATATTGTCCCATCTTCGGGAGAATCTGAGCATCCATAAGATGTTCTGTGTATTGAAACAATTAATATAATTAAATTTATGAGCTCATCTCAGGCATACCCCCCTCACTGCCTTCACTTGTCACCTTTTAAGAAATTAGGTTATCTCAGTACGTGATAACTGGTGAAAAAAAGAAATAAATATTTATCTTGACTTTCATATATTAACTGTACCTCAAAGTCATACAACAGTTGACGAAAAGAAGTTGCTCATTGTGGAATCATTCCCAGTTAATGGATAAAGAAGAAATGATAAAATTAGACTTTCATTATTTTCCATCACGTATAAATGAATACATCTAAGAAATAATAACTGAATGGCAGCTAACGCCACCTAGTATACACCTGAAGTATATATCTGAAGTATACATCACCTAGAAGTCATCTTGCCAAAGATGTATACACCTGAAGTATACATCACCTAGAAAGTCATCTTGCCAAAAAATTAATTCCGAATCTGATCAAGGCATTGGATGGACTACCAGTATACAAGAAATATAGGACACAAGGACTATGATAAATAACATTCTGGGGACACGGTAAGCAGCACCCAGACAGTGCTTTTCAAAGTAGGGTCCCTGGAGCAAAAGGTTTGGAAACCACTATTGACCAGTGAGCTTGTGTCAGAAGGTAAGTCAACTACATCACTAAGCAAGCGCTTTAGTTCAGCTGTGTGTAAGTGTTATTCTGGGGCAGCCTCCTTCTCTCACACAGACTAGCATATTCATGGCTAGCACAGTGACATCTATATGAGAGGAAATGAAACCTACAGTTAAAAGAGATCATAGAACTATTAATTATGTTATGTTAACTATTTTTTATGAAAATTTCAACAAATAAACTGTGATTAAAATGTATAAGAAAATCATGGAAATTTGAACACTAGATATTTAATAATATTAATGGATTGTTAGATTTGTAGGTGTAATAAGGGGGTTGTGGCTATATTTAATACTACAACTAAATAATATTAAGTATTTAGAGGTACATTTTGAAATATTATGGGTAAAATGGTAGAATGCCTAGGACTTGCTTCAAAGTAACAGGGAGGGGTGGAGGAAGTGGGTAAGGGCTGTAAAATTAGCAAGATGAGACGTGTTGCTCTTACTTGAATTGAGTGATAAATACATGCACCTTTGTTATCTTATTTTCTATGCTTTTGTGTATATTCAAATCTTTCAAAATAAAAATGTAAAGACAAAAATAAAAGAAAAAACTCAATAAATGAATGTCGCCTCTGTAAAAAAAAGAAAAAAAATGAAGAAGGCGTTCATCAAAAGTGGGAATTAGAATTAGAACTGAAATACCACTGGGTACTTTTTAAACAGGCAGAAATAGTTTGTACACACATTACATATATGGTGCATGCAACTGTACTTAGTTTGCTTTGCCAGAAAATAAGTTTCTCTAACAATGAAATTTAACTGTTGTGTAAGGACATATACAAAATGTTCCTATCACCAACTGTTACTGGTTGAATTGTGTCCCCCGCAAAACATATGCTACAGCCCTAATCTGGTACCTGTGTATATGACCTAATTTGAAAATAGTCTTCACAAATGTATTCGAGTTAAGATGAGGTTGGACAGGCGCAGTGGCTCACGCCTGTAATCTCAGCACTTTGGAAGGTTAAGGCGGGTGAATCACCTGAGGTTAGGAGTTTGAGACCAGCCTGGCCAACATGATAAAACCTTGTCTCTATTAAAAATACAAAATTAGCCAGGAGTGGTGTTGGGCGCCTGTAATCCCAGCCACTCGGGAGGCTGAGGCAGGAGAATCGCTTGAACCCAGGAGGCAGAGGTTGCAGTTAGCCGAGATCACGCCATTGCACTCCAGCCTGGGCAACAAGAGCAAAACTCTGTCTTAAAAAAAAACGGGGGTGGGGGGTGCGGTGGGGCATTAGGGTGGGCTGTAATTTAATCTGGCTGGAGTCCTTATAAGAAGAGGGGAATTTGCATACAGAAACACGCGGGGAGCATCCCTGGAGACCGGAGTGCTGCCAAGGAGCACCAAGGATGCTGTCAGTCACCATGAAGTAAGAAAGAGTCATGGAACTAACTCTCAGAGCCTCTGAAGGAACCAACCCTACTGCCATCTTGATTTCAGACTTCCCGCTCCCGACACTGTGAGACATTACATTTCTGTTGTTTTTTGTTTCTTGCTTTTTAGACGGAGTTGTTTCGCTCTTGTTGCCCAGGCTGCTGGAGTGCAATGGCACGATCTTGGCCCACCACCTCTGCCTCCTGGGTTCAAGAGATTCTCCTGCCTCAGCCTCCCGAGCAGCTGGGATTACAGGCAGGCGCCACCATGCACAGCTAATTTTGTATTTTTGGTAGAGACAGGGTTTCTTCATGT
Source organism: Homo sapiens (assembly GCF_000001405.40). Taxonomy (NCBI): domain Eukaryota; kingdom Metazoa; phylum Chordata; class Mammalia; order Primates; family Hominidae; genus Homo; species Homo sapiens. Next base: position 69,029,598 of record NC_000008.11, read on the forward strand.
TGGTCAGGCTCGTCTCAAACTCCTGACCTCAGGTAATCGACCTGCCTCGGCTTCCCAAAGTGCTGGGATTACAGGCATGAGCCACAGTGCCAGGCCATTTCTGTTGTTTTAAGCCATCCAGTTTGTGGTTCTTTGTTACAGCAGCCCCAGGAAGCTAACACACTCACTGAGCTTAGTACAATGGGTGCTTCTGTGTCTGCATGCTGGGGGGAGCCAGGCAGAAAGAGGGTGAGCCATTGTGTTTTTACATAGTTCTTTTGAGCAAAAATAGTGTCGCCTGACTGAGTTGTTGACTTTTTTCCATTTTCAGACTTGCAACTTATGTTTCCCTTTTAATCACAAAGCTGAAGAATAGACAACTACACGACCTATCATGAAGCAGGAAGAAAAAAATCATCGACATTTTTGACCATGCAAATGAGCATTTTTTTTTCTGCAGAATAAACTAAGGCTAACAAAAAAGACAAAAACAACTGATCATTTGTATGAAAACCTAATTATTTGGTGGATTTTTCAAAAGGTGGTCAGCTAATTATGTGGTATCATCTGGACCAATGTTTTCTAGGCAAGCCTAGATGGTCAACTTTTGAGAGAGTTTATAATAAAGTTTGATTTGTTTATGCATACAAATTCATTCAGTGAACAGGAGATTTTTTTAAAAAAAGTTATATTCTTTATTTCAAATGTGTGAATAAAAAGAAAAAGAGGAAAAAGTGAAAAAGGGGAACCCAAAACAGGAAAAATTAAAAGAGAAAGATTTAAAATGGGTGGTGCACATATGACCCTTTTCTTCTGCTTGGCCACATCTACGGTTAATACTATTTTTCTTTTTGGTGAATAGATTTGACATCTTACATCTGCAGTGCTTCTCTGGAGTGAGTTACTTCTATGATCCAGTTAGGACCTACGTAAAACAGATACTGTTTCTTTACAAAATGATAGAATGAGAAGAGGAGAATGAGATATCATCGGTCCTGAGGAAATGAGACTCAAGTTTTCCGAGAAGAGGATCCCAGGAAATTAAACTCAACTCAAAATAAGTTTATCTGCTGTTCACAGTCACAAGTTTTGTTGGCAGTTCTTAACTCTTGGCACCATTCAAAGTTTTGTCAATCGTGAGACAACTCATTGTTAACCTCTCAGCGCCTTCTACAAGTGTAATGTATGGTACTGTCCTGCTGCCTTCTAGCAGCTGCTGCCATGCTCCCAGGAAGTCTTCCAAGTTCCTCAGAGTTACACTAGGGAAATAAACCTAGGATTAGAAAAACACTGTGACCCTCCAGAAGCCTGTGAGCTCTTTAATGCCAGAGGCCTGATATTTAATCCAATAGTATTCTGAAATATTCTAAGGATATAGGGAGTGAGAATGGGGAGTAAGAGGTGTGTATATTTAAGAAAGCATCTGGAAAAGCATCTTAATTTAGAAAATGGAGCGTCTTGAAGAAATGTAAAATATCTCAGCTCTAATTTCCAAAATAAGATCAGAGATGATATAATTTGACTCACAAATATGATAGACATATACAAGTTCAGTTTCATATTTCCAAGTTAGGGTCAGAAAATAGATTTTTTTTGTTTTTTTTTTCACAGTAATCAATATAATATTTTAATGCCATTTTTGAAAAAATAAAAATTTATACACCCTCAAAACACGATTAATAAAATATCAAAATTTGAGATAAAGACAGGCTATCAGTTAAGCTATGTTAGAGCCAGAGAATAGATTTGATGGCATGGAAAGGAAAAAAAAAAAGAATTCAGTGACCAAGAAAGACGAAGTGGAATAGAGAGGAAGAAAGGAGGAGGGGATATATTAAAAGAGAGAAATGGAGAACAAAGGAGAAAAGTATCAGCTCAGTATGTTTTGAGGTGAATGTTTGTTGACTTATTTGGGTTGCATTGAGTTATCTGATCTTGACTATGTTAATTAGTTGATTAGTCATTGCCCACAACTTTTACTTCTTAAACTTAAACCTATGGCTCTCAGCCCTAAGTACACATTGCAACCACATGCAAGTTTAAAAAATACCGATGTTTGAATCTCACCCCAGAGATTCTCTTTTATTTGATCTGGGTACAGTCTGCAATTGTGGTTTTTAAAAGCTTCCCAGATGAATCTAATGTGTAGCCAAGGCTGCAGTCACTGCCGTGAGGCTCCCATGATTAACAAAACCAGGGCACTTTCCTCCACTATAAGGAATGGACATCACCCCTGGAACATGATACCCACACGTATATTAGACCTGTGGTTCTCAAAACAAGATGTGCATTGGTACCACCTATGGACCTTTTCAAAAATACCAATTTCGGATCCCCATATCAGTGATTCTGATACAGTAGGTTTTAAGGTTTTGCCTGAGTATTTGTGTTTTGAAAACTCTTCATGGATGACTCTGATGTAAAACAAAAGTATAAAATCATCGAGTTAGATGTTTAATCTTCAATTCACTCATGAATTGGGAGTCAGGAAACTATCAGAAAAAAAAAAAGACTCACAAAAGTATCCAAGAAATATATATTAGCTTGCTAAGGCAGCCATAACAAAATAAGGATACCACAGCATACACAATTGAGATGTATTGTCAAACAGTTCTGGAGGACAGAAGTCCAAGAGCAAGGTGGATTTTTTGAGGATGATGAGGGACCATCTGTTCCATTCCTATCCCTAGTTTCTGGTGGTTTTCTAGCAATCTTTCGCATTCCTTTGTTTGTAGATCTCCACCTTCATCTTCTCCTGGTGGTCTCCCTATGTGCACGTGTGTGTCCAAATTCCCTTTTTTATAAGAACAACCTAACTGGGTTAGAGCCTCAGCATAAATTTTAGAAGGACACATTTCAATAAAGCATCAGATGTCTTCTTTTAAAAAAAAAAAAAATATATATATATAATGGTATTGGTAGTACCTGCATTGTAAATTTCCAAAGAATTAGAATTCGATATTAAGTAAATAATGCATTGTCCTGAGTTGTCCTGAATCTAATATAATTCTTATTTGAAATCTTAAATACTTTGACAGCAGAAATTGGATTGTATAGTTAATCTATTGACCATTCTAATCAGATAAAATGACATTTATGACACTTTGCAATTGCTTCTCTATTTGCAAAGCATCAGTGAGGATTTCATAACACTGGCTTAGAGATACTTTCAAACGAAGATGGATGATGATACAACAGTGTTATGCAAAAAAAAAAATCAATCTTTGCCTAATAAAAAGTTTCTACTACGCTTGAGTTCTTTTCCAGACTTGTGATAAATTTTGTAGAAAAATCCCTAACACTGGGAGTAACAGATATTCTTTGTGATTTCTTCAGTTATCAAGCTCATTTTGGCTCATATTTTCTTTATTGACCCAATTATTTTTAACAGCTAAGAGTAAGTCTCAGGTCATACACAGTTATCTGACATAGTGAGACTTGGCCTTAATAGTCTGCAAAACACCTAGCTAATTAAAATAAAATATGGAACATTCTTTTTTCTACCCTACAATTTCTGACTACAAATGTATTTTTTTTTTCTTTTGCAAAAGTTGAGAGCCCATCAACTTGTCTAGCTAGCATAAAGTCTGAAAAAACTCATTCAAAACAATTTCAGGGTATCAACATTTCACGACTTTTCTGGTGTAAAATAGGAAAATAACATCACCTATTCAGCACAGAAGAGAATCTAATTCTAGCATGTTCAAATGTAAACAAATCAATTAAATTTGAAAAAATGAGGAAGCATTGAAAGTGCTTCTGATTTCTTTTGGGTCTGGGAGACAGGGAGAGCTAAGGGAGAAATCATGTGTGAAACTGAGCTATTTTCATGACGGTTTCACTAAAAACTGTCATCATTTGTTCACATGAACAAGGATATTATAGTAAGAGGCCTTAGAAATTGAAGAAATAAAGAGGCTTGAGCCAAAACACTAAACTGTGGGATTTGAATTTGTTCTGTTTTTTCACAATTTCTCTTTGGAGACCTTGCTTTAATGTGGAATTCTATCTTAAATTCTAAGCATTCTAGCTCCCTGAAGTGATTCCATATTTTGTAAGATAGGGAACAAGGGCTATGTGTGTATGAGAGGATGTGTGTGTGTATGTCCAGAATTTTTGGATTGTGTGAACATTGCCTTTCCTCTCTCTGATATACAAAAGCAGCATAGTTTACATGCAATATTTACCATCTAGAGAGAAATAAACCCAAAATTGAGGGGACGTTTTGGCTGAGAGCCTCAGTTGGGATGTGGAAAGCAAACAGAATAAGGTTAGTTGAAGGTTAAGCTGTGTTGTATTGATGTAGTAATGTTGTCTTTAGAACAAATTAGCTCACTGGGACTTGGTGACACAGTGCAGTATTAAACCCTTCGTTACAAAAAGAACATGTGCAGATTTTTTTCTAGCTTGAAAAATGCCAGTGAAAAATTACACAAAGATCAAGCTTTAAAAATGTTTACTTTGCAGAAAATCATTTAAAAATGGAATCTCAATTTTGTTGGCAGCTCAGTTTTTTAAAAGGGCTATTTATTCTAGACTCCTGCAGCATATGGTTTATTGCAGTTTATATGGTGTATTGGAACTGCGTGAACTTGGGCACCTTAGGGAATGTTTGTTTTTATTTTTTTAAAGGTGGTTGGACTGAAATCCAGTATGAATCATATAAGAGAGATTTAGAAGCACGTGAAGATAAATGTTTCCCATGTGACACAGAGCAGCACATCTGGAAGGTGATCCTATATAAATAAATAATCTGAAAAGACCATAGTTTTCAAAGATATCAGTAAAGAATAGCATTGTGTGTTCCTTTCTTAATTTGGGAGGGAAATGCAGTTCTCATATTAAAAAAGATAGTATCTTTTCTCTTGCAAATTTCTGCAAGCTGTTTGGTTGTAGAAATGGGCACTGCTATTCTGCTAGATTCTTTTGGTTTAAAAAATGAGTAAGACACACTTCTTGTCCTAAATATTTCTTAGGTTAATCCTTGATAAGTTTATTTTTTAAGCATATGATTTCCATGCATGTCAACTGATGACTTCAACATAATTATATCTATTAAGATAGTACTGATAGAAAGATTTCTTTTGAATCTCTACCCAATCTTGTAAAGCATTTGTCTTTTTAATCGTTTTGTATAGTTTAAAAAATTTTACATTCCCTTTTCCTCCCTTTTACCAAGAACATTTCTGTATCACTTGGTAATCTTTAAAATACAGTTTTAACTCTTACTAAAAATAGTATTGAGTGAGTAAAATAGTTCAGCTAAGGTTTGGAAAAAAAAAAAAAACTCTCGGTTCCCTTCTTAATTTTTAAAGAATATGCGTAGATTTCACTGTCATTTTAGTTCAGACACACACCCAGCGCTGTCGTTATTGTTGTTACCATTGTTGTTTTATTTTAAAAATCAACTAAATTGGGGGCTTTCCGTCCAGTGAAAAATCACACCTGTATTTTTAAAAGGATGAAATTTAATGATTTCCAAAGCACAATTTTCCCAGTCTGGCAAAGAATTTTTGAAGCACATAGCACCTTCAGAATGTATGCAAACAAGGAACTGACATTGAAGAAACTGGACAGTAGCCTTCTTTCCCTGGAACAAAATGATATTGGATACATTTGCTATATTGCCAGGTAATCGAGCTACAGCTATATTCACAGTCATTGAATACTAATTCTATCTCTCAACACCTCCTTGACCCCTTATTTCACAATACTTAGTACATAGCAGTATGTACTAGATAATACTTTTTGAATAGATGAATGAATAGATAATGGATGAATAAATGATTAACACATATGCATGGGTTTTGCAATTGTCAATTCTTCAATATTTATTACTGACATACTTTATGAAAATGAAAACACTCTTTTTAAAGTGTTTAACACAATACATTTGTTGATCCAGGGCTTACAAAAGATAAATATTTAGAAAAAATATGTAAAGATAATTAATTAGAAGAGAAGATTTTCCATGAAAGCTTCATTTTTTTTTCATAGCATATTGGTTAGCAACCTCATTCTCTCATTTATCTGGAACTCTATCAAAGTTATTTAAGAACCTTCCAGAATTCAAAGCAGTGATCTGTCTCCTCCCCATGGGCTCTTTTCTATTTCCTTACTTTTTCATTAAATAATTGCAGGAAAATAAAGGGAAAAAAACCTCTTTAACCATCCTCCAAGAATATCAATATAATTAATTAATACAAAATATTTCTTTTAAATAAGCAAAATCTACATGAAAGCCTATTATAGGTTCTTTGCCAGTGATCCTATGTTTGAGAATATCATAGAGTGAAAACTTTCATGGTGGATTATTGTATTCTATTATTTTGTTTTGAAAAGTTAAAATTAGTAGATTTGGGTCAACTATTCTAGAAACTTGATAAAAGAGCTCGTCAAAGGGAAGTTTCTTCTCTTATAAGCAGTATAATTCCTTAAATCATACTGCCTCATAGTTCTAAGATATTTCTTGTGGCAAATAACTCAAATTTTACAACTGTATTAGTTAGCAGAATCTAAGATGACCCCTGAAAGAGTATATGATGCTGATTTCAAAATGGACTTTCTTCTTTTTTGTTATTATTATACTTTAAGTTCCAGGGTACATGTGCACAATGTGCAGGTGTTACATATGTATACATGTGCCATGTTGGTGTGCTGCACCCATTAACTCGTCATTTACATTAGCTATATCTCCTAATGCTATCCCTCCCCCTCCCCCCACCCCACAACAGGCCCCAGTGTGTGATGTTCCCCTTCTTGTGTCCAAGTGTTCTCATTGTTCAATTCCCACCTATGAGTGAGAACATGCGGTGTTTGGTTTTTTGTCCTGGTGATAGTTTGCTGAGAATGATGGTTTCCAGCTTCATCCATGTCCCCACAAAGGACATGAACTCATCCTTTTTTATGGCTGCATAGTATTCCATGGTGTATATGTGCCACAGTTTCTTAATGCAGTCTATCATTGATGGACATTTGGGTTGGTTCCAGGTCTTTGCTATTGTGAATAGTGCCACAATAAACATACGTGTGCATGTGCCTTTATAGCAGCATGATTTATAATCCTTTGGGTATATAACCAGTAATGGGATGGCTGGGTCAAATGGTATTTCTAGTTCTAGATCCTTGAGGAATTGCCACACTGACTTCCACAATGGTTGAACTAGTTTACAGTCCCACCAACAGGGTAAAAGTGTTCCTGTTTCTCCACATCCTCTCCAGCACCTATTGTTTCCTGACTTTTTAATGATCGCCATTCCAACTGGTGTGAGATGGTATTTCATTGTGGTTTTGATTTGCATTTCTCTGATGGCCACTGATGATGAGCATTTTTTCATGTGTCTTTTGGCTGCATAAATGTCTTCTTTTGAGAAGTGTCTGTTCATATCCTTCACCCACTTGTTGATGGGGTTGTTTGTCTTCTTCTTGTAAATTTGTTTGAGTTCATTGTAGATTCTGGATATTAGCCCTTTGTCAGATGAGTAGATTGCAAAAATTTTCTCCCATTCTGTAGGTTGCCTGTTCACTCTGATGGTGGTTTCTTTTGCTGTGCAGAAGCTCTTTAGTTTAATTAGATCCCATTTATCAATTTTGGCTTTTGGTGCCATTGCTTTTGGTGTTTTAGACATGAAGTCCTTGCCCATGCCTATGTCCTGAATGGTATTGCCTAGGTTTTCTTCTAGGGTTTTTATGGTTTTAGGTCTAACATTTAAGTCTTTAATCCATCTTTAATTAATTTTTGTATAAGGTGTAAGGAAGGGATCCAGTTTCAGCTTTCTACATATGGCTAGCCAGTTTTCCCAGCACCATTTATTAAATAGGGAATCCTTTCCCCATGTCTTGTTTTTCTCAGGTTTGTCAAAGATCAGATGGTTGTAGATGTGTGGTATTATTTCTGAGGGCTCTGTTCTGTTTCATTGGTCTCTGTCTCTGTTTTGGTACCACTACCATGCTGTTTTGGTTACTGTAGTCTTGTAGTATACTTTGAAGTCAGGTAGCGTGATGCCTCCAGCTTTGTTCTTTTGGCTTAAGATTGTATTGGCAATGCAGGCTCTTTTTTGGTTCCATATGAAGTTTCAAGTAGTTTTTTCCAATTCTGTGAAGAAAGTCATTTGTAGCTTGATGGGGATGGCATTGAATCTATGAATTACCTTGGGCAGTATGGCCATTTTCACGATATTGATTCTTCCTATCCATGAGCATGGAATGTTCTCCCATTTGTTTGTATCCTCTTATTTCATTGAGCAGTGGTTTGTAGTTCTCCTTGAAGAGGTCCTTCACATCCCTTGTAAGTTGGATTCCTAGGTATTTTATTCTCTTTGAAGCAATTGTGGATGGGAGTTCACTCATGATTTGTCTCTCTGTTTGTCTGTCATTGGTGTATAAGAATGCTTGTGATTTTTGCACATTGATTTTGTATCCTGAGACTTTGCTGAAGTTGCTTATCAGCTTAAGGAGATTTTGGGCTGAGATAATGGGGTTTTCTAAATATACAATCATGTCATCTGCAAACAGGGACAATTTGACTTCCTCTTTTCCTAATTGAATACCCTTTATTTCTTTCTCCTGCCTGATCAAAATGGACTTTCTACTAAAAAAACTCTCCCAGGAGTCTGAATATAATCTAATTACTTAACATACAGAATTTAACTTTATACATTTCTATTTTATGTATTTGCATTTGTTGGCATGATACTTTGTAATTTTACCAAAAGTTTGTTAGTGAAATGATCTTCTTTTTTTATTATAATTGTATCTGAGAAGCTGATTTTTTATAACTTTTAGGTCTAAAGACTGAATTTAGTTGAATACTTTCCACAAAGTATTTCTTTAGTTGATTGGGGAAATTTATACTTTTCTAGTAAGCTATAGCCACTCTTGATTTGTCTGCAATGGCCTTTAATTTAATGACTATTGCCCCATTATTACTTATCTTATATACTCCAGTTTCTTCATCAATAAGGAGACAATATAATTATCTTTTATCTTTTTTTTTTTTTTTTTGACAGAGTCTTGCTCTGTCACCCAGGCTCAAGTGCCATGGTGCAATCTCAGCTCACTGCAACCTCTCTCTCCTGGGTTCAAGCAATTTTAGTGCCTCAGCTTCCAGAGTAGCTGGGATTATGGGCATTTGCCACCACACCTGGCTAATATTTGTATTTTTTCAGTAGCGATGGAGTTTTGTCATGTTGGCCGGGCTGGTCTCGAACTCTGGCTTCAAATGATGCACCAGCCTCAGACTCCCAAAGTGCTGGGATTACAGTAGTGAGCCACTGAGTCCAGCCCAGTTATCATTTCATAGTGTTAGTGCAGTAAACACATTCATTCATGCTTGGCACAGTGTCTGGACACATTGTTTACATAAAGTAAATAGTGCTATTTAATATTAAAAATAAAAGTTTTACAATATGCTTCTACTTGAGAGGTGTTTTCATTAAGACACACAAAGGTAAAAGGGAGTTTTAAAAATAGAGTATTTGGGCCAGGCATGGTGGCTCATGCCTGTAATCCCAGAACTTTGGGAAGCCAAGGCGGGCAGATCACCTGAGGTCAGGAGGTTCCAGACCAGCCTGGCCAACATAGTGAAACCCCATCTCTACCAAAAATACAAAAAATTAGCCAGGCATGGTGGCTGGTGCCTGTAATCCCAGCTACTTGGGAGGCTGAGGCAGGAGAATTGCTTGAACCCAGAAGGCAGAGGCTGCAATGAGCCGAGATCCCGCCACTGCACTCCAGCCTGGGCAACAAGAGCAAAACTCCATCTCAAAAATAATAAATAAATAAAGATGAAACTATAGTATTTATAGTATATGCACTTCTAGGCTGGTGCATTCAATATTACCTTTATTTAATCTTAACCTCAACCCTTTGAGGTAGGTGTATTAGCCAGGATAGGCTAGCAGAAATACCTAGCTCATCACAGTGTCTCAGTGATTCAACATTATGCGTGTTTCCTTCTCATTAACCTCACAGTCCGATGCAGATCAGCAGGGAGACCATTTCACTTAGGGGACCAGGCTCTTGCTGTACAGTGGCTCTGTCATCTTCTAGGGCTTCACAGTCCTCAAATTATCTTTATTATTTCCAGGGAGTAGACAGAAAAGAGAGGGCCAGAGTAGAGGACAGTGCGGGATTCAAACCCAGGGTCAAAATCAAAACTATTCTGCATAACACTATAATTTTGCTATCTTTTAAACTCTACTATCTATTCCTCTCTGTAGCTCTACCATTTCACATTAAGCATTTGTTCATGGAATTATTCATGCAACAAATATTTACAGCAAAATCTCCACCCTTGGTTCAAAGAGTTCATGTGAGCTGAATGAAAGATATGTTAAATTTACTAACATAGGCAGTTACTGCTTGCTTATAGATATTATACAGACAAATAAAACCCACAAACGATACTATATGTTGGCAGCTTCCTTTTTTGAGGAAACAGGAAATATTTAAATGGTAAGATTTCTGATGCTTAATGGTAGTTATTAAATCAAAAAATGTTTTCTCTTAAAATGAGTGGACCTGCTAAAATAGAGTGTTGGATAGAAAGTACAGGAGAGAGATTGATTGGACTAGAGTCGTACATTTGGGATTATACATTTATAGATTATTGATAAAACCAAGAAACCAGGTTCTCTCTGCCTATAAGAAGGTTTCAAAGAAGAAGAGAGATCAGAACTCCAGAGAATATCAAAATTTATGGTGCAAATAAATAGCTTCTGAATTAACCCTACCTTAAGTGAATGTCAATGTTTTATGAATATTTAGATTCCCCAGTTCTCTTCTCCATAGAACCTAATGCCCTTAATTTTCTATTGCAAAATGTTGACTTAGATGCTAATTCTGTGCCTCTTTTTTTTTTTTTTTTTTTTTTTTTGTTATGAGACAGGGTCTTGCTGTGTTGCCCAGGCTGGTCTTGAACTCCTGGGCTCAAGCAATTGTCCTGCTTTGGCCTCCCAGCATGCTGGGATTACAAGTGTGAGCCACCACTCTTGGCCTGTGTGACATTTTTTAATAATCAAAGTAAAGTTGTGTGATTACCAAAGTTTCACTCTTACTCTTTCATTTATATCACTTGTTAGAAAACCACAAGTAATTTTGTTATCACATTAGTAATAATGTTATTTTTGAACCGTTGATAGTTTATTAATTCTTAATTGTAGGTCCAACTCTGCATTTGAAAATACATCCCCACACAGAATGTGTTTCACTCCTTCAAATAACAAAGCAGAAGATTATAAAAGTAACAGATGAGAGAGTTTAATTATTAACTTTAACATAAAAACTCTAAAATCACTGAGATGAAGCAGAGAACAATATACAAAATAGCAAGTTTTGTATAAACAGTCTCTTTTGTATAGACATTCGGTTTTTGGTTACAGTTGGTCATATACATTTCAAATTATATACTGAAATATATGTATTTATTGGACATTTATTTGTTTGTTTGTTTGTTTATTTATTTATTTATTTATTTATTTATTTATTTTGAGACGAGTCTCACTCTGTCTCACCCAGGCTGGAGTGCAGTGGCAAGATCTCGGCTCACTGCAGCCTCTGCCTCCCAGATTCAAGTGATTCTCCTGTCTCAGTCTCCGAGTAGTTGGGACTACAAGCATGTGCCACCACACCTGGCTAATTTTGTATTTTTGGTAGAGACAGGGTTTCACCATGTTGGCCAGGCTGGTCTCGAACTCCCAGTGATTCACCCACCTCGGCCTCCCACAGTGCTGGGATTACAGGCATGAGCCACCATGCCCAGGCTGCACATTTAATATATCTATTTTTATATAATTTTTGCATAACATAAAGGACATTCACAAAGGACTTAGAAGAGTATTTGGGATGGAAGAAGAGCAGATAAATAGCTTATGAGCAGATGCTACTGTTGCTGCTATTTTACAGAGGGTGAAATGAAAGATAAGAAAAGCTTAACAGTTTTCTCTTGTTCATACAGCTCTTACTCATTGTGCTGGGAATTGCTTTCAAGTCCTGTGACTCCAGGTGATCCTTCTTCAGCCTATCTCTAATGACCATAATCTTTCAAGTGACTCTCTCTTTTCATACATAGACATGGTCCATTTGGGGGCAAAATTTTTTCCTGGACAAAAGATAAAACTTAAAGAACAGTTATGACTGTTTATAGGCCGTACACTGTTTATGTATGTGTTTCAGATGTGATTTTGTCTTCATAGGACATTAGATAATGTCCGAGTAATGTTGGAAATAATTAAAGTATAAGGTTTAGTTAGCATCCAATAAATAAAAGGTTTAAACTGCAAATAGGGGTTGCATGGATTCTAATAAACCAATTTTTTAGAAATAATATGTCCCAGGTTTTAACGATCTTTCAGATTAAATTTAGACCTTCTTATAATCTTATTTCATCTAATGATTTATGAGATCACTTCCTGTTACAGCAGCCATTTCCATAAATGGCAATATTTATGTTTCCAGTATTAAAATCACAACTCCCTTAGTCTAAAGGTACTCAAATTTAACACCAGGTTGCCAGATGAACCCCTGAAATAGCACCTGGCCACCTACCTTCATTTGTAGACCAATAAATATAGAGCCTTAAAAATGCCATCACCTTGTATGACTGCACTGAACTGTGAAACCTGGAAGAATACAGAAACCAGAACAGGCTGCTAAAATGAAGTCATCTTGCTAAAGGGACAATTTGTAATACAGCATTGTGCTGAAAGATCTGCAAGCCTATAGTCTAAAGTCAGTGGGTATATTTGGGCCAAAATGGATCCTGTGTGTGACAAAAACAGCATTATTCCCAACAGTTCAGGGAACTTGATGGATGTTGCTTCTCCCAACTCAGGAAAATTAAAATTGAGGCCCTGTGGAAAGGTCTATTCATGCAGCGTGTTCTGTTTTTTTAAGGAATATAATGTGTATAGAAAGAATGACCAACACATGCTTGCTGAGCATGAAGAGCTATCTCTGATTTTATTTTCCAAATTAAAAAAAAAGTAGTTTTAACAGTTTATGTTCCCCTGATCATTGAAAGAACTTTATCTCAGTTTAAACTCCAAACCGTATTTGACAATATGTTGCTTTTGGTGCAAAGATTACAATTAGATTAAATAGTATTACCCAGAAAATCTGGGTGGAATTGTTTATCTAGAACTGGATACTATGTTGACAGATATAATAGTACATCAAGCATTTTCAGGAGTTATAAATGTTTCTCCTTTTTGAATATGTAGTTTATGTTCTTATGTGTAATCTATATGATCAAAGTACAGTGGATTTTCACATTTGATTTCTTAAAATTGTCAAGCAGAAAGATGCATGTGCAAAAAAAAATCTCATTCTCAAACATTTGTCTATTCTAGATTTCCGGATGCCTAAAAATCAGACATATTTCACGTTAATTTTTAGATTAAATAATTCTTCCTTTTTGGTAACACAGAATTCATTTTCCTGAGTGGGAAGTATTTGCTCTGATAGTCTTCAGCTGCCCTCTTAGGTAAACTAAAAATAGCAAAATGAAAACTGTCGTCCCAGCTCTTCCAAATTGGGTTATTCCTCTGGATCAGCCTCTCAGTCTGCAGAAGGAAGAGCTTGAACTGCATAGTAATAGTTAATACTTACTGAGCACTTGCTATGTGTCAGGCAGCACAGCTCCACAAAGGTACTCCTTAGAGTCTCATTTAGTCTTATTTTTTCCACAAAATTGATATCCCATTTTATTGATGAGATGCAAAAAGATTAAATAACTTGTCTAAAACTCTCACAGATAATGAGGAGTGAAGCCTGAATTGGAACCAAGGCAACTAGTCCCACAGCCCGTGCAAACTCACAACTTATTCTGCCTGCCCAAAATGCTTTCTAGTTATGAAAAAAAAAAGATTTTACATTTTGTTTTTACCATAGTTTATTGTTTAAATCTTTGTTCTTGAATTAAGATTATGTCTTCCCACATCCTCCTGTAGTAAACTATTTAAAAATGAGCTTGTAAAGTAAGATCGCATTAAACCATTAAGCACTTGTAATGTTAAGTTAAAGACAGTTTCCTTTTCTTTTCTTTAGCTCTTCTGAAAACAAGAACTGACCTGCTTCCTAAACTTACAACTAAGCAAAGAGAAAGGATTTAATGGTTTTAGGGAAAAAAAATAGTTTCTGGAAAAAATTCGTAGGAATAAAATAGCCTGTTTCCACATCTAAGCAGCAAGCTAATCAGTGAATTAATCCCTTTCTTGCAAATTGCCTAGTCCAGCATGAGGAGCTACAGAAGTCAAACATTCTGATCATTTTCAAAGCTATATCTCAGTGAAAATTCTAGCCGAATATATGCGTGTTTGCATGTGTAATTAATTTTATAGAATAAATTCATGTGAGATAGATTAATAGTAATTTAGATGGCTCTAAGAGCTTTGAAGTACCCCAAATCACACACTCAATTAAAAACACTACTTCAGTTGAAATAGAGTTACTGGCTGGACCTAGTTTTACTCTAAAAAAAAACAAATGATTATCCTGAACGCTGGTCCTCAAAGGCAACATCATCAGCTATTATCTGCTGTAAAGAAAAGTTTCAAATTTGACCAAACTAACACATGTATCATATTTTTCTGCCACTTGCCACCTCTTAAGGGAGAACCCAGCCCATTTCACAGGATGTTTAATGTGTGCTCACAAATAGATTCCATCAGCTCTCCTACGGCACCCAGGTATGTCTTCCCATTCTGCTTTACATCCTCTGATCATAGTACTTTGCAAACATGCTTATCACTTCCACTTGTCACTGCTGCCTCTGCCAGGAGACTCCCCATGCTATACAGGGTACAAAGCACACTGCCTTCAGTGCTAGTGTGACAAGCAATGCCTACCTACCATTGTTTTATGATAGCATGTTGACTCCAGGTATTCTCATTTGAGGGTACAAATCCCTTTTTCTTCATTTTCAGATGCAAGCCATGAAATGTTAAACCAGTATCCTTGAATAGCATAGTCCCTATTCCTTTCCAAAATAGCCGCTCTTCTGATTTTCAGTCTATACATCCTTGACTGTCTTTTTTTTTTTCAGTCTATTGACCTTTTCCCAAGAATTCTCCTCAGTTTTCTTTAGCTAAATAGATGACTTATGGGTACATTAGCACACCAGAAATACACAGGCAAAGACAAATGTTAGCAGTTGACACTTAATGCTTTACATATATTTGCAAAAGTGAAATTAAATCAGCAGAGGAAGCTCTGGTTTAGTTTGTTAAAACTGCCCTTGGCTCATGCCCGTAATCCCAGCCCTTTGGGAGGCCAAGGCAGGTGGATCACGAGGTCAAGAGATCGAGACCATCCTGGCCAACATAGTAAAACCCCATCTCTACTAAAAATACAAAAATTAGCTAGGCGTGGTGGTGCACGCGCCTGTCGTCCCAACTGCTGGGGAGGCTAAGGCAGGAGAATCACATCACTTGAACCCAGGAGGTGGAGGTTGCAGTGAGCCAAGATCATGCCACTGCACTCCAGCCTGCGGACAGAGCGAGACTCTGTCAAAAAACAAAACAAAACAAAACAAAACAAAACAAAACAAAACAAAACTGCCCTTAATTCTGCAACATTTCTGATTAGACCAAGTAACATGGAGTTTAAGAATGAGAGATCTGGAGTTGGCATCTGTCAGACCTTGGATTCGCATGCGAGTCCTCCTATGTACAAGTTATATAACTCTACGTTAGAGAGTTCACCTCTTGCTGCCCTAATTTGCTTTTCTGCAAAATGGTATTTAAAATAGTGCCTAGTTCATGCACAGAGATGTCATAAAAATATTGAAAAAAAATTGCAATCTATCTGGCATATAGTAATTACTCAACAAATGATATGGATTTAAAACATTATTACATAATCCACATTTTAATTTTTCAGAAAAGACATCAAAAGGCAATTCAATAACTATTAATCACTCAGTATGTGGCAAGGTTCCATGATTGATATATTCACCTAAATGGTCATTTTAAAAATTTATTCCTCATAACAAAACTATGAAGTAAGCATTATTATTCTAATATATCCCTTTGGACATGCAACTTCCACATGGCAAATACCTGTTAGCTTCAATATCAGAATTGTTTTATTCCAAAGACGATTACTCTTCAGTGAAATAATTGAAAGTTTATAGTTACTGTATTTAATATCAAATTTAGTTAAGAGACAAATAAAATGAAATAAGGTTTCAGAATTCATATCTTGATGAATTAGAAAGGACTCTTCTTAATCCCTTCTGTTTCAAAACTCATATTCCTCCCACCATTTTATCTTCTGTATTCTCCACCATAGGCACAATATACATCTCCAGAATAATGGTTAATGCCGTTCTTAAAGGAAGAAAAATAAATAGTTGTCTTTCCTTTTTTATCCCCAGGAGGTCAGCTGCCCCATGGAGGAAGCAAGATTTGTGTGCATTAGAAATAAATGAACTGTTGGAGATAGGATCTTCTTTGTTGACAAAACAAGTCTTGAAGATAAGAGATCAAGGCTTCTAGTTAAATGGAGCAGTGACCTTATCAGAAATCTCAAAGCAGAAAAGTCTGTCAGAAAAACAGCATCAGATCAAGGAAACCAAGTACATGGAGCTAATTTTTGACTCTAAAGAAAGGCAAGATTATTTAATAATAATGATAATGGCACAGTTTGTTAACTATGTGAAGAAAATCAAATATAGCTTTATCTCCATTATACAACCAAATATATTCTACATGGATTAAAATATTAAATGTAAAAGTTAATCAAACCAATAAGTCAAAAAAGAAAAAAATAGAAAAAATATCCATAAAAATTTATTGAATTACAAAATGGTCATAAAATATATTAGTTCAAAACAATGGAATAATTCATAAAGGATGACTATTATAGAGATTTTCCCGTAGAGAGTTCTAAAATTTATGTGACTCAAAAAATGCCTTATATAAAACTAATATCAAATAAAAATTTTCAGAAAATATTTGCTTGCATAAGGCAAAAGAGCTAATAACCTTAATGTATAAAAGTTCCTTCAAACTAAGTACCATCTCAGAAGAAAAAAAATCTCAAAGTGGTAATCAAATAATAAAAATTGTAATACCAGGTCTCGATGACTTAGCTAGGTGTGGTGGTGCACACGCCTGTCGTCCCAGCTACTCGGGAGACTGAGGCAGAAGAATCACTTGAACCCAGGAGGTGGAGTTTGCAGTGAGCCAAGATCACGCCACTGCACTCCAGCCTGGGGACAGAGCGAGACTCTGTCAAAAAACAAAACAAAACAAAATAAAACTTCCCTTAATTCTGCAACATTTCTGATTAGACCAAGTAGCATCAGGAAAGATACAGAAGAACTTTCCCTCCTCCAACAGCTAAGTTCAACTAAATTTCTGGACACTGTATATATTTTAACCTCCCCCACCTAAAATAAAAGAAAAAAAAGAGAAGACTTTGCAGTATGGAGAAAAGGTAGACAAGCCAGGGACCTTGGTCTCAAAGAACAACATGGTGGTGGGTTTCCTGGGTTTTCTTTTCCATCATATATCTCAGACTTGGAGATGAAAAATCAGCAATCCAGAAACAACATTGGATGGAGAAAAAGCTGCAATGAAAGATTGCCATCTCTAGCAAAGGAGCAGAAAAGGGGCAGACTATCAAGGCAGAAAACTTTCAGGCTGTAACTGCTCTACTCCAACCACATCCAGAAAACAAAACTAAACAAACAAACAAAAAAAACTTGTGGCCTCATTTTCACTCATGCTAACAAAGCCCAAGTGGGGAGTCTAAACTGCCACCCTCACAAAGCTGTAAATAGGTGCCCGCAATACCCCTACAGGAGTGGTGTCAGAGGACATGGAAAAGGGAGCCAAAACTTTCATTTCTGTTAGCCAGTAACAAGAGTCTACTGCAGTGTAAATGGAGACCATATGGGGAACTTGGACTTTCATGCTACCTGGCAGTGACGAGGCAGCCCTTCTTTCCCTGATGGAATGGCATCAGAGGATCCCAGTGGGAAGTGAGGACATTCACTACCACTAATTAGTAACAAGGCCACCACCACTATGGTGTCAATAGAGATCACATGGAGAGGCAGCACAAATATCTATGCCCAGTAGTTATTAAGACCTGCTTCTCTCAGCAGAGTCAGGTGTCAGTGGAGGAGAAGTGAAGGATCTGGAAGTGAATTCTACCTTCCAGTAGAAAGCTGTGTTGAGCCACTTTTCCCCCTTTCAAAGCAGTGCCTAAAAAAGCAGCTGGAGGATAAAGTTTGAATAAGATCCAAAGACTCTTAACGTAATATGAATGTGACCAGGTTTCAATCAAAAATTGCTTGTCATACAAATAACAAGGAAAATTTCAAAAAGGATAAAAAGTAAATTCATTATATGCCAATAGTGAGAAGGCAGAGCTATTAAAATAATCTGACAGAGATTGTAGAGCAACTGTGGTAAAAATACTTCAACAATCAAAACATGCTTGAAACAAATTTAAAAAACAGAGTTTCAGCACAGATATATAAGACACAAAGAAGAACCACTGGACATTTTAGAACAGAAAAATGTAATAACTTAAGTGAAAGCTTAATGGATGATATCAACAGCAGAATAGAAGAGACAGAAGAAGAAAACAGGTAGCTTTAAGATAGAAGAAGAAAAATCACATAATCTAAACAACAGAGAGGATAAAGGAAAAGAAAATGAACAGAGCCTCCAAGATCTGTGGACTATAACAAAATATCTAGCAAAGACCTGGAAGAAGAGAAATAGAGTGGGTCTAAAAATGTGCTCCAAGTACACATGGTCACAAAGATGAGAACAATAGACACTGAGGACTACTTGGAGGGGGAGACTGGGAGGAGAGTGAGGGTCATAAAACTACCGATTGGGTATCTTGCTCACTGCCTGGATGATGGAATCATTTGTACACCAAACCCCAGTACTACACTGCCCATGTAACAAACCTGCACATATACACCCTGAATCTAAAATAAAAGTTGAATAAATACATAAATATATAAAAAATAAAAATGTACACCAAAAAATAGCATCTAAAATCTACCAATTTCATTAGAGACATAAACCTACAGAATATGAATAAATATGAATGAACCCTAAACAGGGTAATCACAAAGATATTCACACCAAGTTCCCTTGTAATTAAACATCTGAGAACTAGAAACAAAGAAAAAATTTTGAAAGCAATCAGAGAAAAGACACTTGACCAATACGAGAAAAGCAATTAAAATGACAGATTTCTCATCAGAAACCACAGAGGAGAGATGGAAGTGGCACGATATTTTTCAGGTGTCAAAAGAAAAGAGCTCTCAACCTAGGCTGACAATCCTCTACCCAGGATGAAATCCTAGTTTCACAATTGCATTAGTCCATTCTCACATTGCTATAAAGAACTACCTGAGACTGGGTAATTTATGAAGAAAAGAGCTTTAATTGGCTCATAGTTCTGCAGGCTGTACAGGAGGTGTGACTCAGGAGGCCTCAGTAAACTTAGGATCAAAGCAGAAGGCGAAGGGGAAGCAGACACATCTTCATATGGCAGAACAGGAGAGAAAAAGAGTGAAGGGGAACGTGCCACACACTTTTAAACAACCAGATCTTGTTAGAACTCTATCACAAGACAGCACTGGGGGATGGTGCGAAACCATTGGAAACCACCCCCATGATTCAATCACCTCCCACCAGGGCCCTCCTCCAACACTGCGGATTACAATTCAACATGAGATTTGGGTGGGAGACAGAAACAAACCATATCAACAATCCTATACCCTGAATATTCAATCCTATAACCAAAGTGAAAGGGAAATCATAATATTCTTAAGCTGAAGAAAAAGTAAGATAATTTACTATCCTATCCAAAAAGTATACCTAAAGAAAGTTCTCTAAACAGAAGGAAAACAAAAGAAAGACACCAGGAAAGGAAGAAAACAGAAAAAAATAAGGTAAATAAAATGGGATTTCCTTCTCCTTTGGGGTTTTCTAAATTATGTTTGATCGTTAAGTCAAAATTATAACACTGATTTTATTCTAAATTTATGTAGAGATAATATTTAGAACTATTATTATATAAACATGGGACAGTAAAGGGGCATAGAAAAGAGGTAAGGATTATATATTTCACTTCAACTGAAAAAAAATGACATCAGCACCTTGTAATAAGTTTATGTATAGAAAATTGTATATTCAGGCGTACCCATTTTACCGCACTTCGCTTTATGGTGCTTTGCAGATATGATGTTTTTTACAAATTGGAGGTTTGTGGCAACTCTGCATTACGCACATCTATGGGTGCTGTTTTCTTAACAGCATGTGCTCACTTAGTGTCTTTGTATCAGCACTTTTTAGCAATAAAGTGTTTTGTAACTGAGGTATGTACATGTTTTTAGAAATATGCTATTGCACACTTCATAGTATGGTATAAATATAACTTTTACATGTGCTGGGAAATCAGAAATTTGTGTAACTCACTTTATTGCCATATTTGCTTTATTGTGGTGGTCTGGAACTCAACCTGCAATATCTCTGAGATATGTTTGTATAATGTAATACCTATAGTGAAACAAGTTATATGAAAGATACATTCAAAACACTATAGGTAAATCCAAATGAAATTATAGTGACCAGCCTGGGCAGCATGGTGAAACTCTGTCTCTACTAAAAATAGAAAAATTAGCTGAGCATGGTGGCACATGCCTGTAATCCCAGCTACTCGGGAGACTGAGGCATTATTGCTTGAATCCCTGAGGCAGAGGTTGCAATGAGCCGAGATCGCACCACTGCACTCTAACCTGGGTGACAGAGCAAGATTGTATCTCCAAAAAAAAAAAAAAAAAAATTATAAAAAATGTTCAATTAACCCACAGCAGGATAGGAAAAAAGAAGATATTGAAAGGAAAAGTAGGGAGCAGAAATAAAGCCTAAAATAAAATGCAGATCTAAATACTAGCACATCGATAACTAATTAAATGCAGATGTTCTAAAATCACTAATTAAAAAAGAGTGGCAAATGGATTTTAAAATCATGACAATTACAGAATATTAAAAACTCTTCAAATATAATGATACAGGCAGGCTGAAATTAAAAGAGTAGTAGAAAAATATAAAATTCAGTCATGAATCAGACAAAAATAGAAATGACTAAATTAATTCCAGTAAAGTAGATTTTGTAGCAAAGAAATTACCAGAGAGAGAGAGGAATAGTGTATAATGACAAAAGTGTCAGTCCACCACAAAGACATTGCAATGGTAGATGGAGCATGCACCAAGTAATGTAATTGAAAACATGTGAAGCAAAAACTGAAATAAAGAAAAAGAGACACAGACATATCCACAATGATGGATAAAGACTTCATACTTCTCTCAACAATCGATAGAAAAACTAGACATAAAATCAACATGGAGATAAGAACCCAACAATACCATCAACCAACAGAATCTAAATAACATTTATAAAAATTCCACTCAACATCAGCAGAATACACATTATTTTCAAATGTCCATGGAACAAGTACCAAAATCAGCCATATTCTGGGCCATAAGACAGACCTCAACAAATAGAAAAGATTTGAGATCATGCAGAGAATGTCTTCCAAACATAATGGTATCAAATTAGAAATCACTAATAGAAATAAAACCAAAAATATCTCTTCACACTTGGCAACAAGACAACCTATTACTAAATAATCCATGAGTCAAAAAGGAATTATCAAGAGAAAGAAAAAAATACATCAAATTGAATGAAAGTTAAAACATGTCAAAATGTGTAGAACACAGTGAAAGCCATGCTGAGAGGAAAAATTATAGCACTAAGTGCATACATTAGAAAAGAGTTTGAAAAGGCTCAAAACAATAATGTGAGCTTTCACCTCAAAAACCTAGTAAGTGACTAAAAAATAAACCCAAAACATTATAAGTCATTAGAGAATTGCAAATTAAAACAACAATGAAATACCATTATGCAAGCATTAGAATGAATAAAAATCCAAAAACTGACAATACTAAATGCTGTTAAGGATGTGGAACAATAGGAACTCTCCTTCATTGCTAGCAGTAATGCAAAATTGTACAGCTAATTTAGGAGATCATTTGGTGGTTTCATATGAAACTAAACATAGTCTTACCACACAACCCAGCAATTGCCTACTTAGATAATTATCCTGATGAGTTGAAAACTTATGTCCACATAAAAACTTGCGTATGAATGTTTACATCAGTTTTATTCTTAATCACCAGAATCTGAAAGCTAACCAAAATATTTTTTAGTAGATGAATAAACTCTAGTACATCCATAAAATTGAATATAATTGTAGATAATATTAATGAACTATATAATAAAAATTATATAATAAGTAATGAATTACAAAGCCATGAAAAGACATGAAGGAATATTATGTACATATTGCCAAGTTTAAAAAGCCAATGTGAAATGAAAAGGCTACATATTATATAATTCCAACTGCATGACAATCTTGAAAAAAGCAAAACTATGGAGACCTTAAAAAGATCTGTGGTTTCCAGAAGTTGAGGTGGGGTATCAGGGAGGACAGGAGGGATAAATAGATGGAACATATGAGATTTTTAGGATGATGAAACTGTGCTGTGTGGTGGATATAAGGCATGCATTAGTCAAAACCTATAGAAGAGTACCACACAAAAAAAGTAAACCTTAATATAAACTACCAACTTCACTTAATAATAATGTAAT